>NC_000013.11:101877979-102502979 GCF_000001405.40 Homo sapiens | reverse complement strand
CCTAAGTTAAACTGATTTTTCTATATTTAGAGATGTCAGAGCTGAGTCTGGTTCTCTGAGCTCCTTGACTGCAAGAAAAGAAAGGTTATATTGGAATTATGCTTCAAAGATTGAAATCGGTTCTCTTCTGTTTTATGAATGAATTGCATTGAATATATTTGGCATTTTATAATTTGTCTTACCACTCCCATTATCTTTTTTCTAGTTCACTTTTCAAGTGACAGAGTGATTTATTGACTGTCTTTTAAAAGTTCCATTTCACTGAGCAAATGGTAAATATGAAAATCTGCCACTTGACCTAACACTGACTCAGATATCCAAAAGCTTCATTTGATGAAAAAGAACTCATGGAAATGGAGGCCAATAAATGTTAGAATGTAAGGAAATTGAGAAAATTCCAAGATTTGTTCTTTCAAAAATCAGCAGGAGGCAATCTAAATTACATTTTCTTTTAGGGTGACCAGAGGCTGGGTTTGCTTACGCTTTGTAAATAACATGTTTTATGTCACATTTTGTCTATCTCCATTGACTTCACCTCAGGAACCAAAACATATTACCACAGTTAAAGAAATACTCTCAATAAACATACCTCCTTTATCCCTCTTCCAAAATCCAGAGCTGGTTACTTGCAGAAGGACTTGAATGTGTAGCTCTAAGCCAAAATTAAACTTCTATATTCTTTTAGGAGTTATTTCATTATGAAAGTTCTGATAATGACTTATGAAAAGCCAGACTGGAAATAACCCAAATGATCCTCAGTAGAAGACTATTCTACAACTATAAAATGCCCTTACTATAGACTACTATGAAGCATGCATTATGTTATGTTTCTTAGGTGTGATAATGATATTGTGATTTTGTAAGACAATAGAAAATTTGTGTTACAAACTCCATAAGTGGAGAATGTTCTAGTTTCCACTGGTCTTGGGGGAATATTACCTATAACCTTTATTGCTTAAAGTAGCCAAGGCACTGTTTAACTGACATGACTCAGTTTAGACTGGCTGAGATTTTAGCAAAACAACATCTTGTTATTTTAATACTGTAAATAACATTGGAAAGGAGACTTGCAAATGTCTGCAAGCTTCTAGAAAGGACTTTTTCTGGGACAAATTTGAAAGACAGTACCAATTTGCCTTTGGAAACTTCCTTTGATTCCTATACTATTCGTTTTCTTATTCTGCTTCTTCCAATGCAGGGAGCAGTGTGAATTTTGGGGGCACTTACCTGGGTCTACCTCTTTTGTCAATGCTATGCCACAGGTCCAAGCCACTCAGGACTTCTGTGCTCCTTTGCTACACTCCTTCCTCTTTATTTCTGCTTACCTTTATCTTAAATATATCTATGTTTAATTGGGAGAGTAAGATGTGAAACAAATGCAATCTGGGGGAGCAGAATTTGAGTCTTAAACTAGGTGACACTGCAAAGGAGCTGAAAGGGTCTTAGGCGGTAATACCTCCGGTTTGCTGCAGACACAAAATATAAATGCTCTCTGAGTGAAAAAATCCTCAGTTACAGCCTCCAGTATTTCTACAGATTAAGATCAATGAAATATGAGCTTATATTAATCACATTATTAGATACAGAATATAAAATGTTTGTAAAATATTTAACAAAATAAAGAGTAAAATTTTAAAAAATCAATGGGGTTATTCAAAAAATGACCAGTAATATATAAATATAATATAACATGATAGTTGGGTTGATCTTACAAATGCAATGTTAAATGGCACAGACATACTCTGGAAGATCTTTTGGCTGTTTCTTATAAAAGTAAGCATGCACTTACAATGCAAACTAACAATTACACTCTTGGGCATTTACCCTAGAGAAATGAAAATTTCTGTTTACACAAAAACATGTGCATGGATGTCCATAGCAGTTTTATTCATCATAGCTCCAACTGGAAACAACTAAAATGCCCTTCAATGAGTGAATGGGTAAACATATGTACTTCCATATCACGGATCACTATTCAATAAGAAAAAGAATCCATTGATACATGCAACAACTTGGATGGATCTCAAGGGAATTATGCTGAGTCAAAAAGCTAATCCCTAAAGGTTGCATAAGGTATGATTGCATTCAGATTGACATGACCACATTATAGAGATGGAGAACAGATAGTGGTTGCCAGGGCATAGGCGAGGGTTGGGGGATGGGGAGGAAGCAAGGCTGATGTGGATACAAAAGGGCAGCCCAAGGAATTCTTATGGTGATGAAATTGTTTTGTATCTCAAATGTGGTGGTCACATGAAGCCACACATAAAATTACATAGATCTAAATACACACAAACACACACATGTGTACAAGTGTGTGTAAAACTGGTGAAATCTGAATATGATAGGGGAATACTATCAAGGTCAATTTCCTGGTTGTCATATTGCACAATGATTCTGTAAGATGTTACCCTTGGGGAAACTGAATGAAGCATGTATGAATTTCTTTGTATTATTTCTTATAATGCCATGCAAAGCTATAATTATTTTAAAATGAAAAGATTAATTAATATTACAAAAAGATACCTTTTTAAAGGAATAAAAATGTAAGGTATGTTGACAAAAATCTAACAAAATTTGTGCAAGAGCTGTATGGACAAAATTATTATGTTTTTCTGTTGGATTTTTAAATTAAATTTATTTTTAATAGTTGTGGGTACATATTAGGTGAGTATATTTATAAAGTATATGAGATATTTTGATACAGGCATACAATGTGTAATAAACACATCCAGGTAATGGGGTTATCCACCTCAAGCATTGATCATTCCTTTTTGTTATGAACATTCTAATTGTACTCTCTGGTATTCTAAAAAGTACAAAAATTACTGTTGACTGTAGTCACCCTGTTGTGCTAGCAAATACTAGATCTTATTCATTGTATCTAACTATATTTTTATACCCATTAACCATCCCCATTTCCTGCTCCTTCCTCGCTACCATTCTCAGTGTCTGGTAACCATCATTGTACTTTCTACCTCCATGGGTTCACTTGTTTTAATTTTTAGCTCCCACAAATAAGTAAGAACATGTGATGTTTGTCTTTCTGTGCCTGGCTTATTTAACTTAACATGACGACCTTCAGTTTCATCCACTTTATTGCAAATGATAGCATCTCATTCTTTTTTATGGCTTGATAGTACTCCATTATGTATAAGTACCACATTTTCTTTATTCATCTGTTGATGAATACTAAGTTGATTTCAAATCTTGGCTATTGTGAATAATGCTGCAATAAACATGAGAGTGCAGATATCTCTTTGATATACCAATTTCCTTTCTTTGGGGTATATACCTAGCAGTGGGTCATATGGTAGTTCTAGTTTTAGTTTTTTGAGGAATCTCCAAACTGTTCTCCATAGTGGTTGTACTAATTACATTCCCACAAACAATGTACAAGTGTTTCTCTTTCTTAACATTCTCACCAGTATTCATTATTGCCTGACTTTTGGATATAAGCCATTTTAACTGGGGTGAGATGATATCTCATTGCAGTTTTGATTTGCGTCTCTCTGGTGATCAGTGATGTTGAGCACCTTTTGATATGCCTGTTTGACATTTGTATGTCGTCTTTTGAGAAGTGTCTATTCAGATCTTTTGCCCATTGTTTAATAGGATTGTTAGATTTTTTCCTATTGAGTTGTTTGAGCTCCTTATATATTTTGGTTAATCCCTTGTCAGATGGAAAGTTTGCAAATATTTTTCTCCCATTCTGTGGGTTGTCTGTTCATTTTGTTGATGAAATATTTCGTTTGCTGTGCAGCAGCTTTTTAACTTGATGTGATCCTACTTACCTATTTTTGTTTTGATTGTCTGTGCTTTTGGAGTATTATTCAAGAAATTGTCACCCAGACCAATGTCCTGGAGAGTTTCCCCAATGTTTGCTTGTAGTAGTTTCATAGTTTGAGGTCTTAGATTTAAGTCTTCACTCCATTTTGATTTTATTTTTGTATATGGTGACATATAGGGATCTAACTTCACTTTTCTGCCTATGGATATCCAGTTTTCCCAGCACCACTTAATGAAGAAACTGTACTTTCCCCAATGTATGTTCTTGTCACCTTTGTTGAAAATTAGTTCAATGTAGATGTATGTATTTATTTCTGGGTTCTCTATTCTGTTCTATTGGTCTATGTGTCTGTTTTTATGTCGTACCGTGTTGTTTTAGTTACTGTAACTTTGTAGTATAATTTGAAGTCAGGTCATGTGATTCCTCCAGTCTTGTTCTTTTTGCTCAGGATGGCTTTAGTTATTCTTGGTCTTTTGTGATCCCATGTATATTTTAGGATTACTTTTTCTATTTCTATGAAGAATGTCATTGGTATTTTGGTAGAACTGCATTGATTCTGTAGATTTCTTTGGGTAGTGTGGACATTTTAACAATATTGATCCTTTCCACCCATGAAAGTAGAATATCCTTTTGTGTGTGTGTCCTCTTCAATTACTTTCATCAATGTTTGACAGTTTTTATTGCAGAGATCTTTTACTTCTTTGGTTAAGTTTATTCCTATATATTTTATTTGTGGCTATTATAAATTGGATTACTTTTTTGCTTTTTTTTCAGATTGTCTGTTGTTGCCATATAGAAATTCTACTGATTTTTGTGTATCGATTTTGTATTCTGCAACTTTACTGAATTTCTTTATCAGTTTGAATAGATTTTGGTGGAGTCTTTAGGTTTTTCCAAGTATAAGATTATATCATCAGCAAACAAGTATAACTTGACTTCATCCTTTCCAATTTGGATCCCTTTTATTTCTTTCTCTTGTCTGATTGCTCTAGCTAGGACTTCCAGTACTATGTTGAATAACAGTGATGAAAGTAGGCATCCTTGTCATGTTCCAGATCCTAGAGGAATGGCTTTCAGTTTTCCCCCCACTCAATATGATACTAGCTGTGGGTCTGTCATATATGGCTTTTATTGTGTTGAGATATATTCCTTCTATACCCAGGTTTTGAGGCCTAGACTGCCTTTCAGGATGCCAGAGTGCTTTATCCCACAGTGGTGGGGCTAGCTGGAACTCAGACTCTGACTGCTGGGATGGACTATTCCCATCTGGTTAGGGCTGGACTAAATGCTCCCTTTGTGGGTGCTGGCCAAATTCTGCCCTGTGTATGCTTTCTATTGTAACATGGCAGCACTGGGTTCCAATGTAAAGTTCCATAATCACTTTGCTCTTTCTCCCCCAAGCACACAGATTCTCTCTGCCCCTCATGGCTGCTGCTGGGGAATGAGGGAAGAATGGTGTTGTCAGTCCAAGACTGTTATACCTACCCTTTTTAGTGTTTCTTTCCTTGATATAATGTTAAAACTAGGTACTGTGATCACTCACCTGATTTTTGGTTCCTATGAACGTGCTTTCTTGTGTGAATAGTTGTTCAATTTGGTGTTCCTGTAGGGGTAATGATCTCTGGAGAGTTCTATTTGATCATCATTCTCCACCTCCCTCAAAATTATTTGCTGTATTAGGAGACACTATGAAAGATATAAATAAATGGAGAGATAAACACATTAATCTATTAGAAAGTTTACTATCATATCAAATCACATTAATAGATATCATACATAAATGGAATTACAAATGTTCAACACAGTTATACAAAGATGCTTAATCTTATTAGAATTAGGAAATGACAGTTAAGACAACAATGAGATACCATTTTATGTTCACTGAACTGGAAAAAGAAAAGAAGTCTGTTAAAGTTAAGTGTTAGCAAGGAGGTAGAGTCATGGGAGGTTTTTGCATAGATTTTGTACTGGTATAAAAAATGTACCTTGCTACAATGCTTGTTGTTTGTTTGAGATAGAGTCTCACTCTATTGCCTAACCTTGAGTGCAGTGGCATGATCTCAAGTCACTGCATCCTCAACCTCCCAGGCTCAAGTGATCCTCCCACCTCAGCCTCCCAAGTAGCTGGGACCACAGGCATGCACCATGATGCCTCGCTAATTTTGTTTAATTTTTATAGATATGAGGTCTCACTATGTTACCTAGGCTGGTCTTGGATTCCAGGGTTCAAGCAGTCCTCCCATCTTGGTCTCCTGAAGTGCTGGGGTTGCAAGTGTGAGCTACCACAGCCAGCCTACAGCAATACCTTGGAATGCAATTAGGTACTAGCTGGTAAAGTTAAATAGTCACATAACTTCTGATATGGTTTGGATTTTGTCCCTCCCAAATCTCATATCAAATGGGAGGAGGACCCTGGTGGGAGGTGATTGGATCATGGGGACAAATGTCCCCCTTGTTCTCGTGATAGTGAAAAAGCATGTGACACTTCCCCCTTCACACTCTTTCTCCTGCCACCATGTAAAGAATGTCCTTGCTTCCCTTTCGCCTTCTGCCTTGATTGTAAGTTTCCTGAGGCCTCCCAGTCATTCCTCCTGTTAAGCCTGCAGAACTGTGAGTCAATTAAACCTCTTTTCTTCATAAATTACCCAGTCTCAGGTAGTTCTTTCTAGCAGTGTGAGAATGGACTAATAACAGAATATTGGTACTGGGAGTGGGGCATTACTATAAAGATATCTGAAAATGTGGTAGTGATTTTGTAACTGGGTAATGGGCAGAGGTTGGAACAGTTTGGAGAGCTCAGAAGAAGACAGGAATACGTGGAAAAGTTTGGAACTTCCTAGAGACTTGTTGAATGGTTGTGACCAAAATGCTGATAGTGATATAGACAGTGAAGTCCAAGCTGAGGAGGTCTCAGATGGAGATGAGGAACTTATTGGGAACTGGAGCAAAGGTCACTCTTGTTATGCTTTAGCAAAGAGACTGGCTGCATTGTACCCCTGCTCTGGAGATCTGTGGAACTTTGAGCTTAAGAGAGATGATTTAGGGTATCTGGTGGAAGAAATTTCTAAGCAGCAAAGCATTGAAGATGTAGCCTGGCTGCTAGTAAAAGCCTATGCTCATTTGGGTAAGTAAAGAGAACTTATATTTAAAAGAGAAATAGAGTGTAAAAGTTTGAAAAATTTGCAGCCTGACCATGTGGTAGAAAAGAAAAACCCTTTTTCTAGGGAGAAATTCAAGCCTGCTGGAGGAATTTGCATGAGTAAAGGAGAGCCAAATGTTAATAGCCAAGACAATGGGGAAAATGTATCCAGGGCATTTCAGAGAACTTCACAGAAGCACCTCCCATTACAAACCTGGAGGCCTAGGTGAGAAAAATGGTTTAATGGGCCAGGCCCGGGGCCCAGCTGCTCTGTGCAGCCTTAGGACTTGGTGTCCTGCATCCCAGCCACTCCAGCTCTAGCTGTGGCTTAAAGGGGCCAAGGTATAGCTTGGGCTGTGGCTTCAGAGGGTGCAAGCCCCAACCTTGGTGGCTTCCACATGGTGTTGGGACTGTCAGTGCACAGAAGCAAGAATTGAGGTTTGGGAGCCCCTTCCCAGATTTCAGAGGATATATGGAAATACCTGGATGTCCAGCCAGTAGTCTGCCACAGGGACAAAGCCCTCATGGAGAACCTCTAGTAGGGCAGCGCAGAGGGGACATATGGGGTTGGAGCCACCACACAGAGTCCCCACTGGGGTACTGCCTAGTGGAGCTGTGAGAAAAGGGCCATCATTCTCCAGACCCCAGAATGGTAGATCCACCAACCACTCTCACTGCACACCTGGAAAAGCTTCAGACACTCAAAGCCAGCCCATGAAAGCAGCTACAGGGGCTTCACCCTGAAAAGTCACAGTGGGAGAGCTGCCCAAGGCCTTGGGAGCCCATCTCTTGCGTCAGCATGCCCTGGATGTGAGACATGGAATCAAAGGAGATTGTTTTGGAGCTTTAGGATTTAATGATTACCCTGCTGGGTTTCAGATTTGCATGGGGCCTATAGCTCCTTTGTTTTGGTCATTTTCTCCCATTTGGAACAGGAGCATTTACCCCATGTCTTTACCCCTATTGTGTATTGGAATAACTAGCTTGTTTTTAATTTTACAGGCTCATAGGTGGAAGGGATTTACCTTTTCTCAGATGAGATTTTGGACTTTTGAGTTAGTGCTGAAATGAGTTAAGAAGGTGTTGAGAAGGGTTAATTTTTTGCAAAGTGAGAAGGATGTGAGATTTGGAAGGGGCCAGGGGTGGAATGATATGGTTTGGATTTGTGTCCCCACCCTAATCTCATGTTGAATTGGAGGAGGAGCCTGGTGGGAGGTGATTGGATCATGGGGGTGGATGTCCCCTTTGCTGTTCTCATGACAGTGAATGAGTTCTCACAAGATCCTATGGTTTAAAAGTTTGTGGCACTTCTCCTTTCACTCTCTCTCTACCTCTCTATCCTGCTGCCATGTGAAGAAGTTGCTTGCTTCCCTTTTGCCTTCTGCCATGATTATAAGTTTCCTGAGGTCTCCCAGTCATGCTTCCTGTTAAGCCTGTGTAACTGTGAGTTGATTAAATCTTTTTTTTTCATAAGTTACCCAGTCTCAGCTAGTTCGTCATAGCAGTGTGAGAATGAACTGATACAACCTCATTGACAGAAATTCCATCCTTAGAGTACATACTAGAGAAACACTTGCTCATGTGTCAGATGTGTATATGAATTCTCTTTACAACATTGTTTGCAGTATCAAAAAACAAAGTAAACCTAAATGCTTAGTGATTAGAAAAAAGATAAACTGTTTTACATTTTATACAGTAAAATACTACATGGCAAACAAATGAAATATAACTACATGTAATAACTTCAATGAATCTTAGAGAAATCATAGAGTGAAGAAAAGGTAAGCTATACTAGAGAATCTTTACTATGCCATCATTTTCATAAATCTTCAAGATAAGCAAAATTAAACATTTTATTATATTTATTATGTGTTTGTATTCGTCCTTTCAGGCTGCTATAACAAACTTCCATAAACTGGGTGGCTAACAAACAAATAAAATTATTCCTCACAATTCTGGAGGCAGGGAAATCCAAGATCCAACTTGTGGACTTGATCACTGTGTGGTGAAGGTCCACTCCCTGGCTCATAGGTGGCTGTCTTTTTGCTGCAACCTCACGTGGCAAAAGGGACAAGAGAGCTCTCAGCTATCTCTTTTATCAGGGCCCTCATCCCGTTCATGAAGGTCCTTCCCTCATGACTGAGTCACCTCCCAAAGGCCCCACCTGCGAAAACCATCATATTGGGGATTATGTTTCAACATATGAATTTTGGAGGAAAACAAAAACTTTGTCTATAACAATATCATTACAATGTATTTTAAAACAGAAATAATAAACAATTAAGAGTAATGATTACCTCTGAGTGGGTGTAGGAACAGGGAGATGCCAGGTTAATAATATAAGGAAGGACCACATATAAAGATGCAAGCTCTCGGCAATGTTCTAGATCTTCAGTTATAAGTTTATAGTGTTACTTCATCAGTTACATATATGTTACATATATTTTTCATGTATCACATATTAAATAATACATTTTAAATAGAAAAAAGAAATGTCCCCTATAGAAAATTTCAAAGACAAGTTCAAATGTCAGTACAAATTTAAGTTCCTACCTCAGCATAATATCTATTGATTGAGAAATTACATAATAAAAATCTATTGTGATTTTCATACACTTTTTGAAAGAATTAATATATTATCAATCATAACTGTATCTATATATATTTAAAAAAAGACTATGACATACAGTTAGCTCCTCATACAGTTCTTTGAGGGTTAAAAGAGATAATAGATGTGGAGTGCTTAGGAATGGTGGCCGGCACATATTAAATGCTCATTAAGTGTCAGTTGCCCATGTTGTTATTTATTCAGTTTAAAGACAAAGTTTGGGATACCTATGGGTTCAGCATTTCTGTAAAATCATTCCAAAGTTTTAGCTCATGTGTAGGGAACCAATGAGTTAAACTCATCTGTGGTAAGCAGAATAATGATCCCAAAAGATGTTTCAGTCTTTAATCCTGGCACCTATAACTATGCTGGGTTATATGGAAAAAAGGAGTGTTTGATTTTTTAAAACTGCTGTTCTTGTTTCTCCCATTTTGAGATATGTAGCCTTATAGTCATTTTGAAAATCTGTGGGGGCCCAGGGGAGCATTTACTTTCAATCTGGTGTTCACTTCAGATGCTCACATTTTTCTCAGGGCTGAGTCCGATTGCTGACCCAGTGAGTAAAAGAAACTGCCTAGGAGATATGTTGTAAAAGGCCATCTGCCCAGGTGCATCTTTTTTTTTTTTTTAATTTCTATTTCTGTGTTCTAAAATATAGGGATGCCCAGATATAGGCATGAGGGCATTTAGGGCCATTCCCAGGCAAAATAATGAAGCAGAGTCTCGCAGCTGTTCAATCTGTGCTTACCCATGCAGCCTGCCTCCCTGCCCAGACAGCTTAATTTTGGCATTCTGGTCCCAGCTCCCTCCCAATGCTGCTGCTGCCTGTACTGCACCTTCCTCCCTCCCCCTGCCCAACTCAGATGTGCCCATCCTTCTAAGCAGCCAGGCCCACAGGCTTCCCATTGTTTGTCTACAGTTTGGAACTTTCTATTTTTTTTCCCCCTTAATCAAGAGTTATGTATGAATATAAATTGAATTTAATATAACCTGAGTGAATAAAATCTGGATTTAAGTCTAGAAATGTCTCTAGTGTGGAGCTGAGCTGCTTTCTACCTGCTGGAAGAGCCTGCAGAAGAAAGATAGAGAGACTTTGGGTGGGTTCAGAGTCGTGGCGTTGAGTGTAACAGCTGCTAGGAGCAGTACTGGTTACTCCTGTCATTTCTCAAGTAGTCAGGCAAGATTTGCTTGACCTGATGGTTAACATTTTCACAAGGGATAGAACAGTGTTTGGGCAAAAGGAAGTCTTGCACTGTGGCTGAGGGTAAAATTAGGGGTGGGACAGAGAGAAAGTTGGTCATGAGAGGTAAACGGACTCTTCTTCTCTGTGATGTGTTTTCCAAATTTTCTACAATGGGCATGCGTTACTTTTATAAAAAAAAAACAGTAAAAATATTCAGTGGCTATGTATGTATGTCCCAACAATGAGTTGAAGAGTGAGAGTTTCAGGCCATATGGAGTCCCATAGGGAAGCCACTATGGAAGGGCATCTGGTATCTTTCTTCTTTTTCTAAAGTACACCAAATATAAAGTGCTTTTCTCTTGAAAAATCAAATTAAACTTGTTCTATTTGCAATAAAGTTGCCCACTGATGTCTATTTGGAAAGCACACTTGACAATTAAAAAGTAAATGTAATATGGATTTAGTGGTAACTAATGAGAAATCATGTTATTTACTTGGATATTAGTGATGTACCAATAGCATGGCTAAAAGCTACCAAATTTTCCTTTAAAATGTTATATTTATTTCTTTAAAAAGTATACAATAGGTCTTTTTTTAAATTTTCATAGATTATTGGGGAGCAGGTGGTGTTTGGTTACATGAGTAAGTTCTTTAGTGGTGATTTGTGAGATTTTGGTGCGTCCATACCCCAAGCAGCATACACTGCATCCAGTTTATAGTCTTTTATCCCTCACCCCTTTCTCCCTGAGTGCCCACAGTCCACTGTGTCATTCTTATGTCTTTGCATCCCATAGCTTAGCTCCTGCTTATGAGTGAGAACACACGATGTTTGGGTTTCCATTCCTGAGTTAAGGAAGTCATTATTTTGAGTTAATTTCATAGCACTTTTACTTTACAGTCTTTTCTTTGGTTGGTCAAAAATTAATTGTGTCATTCAGTTGAAACATTAATATTGCATAAGAAGGCAAGACATTTTGCAAACCTAAAAATAGTTTAAATGTAATTCTTGAATTGTCAAGAGACTTACTATTAATTATTTAGAGGCTTTTTGAATTTTTGTACTGAAATCTTAGTCATTGTTTAAAATGGATCACTTATATAATTCTCTCAGTTATTCATTTATGCATCAAATTTATTTTGGTTCTCAGCTATATGCAATATATTCCTTGAGATATAAGAATGGGTGCCTCTCTTCAGAGAGCTTACAGTCTAGTAGAGGGGATAGGATGCACACAAGGAATACTATAAGAATTAGAAGGTGGTAGGTCCTGCAGGAATTAAGATAGGTTAAGGTGGTTGCAGTATGTGGGCAGGATAGGGACAGACATAGTAAGATCATTCTTAGCGAGAGAAAGAACACAGCAAAAGAAGTAAGGCAAGAAACCCAAGATGTGATCTGGGAACAGCAAGTAGAGGCTACATGTCTATAGAAAAAATGCTACTGGCCTCTAGACACTATGTTTATATAAAGTTAATGGTAGATTTGTGGGTTTTATGGTTCTTGTTTTGTAATAACCTCCAACCCACTAAATATGACAAGTAGATTTTCATTTGACCCAGTAGACATATACTACTCAGCCTGGAATTTCACTTCGCTGAGGAGTGAGTGTCATTGTTTCATTCCCAAGGCTGTCTCGATTTCTCTCATGGTCATTGATGAAGCAAAATCCTCTTTTTTGATTTTCATACCTGTGATGGACAGTTTTGCATGTCAACATTGCCAGACTATAGATCTGAGCTATTCAATCAAATATAAAATCTAAGTGTTGCTGTGAAGGCATTTCATAGATGTAATTAAAGTTTATTATCAGTTGACTCTAAGTAAAGAGGCATTATCCCAGATAATCTGGGTGGGCCTGATTCAATCAGTTGAAAAACCTTAAAAGGAGAGCTGAGGCTTCCCTGAGAAGAAAGGAACTGTACCTGTGGACTGGAGCTCCAGCCAGTGCCTTCCCTGCCAGCCTTCCCTATTGATTTTAGGCTTGCCTAGCCAGCTCCTGCAAGTGTGTAAGCCAATTCCTTTCAATAAATGTCAATATGTATCTCCTAATGGATGTACTTCTATAGTTGAACCATGAGACAAAACAAAGCTTTGTCTACTCCTTTTTGAAATTATGCTCCTTGGTTCCCTTTGCTGAATGTTTCCCTTTCCCAGTGGTCTAATATATGTAAAATTCTCCAACTTTTCTCTTCCCAAGCTTTATTTATTATTTTCCATTGCTAGCTCATAATTCTCTTGCTTTTTACATGTTTATTTTACTCCATTTCTTTAATCTTTACTCCTGTATTAGCCCGTTTTCACACTGCTATGAAGATACTACCTGAGACTGGGTAATTTATAAAGAAAGGAGGTATAATTAACATCCACAGTTCTGCATGGCTGGGGAGGCTTCAGGAATCATGAAGGAAGGCAAAGAGGAAGCTAGGCATGTCTTACATCAAGGCAGTAGAGAGAGAGAGCACAGGAAAAACTGCCACTTTTTAAACCATCAGATCTCGTGAGAACTCCCTTGCTACCACGAGAACAGCATGGGGGAAACCACCCCCATGATCCAATCACCTCCCACCAGTCCCTCCCTCGATACGTGGGGATTACAGTTGGAGATGAGATTTGGGTGGGGACACAGAGCCAAACCATATCAATGCCCTAACAATCCTTGGCTCTAGTATGTTCTTTCTCTCTTTGTTTTGGTCTGTCTCTCTCATATATATCAATATCCGTTTACCTTTAGAAAGTCAGTTCCACAGGACAGGGAGTCTTTGATTGATTCATTGATGTTTGCCAAGCACTTTAGAACTGTGCTTCACACATAAGAGATGTTTTTTTGTTTATGAAAGTATAGATTTTATTAAATTAAATATTCATTAAATGACGTATTTTATTTATTTGTAAATGTCTTTACACCTGAACACCATTCATCGAATGATAATGGCATTGCGTGAAACATTTCTCTCTGCCTCACTGTGGGGTTTGTTGGTGCAAGGCAGTTATTTTGGATGTTTCTGCTTTGAAGATTCAAACTCTCCATCAGGTGCGTAATCTCAATATCTAGACATAAGACCAAGTATAAGGCAGATAGATACCCACTGTAGATCTGAGCTCTTCCTTCCAATTCAGCATTACCGATAACACAGGTAGCTTAACCCCTATCCATCTGTTGTCTGCATTTCTCTCTCAATCAGTTCTAAACTCAGAGACAGTTGAAGAGGTATGCTTAATTCTATCCGCCAAATTCTGCAACATGTACTGTGGAACAAATCTATTTTTAGTATTCTCTGGGAAAACATGCTTTTTCTCTTTTTGGAGAGATCCAATTCCTTTTCCTACTTAAAATTTTTTTTGTTATAGTAGAACTGCCGATCACATAGTAGTCTTTCTTTCTTCAAACGTGTGTATGATTGCAAGTGAGAATTCTTCCCAGACAGTTTTTTTTTTTTTTTTGAATTGGGATTAAGAAAAGTGAGGCTGCTCTTCTCTGGTGTCATTCTGATATTTTATATTTTACCTTTTTTCATAAAATTAAAGATAATAAGATGGCCATCTTTCTGCAAAATTAGTTGTGAATTTTGGGAAGTCCCCTGAAGGAAATTGTAGAGGGAATTGACCAAGCACACCCTTGGCACTGTATTGGCACCAATTGAAATGAGACATAATTGGTTCAGGAAGGCCCCAATGCATACTTTTATATGGTTTTCTTCACTAATGCTAAAGACATAAAGGCAGGGAAGGAAGTTGTGGGGTGAAATAGGATGGAGGCTACTAGCTAAATTCAACTTTCGAGTAGTTCAGGTGGTAGGTGGTAAGATGTCATGCAGCCTGTATTACTGAAAAAGAATTTGCATAGTAAAATTAATTGAATGACACCAGTCACTATTTCCTGGGCTCCAAAATGCCTATATCTTTGTCTGCTTTCTCAGGTAAACAATCTGCAGTTACTGTCCTTGGAAGCCTCCCTAGAATTCTCAACCTAGTTCTCGCATTGGGCATCCTCTTATGGCCTCTCCTCCTGGTTCATAAACTGAATCTGGCACCCACTAAATATTTCCTTAATATAAACTCTTACAAGCCACAGACTCTGCTGGGTACATTAATATCCAGGTTCTTTTACCAGACTAATATTACTTAGTTCTTTTAGTAGTTTAAATCTTTCAAATTGTTCTCTAGTAATAAAATAACAGTGCATTTTTATTTGGGAGAACGTAAAGATTTATAGTCTTTTGAAATACTGGGCTTGTCTTACTTTCATTCAATACAATATTTATCACTTTTGGTCATTAGAACATAATGTTCATCTCAAAGAAAGTCAATACTTTTATATGCTTGTGAACATGAAGTGCTGTTAGATTCTAAAACTGATTCAAGTAGACAATAGAGTGACTAAGCAATGTGAGTTTGCCTCTTTTTTGAAAACCTCCCACTTGTAGAAATTTGTGATTTATGAGGCAAACTGAAAAAGCTTATTAATCTCTCTGGTAATCAGACAATTATAGCAAAGAATACCATAGTTAGAACTTAGGAGAGGGATATTTGAAGTCAAGTATAGGGCAAAATCAAAGGAAACAAAAACAAAACATTAAAATCTTCCAGGTAGATGTAATAAAATTCCTTATGTTAAGAACAAGAGGCATAAAAGTGTCCCCTGGCCACGTTCCTGCCATCCCTTCTGTTTCTTTGACACTGGTGTACTTTCCAGCAAATGCATTGTCAAGGCAACATCATTGCTCATTTGCTGAATGTCTGTTGCTTGCCAGGCTCTGGGCCAAGAATTCTGCTAAATGTGAACATGTGCAAAACGTGGCTTCTTTTGAAGGGGAGCTTGTGGTCTCCTGAAGGAGCTAGACAGATAGGAGGTTTGTAAGTCAGAAAGGTGTCAATATGTCTGATTCCACCTTGAGGAAAGGGCCAGCCAGGTTGTTCCATGCCACTGGGAGATTTGGGCCTGCATGGAACAGGGTAATTCCCTGTTATTCTATTGATTAGCATTTGGGTAATTTTCGGTTTTTGGTTATCATGAGGGAAATGATTGTAGTAAGTGGAGCAGGAGAAAAGCTAAGGGCTGAGTGAAAATGGCTGCAATTGGAAATCTCAACATAGGAGGTAAAATTGGGGGCTAAGATCTTGGGAATACTAGAATATGATAGGAAGTAAGCAACATATCAAGAAGGAAGCAAGAATCTTTAAATATGTCTGTGATTCGAACTCAGGTATCAGAGGTTTTCTATTTTTTTCTTTGTTTGAACAATGTTTTCTTCACTTTTTTATTGAAGTATAGCATAAAGAGGAGTACAAAAATCATAAAATATATGAGTTATTTAGTGAGTTGCCACACTGTAACCATACCTATGTAACTACTAGCCAGGTGTATTAGTCAGGGTTCTCTAGAGGGACAGAACTAATAGGATAAATGTGTATATGAAGGGGAGTTTATTAGGCAGATTGACTCACACAATCACAAGGTGAAGTCCCACAATAGGCCGTCTGCAAGCAGAGGAATAAGGAAGCCAGTCTGAGTCCCAAAATCTCAAAAGTAGGGAAGCCAGTAGTGCAGCCTTCAGTCTGTGGCTGAAGGCCTGAGAGAACCTGGCAAATTACTGGTGTAAGTCTGAGTTCAAAAGCTGAAGAACTTGGAGTCTGATGTTCAAGGGCAGGAAGCATCCAGCATGGGAGAAAGATGAAAGCCAGAAGACTCAGTAAGGTCTTCTTCTACTTTCTTTTGGCTGCTTTATTCTGGTCACGTAGGCAGCTGATTGGATGGTGCCCACCCAGATTAAGGGTGGATCTGCCTCTCCCAGTCCACTGACTCAAATATTAATCTCCTTTGGCAACACCCTTACAGACACACCCAGGAACAATACTTTGCATCCTTCAATCCAATCAAGCTGACACTCAAAATTAACCATCACACCAGAACATTACCAGGGCTTTACAAACATTACCAGGGCTTTACAAGCAGCCCTCTCCATCATTACCCACTTCCTCCTTCTGACTATTCCCAGTAGCCCCATATTTACCCATTTTTGAAATCTGTTTATTAATATTCCTTCTTTTTTTTTTGATACAGAGTTTAGCTCTGTCACTTAGGCTGGAGTGCAGTGGCACCATCTCAGCTCATTGCAACCTCCGCCTCCCAGGCTCACACAATTCTCCTGCCTCAGCCTTTGGAGTAGCTGGGATTATAGGCACCCGCCACCACACCTGGCCAACTTTTGTATTTTTAGTAGAGATGGGGTTTCACCATGTTGGCCAGGCTGGTCTTGAACTCCTGACCTCAAGTGATCCACCCACCTCGACCTCCAAAAGTGCTGGGATTACAGGTGTGAGCCACCACACCCAGCCTGTTTACTAGTAATTTTGAACAGTATTCCACAGTATAAATATAAAAATGTTCTTTAAAATTAATTCTATTGATTAGCATTTGGGTAATTTTCAATTTTTGGCTATCACGAGTAGTACTGCTATCAATTCTTATATGTGTCTTTTGGTGAACACACAGGTACTTTACACATTGAGTAAATGCCTAGAAGTGGAATTTCTGGGTCGTGGGATATGCACGTTTAATTTATTAGATGATGCTAATAAGTTTTCCAAAATGATTGTAGTAGCTTATACTTCCACCAGCAGCAGATGGAAGTTCCAGTTGCTCCACATCCTCATCAACCTTTTTGTTTGTTTGTTTTAGCCATGTAGGCAGATTGTAGTGATATCTAGTAATCTCATTTTGTTTGCAAATTATATTTCCCTGACAACTAATACAATTGAGCACATTTGGCCACTGACATGTCATCTTTTGTGAAACACCATTCAAGCCTTTTGCTTCCTGCCCTTTTTAAAGTTTGGTTTAACTCTTTTCTAACTAATTTGTATGTTTAAAAAAATGCATTCTAGATATGAGTCCTTCAGTCCTGTGTTGAATATGCATACCAAATATTTTCTCCCCCTATCCGGGTTGCCTTTAACTCTCTTAATTGTACTTTTTTGAACCGAGGTTCTTTACATTAAAAATTTTTATTTTTTTAAGTTAGCACTTTAGCACTTTTTGTATCTGTTTAAGAAATTTTTGCCTACACTGAGGTCATTAAGACATTCTCTGACGTTTTTGCCTAAGATGTCATTGTTCTACCTTTCACATTTATATCTGCATTCGACATGGAGATAGATATCAAATTAAGTTTTTTCATGTGTGTGCCCAACTGACCCAGTAATAATTTATTAAAAAAATCATCCATTCTCCCTCTACATTGCAAAGTCACCTATGTCATAAAGCAGGGTACTGCATATATGTGGCTCTATTTTTAGACTCTTTATTCTGTTTCATAAGTTAGTCTATCCTTGTACCAATTCCATATTGTTATACTTCTGTATTTTTATAATAGGTCTTAATATCTGGAGGTATAAATTATCCAGCTTTGTTGTTCTTTAAAACTGTCTTGACTATACTTGCCATTGGATCACTATTTATATTTTAGAATCAAACTGTCAATTTCAAGAAATAAAATTCTACTGGGTTTTGAATGAGTCTATTGTATTAGCTGTCTATTGCTGCCTAACAAATTACAAATTACTACAAAACTTAGTGGCTTAAGCAACAATGTTGATTAATTCACTCTTTCTGCAGGTCAGGAATTTGGGCATGTTTTAGCTGAGTCCTTTGGTTCATGGTCTCTTGTGGGCTTCAGTGAAGGTATCAGCCGGGGCTGTAGTTATTTCAAGGCTCCACTGGGGAGCAATATTGTATACTTCCAAGTTTGCTCCTGTGGTTGTTGGCAGGATTCAGTTTCTCAATGATTGTTGGACGAAGGCTGACCTCACTTTCTTGCCATATAGGCCTCTCCAGAATGGCATCTTGTTTCATCAAAGCATGCAAACCAAGCAGGCAATAGAGAGAGAATACCAGCAAGATGAAAGTTTTTAATGGAAGCCACATCCCATCACTCTTGACATATTATACTGATTATACACAGGTCAGTAGGTCCAACGCACAATTAAGAGTAAGTTATTTAAAAAGAGTGAGAGTAGTAGAAGATGGGGGTCATTGGGAATGTTGTTGAGTTGTAAGCATTTTTAATATATCCTGAATACTAAACCCTAATCAGATACATGGTTTGCATGTCTTTTCATGTTCTTTTTACTGTCCTTTTATGCACAAAAGTTTTAAGTGTTAATGAAGTCCAATTTGTCTATTTTCTTCTTTTGTTGCTTGTGCTTTTGATGTCATAGCTAAGAATCTATCAAAATTGAGAAATGTGGGCCCTCCAACTTTGTGTTTTTTTTCCAAGAATGTTTTAGCCATTTGAATCCCCTTGCAATTCCCTCTGAATCTGAAAATCATCTTTTCTATTTGTGCAAAAAAGACCATTGGAATTTTGATAGGCATTGCGTTGAATCTGCGGATTGCTTTGGGTAGTATAGACTTCTTAACAATATTGTCTTCTAATCCATGAACATTAGATGCTTTTCCATTTATTCAGGTCTTTAATTTCTTTCAGTAATGTTTTGAAGTGTTATATATATAAGTCTTTTACTTTCTTGGTTAAATTTATACCTAGGTATTTATTCCTTTGGATGCAATTGTAAATGGAATTTTTTTAACTTCCTTTTTGGATTGTCTATTGTTGGTTATTCTTTTGCTTTTTGAGTCTCATGAGAGCTCTTCTCAATTTCAGCCTCTCATTTACAATCTCCAAAATTTTCAGATGCCTCTAAAGGAAAAGTGGTCCAAATGCTGCACTTAGCACCTTGGGCTTCCCTCTTCTTCTGGATTTTGGCCCCAAAATTACATGCCTATTCTATAGAAAAATGTGTTGTCAAGTAGGACGTAGGCCCTGTGGTATTTGGTTGGGTCTACTATGGTTCAGAGCAAAAGATCAGACAGTGACAATACAAGTTTAGCACAAAAAAGTGGGAAAGATAGAGCAAATAGACCTGCAACCATCCTGACCTCATCACTCTATTTATGTTTCCATGAGGAGGTATTAAAACCCTTTCAGTGTCAAGTTTGTTATCTGAATGGAAATAACTACCTCATAGAGTTGCTTTGTAAATTAATGATGATAAAGTGAGTAAAACTCTTCACAAATAGTAGTTATCCTTCCTAATTGCCATGTTAGAGACAGAAAGTAGTGTGAGGTTTGGCTGATAAAACCAAAGTAGCCTCAATTGATCCAAGTTGATACATGTTCTTTATTATTTTATAATGCTGCCTATCATCCTAAAGAATTCAGCATTTGCCAAATTGATCTAACAAAATTTATTTAAAATTAAACAATTTTTTAATTTATAATGTTTTAATTAAAAATATTACATTTGATAACATTCTAAAATAATTTCAAAGTGAAACGTTTTTCTTTTGAACAAAACTGAATATAAGCAAGTCTTAATTTGGTCCTATATACTGGAATTAGTGTCAAATGGGGGACATCCATCAGATATGTGGGCATCCAAATGCTCTATGCACAGCAACAAATGCTTAAAACAGTAAATGGAAGAAAAAAATTAAATAGAAACATTAGCACTTGATCATATAAATATGGATTTAGGTCTCAATCATAATTATGATTTTTGAAATGTTCTGCAGCTATGTTGTACACTGGTGCATTAGAAATTAAAAAATAAGTAGGCAAGCTAGAGCACAACACCTAGATATTAAATATAGAGATATTTTCTAAAGCCTTCAATTATTTTTATTTATTTATTTATTTTTGGGACAGAGTTTCACTCTTCTTGCCCAGGCTGGAGTGCAGTGGCATGATCTTGGCTCACTGCAACCTCTACCTCCTGGGTTCAAGTGATTCCCCTGCCTCACCCTCCCAAGTAGCTGGTATTACAGGCGTGCGCCATCGCATCTGGCTAATTTTGTATTTTTGGTAGAGATGGGGTTTCACTATGTTGGTGAGGCTGGTCTCGAACTCCTGACCTCACGTGATCTGCCTGCCTCAGCCTCCTAAAGTGCTGGGATTACAGGCATGAGCCACCATGCCCAGCCAGCCTTCAATTATTAAACAACACTTATAAAATCAAAAATTCAAAAAAATGATAGTTTTATTTCTATCCCTGCTTCTGTAAATTTTGCCTGTCTCCAACTTTTGCCAGCTGTAAAAGCAAAGTCTGTCACTTGTCACATGGGCAAAGGGAGGGTAAATGAATTTGCTTATCTCCATCACTACAGGTGGAAAACAATTTTTTTCCTGTCCAAATAGTGAGTTATTATCTCTATTTTCTTATATAAAAGATAACACATCATTTTTTCATTAGTTCAGCTACAAACCTTTTGAACAACTATTGATAAGATTAAGTGACTTACTGACAATTTCAGCCAATAAAATAATGATGGCTTATGTTAACCTCTGAATATTTGTTGTTCAAAAGATCTGACTTAACTACATTGAAAATAAAGTTAAGAACTTCTTTAAAAATGCTTTCTTTATTACTTTATGATTGAAGTCTTAAAAATATTTAAGCATGATACATTTTCCAAGTTTATTTGAGATTTTAGTTGTTATTCTTAAAACATAAAATAGGTTTCTAAGGTCAAATGAGTTCCAGAACCTTGGAGAATTCCATCAAGGTAACATTTTTTTTTTTTCCTCTTCAAGACAATGCAAAATCTGTAATATGAATGTCCACTGTGAATCTCCAGGAAAGTGAGTTTGGGGTGGAACTTACTAGGTATCAGTTCCCACAATCACAGACTGTGTTTCTCAACCTCTTTTCTTAGGAACATTTAGGAGAATTCCTATAAGTACTTGAATTTAAGAGAAAGTTAACTTCTTAATCAAATCATCCACAAATTGATCCACTTCAAAAATTTTGTGCTTCAGAATCTAGCAAAAATGTTACTGAGATGTTTTAATTTGATTTGCCATTATCTGTTAGATTCAGTTATAGAGAAAACTCATATCTCAGGATCCCATATAGTAAGAAATTCAGCATCAATATATGATGAAATGATATGCTAAAAATGCTTTTTTAGTGAATATATTGGCAATGACTCTTTCAATGGCAAGTAATAAAAATTACTTGAACCATATTAAACAACAAAAGAAGGATTTATTATAATGATACAAATTTATTCTCCATGTAATTTATTTTCTATCATCAGAACCCACAGGCAAGAATGTATCTGGGTGTCAAGATTGTCTAGAACCATGCTGTCTGATAGGAAAATGTGAGCAACAAATGTTGGCATATCTGTAGTCCTGATTTTTCTAATAGCTGGATGAATTTAATTTTAACAATATTTTATTTAACCCAATATATCCAAAATATTATCATTTCAATATGTAATTAGCCTGGAAATATTAATGAGATATTTTCTATTCTTTTGTTGTTGTACTAAGCCTTTAAAATCTAATGTGTGTTTTTATGCTTAAAGAACATTTTTATTTTATTCTATTTTGAAAGAACATTTTAATTCTAAGTAGTTACATTTCAAATGCTTAAAAGCCTTATGTGGCCAGTGGCTATCATACTGCACAGTGCAAGTCTAGAGCAAAGAATAAAAATTTAGGGAACCCAGGTAATTCTCTCTCAGGTTTAAAATTTCAGAAAAAGTTATTTTGTTGAAAACGTTCTAAATTTATTTATACCTGTTCAAAGGCAAAAAATGGCACAGAAGATTGAAAAATAAATGCATCTGTATGTTGTTATTTTCAGGAATTGAACCTAGAATAGAGGACAAAGTTTGAAAAATAAGAACACAGAAAAAGATTTATTAGGCAAATATCAATTAAACAAAACAGATTAGAATATCACATGACAGAGGCTCTCAGGAATAAAGAGGTATGAAGCATAATAATAAAGTTTTCTTCAATTCACCCAAAATACGTAACTCCATACTATGTACATAACATAGCCTCAACACATATACAGTAAAAATTGGGAAAACAAAGACATTCACGAAACAATTGTTTTAGTGGAATATTTTAAAACACTTCTCATTGTAATTGATAGAGGAAGGAAAAATTAGGGAGGATATAAAATATTTAAATAATGCAATCAATGAACAATCTTGTTCTAATGGACATATATAGAATTCTGCACACAACAATCAGAGAATACACATTTTTTTCAAATATACATTTAAGCCTTTCATTTATGAAAAGCAGCAGCATACTACACCATAAATCTCAATGTGACTTAAGCAATGTTATTATACAGAATACAACTCAGTAAAAACCAGTAATAAAAGATAATTAAAAAGTACTACACACTTGAAAATGTAAATATGCAGCTTTAAATAACATATGAATTATAAAAGACATTTTAATGGAAATTAGAAATCACCTAAAACTGGTAATAAATATGCTACATGTAAAAACTTGTGTGATACAGTTAAAACCATACATAATAAAATTTATATCCCCAAATTTTTGTATACATGTTACAGAAGAAAGGATAAAAATTAATCAGGTCTAACTTAAGAAATAAAAAATGAGCAGCAGAAGTTCAAAGAATCCTGGGAGTCCAATTATAGCATTTAATTTCCTTTTCTTTCCCATGTAAATTTCTCACATAATATTGTTGATTCTACTTTCTCATTTTCTCTGATATCAGTCTTTTCTTCTTTATTTCCCATGCTGTTGTACAGGTTCAATCTTCCTCATGGCTTCCTCATTTCACTGGTTTTTTTTTCTTTATCACCTGTGTACCCCATGCTTTTAACCCAATCTCCATAACACCAGAGGATCTTTCTAGATCATACATCTGATAATTTTAATCACCAGTTTAGATTTAGTCTTAGTGTAAATTCTTTGTGTATCTACACCCTAAAGAGCTTTCCCACCCTGGCTCCATGGGGTTGGATCATGATCGGTCTAGTCGTGGTCTTATCATCATTTTTCTCCTGTCCAGGGATTGATTGATTCACGGGCATGTGACCAACTCTGGCCAAATACTCCTGAGGATAGTCCTCGAGGGGCTTTGCAAATGTAAATTAGTAAAGCCGTTATGGAAAAACAGAATGGAGGTTCCCCCCCACAAAATAAAAAATGGAACTATTGTATGATTCAGCAATTCCACTATTTCATGTATATCCAAAGGAAATTAAATCAGCATGTTGAAGAGCTATATACATTCCCATGTATGTATATTGCAGCATTATTCACAATAGTGAAGGTATGGAATCAGTCTGTGTCTATTGACAGATGAATGGATAAATAAAATGTGATTATGTATACATCACCCTCTACATATATGTGAAAAGTGATATGTATATAACATGTATATACACACACACATATAATGAAATATTATTCAGCTTTAAAAAAAGAAGAAAATCCTGTCATTTTCAGCAATGTCCATAAACCTGGAGGAGATTATATTAAGTGAAATATGCCAGGCACAAAAAGATAAATATTACATAATATCACTTATATACATTATCTACAAGTTGAACTCAGAGAAGTGGAGAGTAGAATGGTGGTTATGAGGGGCTGGGGGGATGGATGATGGGGAGATATTGTTCAAAGAGTACCAAGTTTATTAGACAGAAGGAATAAATTCTGGATGTCTATAATACATTATTATTAACTATTTTAACAATAGTTAATAATAATGTGCAGTACATGTGAAAATTACTAAGAGAATACATTTTAAGTCTTCTTATAAAAATGTGAGGTGATGGAGATGGTAATTAACTTGATTTAATCATTCCACATGCATACATACATCAAAACATCACATTGTACAGCTTAAATATTTATAATTTGTATTACTTACACCTCTATAAGGTTGGAAAATAGTACTAAAAAAGTTTATTGTGGTGGGTTTTAATATTTTCACATTCTTTATATTAAAGGGGAAATATCAAATTAAAAAAACAAAATAATAAACATTTAAATCCTTGTTTTGGAATTTTCTTTCTCAAGGGCCCAGACAAGAAACCCTTTCTTTTTGGTAACTGATATGGTCTGGCTGTGTGTCCCCACCGAAATCTAATTTGAATTGTAATCTCCATAATCCCCATGTGTCAAGGGAGGGACCTGGAGGGAAGTGATTGGATCATGGGGGCGGTTTCCCTCATGCTTCTCTTGTGATAGTGAGTAAGTTCTCACAAGATCTGATGGTTTTATAAGTGTTTGACAGTTCCTTCTTCATGAGCGCTTCTCTCTCACCTGTTGCCGTGTAAGACGTGCCTGCTTCCCCTTCCGCCATGGTTGTAAGTGTCCTGAGGCCTCCCCAGCCATGTGGAACTGCGAGTCAATTAAACCTATTTTCTTTATAAATTACCCCATCTCGGGCATTTCTTTATAGCAGTGTGAGACTGAATTAATACAGTAGCTTTTCTGATTTTATTTTTCCTCTGATAGTGTGAAGTTCTATCATAGTTATTTCCTAGATTAGGTTTTGTTTTTCTTCTGTTTCTCCTGATCATACTCAGTGGGCTTGTTCCAACCAAAAACTTTGGTCTTGTCATAATTCTTGAGAATATCTGTTTATAGTACTTTGAATATTGCTTCTCCTACATTCTCTCTAGTCTTTCCTTTAGGTGTCACTAATAGATGGATATTGACATTCTAAAGTCATCTCTTTTATGTCTGTTAACTTTTCTCCTCACTCTTTCCTTCTCTTTAATTCTGTGAACTGTGTACTTGAGTACTTCCTTAGTTTGATTTTCCAGATAGCCAATTCACTTCTTATGTCCAGCCAACTCTTCATTTGTTGAGTTTTTATATTTAAAGTTTAAATTTTAAACAGGTAGGTTTTTTTTGTCTTTTTTATTGTGGTAAAAGATATATAACATAACATTTACCATTTGAACCATTTTTAAGTGTACAGTTCAGGGGCATTAAGTACATTCACAATGGTGTGCAACTATTACCACCATCTAGTTCTGGCACTTTTTACCCCAAACAGAAGCTCTGGCCCATTAAACAATAATTCCTTCTCCCCAACTCTTCCAGCCTCTGGTAACTTCGATTCTACTTCCTGTCTTTATGCTTGTTCCAGGTACCTCATGTAAGTGGCATCATACAACATTTGTCCTTTCTTGTCTATGCTTATTTCACAAAGTATAATGTCTTCAAGATTCCTTTAGGTTGTAGCATGTGTCAGAATTTCATTTTTGTAACTAAATAATATTCCATTTTATGTATGTACTCCATTTTTGTCATCCATTAATCTGTTAATGGACATTTGTGTTTTCACTTTTTGGCTATTGTGAATAATCCTGCTGTGAACTTTGGTGTACAAGTGTCTGTTTGAATCCTAAACAATTATTTTTTTAAAAGAAATGTTAGGATCTCTAAGTGGTACTTTTCCATGAAAATCTACTTTTTGTTTTATAACTTCCTGTTCTTATTTATCATTTGACTTTCCTTTATGTCTTTACAGTCTAAAGGATACTTACTTTAAATCTTTTATTGTTCTTCTCTTATTTCTGTTCAGATGTAAGTTCTTCAATTTGTTGGGGTTTTTTTGTTATGGTGGTTTTAGATACATGTCTTTCATGGTGTAGGCATCCCTTATAGGCTTGTTGGTTCTTTTGAGCTCACCTTATGTAAATGGAGTTTTCCTACCAGTGTCCTAGTCTGCATCATTTCAATGGCCTATGTCGCTGAAATTGTCTAGTCATAGGGCATTAAAGGTACAGTTTCCTGCGAAGGTAGTGGCATCTTATTTGGTGACAATTTGCTGGAGTAGTTTTGATTTAGCTCTGAAGTTAATGTATTATTACTTCCTCTGAAGTTGCCACAAAGCCTCTGGTGTAAGAATTCCTTCCTTTGCATCTTGAAGGCAAGTATGTATTCATTAATTAAGAATTTACATATATATTTTTCTTTCTGTAGGTGTAGAGCAAAAACGGATTTTGCTTTGTTCATTTCTTCATCTTGAAGCTGTCATCCTTTTTCTTTATTATGCCAGAACTTTCTTGCATTATTTTCTGCTCCACTTTCTTAGTGATTATATCTTCTTGAACTCTATCCAGGTGTGCTGATTACTCATAAAGTTTCTTCTGAAGTCTTCAGGAGTGTGCTTCCAGGAGAATGCTCTTCCCCAGAATCCAAGGTTTGGATGTTGTTAACTTTCTCTTGCTCTGCAGTATGATTTCATGAGACTCTTGCTTATCTATTTTAATATATCAAGATCTGATTAGACCCAATGATTGTAGACACAAACAAGCGGATTGTTCTCTGCACCACTCTCTGTTTGTTGATATTCAGATGAAATTCTCACCTTAAGTCTGTAGTGTGAGTCTGAGTTGATGTGCTTAGTGGCCATCCAGTCCATTTCTAGCATGTTTTTACCTCCAATACTACTTTTCACTATGTTTTTATCTTCTCATAAGGCCATTTCTTGATTTTATGATCTGACAAAGTATGTAAAAAAATTGTCAGTATGCGTTTCCTGTATTTTTTTTCTTTTTTTTTTGTAGTTTCTTTTTCCTACATCACAAGTCATCAAGCAATCTTCCTATATTTTCTTAATATGCTTTTATCCTGTTTCCACCCTATGCTTTACTCATACAAATTATTTGCTCCAGAATAAGCTAGCTCCCTTAACCTGCTTGCATTCTATATGTGTACATTACAGGCAGAAGAACTTCTAGGGGATTTAGTTTTGGTTGGTACCAGATCTGGGTCTCTAAATTCAGGAGCAGATCATGGGAGATGAAAAGCATCTCTTTACAAATTTTTAGGAGTGGATTCAGTTTAGTCAATCAGAGCTGGGTGGATTATTATTATTATTATTATTATTATTAGTAGTAGTAGTAGTAGTAGTAGTAGTAGACAGAGTCTTGCTCTGTTGTCCAGGCTGGAGTAAAATGGCACAATCTTGGCTCACTACAACCTCCATCTCCTGGGTTCAAGTGATTCTCGTACCTCAGCCTCCTGAGTAGGTGGGACTACAAGCATCCACCACCATGCCTGGCTAATTTTTTGTATTTTTAGTAGAGACGGAGCCTCACCCTGTTGCCCAGGCTGGTCTCGAACTCCTGAGCTCAGGCAATCCACCCATGTTGGTCTCCCAATGTACTAGGATGACGGGCATGAGCCACCATGCCTGGCCTGTATTGTATTCTAAAATCTGTATAGTTTTCAGTGTAATTTCCATACTTTATCTGTAATTACTTACAGATTCTGGTTTTAGGTTGAATGTTGTCTTAGTTTTTGATACTGTAGAGAGTTTTCCTAATAGCTTTATAATTATTTAGAGCTGTTAGAAAAGACCACATTGGAATGTGCTAAGTATACATGAATTTAAAACTGAAAATCAGTAATTCTTTTTGATAGAATAAAGGGATAAAACATCAAAAAGGAGATAAAGTACCTTTTTTTTTAAAAAAAGTGCTGCTTTTGAATTATCAGAAAATTTCAAGTAACAGTGAGTAGTTTTATGTTCTATTGTTCTCACTGTTTGCCTCTTTTTTTTTTTCAAAAGGAAGTGTGAAATTACTCCTTTCTGAATTAAAAATAGACAGTTATGGTTGGCTTCCTCTACTGCAAGTATATACTATATCATGATAATGATTATTCTGTGGATATTGAAAAAGGAAGGAGAAATGAAAGAATCTGTAAGAAAGACAGGGCCTAAAATTTATGAGAAATGATTTCAGCAGTAAGCTAAAATCTACAGCAATAATTTCTTTAAAACTCATTATTTAGGAATTCTTTATTTCATTCCTTAATGTTTAATACTGAAATTGGCTTTTTTCTCTATAAACGATTTTTCTTCAAAATAATTATAATCAAGCAGAAAAACAAAGAAGTATCTCTCTGTTTTTGGATATCTGTTTCAAGTAAAGAACCATGAATTGGGTTTGCCACCTGTTAGCAGGTGGCAAAGCCCCCAGGATGATTTCGTATATACACGACACTAGCAAGAATAACAGGTATCACAATTCCATTCAGCTGTTTTTCCCATTAAATAAAAGCACTTAATAAATGTTACCAAATAGTTGAAAGTGAATTATTGACTAATACAGGGAGATTATTTTTCTAATTATGTGGCTTAATAATATTTTGTCATTTTCAGCTTTATTGGGAGCTTTAGAAGTTTTATAGTGTTTTGAGTGTAGGTTTTTTTTTGTGTGTATATATATATTTAACAGCTTTATTGACATATAATTCACATACAATATAAGTTACCAATTTAAAGTGTACAATTCATCAACTAACGTTTTTTATTGTGGTAAAATACACAACATAAAATTAACCATCTTTCTTTCTTTCTTTTTTTTTTTTTTTTGAGAGAGAGTCTTGCTCTGCTGCCCAGGCTAGAGTGCAGTGGCACAATCGTGGCTGACCTCCTCAACCTCCACCTCCCGGGTTCAAATAATTCTCCTGCTTCAGCCTCCCAGGTAGCTGGGATTACAGGCACCTACCACCACGCCTGGCTAATTTTTTTGTATTTTTAGTAGAGACAGGGTTTCATCACGTTGGTCAGGCTGGTCTCAAACTCCTGACCTCAGGTAATCCACCCACGTCAGCCTCCCAAAGTGCTGGGATTACAGGCGTGAGCCACCAGGGCTGGCCTATCTTACCCATTTTTAAGTGTATATAGTTCATTGGCATTATGTACATTCACATGGTTGTGCAACCCTCACCACTATCCATCTCCAAAACTCTTTTTATCATGCAAAACTGAAACTCTGTACCCATTGAACAATTACTCCACATCCCTCTCTTCTTAAAGTCTCTGGCAACCCCCGTTCTTCTTTCTGTGTCTATGAATTTGACTACTTTAGGTGCCTTAATAAGTACCTACCATATAGTATTTGCGTGTGTGTGTGTGTAATTGCCTTATTTCACTTAGGATAATTTCCTCAAGATTCATCCATGTTGTAGGTCATATTAGGATTTTCATCCTTTTTAAGGCTAAATAATATTCCATGGTATTTGTGTATCACATTTTATTTATTAATTCACCCATCAAAAGACTTGGGTTGCTTGAACTTTTTGGCTATTATGAATAATGCTGCTATAAACATGGGTGTTCAAATATCTCTTTGAGTCTCTGCTTTGGATTCTTTTGGTTATACCCAGAAGTGGCATTGGTAGGGCATATGGTAATTTGATTTCTAATTTTTTGAAAAACTGCCATTTGTTGTCCATAGTGGCTGCAGCATTTTACATTCCCACCAACAATGCACGGAGTTCCAGTTTCTTCACATCATTGCCAACACTTGTTATTTTCTGTCTTTTACAAAAATAGTAGCCGTCCTAATGATGTGAGGTGGTTAAGTATATTTTTGAACACATAACATTCAACAGACCTCAGCCAATATTAATGTTTCATTGATTTCTAAATGAAATATCTTCTCAAAGCATTACACAGTGGAAATACTAAGTCTAAGAAGCCACTAGTCTACCAACTCTGTGAGGGTAGGGACTGCACCCTAGCACATGCCTGCCACATGACTGCATCTGGGAGAGAGCAAGGCCCATTTGCTGAATAAGTGAAGGGTGTGTTTCTATTGACAATGAGCTTGGAAATGAATGGTGTGGTGCTTGTCATCCTGGGTGGAGGAGACCAATGTTAAACATGCAATTGATGGCAGCAGCCACACTCCAGGCAGCTTGCCACTGCCATCACACCAGCTGCAGCAGGGAGGCATGGCTTGGGCTGCATGCTCTGTGGAGCTGGTGGGAGCAGCACTCCTTCCAAGTTGGGGCAGGAGTTCCCCAGGTGGCATTGCAGTCACCCAAACCATGGCTGTGGATCTGAGCCTCCCTCTGCTCTTGGTAGGCTGGGAGCAGGCAGCTGCCCAAACCACAGCTGCATGGCTGCAGACCCAGGAAAAGGCAGGAGCCCCCGTCCACCATCCCTGCACTCTTGGGTGCCCGGGAAGGCCCTCCTGCTCTCTCAGGCTTGGTAGTGACTGCCCCTGCTGCCTGGCTTCTCCCTGCTTTAGGCACCTGCTCTGACCCTGGAGCAAAATCCAGCAAGCCCAGGGCCATGAGTGGCAGCAGGAGGCAGACAGATTCCTGGGTGAAAGGGGGTGGGTTCCAGTAAGGCCTCATCTTCAGGCCAGGGAGGGCCTGAAGGCTAGTGGCCAGGCTGCCTGTCCCAGTGGACTGGAGTGGGGACCTCTGGTCCCTCTTCTGGGCCACCCGTGGCTGACCATGGACCAATTGGCATTCACTTCCTCCCCTCTGAGGTTCATAAAACCCCTGGGCTCAGCCAGAGCAGGGCAGAGGACAGAGAGGATGGAGAGATGTCTGCAGAGAGGAGCTACCCTTTCTGCTTAGAGCTGGGATGTCTACGGCGACCTGCCTGCAGACAGGAGCCACTCTCTCCAGGACCTCCTCTCTGCTGAGAGCTGCAGAGATAACAGGGAAGACCTGCCCTCAGAGAGGAGCCACTCTCTCCTGGGCCTCCTCTCTACTGAGAACTGAACACTGGGTGAGATAACCTGCCTGCAGAGAGGAGCTGCCCCCTGAAGTTCTCCTCTGAGCTGTCCTGACACTCAGTAAAGCTTCTCTTTGTCTTGCTCACTCTCCACTTGTCTGTGTACCTCATTCTTATCCTGGATGCAGGACAAGAACTGAGGCAAAGGAGCCACTGGCCACAGAGGTTTCTAGCCAGAAAAGCGACACCCTAAAGATCCCATAACACAATCAGTGACAAACCTTGGGATCAGGCTTGTTACACAGGGCAACAACAGCCTTGAGTTTCTCTTTAGCGGTGGGTGACACGAATGACTACTCTCCTTGTTGGCATCAGTTGATTTTGAGCTCTCAATGGGTAGTAATGAGTTGCCATTCCTTGTGTTCCCTGAGTGCCCGGCTGGTTTACCTTTTAGAGAGGCAGCATAGCGGAGTGAGGAGAAGATGTGGGGAACAGGGCTCTGTATCCCTGGCCACGTGACCTTTAAGAACTATCTCATCTCTCCAATGCCATCTCCTCGCCTGTAAAATGAGATTAATAATAGCCACTCCAGGAGACTGTTGAGAATTTAAGTGAAATAATGTATGTAAGGTGCACTGCGTACGTATGTACACATTATTGTAAACATTTTATTTTTTGTTTTAGAACTAGTTATTTTATTAAATGATATTAATACATATTTCAAAGAGATTTCATTGTTGTTGCTTCCAAAGCATGTACTTGTTTTGTTTTCCACATTGAACCCATGAGAATATGACTTCAACATATCTAATTTTGATTTTAACAGGCATCCCTGCCCATTTTTGAAAAGAGGGAGGAAAGTGAGGTGGCGAGGGTGGCAGGGGCGGGAAGTAGTAATTTACAATGGCTTCAAAAAAATAACAGTTGGAGCTGAATTCTGCATAAACTGGTAACTTCAAGACTGACAGTGAATTTTCATTGTTGTTTTTCCTTTAATGTGTGACCTTTTGTTTCTGCTTGTCCTCCACTTTGTGCCATGAAACTCTCTGATAGTTACAAAGTATTCAAAGTATTTCACTACTTTTGTTAACTTATTCTTTTTTTTTTTTTTTGCAAGTGACTCTCAAGACACAGGTTGCCACACATAAAGTCAGTGCTCAAGAGATGTTTTATTCACCAGAGTTCCTCACAATGTGTACTTCAAAGACATCCTCAGGGGCTTTGGCTGAGGCCATCTGCTAGTTTTGAAGACTAGATTTCAGTGTGTTGGTGACTGGACTCATGCATATTCTGTCCTGTGTTTTGCAGCTCCTCCTACAACAAAGAATCTTCCTCTTAGAATTTAGAAGGAAGTCCAAGTCTTTTGTGTTTTATTATCTTTACACCAGTTCTGCTTTGGCTATGCTCCTTTTGTTTCAGCTGCTGCTGTCTCCTGGGTGAGGCAGTGAAGTGGACCCATTCTTCCATCACTGTTTATTGAGAAATGCAGAAACATTTGTACAGAAACCACTATGGGTTCAACAGATTTCCTGGTAGAGAAGTAGATAAACCAGCCAGACAAAGACGTTTTGAAATGAGATGTTATCATGTAGCCAACAACTGCAAATTTACAAGAGCTCTCGGTTGAAAATATAATTGTGGCGTTCAAAAATCTCATGAGAAACATCTGAATTAGAATGATTTTCAGAGGGCTCTCTCACAATGCTAAGATTTTGCTCGGATGATCTCTGTCGACCCCTGAAAACAAAAATAAAAGTTTCTGAAATACCATAATCTTTTATAAAGACATCTTAATAACTTTCAATATAAATAACTTATGTTAAATATAAAGTATACAATCATATATAAATGATATATATTTCTTTTTTTTGAGATGAAGTTTTGCTTTTGAATGATATATATTTCTATAAAACTTATATACAAACTCATATAGATGTGAAGAAGGTAAGCTACCATGAGTAAAATAAAGCACATATTATACCATAAATATTTCAGGGTGAGAATAGTCAAACTATGCCTCACAGACCAAATCTGACCCACAGCCTATTTTTATATTGCTTGCAAACAAAGAATTGGTTTTTACATTTTAAATGAACTACTTTTAAAAAGAATGTGTAGCTCCCAAAGCCAACATGTTTAATAGCTGCCCCTTTACAGAAAAAGTCTGCTGAGCATTCATGTAAAAGGTAATGTTACTTAAGCAGCAATTATCTATTAAAACAAATATTATATTTTTCAGAAACATGAAGTGGAAGCTTAAAAATAGCTTGCTCAAATGGGGAAAGGATTCCCTATTTAATAAATGGTGCTGGGAAAACTGGCTAGCCATATGCAGAAAACAGAAACTGGGCCCCTTCCTTATACAAAAATTAACTTAAGAAAGATTGAAGACTTAAATGTAAAACCAAAACTATACAAACCCTAGAAGAAAACCTAGGCAATACCATTCAGGACATAGGCATAAGCAAAGACTTTGTGAATGAAACACCAAAAGCAATTTCAACAGAAGCCAAAATAGACAAATGGGATCTAATCAAACTAAAGAGCTTCTGCACAGCAAAAGAAACTCTCATCAGTGTGAACAGGCAACCTACAGAATGGGAGAAAATTTTTGCAAGCTACCCATCTGACAAAGTTTAATATCCAGAATCTATAAGGAACTTAAACAAATTTACAAGAAAAAAACAAACAACCCCATCAAAAAGTGGGAAAAGGATATGAACAGACACTTCTCAAAAGAAGACATTTATGTGGCCAACAAACGTAAAAAAAAGGTCATCATCACTGGTCATTAGAGAAGTGCAAATCAAAACCACAAATGAGATACCATCTCATGGCGTTAGAATGGCAATTATTAAAAAGTCAGGAAACAACAGATGCTGGTGAGGCTGTGGAGAAATTACGAACGCTTTTGCACTGCTGATGGGAGTATAAATTAGTTCAACCATTATGGAAGACAGTGTGGTAATTCCTCAAGGATCTAGAACAAGAAATGCCATTTGACCTAGCAATACCATTACTGGGTATATACACAAAGGATTATAAATCATTCTACTGTAAAGACACATGCACACATGTAGCACTATTTACAATACCAAAGACTTGGAACCAACCCAAATGCCCATCAATGACAGAGTGGATAAAGAAAATGTGGCACATATACACCATGGAACACTATGCAGCCATGAAAAAAGGATGAGTTCATGTCTTTTGCGGGGACATGGATGAAGCTGGAAGCCATCATTCTCAGCAAACATTTTCAGGAACAGAAAATCAAACACTGCATGTTCTCACTCTGAAGTGGGAGTCGAACAATGAGAACACATGGACACAGGGAGGGGAACATTACACCCCGGGGTCTGTCAGGGGGTGGGTGGCAAGGGGAGGGAGAGCATTTGGACAAATACCTAATGTATGTGGGGCTTAAAACCTAGGTGATGGGTTGATAGTTGCAGCAAACCACCATAACACATGTATCCCTATGTAACAAACCTGCACATTCTGCACATGTATCCCAGAACTTAAAGTAAAATTTTAAAAAAGCTTGCTCAAAGTTGTTTAATTGATAATAATCTTGTATCAGTGTCTTTAACATTTCACTTCATGTAACTTCTATGAGAGTCAAGTAGTGAAACATTATTAGTTCTGAAGGAGTAAGTTGTGACTAATGAGCAAGAGACTTGTAATCTGATTAAAAGAAATGTCAGTTCAGGTCAAGAAAATAGCTAAAGTAACATTAAAGTAGTGTATTATGCTCTGGTGATTGTTGAACTTTGGGTGGGTTTATACTCAGATATTTTTAATTTAACCATCCACCAAAATGTATTGATGTAAGATGACAACCTTGCACAACTCAGCTTGGATGCTGAAGTCAGCAGGTCTCTGCTTCCCACCAGCTGCCCACACTTTAAAACTGTCCCTTTCCCCACCTCACTTGACCTCTTTGCAGGGGTCCTTCCTCCTTCCAAAAATTATCTTTTGCTTTGTCATCACAGCAGCTGATAAGTAGGAGAACTACAACCCTGGTTCTCCTTCTACATATCAGTCTCGGACCCTGTAACCAGCTTCCCTTCCTCAACTGGACCTCTAGGCATAGGAATCCATCAACCTCTGCTCTCTTCCTGTGCGTCCTTGCCTGGCTGACCTGAGCCAGCAAATCTGGTGCCTCCCACTTCTGTCTGTGCTTCCATCCACTCTTGTCAGCTTCGAATCTACTAACTCTAATATCTAGACCATGTGTGAATCTGTTTGGTGTCTTTTTTTCTTGATTATCACTCATATAGTCTTGTCTTTTTCCATGTCTGGTAATTTTTTGTTGTAAGCTTAACATTATGTATAAAACAAGTCCAGAGGCTCCGGATGACATTCTATCCTACAGAAGATTCTCCTTTCCTCTTTTAGGTAGTGTAGAAGCTTGATCACTTCATCCTGGTAAGAATTGAGGTGGTCGGCCAGGAGGCTGAGGCAGGAGGATTGGTTGAGGCCAGGAGCTTGAGACTATCCTGGGCAATATAGTGAGACCCTGTCTCTACAAAAAATTAAAAAAAAAAAGCTGGGTGTGGTGGCATGCAGCTATAGTTTTAGACACCTGAAGGCTGAGGTGGGAGAATTGCTTGATCCCAGGAGTTCAAGGCTGCAGTGAACTATTATTATTGCACTACTGCACTTGGCTGACAGACCAAGACCCTATCTCTAAAAAAGAAAAAAGAAAAAAAAAAACCCAGAATTGAGGTGGGTTGAAGCTGGATTGCAGTTTTGGCAAGACCCAGCCTACTTCTGGCTTCACTCCAATTTTAGGGGTTGGCCTCTCAGACTTTATTAGAGGTTTTCAGCTTAGTTCTGTAGCCTCTCATTCCACATAGTTCAAATGCTGGAAAATATATTGAGAGGAACTCCAGGTCTGTGTTGCCTTCCACACAGCCCGCAGCTCAGCAAATGCCCTGTCGTCTGTGTGTTTGAGGCACACCATGTCCCTAATTAGTCAACCCAGACCTTGTTAACTGCCAAAACTTTGCTGAATTTTTTCCACCATAAGATCTCTTCCTGGATTCCGGCCAATCCTGAGTTTATGCACAGAATCAACATATCTTTAGAGGAAAAAATTTCTGGAATATGTTAGCTCAACTGGAAATGGGTCTCCCTCTCTTATGCATATAACAATGTGATAATTGTAATTTATCAGGCTTTTTCTCATTGGAGTGTTAAGTTTCCATGAACACTCCATCCTGCATAGAAGCAGAAAGCTTCTGGGAATGACATTTACAATTGAAACTTTCCTTTCACCTCATCTCCCCACTTGTGAGAAGTTACCAAGTTCATCAGCTTTGCTTCTAATAATTCCCCAATCTGTTCACATCTTTCCAATTTCACTTTTATCACATTGTCCAATACCATCATATCCCATCTGGACTTCTGTAATACTCTCGCTACTTTTTTAACACATTCTTTCTCCCTTCAGTGTATTCCTCATTCTTCATTGAGAGCTATTCTTTAAAATGCAAGCCTTTACGTCACTTCCTTGGTTAAATCCCTTCAGCAGCTTTCTATTCCCCCTAAGTCAAAAATCCTTAAAAATTCTTACTGGTGCAGCACCTTCAAATCTCTAGGGCCTCAACTCACAACTTGTGTCCCTTCTCTTTTCCGTATTTCTAATTATGGCAGCTAAGCCCTTATTCTGATTCATATGTAGATTCTTTCAAATATGATTTTCTGTTTGTCTTGAACACTCTCCCCACCCTTGCCTTTTCTGCTAGCTAACTCTTCCTTATCTTTCAGTCCTACTTTAAATAAACATAAATTTTATAAGGAATCCCTTTTTAACCCCATAAAATAAATCACATATTCATAATATATGCTCTCATAACACTGTATATGTTTTCATTTTAGGATTTATGATGAGTGTAATAATTATGGAGACATATGATTCGTTTCTTTACTTTTCACAAAGGGAGGGACCATGTCCATGTTGTCCTCCGCTATAACCACTATTACAGGGTATCTAGCACTGATTAGGCATTCAATAACTCTTGGTGGAATGAGGGAATAAAGAAATAAACCAATGAATAAATTCATAAATATTATAGAAACACATCCAACTATATATTAAATCAAATCAACTTGTGGTGATGAAATGTATTATTTGAGGGTTTTTAGGAGCTTAATATTACTCATATATGGACAGCCATCTTTGCCAGGAAGAAAGCCACTTTGTTCCCTTTTATAAAACCCTTGTTCCCATCTCTTCACCTATAATTTCAACACCTGTCCCCAAAATCTATTCACACACTCAAATACATGTGCACACGCGCGCGCGCACACACACACACACACACACACACACACCGTGTCATACAGGCTGTAGAGGCTGCAGGCAACTCCCCATTCTGCCCTTCGCATCCCGACCGGCTACCCTGTCACTCCCTCTCACTGATGCCGTGGATCTATTACGTTCTCCCTGCTACTTCCTAGTTTTTGCAGCTGTTAAGGCTCTCCTTCCTCTCTCCTCCTCACAGTAGCCAGTTTTGTATACAGAATAAAAGGAAAGAGAAGCTCTCCATCTAACTGAATTGTAAAAATTCCTAGTCTCCTAGTTGAATTCCTACGATAACAATGTTAAAAATTGTGGTTAGGCCTAACACTCTTAGAGTTTAGAGACAGGAAGAAATGAAGGTTCTGTGGTGGAAATTCCGAAATGCATTGCTAACAGAAATCCTACCCTCTCTTTGAATGTTTGCACCAGCACAGATTCACAGCTTGAAGCCTCATAACTAGAGAAACCCACTTAGTCAGTTCCCTGTATAACATATAGGATGAAGAATGTTCTATTTTATGGTATATTTGAAAATCACAAAGAAAGTAGATTTTATGTGTTCTCATCATAAAAAACAAGTATGTGAGGTAATGCATACGTTCATTTGCTCAATTTAGCCATTCCACAATCTGTATATATTTCAAAACTTCACATTGTATACCATAAATATATACAATTTTCATTTGTCAATTGAAAAAAATTTTTAAAAGAATTTCCATTTCATGAGATACATTTGGAGGTCTTCTCAAGACCTCCAGATTCTCAGATTCTCCATTCTCTTGGCACATATAGTAAAATCCTCCTTATGTATTACGAAAATCCTGGCCATAAAAACTATATGTAGGCCTGCTATCTGATCCCTGCCCCCATAAGTTTTATCTTCTATTTATGGCACCATCTTTGGCACCCATGGCCAATGATCAGTTCAATCTTATTTTTGGTCCTGGTCAGGGTTGTAGACATCTACAACAATGATACATATCGCCACTTCCCTTCTCTTTTTAATAATCTGATAAGTAATCACAAGTCTCAATGGAACAAGGGAACTTTAAAAAAATAATGCTAAACACAGCTAAATCAAACTCTCGAGAATGAGAAGTGTTTTGATTTTTGGCCGTCAGAGGCTCCTTATATCTCTGGGTCTTTATACATTCTAACATCACCAAAATAAATTTTTGAATATTTTTATTTCTAAAAAGAGTGTCGTGTACCCATGAACAATTACTGTCCTTCTTCCTCCAGCCTCACCAAACCTAATCAACCACTAATCTGCTTTCTGTGTGTATGGGTTTCCCTATTCTGAAAATTTTATATCAGTAGAGGCAGCAATATGTTTTCTTTTGTGTTTGACTTCTTTCACTTAGCATGTTTTCGAGGTTCATCCATGTTGTAGCATGTATAAACACCTTATTCCTTTTTATTGCTGAATAATATTCCCTTGAATGGATATATCACATTTTTTCCATTCATCAGTTGATGCACATTTGAGTTGTTTCCATGTTTTTCTGCTTATGAATATGCTGCCATGAACATTCATGTACAAGTTTTTGTGATGACATATGTCTTCATATCTTTTGGATATATGTATTTATATATATAGATATCCACTCAGGTATATATATAGATTTACAGATATCTTCATGTCTCTATATATGTATATATAATATATGTATATACTATCTATCATCTATTTATCTATCTATCCATTTATCTATCATCTATCTACCTATCCATCTATCTATCTATCTATCTATCTATCTATCTATCTATCTATCTATCCATCCATCTATCTATCTATCCTATCTAAGAGTAGAATTGCTGGGTCACATGACAACTCTATATCTAACCATCTGAGGAATTGCCAGACTGTTTTTTCTTTCTTTCTTTTTTTTTGAGACAGAGTCTCGCTCTTGCTGCCCAGGCTGGAGTGCAGTGGCGCAATCTCAGCTCACTGCAACCTCCGCCTCCCAAGTTCAAGTGATTCTCCTGCCTCAGCCTCCCAAGTAGCTGGGATGACAGGTGCCCACTACCATGCCTGGCTAATTTTTATATTTTTAGTAGAAATAGGGTTTCACCATGTTGGACAGGCTGGTCTCGAACTCCTGACCTCAGGTGATCCATCTGCTTTGGCCTCCAGAGTGCTGGGATTATAGGCATGAGCCACTGCGCCCAGCCCAGACTGTTTTCTAAAATGGCTACACCATTTTACATTTTCACCAGAAATGTATGAGGCTTCCAATTTCTCCACATTCTCACCAACACTTATTCCTGAATTACTCTTGTTAACAGCCATCCCAGTGGGTGTGAAGTGGTATCTCATTATGGTTTTAATGTGCGTTTCCTTAATGACTAAGAATCTTGCTCATCTTTTCATGTGCTTATTGGTTAGTTGTATACCTTCTTTGGAGCTATGTCTATTCAAGTCCTTTGCTCATTTTATAAATGAGTTGTTTGCCTTTTTGTTGTTAAGTTGTAATAGCTTTTTATATTTCTGTATTCTGGATACTAGACCCTTAGCAGAGGATTTGCAAATATTTTATCCCATTCCATGGGTTGTATTTTCACTTTCTTGAGGGTATCCTTTAAGGCCAAAAGTTTAAAATTTTTTCTCTTTTTTTTTCTTTTCTTTTGCTTTTGGTGTCATATCTAAGAAGGTTTGTCTATCTAATCTGTTAAAAGCAGCCAGAAGCAACAACACGCTATCTCCTAGAAATGTTTTCCATTTTTGGATACATGTTTCCTTCTTTCTGGCTTTTTGCAAAATTCCTAATGAGGATTCTAATTTTATAGCCCTTATTTTGAAACCTCCACCAGTATCTACGGCATCATCATCACCCTTCCCCACTTCCTGCGTGTCATCATGCTGTTAGAATCTCTTCAGTTCTTCCCTTTCCAGGTCCAACCCCTAACAAGTCTTCTTTCAGTCTTTGATTGGCTTCTGACAAATAGTAGATAAATCAGTTGACCCACATAAATCATTTCCCCAAAATGCCATCCTGACCACCAGCAAGGCAACCTTTCCTATTACCTTGCAAAATAATTTGACTCTTCTTTATCCTAAACTCCTCTTTCTATACCAGGCTCTGGACACCACTTTGTATAATTAAAAATGCCCATTAAGGTATTTCCCATTTACCCCACACTTCAAAAATGTTCCCACCAAATGTTCACTCTTAGAATGGGAAGAGGATGGCAATTAAAAAAATAGTAGTTTTTAAAAATATACCATGTGTCTTTTGGTAGGAAGGAGGGGGACATATGGCAAAAAAAGGAATAATTTTTTCCCATTGCAATAGAGGTGTCATCAGTGCAATGTGGCTTTGGTACAGTGTCTCATCTTGGGAAAGAGTCAGTTGAAAGTAACAGCAACAGTAGAAGGGGGCACCTGGCACAGTGGTAGCATACCTAGCTAGTGCTTTGCAGACATCATGAAAATAGCTGTAAGACATTTTTATCTTCTATCTGAATACAAGAAAAAAAGAAATATGTTGAACAGGTTAAAGGAGAGTTGTTGTTCAGAAATGCATGTGAGACACCCCATTGTAATTTGTAGAAATAGTTGGGGAGACTGTGGAAGTAGAACTACAGATTCTAAAATGACAAGTGGGGTCAAATAAAAATAAAAAAAGGATAATTTCTACAATACTTCAGAGCCTGCATAAGGATGGCTTCATGCAGAAGTGAGCCCTTGGATGAAGCTTAGAGGTGGATTTCTAATTTAGGAAAATAATAAAATGGATAAGTTTTTAATTTTTTTACACTGACTTCCTATAAAACCTGGAAATAAACTTTATAAGTTCCAGGACAATGATTCATTAATTGAATCTGACAGTAGCACCTTGCAGAACATATTTATTGATTTCTCAATTTTTTGAAGTACAGTTGCATTTACTGTGATGCCTTCAAGGCTAGACAGAATATTAAAGACTGACAATTGAGAGAACTTACATAAAATTAAATAAATCAATGTGTTCTATCATACACTTGAATACTTGCTAAAAAGAAAAATTAGTTAGCATTAGAAGCATTCTATCATTTTATATTAAGAAAACTGTATTTTCTGTGTGTTTTTATGGAAAAATATGAAAATCATACAGCTATAGGCATTCCTATGCACTGACTCAAACATGGGCCAGTTTGGAAGCGTTGTTTATCCTGTTATGGTAAAAGGCAAATGTTTTGAGTAATACAGTCTGTCTTCATTTCTGTCTTACTATCATTTCATGAGGTATTATAAATAAATAACAATTCAAAGGCAAGTGAATCAGAACCCCTGATTGTACCATCCAATTCAGTAGTCACCAGCCACAGGTGTCTCTTGAGTCTTTGAAGTGTCACTGACTGAGAGATGTATTGTGAGTGTGACATACCCTCCAGGCTTCCAAGAAGTAGTATTTAAAAAGATACAAAATATAACATTAATCATATTTTTATATCGATTACATGTTGAAAATATATTGGCTATATGGGGTTAAATAAAACATATTAAAATTACTTTCACCTGTTTCTTTTTATTTTTGTTGATGTGGCTACAAGATAATTTCAGATAACTTAGTTGCTTGGATTATATCTGTTGGACAGGCTGCCTGCAAGAATGCCAAATGTTTTAAGTATTGTTAGGAATTGGAGGGTGCAGCAGGCCAGTGTGACTCAGGCGTTGCGGCATCTGTGGGTCCTTCTGCCTTGGTTATTTGGCGGAGATGAGCTGCCTGCCAATTATATCCACCCGAGCTGTAGATCCGGTTTTATCCAAGACCTTCCAGAAGGGACCAAGAATGCATTGGTTCCACCCCTGTCCAACGGACCAGAACAGGCAACCGTTTGAGGACCTAGACCAACACCTGCTCAGGCTGCTTTTGCGTCCTTGACAACAGCTTCAAGACGCTCATGTCTCGAGTAAAGCCCAAAGACAGCAGTGTTTGCAAGTGAACAAAAAAAATCTACAAATGGATACATTGGTATCAATCTAATAAGAATTTTGAGAAGATTAAAGGAAATTATATGTAGAAAGTCTAGATCAGTTAATTCACTTTTGATGGCATAGGGGGAAGTATTAGAAACTTTGGGAAAGAATAATAAAGAACCCTGGGTGGTGAGAATATTGTGAACCATTCAGTTAATGAAGCGATGTTTAACTGTATTGCGCAGAGCCGCAGAGTCGCCTTGAAATGGAGAATGGAGGCCACACCTGCATCAGTCCCAGAGCAACCAGGAAATCTGCTGTTACCCGTTTACATATTAATGCATGTGGTTTATAGATTTCATGAAATATCAACTAAAAAGTCCTCTGCCCTTTAAAAGGTTGGATAGTCATTGATTTAAAGAAGTTAAAATATGTATTTGATGTAAACTGAACTGAGTTTTTCAGTTTAATAATGTCATTTTACCTCTTTCTTAATCTCTAGGTGGAAATATTTATTTGAGGACACTGAAATCTGGCATTAAAAAGTAAAAAATCAAATGTTTTTACCATAACATTAAGAAAGCATTTTTATTTTATTTTTGGTTTAAGAAGAAAGGGAGTTTATCTAGGGATAGTTCACAGTTCTTGGGGTTTCTGAGAATTTCACAAGAGCATAATGGAGGTGGTGTGCGTCTGTCCCATAAAGACCCCAGCTTCTGCCGCTTAGTGTGAGTGCTCAGGATCACTACCCCTACGATGGCTGCTGAGTGTGGGGTCCACTGCCACCCTTCCCTGGAGTGCACCTTGTCAGACCCTCCTCCAAATTCTCCAAACCGGCCATCTTGAGCAGGTGTGTCTGATTGGAGGAGCCTGTGCCCCGTGCCTGTTGTAGCTGCGATGGAGGTGGGGAAAGTGAGATTCCAGCTTCTGCTCTGGGGACCCGTAGCTCATAAAACAGAGTTGCCCAAACATGGGAGAGGCTTCAGAGCCTTCTTCCATACCCATGCAAGCGCCTTCTCCTCCACGTTTCTGTATTTCCTGTGCAGAGCCTTGCTTGCCCTCTGGTGTCCCACAGTATTCTGCATGGACCTCCGCCACATTATTCATCAAGCTAATGGTCAAGAGGTCTGCAACAGTCTGCGAACTCCAGCTATTCATGTTTGGATCCTCATTCCATAGCATCGTGCCTGGCACAAAGAAGATATTTAGGAAGTGTTCGCAGTGAACAAAAAAGTGAATTAACTGCAGTAGATTAATTTTCCTAAAGTAACTGCTTGCCTCACTGCCAGCTTACCATCAAAAATTCTAGGGGACATCAAATAGGTGCTTGGAGAGAGGGGCACGTATGTTCGTCTAGAGCTGCAAAAGGGTTACTTTGGGGACAGAAGAAGAAAGTTCTGAGGAAGTTGGATCATGTTTTATTATTACTACTATTTTAATAAATACTCATATTTAGCTATTACCAACATAACAGCTTACTTGCCACGGAAGGGGATGAGTCTTAGCCCTCTCAGATTTGGCATCATTCAGGGTCCTCAGTGAATAAAATTCAAGGGAAGAAATAGAACTTTGCAAGTTTCAGACCCAGGGTGGCATCCCCTAGTACCTGGCCAAGAACAACTAGAATGTGGCTGAGAAGTTGAAAGGCTGTGTCCTCCCTCGCCTTCCCTCCTTCTTTCACAGACCCAACCTCTTTCTCTGTACATTTATCTAAAGTGTGGGAACATAAGAAAGAGAAGATGAAGCCCCAATTTCACAGAACAGTAGCCGAAATTACACAGAAAAGCCATAAAGCAGTGCTTCTATTTCGTTTCATTTTTAAAAGTCATTTACTTTATGACTATAAAATCTGAAGCTGTTTCTCCCCCCAAATTAGAATCCCATGAACTAGAGAGATAAGTTACTAAGATTTTTTATTTTTTTATTTTTCTGAGACATCGTCTTGTTCTGTCACCCAGTCTGGAGTGCAGTGGCATGTTCTCGTTTGACTGCAACCTCCGCCTCCCTGGTTCAAGTGATTCTGCAACCTCAGCCTCCTGAGTAGTTGGGACTACAGGGGTGCATCACCATGCCTGGCTAATTTTTGTATTTTTATTAGAGACGGCGTTTCACCATGTTGGCCAGGCTAGTCCCAAACTCCTGACCTCAGGTGATCTGCCTGCTGTGGCCTCCCAAAGTGCTGGGATTACAGCAGGTGTGAGCCACTGCACCCAGCGGAGTTATTAAGATTTTCATATCTCCTTTAAGCAACTATTTCAATGCCCTTTGAATTCCATATATAAGGCATATATTTGGATATGAATACTATATGAATATATGTAAATATGATCCTGGTTAAATTACACATGATGTGAGGCTTGATGTGCTGCCTTTTTTACTTAATATTCTGTCAATGCTTTCTAATGTCATTGAAATGTGCTGAAGGCTTTATTTTTAATGCCTGCATAGTATTTCTCAATATGAATTCATCATATTTATTTATTTCCCTTTCATGTAATTTATTCCAAATTTGTCATTGTTATAAACATTCAGGGATTAAGCCAGTTGTAACCTTGGCTGTAAACTTTTATGCTGACAGCCAAATCAACAATTCAACATATCATGAGAAGAGGAGAAAGGATGTGAAATTTCTCACTGTGGTAACACTTGATGACTGTAATTATGACATTGATCCTATATCTCACCTCCATTGGTAGATATAGAAACTGAGGCTCATATTGTTAAGAGAACATGCCCTAAGTTACACAATTAATCAGTGGAAGAAGTGAGATTTAAACCCAAGTCTACCTCACGTCAAAATCCACACCTTTTCCTCTGTGGTGTATGTCCCTGTTCTGACTTAGGAAATTTCCCTCTGTAACTCCAGTGGGGCTACTAAGTGTAAACGGGTATTGTGAAGGAAGGTCCGTCTTAGAGCTGCAGCCAGTATGCCCTGTTCCACCAGGGGTACAAAACAGTTAAATCTCTATTATTCTCCAAATCAAAGGAATCGGGCCCTCCTCTTACAATCTTTGAAGATCTTTTTGTTTTCTTACCCCTGGAATTTTACTTCTATCAATTTTCACACCTGAAGCACACATACATGCGCGCACACCACACACACACACACACACACACACACACACACTCCACATGACAGGTCAAGAATCTCAGGCTATCCTAGATGACGTGTCAATCACCTCGCACAGAGGAAACCGGAAGTTTAAAGGTTGTCTGCAGTCCCTGTAGCCATTGCTGCCACATGGTGTCACTGTTGAAGCACAGGCAGACCAGCTGCCCCAGTACTCTCTCCTTTGTCCCCAGAGTTGGGCATGAGCCTCCCTACCTCCATGTCCCCTCTCTAAACGACATGGTGACCTGGAAATCGGATACAATCCCTGGCTGCCTCTGGCTCAGATACTTCTTTCCATGGGGCAGAGTCGCCATCATTCATTACACATATATACAAGACACACAGGTATGTGAGCTGCCTGTCTCAGGTGTGCAAACTTAGCCCACAGCCTCTTGGCTAGATCACATACCAGTGATCTAGGTTCAACGCCACCCATTGGTAATGTGGCTACTTGAATTAAGACAAGTAGTGGGGGTGACCTGCTAAAGATAGTGCTATCAGTTTCTTTCCTCCTTCAGCCAAAAAACGTTCTTTTTTGCTGTTGGGTATGTGGAGAGCTGGTTTACTCATCCATGTGGAATGATGGAGATTTTTCCCTTCCACCCCTTCTCAGACAGAGGATAAAAGCCCTTATGTTTTTAGGATCTAAGTCTTACTGTCTCTTAGAGAAGAGAAAAAAATTTCTTTATGTCTCAAAAGTCCAAGGTTTTGTCTTGGGCAAACGTGTAATTTTAGAGAGAAAAAGTTGGTGTTTCAGGGAATGAAACAAAAAGCAGTGAACTCTGTGATTATCCCCAAATTCCAGGAGAAAGGGCAAGGTGGGTGTGGATTTCGTTATGGGCAGGTGACATGCATGTTTTGGCACAGGAATCCCTAGCACTGTGCCTAGTGCTGTGGCTGGGGTGCCGGATGCAGGTACCATGTAGAAGAGGAGGTGGAGACACGAGCCATCAAAGAACCTGACTGGTCTGAGCCTGCAGCTGGTGACAGCCCTATTTTGTTGTGATTGGGAGGGCAGGTTGCAAAATCAGAGAAAGAAGGGCCACTAGCACCTGCGGGAGCTCAGCGACATCAAGACATTTCTCCTCTTAGGAGTGCACATTTGGAGGAAGCCACCTCTGGGACATGGAAGATATTCCTTTTCTTTGAATATCTAATGGGAAGTGGGAGAATCCCCAAGAGTTTAAAAATGGACTTTGTGTCAATCTGCCATTTGGATGCCAAGCCAGATGAAATTTAATGTGGAGACATTAAAGCAATGTGAAATTGCACCCCAGTGTTGAGTAATAGTCTATAGAATTACCCCTCATGCATACAACCACCTGTCCAGATTCAAGCCTCTACTATACTGATCAATTTTACCTACCTCTTGTCAGAATAGAAGAGACCCATCTCATCACTGACGTTCAGGATTCCATCTTGTCCAGCTGGCTCAGGGACTTCTCCGTCATCACCTTCTCTTTCTTCTGTGTCTTCAACCCTTTGCTTTGCCTTGATCTCTTTCCCATCAGCTTTTTAAATACACCCTAGTCTCTTCCATCTTAATAAGCTTTCATCATTTGCCAAATTATCTTTGCGTTAGGCCCTTGTTTGTAGCTAGAACACTGACCAAAGCCTTCAGGAGTGGTCCTGCTCTGTTGTCTGCCAGAATAACTGCTTATGACCTGAGCAACCAGTAGCAATATCAACAATAGAAATTTTGGGAGCATAATGGAATGCTAGAGCCCAAAGCTAATCTGCCTTTAAGACATAATCATGGCCATCCCTAGTATGCCTCAATTCACAGTTTGCTTTGGTTATCCCCATAAGTCCAAACCTCTGAGAACGTTTGCTACCACTTGAACTTCCATTTATGTTCCTCTCTGTAAATCCCTAATATGTCCCAATCCCACAACCTTCCCTGTCACCTCAAACCCCGTCACCGTGCCTTCTAGAATTCCTGCTCTGTGACTGGCCAAATCCTCTTTGTCTCAGCCAGCTCAAGTTGCTATAACAAACGATTGACTGGGTCTCTGAAACAGCAGACATTTATTTCTCACAAGTTCTGGAGTTTGAGAAGTCTGAGATGAAGTTGCTGGCAGATTTGGTCCCTGGCGAGGTCTCCCTTCCTGGCTTGCTGATGGTTGCTTTCTTGCTGTATCCTCACATGGTGGAGCGAGAGCAAGCTCCAGCCTCTTCCTCTTACATGGACACTAACACCATCATGAGGCTTCACCCTCATGATCCTATCTAAGCCCAATTACCTCCCAAAGGACTTACCTTCATATACTATCACATTGGGGATTAGGACTTCAACATATAAATTTAAAAAACATTATTTTGAACACATACATTTTGAAAAACATTCAGTGCATAACATTAGGCCCCTGGCTCCCCACTCTAATTCATGTCATTCTTGCATGCAGAGTACATTCATTCCATCCCAACAACCCCAAAGTCTGAACTTGTTCCAGCATTAACTCTAAAGTCTGAAATCCAAAGTCTCACCTAAATATCATTGAAATCAGATATAGGTGAGACTTGAGGTACAATTCATCCTGAAGCAAAATTCGTCTCCAGCTGTGAAACCGTGAACCTGGATATGTTTTGTGTTTCCAAAATATAATTGTGGAGAAGGCATAGGGTTAGACATTTCCATTCAAAAAGAGATAAATAGTGAAGTAGATGGTGATGGGTCCCAAGCAAGTCAAAAACCTAGCAAGGCAAAATCCACTGCTTTTTTTTTTTTTTTTTTTTTTTTTTTTTTTGAGATGGAGTCTCACACTGTCACCTGGGCTGGAGTGCAGTGGTGCGATCTTGGCTCACCGCAACCTCCTCCTCCCGGGTTCAAGCAATTCTCCTGCCTCAGCCTCCCAAGTAGCTGGGATTACAGGCACCCGCCACCACGCCCAGCTAATTTTTTGTAATTTTAGTATAGATAGGGTTTCACCATGTTGGTCAGGCTGGCCTCGAACTCCTGACATCAGGTGATCCACCTGCCTCAGCCTCCCAAAGTGCTGGGATTACAGGCGTGAGCCACTTTGACAGGCCCCCACTGCACCTTTAGATGGAGAATACTCTTGTGGTTTGATGCTCTGCCTTCCCAACCCACAGGACCCACTGGAGCTGCTATCCTGCCTCCTCAGCTCTGCCAGGGGGCAAGGTGAGGGTTGTGCTCCAAGACTTCCAGTGGCCCCTCCCTCAAGGCTCCAGGTGGCCACAGTCTGACCTGTTGAAATAGAAACTGAGGAGATTCCCCCAACTCCCACCCTTTGAAATAGGAAGAGGCAGCCCTGATGATCTCTGCAGAGACTTTGTGGTCATTCTTCCCTTGTATGAAGAAGGGTGCATCCAGTGGAATAGCTCTGTAGTCTGTTTCTGCAGTCTAAAAGCCTTCCTTCATTTCCTCCCATTTTCCCCTCCATCCTCAAATCTTGTTTTCACTACTCCTTCCAAGCAGGGCCTCTAACAGAAATCTGGCTGGTATCTCAGCATACAACTTCCCCTGAAGCCTTTCAATTGGAGGCATTTTTTCCCCTTCTTAATTCTCATCGCCACTTCTGAACGATTAGGCTCTCTCTCACTTTCTCTTTTTCTTTTAAAAATTTTCATGCTTATACCATCTGATTGATTCTATCATGGTATCAGTCAGAGTCCCAGCTAGGAAACAGATGGCACACTCAAAGTAGGAAAATTCAAAGAGGGGTTTAAAAAAGGAGCATTTACACAGATACAAGTAGGCTATAGAGAAACTACGAGGAATAGTGCAGGAACCTGGAACTAGTAAGAGTGGTCACCTCAAGGGAGGCATTCGGGAGTTGTTATCAAAACCTAGAGTAAGAGACCCATGTAGAATTGGCTGCTGTATTAGTCCGTTTTCATGCTGCTGATAAAGACATACCCCAGACTGGATAATTTATAAAGAGAAAGAGATTTAATGGAATCACAGTTCCACGTGACTGGGGAGGCCTCATAATCATAGCAGAAGGTAAAAGGTGCCTCTTACATAGTGGCAGACAAGAGAGAAATGAGAGCCAAGCAAAAGAGGAAACCCCTTATAAAACCATCAGATCCTGTGAGACTTATTTACTACTATGAGAACAGTATGAGGGAAACTGCCCCCATGATTCAATTATCTCCCACCAGGTCCCTCCCACAATACATGGGAATTATGGGAATTATAATTCAAGATGAGATTTGGGTGGGGGCACAGAGCCAAATCACTTCAGCTGCCTTGAGCATTCAATGACCTGGAGCCAAGGAACAATTTGACGCAACCTAGGGAATAAGTAATCCGACCTTCCTCCCTTCAGTCTCCCAAAAGTCTCCCCATTGGCTGAACCCCACCAGAAACCAGGGTGCAAGGGAGCTTTTTGAGGTGTTCCATGGGGGACTCAGTGGTGCACAGAGCAAGTGCAGAGCTGATCTGATGAGCATACAGACATGGCTCACAGCAATCATTCTCTTCTTTTCCTCACCGCTGTGGTCTACTGACCTCCTATTCTATTAGACATTTAATAACTTATTATTAAATTTTAAAACCTTATTTTCTCTCCTTCTGTCATGTTTTTTGGCCTGGTAAAACCCCAGTCTGTGATGACTCAACCATCCAAGCACATTTCAGTGCTTACATACAGACAGCTGAACATTGCAGGAGGAGAGTGATGCAGCCAGGCAGACTCGTGGCTTCCCTTTAAAGAAATTGTATAAAACTCCAAGGGGCCACTCAACCCTGACTGACAACTCACCTGCATTTGTCTTGTAAGTTGCTTTTCTCACTCTTTAAGTGAACTATTTTCTGCCTTTTCCTTTCTCCTCAAACTTCTCATTTCTCCTTCCTATACTTTCATCCCTACTCTTAACTTTGCCTCTTATTTCATTTAAATGTAGCAATCGTCAGTGAGGAGTCTCTTCATCTTTACACTTCCAAGTCCAGAAATCTACCTGCATTTAAATCTGTGTCCTTCTCTCTAGAGGGAGAAAGATCATTTTTATAAAAGTGCAATGCCCACGCCCACGTTTACCTATGTAACAAACATGCACATCCTGCACTGTATCCCAGAACTCAAAATTAAAATTAAATTTAAAAAACTGCAATGCCTCTACTCTTTCATTTGGCTCTGAATCCCATTATCTTTTTGGCCTTCTCACAAGCTCTGATTAGATCTCCACTTTCAGCTTACTTCTCTCTCTTTCAACTGGAACCATTTCTGCACAAATATTAACAATCTTTTGTACCTCGTATCTGAAGGAACTAGAGTCGGTCTTCTGACTTTGCCCTTCCTTCCACTGTAACTTTATTTCTCTACATCACTTCTTCTGAGTTGGTTTTTTATATTCCTCTCCTTGATTTCCTTCTACATAATTGGCAGCTTTTCCTCAGGCTCCCTTTTTGGAATCTCCTGCTCTATCCACCCTCTATCTGGAGGCGCATCCCAGAGACAGTCCTGTAATTTCCCTTCTTCAGAGCCCCCATTCATTCTTTTAAATACAGATAGCCCCTGACTTACCTTGGTTTGACTTAATGACTTTCCCACTTTATGATGGTATGAAACTGATATGCATTTAGCAGAAATGGTACTTCAAGCAAACACACAACCATTCTGTTTTTCACTTTCAGTACAGTATTCAGTAAATTACATGAGATATTCAATACTTTACTATAAAATAGAATTTGTGTGAGATTATTTTTTCCAAGTGTAGGCTAACATAAGTGTTCTGGGCATGTTTAAGGAAGGCTGGGCTAAGCTGTGATGTTTAGTAGGTGAAATGTACTAAATGCACTTTTGACGTATAGTATTTTCAACTTGATGAGTATATTGGGGCATAAGCCCATGGTAAATCAATGGGCATCTGTGTCAACCACATATCAACAATATTTTCTCCTCTAAGGTTATGCACTGGCACAGGGACAAGAAGGAGAGGAGGAATACATGAACTTGAAAACTTCTGCACACTTCCTGATATTATGCGTTTCTGCATCCCAGAAGAACTCTCATGGATGAGGAGTCTTACAAAACTCCAGCCATTTTCCTGGAAAGAACAGTTTCAATTCTTGTTGGCTAATCTTCATGGCCAAAGGCACACAGGGAGGGCAGACCTGGGTCTCACCAGCTCCCACTCTTTCCTCCCGTCATGGCAGGCACATGCCAATACTTTTTCCCAGCTAATTGGAACATAGCCCCATAAGCTTTCCCCAAAGAGCTGTCACGTCATCCACTTCCAATTTATTTGGTCTGTCATAGCAGATGAACCTAATTTGCCATCCTTGGCCCAATTTCCTAAATTTAATGATCTTTTCATTAAAGAATGTTTCTCCTTCTCCAATTTAGGGAGTCCATTGAAATGGTAAAAAATGTTTTAATATTATGAATCATTCCATGGAACATCTCTAATATCTGCATCAACTAACAACTCTTCTTATTTAGGTTGGTAATGTGATTTTTTCTCTAGATTTTTTCCTTTCTGAAGGCTTAAGTTCACAATTTATAAAAATCTATAGCCCTTTCCATCATAAAAGGGGTCAGCCATTGTACTAGTCCGTTCTCATGCTGCTATGAAGAAATACCCGAGACTGGGTAATTTATAAAGGAAAGATATGTAATCGATGCACAGTTCACCACAGCTGGGGAGGCCTCAGGAAACTTATAATCATGGCAGAAGGCGAAGGGGAAGCAAAGCACCTTCTTCACAAGGTGGCAAGAAGAAGTACAAGCAGGGAAATGCCAGATGCTTATAAAACCATCAGATCTCATGAGAACTCACTCACTATCACGAGAACAGCATGGGTGAAACCACCCCTATGATTGAATCCACTGGGTCCCTCCCAAAACATGTGGGGTTTATGGGAACTATGATTCAAGATGAGATTTGGGCGGGACACAGCCAAACTATATCAGCAATACAATATTTCAGTTGAGATGTACCAAGCTCGCCTACTATAGGTCTTAGCACAGCACCAAAAACAATAGGCCATACACAGTGGCTCACACCTATAATCCCAGCACTTCAGGAGGCTGAGGCAGGTGGATTACGAGGTCAAGAGATCAAGACCATCCTGGCCAACATGGTGAAACCCTGTCTGTACTAAAAATACAAAAATTAGCTGGGCGTGGTGATGCGTGCCTTAGTCCCAGCTACTTGGGAGGCTGAGGCAGGAGAACTGCTTGAACCCGGGAGACGGAGGTTGCAGTGAGCCGAGATCGTGCCACTGGCACTCCAGCCTGGGTGACAGAGCGAGACTCCGTCGCAAAAAAAAAAAAAAAATGTCCAGGAGTCCTCCTTGCCAGGGCCCAGCAGGTAAGACTGGAATATAGGAAGCTTGTCATATTAATAACAGTGTGAAATCTAGTGCGGATATCAGTCCTGTGCTCTAGCTTGGCGACAGAGTGAGACTCCATCTTTAAAAAAAAAAAATTCCGTGTAACCTAAACTACACAGAGGTGTGGAATCTTGTTTGCTCTGTTGGAGTCCTTGGAGTAAATGTAATTCTCTTAAAGAAGAAATAAGGAGTCTGAAGCAAAAAGTCCAATCTGCTACTTTTCGTTTGGGTTATCAAAAATGTTTCTAGAAATAGATTCTAGAAAATAACTTTTTTCATTTCTCAGCCTCAGATCTTCTTTCCAATTACATAAGAAAATATTCTTGGCAGTGATAATATTTGGTGAGCTCATCAATTTCAGTTAAGAAAAAAAGTTCAAGGAATAATTATGGAGCTCTGTCCTCATGCAATAAGAACTTGTTTCTCTCTATTTTGATTCAATCCCCATTTCCTCCTTAAAATGGATGTGTTTTAAAACTCTCATTCACTAAATAAGATACACTTGGATTCTTTGGATGCTTGATTTAGTAATCATTGTCCCTTATATTCTAAACGCTTTAGGTCTGAGAACAAAGATGTTTGCCAATCCATATACCAGGATAATAGTGGTAATAGGCTTCCCAGAAATGAATAGGGGTTTTTACTTTGCAACTTCTATTTCTGAAGTCATGGCATGAAAATTATATCCCCAAATCTATTTGCGTTATTGTTTTCTTATCCAGCTTAATAAACACTTCCACTAGTTCTTCTTTTTTTTTAAAAAAAATTTCTTTCTCCCTAATTTATTGGGGTACAGGTGGCATTTGGTTACATGAGTCGGTTCTTTAGTGGTTATTTGTGAGATTTTGGGTACCCATCACTGGAGCAGTATACACTGCATCATATTTGTCATCTTTTGTCTCTTGTTCCCCTCCCACTCTTTCCCCTAAGTCCCCAAAGTCCATTGTATCATTCTTATGCCTTTGCGTCCTCATAGCTTAGCTCTCACATATCCGTGAAAACACAAAATGTTTGGTTTTCCATTCCTGAGTTACTTCACTTAGGGTAATAATCTCCAGTCTCATCCAGGTCACTGCAAATGCTGTTAATTCATTTCTTTTTATGGCTGCACAGTATTATATATATATGACATATATATCTATATATACATATATCGTATAATATAGATATATATACATATATCTAGATATATGTATATATCTATATGATATATACCACAGTTTCTTTATCCACTCATTGATTGATGGGCATTTGGGTTGGTTCCACGATTTTGCAATTGTAAATTGTGCTGCTATAAACATGTGTGTGCAAGTATCTTTTTCGGATGATGACTTCTTTTCCTCTGGGTAGACACCCAGTAGTGGGATTGCTGGATCCAATGGCAGCTATACTTTTAGTTCTTTAAGAAATCTCCACACTGCTTTCCATAGTCGCTATACTAGTTTACATTCCCACCAGCAGTGCAGAAGTGTTCCCTGTTTACTGCAACCACGCCAACATCTAGTTTATCGATTTTTTGATTATGGCCATTCTTTCAGGAGTGATGTGGTATTGCAATGTGGTTTTGATTTGCATTTCCCTGATCATTAGTGATGTTGAGCATTTATTCAAATGTTTGTTGGCAATTTGTATATCTTCTTTTGAGAATTGTCTATTCATGTCCTTATCCCACTTTTTGGTAGGATTGTTTGTTTTTTTCTTACTGATTTGTTTGAGTTCATTGTAGATTCTGGATATTAGTCCTTTGTCAGATGTATAGATTGTGAAGATTTTCTCCCACTCTGTGGTTTGTCTGTTTACTCTGCTGACTGTTCCTTTTGCTGTGCAAAAGCTCTTTAGTTTAATTAGGTCCAAGTTATTTGTTTGCTTTTATTGCATTTGCTTTTGGGTTCCTGGTCATGAAATCCTTGCCTAAGCCAATGTCTAGAAGGGTTTTTACAAAGTTATTTTCTAGAATTTTTATGGTTTCAGGTCTTGTATTTAAGTCCTTAATCCATCTTGAGTTGATTTTTGTATAAGGTGAGAGATGAGGATCCACTTTCATTCTCCTACATGTGGTTAGCCAATTATCCTAGCACCATTTGTTAAAAAGGGTGTCCTTTCCCCACTTTAAGATTTTGTTTGCTTTGTCAAAGATCAGTTGGCTGTAAGTACTTGGGTTTATTTCTGGGTTCTCTATTCTGCTCCATTGGTCTATATGCCTATTTTTATACCAGTACCATGCTGTTTTGGTGACTATGACCTTATAGTATAGTTTGAAATCAGGTAGTGTGATGCCTCCAGATTTGTTCTTTTTGCTTAGTCTTGCTTTGGCTATGTGGGCCAAAGCAAGACTTTTTTGGTTCCATATGAATTTTAGAATTGTTTTCTCTAATTTTGTGAAGAATGATGGTTGTATTTTGATGGGGATTGTATTGAATTTGTAGATTGCTTTTGGCAGTATAATCATTTTCACAATATTAATTCTAACCATCCATGAGCATGGGATGTGTTTCCATTTGTTCATGTCATCTGTTATTTCTTTTAGCAGTGTTTTGTAGTTTTCCTTGTGGAGGGCTTTAGCCTCCTTGTTTAGGTATATTCCTAAGTATTTTATTTTTTTGCAGCTATTGTAAAAGGGTTTGAGTTCTTGATTTGATTCTCCTCTTGGTCTCTGTTGGTGTACAAAAGAGCTACTGATTTGTGTACATTAATTTTGTATCTGGAAACATTGCTGAATTCTTTTATCAGTTCTAGGAGCTGTCTGGAGGAGACTTTTGGGTTTTCAAGGTAAATGATCATATTGTTAGCAAACAGTGACAGTTTGACTTCCTCTTTGCTGATTTGGATGCCCTTAATTTCTTTCTCTTGTCTGATTGCTCTGGCTAGGACTTCAATACTATGTTGAAGAGGAGTGGTAAGAGTGGGCATCCTTGTCTTGTTCCCATTCTTAGAGACAATGCTTTCAACTTTTCCCCATTCAGTATTATGTTGGCTGTGGTTTGTCATAGATGGCTTTTATTACATTAAGGTATGTCCCTTGTATGCTAATTTTGCTGGGAGTTTTAATCATAAGGGGATGCTGGATTTTGTTGAATGCTTTTTCTGCATCTTATTGAGATAATCATGTGATTTTTCTTTTTAATTCTGTTTATACGGTGTATCATATTTATTGACTTGTATATGTTAAACCATCCCTTCATCCCTGGTATGAAACCAACTTGATTATGGTGGATTATCTTTTTGATATGTTGTTGGATTCACTTAGCTAGTATTTTGTTAAGGATTTTAGCATATATGTTCATCAAGGATATTGGTCTCTAGTTTTCTTTTTTGGTTGTGTCCTTTCCTGGTTTTGGTAGTAGAGTGATGCTGACTTCATAGAATGAATTAGGGAGGGTTCCCTCTTTCTCTATCTTGTGGAATAGTGTCAAAAGAATTGGTACCAATTCTGCTTTGAATCTCTGATAGAATTCTGCTGTGAATCTGTCTGGTCCTGGACTTTTTTTGTTATTGGTAATTTTTAAATTAGCATTTCACTCTAACTGCTTGTTATTGGTCTGTTCAGGGTATCTCATTCTTCCTGATTTAAGCTAGGAGGGTTGTATTTTTCCAGGAATTTATCCATCTCTTCCACGTTTTCTAGTTTATGCGCATACAGGTGTTCATAGTATCCTTGAATGATCTTTTGTATTTCAGTGGTGTCAGTTGTAGTAACTCCTGTTTTGTTTCTTAGTGAGGTTATTTGGATTTTCTCTCTTCTTGCCTTGGTCAATCTTGCTAATGGTCTATCAATTTTATTTATCTTTTCAAAGAACCAGGTTTTAAATTTATCTTTTGTATTTTTTTGTTTCAATTTCATTTAGTTCTGCTCTGATCTTCGTTATTTTTTTCTTCTGTTGGGTTTGGGTTTGGTTTGTTCTTGTTTCTCTAGTTCCTTGAGGTGTAACCTTAGATTGTCTGTTTGAGCTCTTTCAGACTTTTTGACGTAGGCCTTTAGGGCTATGAACTTTCCTCTTATCTGTATCCCAGAGGTTTTGATAGGCTGTGTCATTATTGTCTTTCAGTTCAAATAATTTTTTATTTCTATCTTGATTTCGTTTTTGACCCAATGCTCATTCAGGACCAGGTAATTTAATTTCCATGTATTTGCATGGTTTTAAAGGTCCCTTTTGCAGTTGATTTCTAGTTTTTTTTCCACTCTGGTCTGAGAGAGTGCTTGATATAATTTCAATTTTCTTAAATTTATTGAGACTTGTTTTGTGGCCTATCACATGGTCTATCTTGGAGAGAGTTCCATGCCTTGTTGAATAGAATGTGTATTCTGCAGTTGTTGGATGAAATGCTCCATATATATCTGTTAAGTCCATTTGTTCAAAGGTATAGTTAGATCCATTGTTTCTTTGTTGACTTTCTGGCTTCATGAGCTGTCTATTGCTGTCAGTGGAGAATTGAAGTCCTCCACTATTATTGTGTTGCTGTCTGTCTCATTTCTTAGGTCCATTAGTAATTGTTTCATAAATTTGGGAGCTCCGGTGTTAGATGTATATATGTTTAGGATTGTGAAATTTTCCTGTTGGATAAGGCCTTTACCATTATATAATGTCCCTCTTTGTCTCTTTTAATGGCTGTTGCTTTAAAGTTTGTTTTGTCTGATATAAGAATAGCTACTCATGCACACTTTGGGTGTCCATTTGCATGAAATGCCTTTTTCCACCCCTTTACTTTAAGTTCGTGTGAGTCCTTATGTGTTAAGTGAGTCTCCTGAAGGCTGCAGATAGTTGATTGGTGAGTTCTTATCCATACTGTGGTTCTGTATCTGTTTGTTGTTGTTGTTGTTGTTTTTTGTTTGTTTTTTTGACAGAGTTTTGCTCTTGTTGCCCAGACTGGAGTGCAATGGTGCGGTCTTGGCTCACTGCAACCTCTGCCTCCCGGGTTCAAGCAATTCTCCTGCTTCAGCCTCCCAAGTAGCTAGGATTACAGGTACCTGCACCATGCCTGGCTAACTTCTATATTTTTAGTAGAGACAGGTTTTCACCATGTGGACCAGGCTAGTCTCGAACTCCTGACCTCAGGTGATCCACCCACCTTGACCTCCCAAAGTGCTGGGATTACAGGCATGAGCCACTGCACCCAGCCGGTTCTGCATCTTTTAAGTGGAGCACTTAGGCCATTTACAATCAATGTTACTATTGAAATGTGAGGTAGGGTTGCATTCATCATGCTCTTTGTTGTTTGGGAATTTTGGATTTTTTTGTTTTTTGTTTTTGCTTTTTAACTTTTAGTTTTGTTTTATAGGTTCTGTGTGATTTATGCTTTATAGAGTTTCTGTTTTGATGTGTTTCCAGGATTTGTTTCAAGATTTAGAGCTCCTTTTAGCAGTTCTTGTAGTGGTGGCTTGATAGTGGTGAATTATTTCTCTCAGTATTTGTTTGAAAACGACTATGTCTTTCCTTTATACATGATACTGAATTTTGCTGAATACAGAATTCTTGGCTGATAATTGTTTTGTTTGAGGAGGCTGAAGATAGGGCCCAATCCCTTCCAGCTTGTAGGGTTTCTGCTGAGAGATCTGCTATTAATCTGATTAGTTTTCCTTTATAGGTTACCTGGTGTTTCTGTTTCACAACTCTTAAGATTCCTTCCTTCGTTTTAACTTTGGATAACCTGATAACAATGTGCCTAGGCGAAGATCTTTTTGCGATGTATTTCCCAGGTGTTCTTTGTGCTTCTTTTATTTGCATGTCTAGGTCTCTAACAAGGCTGGGGAAATTTTCCTCGTTTATTCACCAAATATGTTTTCCAAGCTTTTAGAATTGCCTTCTTCCTCAGGAGCACCGATTGTTCTTAGGTTTGGTCATTTAACATAATCCCAGACTTCTTGGAGGCTTTGTTCATATTTTCTTATTCTTTTTTCTCTGTCTTTGTTGGATTAGGTTAATTCAAAGTCCTTGTCTTCGAGCTCTGAATTTCTTTCTTCTACTTGTTCAATTCTATTGCTGACAGTTTCTAGAGCATTTTGCATTTCTGTAAGTGTGTCCAATGTTTCCTGAAGTTTTGATTGTTTTTTTCTTTAAATTAGCTATTTCCTCAAATATTTCTCCCTTCACTTCTTGTATCATTTTTTGGATTTCCTTGCATTGGGCTTTGCCTTTCTCTGGTGCCTCCCTGATTAGCTTAATAACTAACCTCCTGAATTGTTTTTCAGGTAAATCAGGAAATTCATCTTGGTTTGGATCCATTGCTGGTGAACTAGTGTGATTTTTGGGGGTGTTCAAGAGCTTTGTTTTGTCATATAACAAGGGTTGGTTTTCTGGTTCCTTCTCATTTGGGTAGACTCTGTCAGAGGGAAGTTCTAGGGCTGAAGGCTGTTGTTCAGGTTTTGTTTTGTTTTTTCCCCCACAGAATGTTCCCTTGATGTAGTACTCTCCTCCTTTTCCTATGGATATGGCTTCCTGTCAGCCGAATTGCAATAATTGTTGTCTCTTTTCTGGGTCTAACCACCCAGCGAGTCTACCCGGCTCTGGGCTGGTACTGGGGGTTGTCTGCACAGAGTCCTGTGATTTGAACCGTCTATGGGTCTCTCAGCCGTGGATACCAGTGCCTCTTCTGGTGTAGGTGGCAGAGGATACAATGGACTCTGTGAGGGTCCTTAGCTTTGGTGGTTGAATGCTCTATTTTTGTGCCGATTGGCCTCCTGCCAGGAGGTGGTGCTTTCTAGAGAGCATCAGCTATAGTAGTGTGGAGAGGCACAGATGGTGGGCAGGGCCCTAGAACTCCCAAGATTAAATGCCCTTTGTCTTCTGCTACCAGGGTGGATAGTGAAGGACCATCAGGTGGGGGTAGGGCTAGGCGTGTCTGAGCTCAGACTATCCTTGGGTGGGTCTTGCTGCAGCTGCTGTGGGAGATGGGGGTGAGATTCCCAGGCCACTGGAGTTGTGTACCCAGAAGGATTATGGCTGCCTCTGCTGAGTCATGCACATTGTCAGGGAAATAGGGGAAAGCTGGCAGTCACAGGCCTCACCCAGCTCCCATGCAAAGACATAAGAGCTGGTCTCACTCCCACCATGCCTCCCCCAACAGTCTGCTTCCAGGTGGAGGGCAAAGAAGAGCTTGAAAACTTTCCTGAGGCTTTCCTCCTTCCAGCTGCGAAAGAAAAGGGCTTTAGTTCTTCCCCTTCCTGTGAAGTCTGCATGCCAGATTCGCACTCTCCCCCAAGTTCTGGCCAGGAGGCTTCTTGCCCAGTTCAAATTGTTACAAAGGCCAGCTAAAAACCCCCTGTGGAGTTTTACCCCCTGTTCCTCTGGCCACCCTCCCTATGGATCCCTGTGGTGCCAGGCAGGAATGGGCTGCTTGGGGACCCAGCGAGCTCCCAGGGCCTTTCTGCTGCTTCCTCTACTCCCGTATTTCGCTGGGGTCGGCTCTCTAACTTGACTCAACTCCAGGTAAAGTCAGAAACTTCTCCCACAAACAGACCTTCAGCTTCTCCAGTGGGGGTGTGTTTTCAGGAGAGGAGGGCCTCCCTTTCCCACTTCTGTAGTTGGGGTTACTCATAGTATCTAGGGTGTCTTCGAGGTCCTGCAGGAGCAGTCAGCTTCCTTCAGAGGGTCTGTGGCTCCTCTCAGGATTGCTAGTTTGTTCCTGCAGTTGATCTGGAGCTAAAATTCACATTGCAAGCCTCCACATGCTGCTCTGTCCGGAGCTGCAATCTAGTCCTGCCTCCCATCCGCCACGATCCCTGCAAATCCCCACTAGTACTTCTTAGTTTAAAATTTGTCTTGGCTATATGAGGTTTAAAAAATAAGGTAACCAAATGATTTGTGAATATTCTATTTTATATGCTGTCTTGTTTAGTATGTCAGAATTTATTCTTATTTTTCACTCTTTCCCTAAAGCCTGAAAGAAGGGAAGAACAGGTTCCACATTCTCCCTATGAGACCTACTCATGATATATTCAGTTGTCCGTAATGTCTGACACCAGAAATGTTGGAGGGCTTCTATAGAGAGTTCATTAAAGTAAAGCTATTGAAGATATGTAGAAAGAAAAAAATGTTAATCAGATTAAGTCAATTTAATTATTTAATTTCACTTGTTGAACTGTCAGTATAAAGAAATTTGGGTCTGATATATTAAAGGTTAAGATGAATAGCAACCAGTCTATTTCAAGGAGATCTAATATTTCCATACCAATAGCAGAAGGTAAGGAAGAACTAGGTACTAGGTAACTTGCAGCATTAATCCTTTATTAGAAAATATTTTTCTCCCAAACTACCATTCAGTAATACTAATTTATGTTTATAAATCAATGTGGGTGGTTTCCTTGTTTGATTCAATGAGCCATGTCTTTAAGATTTGACACAGGGAGAAATACTTCCAAATTTTTTCCAGGTAAGTCTTTAATAACAGCAATGATTTGTCTAATTATTCCTCTGGTTTTGAACACAAATTAACAATTTCCCCCTTTTTAGAAATAATAACAAAAACATTTTAACTTTTTCTAGTTAAAAACACAGCAATGAGCATCTTTGCTTATAAAATCATACTACGTGTAAATTATTTTCTTGACAGTGCAATTTCAAGTCAGAAATTAGGATATAGAAAAAAATCCCACAGGAAAAAATAGGTCAAGATTATAGTGAGGTGGGAAAACAAGTAAGAAAAACTCCCAAAACAAGGTGCTATTTTTAAAATCTCATAAAAACAAGAGAAGAGAAAATTTTGTGAGCTTGAAAAAAAGTTAGTAGAGCTAGCTAACCAATCTTTCTTCTAAAATTTGGGAAAATAAAAAGAAGCAATAAAAACATATTGTGATGAATCCCATGCTATAACAAAGAGAAAAGAAGGGGCATGCTGGAAAGACATGTTTAGGAAAAGAAAAAGGAGTGTGTGTGTGTGTGTGTGTGTGTGTGTGCAATTTCTAGCTCTATCCATAAAGAGGTCAAGAAACAATGACCAGCTCACTATGAACACACATTCACAGCATCCAGACTATGGTCTCAAAGATCATTTCTATTTTTTAAAAAGAGGGGTTCTTGGAACATTGATTGTGGACAGGAAGTGTACAAAATGAAACTGGGACATTTTGACATACCAGATAGCATAGAAGCTATAAAAAGCTACTAGGTTTGTGTCAAAAGGACACAAGAGTCAATTCAAAGAGGCTTGTATTCACCAAGGGTAGGATAATTTGAACCTTAATAAAGATACAGATTTCAATGGGTTAAAAACTATCAAATATGTTTAAACTTAAGAGTCTGTAATGACTATCAACAAGAGAATATCAATCTATGTATCCTGCCTTTTCTATATAGCCGCTATCCCTGGGTAATCAAGTAGCAGATGAGCAGAAGTGTCGTTTTACAAAATTATTACAGCCAATAAGTGAAAACAAAATGATAGAATTAAAATATTACCATTTGTAAACTCCTGTGAATTAAAGGGTCCTGAGCATTGAGCATCAAAGGCTGCTAACATCAAGAAAGAGAAAGACATAATGTGCTTCATGATGAATGAACACACCACCACTCTAACCTTGCCAAAGGGATCAAATTGATTCTGATCAAGACTCTGGATCCAGCTGCCAATATGCAGGAAAAAGCAACATGTTGCCCTGAAGCATGAGAACTCACTTAGCAAAAGCCAAGCAACGGGAAACTACAGCTCACAAGTGTAGGCTCTTCCAACAAATGAGTTAGGAGAGAAGAAAAAAGATAGATTGAAAGGAAGTTAAAGGTATTGAAGGAAGACAGAGACCCTCTCATATTGTTTTATACTCAGTACCTGTTTTAAGAAAAAACAGCAAGGAAGTAAAACCAAAGACAGGCAGCCTGGCGCCAGGCCAGAAACCAGGTCTGAGCATGCCTGGCCTAAACCCAGTAGTTAAAAATCAACTCATAACTTAGAAACCAGTGTTATTCATAGATTCCAGACATTATATAGAAGAACACTGTGAAACTCCCTGCCCTGTTCTTGTTCTCTCTGACCACTGGTGCATGCAGCCTCTGTCATGTACCACCTGCTTGCTCAAATCAATCATGACCCTTTCATGTGAAATCTTTAGTGTTGTGAGCCCTTAAAAGGGACAGAAATTGTGCATTCAGGAAGCTCGGATTTTAAGGCAGTAACTTGCCGATGCTCCCAGCTGAATAAAGCCCTTCCTTCTACAACTAGGTGTCTGAGAGGTTTGGTCTGCGGCTCGTCCTGCTACAGTATCAATTTTAAGAAATGAGAAGGCTAAACTACAGTATCTAGGGATGTAAATTAGGATAACAAAACAATACAGTAATAATGTAAGGAAATGAGTCCTCTAAAAGCTGTGAGAGTAATTCCTCATGGAGGTAGAGAGCTGTGGTTGGTCCTGGACATTCTGGGGGCCTTCTGGAGTGGCTGGAGAGTTCTTTTTCTTTCTTTCTTTTCTTTTCTTTTCTTTTTTTTTTTTTTGAGTCAGGGTCTCACTCTATCACCCAGGCTGGAGTGCTGGAGTGTGCTGATGCAATCTCAGCTCACTGCAGCCTCTGCCTCCGGGGTTCAAGCGATTCTCCTGCCTCAGCCTCCGGAGTAGCTGGGATTACAGGCATGTGCCACCACACTTGGCTAATTTTTGTATTTTCAGTAGAGATGGGGTTTCACCATGTTGGCCAGGCTGGTCTCGAACTCCTGACCTCAGGTGATCCACCTGCCTCAGCCTCCCAGAGTGCTGAGATTACAGGGGTGAGCCACCGGGCCTGGCCTTTTTTGTTTCATTTTTTTTTTTTTTGAGATGGAGTCTCGCTCTGTCGCCCACGCTGGAATGGAGTGGTGCAATCTCAGCTCACTGCAACTTCTACCTTCCGGGTTCAAGCGATTCTCATGCCTCAGCCTTCTGAGTAGCTGGGATTATAGGTGCCCGTCACCTCGCCTAGCTAATTTATTTTTATTTTTAGCAGAGACAGGGGTCTCCCCATGTTGGCTAGGCCAGTCTCCAACTCCTGACCTCAAGTGATCTGCCCGCCTTGACCTCCCAAAGTGCTGGGATTACAGGCATGAGCCACTGTGCCCAGCCTGGATAGTTATTTTTCTTCATCTGTGAAGTGGGTACAGAGATCTTAAAAGAGACAAAATCAGAACAAAACTGACTAATTTGCAAGCAAGAAGCAAGAATGGAAAAGAATAGCGGTAATGTAAATTCAAGTACTTGCAGGATTGAAAAGAGAACTGTTTCTTAAACCTAATTATTAAAAGATAAAACTGAGGAATTTTTTTTTCTTTTTTTTGCTCCATCATCCACTGACACAGAAACCTAGAGGAATTTTTGGAATACAACCTAACTTTACATCTCGAGGAACTAGGAAAAGAAGAGCAGACTAAATCCAAAGTTAGCAGAAGGAAGGAAATAATAAAGATCAGGCAGAATTATTTCTACTAGAAAATCTATAGAAAAAATCAACAAAAATAAGCGTTGGTTTTTTGAAAAAATAGAGAAACCCTCAGCTAGACTAAGAAAAAAGGGGGGAGTTTTAAATAAATAAAATACAAATAAATGTGGAGGCTAATCAAAACTTAGCGTTAAGATGAGGATAAAATAAGAGCATGGTTGCCATATTCATTGTTAAAACTTCTGAAGAGATTAAGGTTTTCCCAGTAAATTCTTTTAGTTGGATAAAATGGCTGAAGAAAAACAGACAAACATGTAACTCTCCTATCTCTGTCTCATAAACACAATATACATGCATGTATGTTAGGTGTGGGACATGGAACAAGAAAATTGCCTGGAATAAAATAGGTAATAAACTATCTAGATTTTTGAGAGAATTTTGTTGTGCCAAGGGCCATCACTTGGACTAAAAGAGGCTGTAGCTGGTACTTAAAAAGCCACATAGGCACCCATGCTTCTGCTAGAAGGAAGCTGGCTAAGAAAGCTGCTCAGCTCTCAAGGAAGGCGTTTTCTTCAATGCTCTCTCAAGGTGTGGTTAAGGACGATAATGGACAAAAGGAGGACCCCTCAGAGAGCTGAGCAAAGGGGCACAGAGAGCAATGGGCTGGGAAGGTCATGTCAGAGAGGAGACCACATCTCACCCTGAATACGAGCCCCTCAGCACATATGCTCTGCGTAACTTTGGAATTGTTATTTACTAGTGACTTCTCCTATTTCTGCTCTTTCAGGAGAGGATAGTGTACAGGTGTTATCCCTTCCCATTGCCTTTTTGGAGTGTAAAGGGCCGATACCTTGTCTCTAGTTATCAAATCTCCAGATCAAAAGTCAGATCTAGACCCAATGTAGAGGCTGTTGTGCGTCACTTGGAGATCCTGAACTTTGAGAGTAGTGATTGGTTGGAAATTTTGGATATGTCCTTTGGGGAGAGGTTGAGTGTGATTTGCACTGAGAAAGAAGAGGAAAATAAATATTTGGCAGGCCCTGAAAAATTGCATGACTGCTTATCCGTTTCTGGTTTCTATTTTATTGGAGAAATTGCATTTCCTAACTCTATCAAGCTCAAGTGCAGTTATGAGATTTACCTTAGGCAATGTAGTGTGAGTGGAAATGATGTGTTTCACGTCTAAGAGGAAGGCTTTAAAGCTGGTGTATGCTTCTCCATACTCCTCCCCAGCCCATTCTGCTATAATTACTGAAAATATTCCAGTAGTCTGTCATAGTATGTTACTCACTGAAGACACAAGTGATGAAGTTATCTGAAAAATATTTTGAGGGAAAAGATAACATTATCTTCCTCTGGAAAGGTTTTTTTTTTTTTTTTTTTTTTTCCTTTTTGGGGGCACTAGAAACAAGGATTCCTTTAATCAGTTCCAAGACTTGAGATTATCTGCTCATCCAGTTGATTTGAACTTGGTTCAGCCATGCTGACTTAGACACAACCCTTGGCTGTCTGGGGACTCTTTGACATTGACCTGCAGCTCTGGGATGTTGTCACAACTGTGGCTCAGTCCATGAATAGCTACTTTTTGATGACAAATGCTTCTAGAGAAAGAGGTGCCATATAAAGAGCTAAAGTCTCTTGATTCTTTTCAATACTTTTGACCTAGCAATTCTTTACATTTTGTTATTTATTAAAAGGAAGTTGATTCTACAAAGTATACATATTTCAAAACAACTTGTTGTACATAATAAATATATACCATTTTTCTTTGTCAATTAAACAATTTGTTTAATGTCTAAAAGAAGGAAGATACCCTTAGCTGGAGTGGTGGAATGACTTATCTAGTCTTCTGTTACTGTTAGCTGAAGTAAACTTTTATTATCTGTATCTCCAAGTTCTCTTGGAGGCACTATGTTGTCCAGGTAATGACTATATTTGGTTTCCTTAATGATCGCCTGTGCATTATTATTTACTATAACAAAATTTTTCTAATTTGTCATGTTTTTGTTTTTCCCTTGCTTTCTAAAAGCTCAAATTTGAAGCTTACTCATTGATCCAACTGAGTCTTTGTTGATTTTATACATAATTTTATTGTTCTATATTCTTGCAAGTATCCTGTAATAAATTAATTTTAAATACAAAGATAAAGAGGCAAAATTCAAGTAATTCACCAAAAACACAAGATGCAAATTAAAAAATGGAAATGGTTGATCTTATTTTGAGGGAACAGGATTATACATCGCACAAATCAAATGAACATGCAAAACATAACTCTGAATATTCAAGAGGTCATTGATAATATTCCAGACATTACTCAATATAATTGTTATCTGAGTAACTCCCTATCTGCATTTGTTTCTTCTTAATTTTTTGAAAGAAAATAGAGAGTTTCTGATAATACTTTATTAATTTGTGCATTACCTAGAGAGTTATCATGCAATCATAGTCTAAATTTTTAGTGTAGATTGCCTAGCATTTATATAATTAATTGTCGTATTTGTCCCTGAAGTCAACAGTTCAATGCCAGCTCCATTGATGTTGGTTACTCCATCTGTTTCATGACTTTGTAAGCTTCTAATTGCCTATATTAAATTCTTTTTTTTTTTTTTTTTTTTTTTGAGACAGAGTCTCGCTCTGTTGCCCAGGCTGGAGTGCAGTGACGCAATCTCAGCTCACTGCAAGCCCACCTCCCGGGTTCACGTCATTCTCCTGCCTCGCCTCAGCCTCCCGAGTAGCTGGGACTAAAGGCACCTGCCACCACGCCCGGCTAATTTTTTTTTTTTGTATTTTTAGTAGAGACGGGGTTTCACCATGTTAGCTGGGATGGTCTCGATCTCCTGACCTCGTGATCCGCCCACCTCGTCCTGCCAAAGTATATTAAATTCTTAATTTACTCAGAGTGATTTCTCTTTCCTGAGTCAAACATTGACTGATATAATCTTTGTTTCCACTGAATTTACTTTAATGTTTATTTGAAAGCCATGATGGAAAGGTATTCTTTTGCCTGCCAAAACTAGTACTCGCTTCTTTCTTTAACCCCCTCCCTATTTTATCCATGTGGTTTGAATGAGTGTTGCCATGTTATTAGATATCTGACACCCAAGACTACTTTTAGTTGGCTCAGGGTGGCCAACTCAACTGACCTAAGATGAATCAAGCAAAGCTGGAATCCCTAAATTTGGGTCTAGAGAACAAGTCTTGAGTTTATCTCTACTGGTAAAGCTGTGAGATATAAGACATAGCAGTTTCCAGCAGCCATTTTTCCCACTCTTGTGAATGAAGCTGCTCTGATAGAATAAAGCTGACACATTGAGAGGAATGGAGATAAAAGGCAGAAAACTCTTTTTCTTTCAGCTTTGAGAATCAGTGAAATTTTTGCTCTTCTCAGACTTACTGGAGTCAACAGAGTTGTGTTTCTATCACGTACAACCAAAAATGTCTTGAATTAAAAAAAAAATCAGTTAATGTGAAGCCACTCAGTGGAAATGGCTATTCTTCAGTTGGCCAATATATGGATGCTAGAGTTTCAGAAAAAGGGGTTTATTAAGTGATAGCAATTACTAAGTGGTCAGTAGAGATGTTAGAGCTTATATTTTCCATATTAGTCAGAAAAAATAGATGCACATCCCTTGGTGCTTCTTCCATTTAATCTTTATTGACAAACACTTATGATTAAAGGTGGGTGAAATTAAGATGGTAGAGTTTAGATGGTTAATAAATATGGCACAGTAAATAACATCTTAAATTATTCTTTTTGTCCCAATAACATTATAGTGATGGATGCAATATAAAAACCAGAAACCAAAAATTACACAGCCAGGGTATTTAATATTGAAATTTTCACAGACCAAGGCAGGGAGTGGTGGCTCACACCTATAATCCCAGAACTTTGGGATGCCAATGTGCGTGGATCACTTCAGCTCAGGAGTTCAAGACCAGCCTGGTCAACATGGTTAAACCTCATCTCTACTAAAAATACAAAAATTAGCCAGGCATGGTGGCTCATGCCTATAGTCCCAGCTACTCAGGAGGTTGAGGTGAGAGGATCACTTGAACCTGGGAGGCAGAGGTTGCAGTGAGCCAAGATCACGCTACTGCCCTCCAGCCTGAGTGACAGGGCAAGGCTGTCTCAATCAAAAAAAAAAATTTTTTTTCACAGACCAGAAGTAGAATAGAAACTCCCCAAAGAGATGGAGGCAGAAGCCACAGTGAGATTAATATTGGCAGAGGCATCTGGGAGTTTGGTTCTTGAGGGGTAGCAGGGCCTGGAGGCCAGGAGGTGGAATGAAACTCCTTGTTTTGTCAAAGGACTCTGAAACACAATTGTGCTTGCTACTGAGACTTGGGCATTTATGAGCCTAGGAAGAACAGGAAGATAAAGGCAAGTCCTCATGGCTAGGTATTGCCTTGGGGACTTAATTTAATCCTGAGTGTCACTGCATATTGTGAGCACCAGCAAATCCATGCCTTCTATTTTAGACTATGGTCCTAGGGGATGCTAGAGGGAGGCAACCATGAGACAGAGTGGGACAAAACAAGGAATAGAGAGAACAAAGAAAAGTAAACAAAAATCTTTCTTCTTATTTTCTTAAAACCAAAATTCAAACACCCATTTAAATTGAATGCTAAGAAATACTACTAATGAACTCAACAATCAGAATATGAATTTACTCCATATTAAATTTACTTGATGGGACAATGTGACCAAGACTTTAGGGAAGCAAAAGAGCAGTTTACATAAAACATAAGCAAAAAAAAATTGGAAAACAAAGACAAAGTAAAACAGAATCAATATTTCTAATTTAGAATTTCCAATAAAAGAGAATGGAGAGAATGGCTAAGAACAAATATCTGAAGAGATAATATCTGAGAATCTTGGAATTGAAGAAGGCTACCCACTGAATAGAATGTAGGCTCAATAAAGATAAATCCACTCATAAGCACACCATAGTGAAGCTGCAGATCATCAAAGAGAAAGGGGAAAAGCTTAAGAGTTACCAGAGAGTAAAATCAGATTACTTGCAAGGGAAAGACAGACTGTGAGTGAGCAGACATCTCATCAGGACAAGATGGGCTAGAAAACAATGGAATAATAGTCTCAAATTGCCTAGAGAAAAAAGTGTCAATCTAAAATTTTATAACTAGCCAAACTATCATTCAAGAGTCAGACAAAGGAAATACTAAGAGCATTTTCCAATCATTGTCATTCACTAAAAGAATTGTTAGAGACTACTTCAGCAAGATTAAAAGTGACCCCAGAGGAGAGATGTGAGATACAGAAAACAATGTTGAACACAGAAACTGATAAAGTATATCAGCAAGTAATTATTGACCACTCAAATAATCACAAGTTTTTGTTCAGCTATCACCAAAACTCTTAAAAACAGTTAGAATACTAGGAACGGGTGGGCAGTTTCCAATGAGTCATTAAACTGTGTTGAAATTTCTGTTGTGATAAGGAGAGAAATACCAAACAATCATAAATTTTGTTAGAAAAACTTCAAGTCAAAGATCGTGCTGGGTATCTTCAATTTGCCTCTCTAGATCCAACTTTTCCCTTCTGGCTTCTCAGTGATGTGCCAGTGGAGCCCTCTTCAGAAGATTAAAGGGAGGCAGGAGAGTGAGGTTAGTATACACAGCATCTTCTGTCTCCAAGTTTGTTCAGTTCTAGTACCCTTTCTTCCTCTGCCCTTCCAGGCCTAGAGGGAAGTAATAACCCTGCTGTACCTTCTCCTAAGTTTCAGCACTATCCTGTATGGTTTATACCCATGTTGTTGCCTACCTACATACTTTTATTAACATCTTTTCAAATAGCTGAATATGAGTGAGCTATCTGGGACCTTGAATAATAGAAGCATACATGTTAAAAAATGCAAACTATGAAATAATAAAAATTTAATCTATAGCACCTAAGCCAGTAGCAAGAAAATAGATTTAAACTCTAGCCAGGGCAATTAGGCAAGAAAAGAAATAAAAGGCATCCAAACTGGAAAGGAAGAAGTTAAATTGTCCTTGTTTGCAGACAATATGACCTTGTGTATAAAAATTCCTGAAGCCCTGCAAAAATCGTGTTAGAGCTAATGTATGAATTCAATAAAGCTGCAAGTTATAAAATCAACATACAAGAATCAGTAGCAGCTCTATACACTAACAACAAACTATCTAAAAAATTTTTAAATCCCACTTACAATAGCTACAAAGAAATAAAATACTTAGGAAAAAATTTAACCAAGGAGGTGAAAGACCTGTACACTAAAAACTGTAAAACATTGATAAAAGAAATGAAAGAAAACACAAACAAATAAAAAGATATCACATGTTAATGGATTAAAAGAATCAAAATTGTTAAAAATTTCTATACTACCCAAAGCAAACTATGGATTTAATGCAATCCTTATTAAAATTCTGATTACATTTCTCACAGAAATACAAAAAAAACCCCTAAAATTTGTATAGAATTACAACAGACTCCAAATAACCAAAGCAATCTCAAATAAAAAGAACAAAGCCAGAGGCACCATACTACCTGACTTCAAAATCTATTACAAAGGTGTGGTAATCAAAACAGTTCGCTAGTGGCATAAAAACAGACATGTAAACCAATGGAGTAGAATAGAGAGGCCTGAAAAAAAGTCCACGTTTATGGTCAGTTGATTTCCAACGATGGTGCTGAGAACATACAGTAGGAAGGATAGTCTGTTCAATAAATAATGTTGGGAAAACTGGATATCCAAAAGCAGAAAAATGAAGTTAGATCCTTATCTCACACCATATACAAAAATCAACTCAAAATGGATTAAAACTTAAATGTAAGACCTGAAACTGTAAAATTATTAAAAGAAAACATAAGAGAAAACTCCATGACACTGGTCTAGGCAATGATTTTTTGGATATGAACCTGTAAACATGGGCAACAAAAGCAAAATAGACAAATGAGATTATGTCAAACTGAAAAGCTTCTGTATAGCCATGGAAACAATCAACAGAGTGAAGAAACCATCTACAGAATGGAAGACAATATTTGTAAACCATACATCTAATAAGGGGTTGGTACTCAAAATATATAAGGAACTCAAACAATTGAATCGCAAGGAAACAAATAATCTAATTAAGAAATGAGAGAAGGAGGGAGGAGGAGTTGATAGTGTGGCAAGAGAAACAAGAAACTGAAGAAGTTAAGGGAGAAGAGAGTTTATGAAACTCTCTTCCAAAGGAGGAGATTTGAAAGCCATTGCAAAGGATCTGAAAATACATTTCTGAAAGGAAAGGAAATGGCCAAAAGGTATATGAAAAAATTCTCAACATCACTAATCATCAAATAAATGCAAATGAAAACCATAAGGACAGGAGTGACATCAGCAAGATGGCTGACTAGACTAGCTGGTGCTTGTGTCCCCTACAAGAAAGGACCAAAGCAATGAATACACAGCTAAGATTTGACTGGACTGTCAAAGGGAGAGTGCTAGAGTGCAGTGGGGGAGTGGAGATGCACATGTGGTGATTAGAAGTCCAGGAGAGTAGCATGAAGACACCTGGGTTCTGTAGCCGTGTCTCCTCACCAAGATCAGATCAGCCCAGAGACAAGAGGGACTTCCTATTGTGGGAGAAAGGTAAGCAGAAGATCCCCACAGTCCCCATTGCCACCACAAACACATACAGTTCTTACTACAGGAGATTTCCATGGTCCTCACAGCCTTGAGCCCAGTTTGGAGGGCTGCTGGGAATTCGCATAGCTGCATTGCCCCAGATTAGGAGCACAAAGTGTGTACTTTCCACTCCCCACACACTCTTTGTGAGCCAAGCTGCTAAAACGTAGTATCATCTTGAGACCAGAACTGCTTCTGGAGTGCCCTGCTCTGGGAGCCAGTAGCCACTGCACCTCTCTAGCACTGGAGCTTCAACTTCATTATGCCAAGCCCACAGAGGTGGCTGAACACCAGAACCCCAACTATGCAGCTTAGGCCTGGTGCTGGCTGTGACGTGGTTTTGAACAGCAGGGAAATCAGCCCCTGCCACTGCACTTCCAGCCAGAGGAACAATCTGCCAGTCCTACCCACAGCAAACCTACCCTTGAGCTGACCAAACCACTGCATGCCCTCCCCCAAGCAGGAGAGACCCCTGAGTCCCTGAGCATCTGACACACCCTCAGTTCAGTGGAATGGCTATGTGCTCACTCACGGGACCTAAAAAACAGCCCTGCAGTGCCCCCAGCCCCTGAAGACATGCCCCTGGACTTCCCAATGGACCTGCACTTCCAATATGGGCTTGAGAAACAGTCCTGCAGGCCACCCTAAGAGGGCATGTCCCCAGGATCATCCAAGGGCTAAAAGCCCACACCCCAGACCTGAGAAACAGCCCCATGGGCCACCCTTGGCAGGCATGCCTTTGAGCTGGTGAGCAGCCTTGAATCTATGTCTCAGACTTGAGAAGCAACTCTGTGGGATGCCCCTAGAAGACACGTTCCCAGGCCAGCTGAGCAGCCCTGTGTCCATATTCTGGGCCTACAAAATACAGTGTGAGCCACCCTTGACAAAAACATCCCCAGGATAGGCAAGGAGCCATGCATCTATGTCCTGGACCTGAGGAATTGGCTCATTCCATTGGCTAACCCCAGCAGACATGTCCCCAGGCTTGTTGAATAGCTGTGCGCCTGTGTCCTGAGCTGGAGGAAATGCCCTGTCAACCACCCCCAACACACACACACCAGGCCAGCTAAGAAGTGTGTGACTACATTCTGGGACTGACAAACACCCCTGTGGGCTGCTTCTTGCAAATATACCCCCAGGCCAATTGAGCAGCCTTGTACATGCAACCCAGGCCTGAGAACTTCCCTGTAAGCTGCACCTGGCAGGCATGCCTTCAGGTCAGCTGAGCAATGATGTGCCTGTGTTCCTGGCCAGAGTTACAGCTCCATGGTCCCAACCCTAGTGATCCAGACCCTGAGTTGGCCAATACACTGTGTGTTTGCACATACCCCTAATCTGAGAAACAGCCCAGCCAGCTTGCCATTAGTTGAATGGATTACAGCTGAAGATATTACGTGAAGAACACATCACTGCATCCACCTAGAACCAATGCCAACGCAGTTCACTGAAGTGACACCCTAAGACCCATTTACATGAATAATTCTTTTCCTATAAAACCTACTCCATAAAATTGGAAGAGATGACTATACCACCAGATGCATAGAAATCAACATAAGAACACATCAACCATGAAAAAGCAAGGAAACATGTAACCTCCAAAGGAAAATAATAATAGACCCCAATCATAAGGAAATACATGAAATGTCAGAAAAGGAATTCAAAACAATAAAGTTAATAAAACTCAGTGAGATACAAGAGAATGAACACAATCAATACAATGAAATCAGAAAAACAATTTATAATTTGAATGAGAAATTCAACAACAGACTAGACAATGCAGAAGAAAAGGTTTCTGAACTTGAAGAAAAGTCTTTTGAAATCACATAGATGAATAAAAAAAGAATAAAAAAGAATGAAGAAAGCCTACAGGACTTATGAGACACTATTAAGTGAACAAATATTGGTATCATGAGCATTCCAGAAGAAGAGGGGGAAAGGTGAGGAAAACTTATTTAATGAAATAGTAGCAGAAAACTTCTTAAGTCTTGGAAGAGAGATGGATATCCAAGTCCAGTAAGCTCAAAGAAGTCCAAACAGATTTAATGCAAAAAGATCCTTTCCAAACAAAGTAGTAAGAGAAAAGCATCAAGTCACACATATGGGAATCTCCATTAGATAAACAGTGGATTTCTCAGCAGAAACCACTGAGAGGAGTGTTAGGGATATGTTGGCCAAAGGATTCAAAATTTTAATTAGATGAAAGGAATAAGTTTATGAGATCTATTGTACAACATGGTGACTGTAGTTAATGCATTCTATTCTTGAAAATTGCCATGAGAGTAGATTTTAATTGTTATCATCACAAAAAGGAAAAGCATGTGTGGTAATGTGTGTGCATTTAGCCATTTCACCATGTATACATATTTCAAATCAACATATTGTACACAATAAGTATACACCTTTTCGTCAATTAAAAATAATTTAAAACAAAAAAATACATGCCAAAACGAAAAGAGAGTGTAGACACTGAATCCAACAGAAGTCAGAAAATACTGTATAAAAAGGCTAATAAATAGAAACCAAAATTACATGATGGAAATAATTCTAAATATGTCAGTATCTCAGTATATATCAACATATGAAGATCACACAACTAAAAGGCAGATATAATCACATCTAATAAAATTCTGTCACATATATGATAGACACACTTGAAACTACACAGGAATGTTAAAATTAAGGAAGTATAGTTAAAAATATGGAGCGTAAAAGTACCAACCTAAAAGGTAAATTAGTATAGCAATACTAATATGGAGAAAATACCACTAAAAACAAAACATCTTAATAGAGGTAAAGTGAGATACTAATTAATTATAAAAGAACAATTTGACAGGAAGCCATGAAAGTCATAAGCCTGTATATACCTAATAATAGCTTGTTCTAATATATGTTGAAGTTTCATCTGAAGTGTATATAATGGGCCGGGCACATTGACCCATTCCCATAATTCCAGCGCTTTGGGAGGCTGAGGCAGGAGCATCACATGAGCCCAACAGTTCAGAACAGACCAGCCTGAGCAACATAGTAATACCCTATTTCTATTAAAAAAAAGTTTTTAAAAGTAAAGTATATATAATAAGAAGGAACATGTACTGTTCTCAAGTGCACATAAGACACACACAAAAGCAAACCACATTCTCTCTCTTTAAAATGGAATACCAAACAGCAACAAGAATGAATGAACTACTGATTCACAGAACCATGGGATGGAATCCCAGAAGCAATGTCGAGCAAAAGCAGCCAGTGAAGGAGTGTATACTGAGTTAGTCCACGTATATTCAGTTTAGGAAAAGGCAAAACCAATAAAATGGTGTAAGTTAGAATAGTGGTTATTTCTGAGGGCGGGTAATGATTAAAGGGGGCCAAGGAGGTTACTATTTCATGTCTTGACTAGGGTGCTGGTGGCGAAAATTCATTGAAATTTGTATTATAATTTGTGGCTTTTATGCATGCTTGTTATACTTAAAAAAAAAGTTTACTGAAAAAATTACTATGTACCAAGCCCTAATGGAAGGCTCAACACATCATATTCTCTGAGCATAACACATAATATAATATAATATAATATATTATAATATATTATAATATAATAATAATAATAAATATGGTCATCAGAGATAATGAAAATATAGAAATTATAATAGATAATTAAAAGGTCATAAATTATTGTGAAGAACAGCTTAAAAATAAAAATATACTTAATGATTTTCCCCCACATATTAGTCTAATTTTTAATATACAAATATGATATTGGACAATGCAAAAGGTTAATGAGGCATTTTGCTTAGGAATTGCTAGTTAACTTTCTTACTTCCTATAGCTTCATTGTGGATGGAGGTGGTAGAGAGGAGGTAACAGAAATGATTTGTTGGCCTTGGGAAATGATGTAAAAGCCAAACCTCGTGGGATTTTACTCAGCTCCATTTTGCGGAAGTGATCCAAACCTGTATCACGTCCTTACATCCCAATGCCAAGGTTTCTAGAGAGACATCTGTGAAAACACTTTCTGCAGACAGCATCATGCCTCTTTTTTTTTTTTTGATGAGAAAAACAAATGGTCACCTTAGGAAAAATTAAGTTCAAATAGCTGTGTTTGTGCGTGCACTCATGCGAGTTACATGTTACAGGGACAGAGAGGGGGAAGAGACAGAATTAATAGAGATGGTCTGAGTTTCAAAACTTTCATTAGTTGGTGTTATGAACTGAATGTCTGTGCTTCCCCCAGATTCATAGTTGAAGCTCTAATTCCCAATATACTGGTATTTGGAGTTGGGGCCTTGGGAGATAATTATGTTAAATGAGGTTATGAGGAGGGGTCCTCATGATGGGATTAGTGACCTTTATAAGAAGAGACACCAGAGAGTCCTACTCCCCCGCAACTTCCCACACCAAGGAAAGGCTGTGTGAACTTACCTCGAGGATCTGCAAGCCAGGACTAGAACCGTCACTAGAAACAAAATTGGCTGGAAGTTTGTCTTGGGCTTCCCAGCCTCCAGAACTGTGAGAAAATAAGTTTCTGTTGTTTAAGCCACCCAGTCAATGTATTTTGCTATGGCAGCTTGAGCAGACTAAAATAGTTGGTCTCATGTAGACAAAGCCAAAATCTTCTAGAGCCTCAGAAACAGATTTTCTAATACTCCCAGAGGCTTGCCAAATTTAATTCTAATGAATTGGCTGGCTAAATGTTGGAGATAAAATCGGCAGACATGGGTGATACAGATTTGCAAAATTAAAAAAATATAAACTATCAGAACTATTAATTCTCCAGTACTTTAGTTACAGATAAGTGTTAAACTCTACTTTGGGTTAAATGCCTTTCAATGCTGATTTTTGTATGTTTAAGATAAATATTCTTCACGTGCAGAAGATGACATACCACAGGTTGGAGAAATGTGGTGTTTGAGAATAGACTCGGATACAAAGAATTTAAAAATTTTCAGCGATTAGCACCCACTTTTTAAAGAATGACAACAAACTTATTTAGAATATTATCAGGCACATTATCTGAACTCTATGATTTATCTTTGAGGCTCATCTTTGTAAATTGATTGAGAATAGCTGCTTCATTTGAGTAGCTGCTTCCTTGTGACACCTGAGCACATTAATGTGCAGAGAAATACTCTGAAAGCCAAGTGTTTCTCCATTTTCAAAGTGGTAATAAAGAGCATCACCTTTGGAATTTAGTCTTGGGTAGAGTGTCTGCTCTACTGAGATGAGTGACATCAGGGAAACTCTAAACTTTAGTTTTCTTCTCAGTGAAAAAAGTAGTAGTAGCTTTAGCGTTGTTGAAATTTTAAGTGAGAGATATGTACAAATCACTTACCACTGTGCCTGGTACTTAGTAAATACTCAAAAAGATTTAGCGATTATAATTCCAACATTATCATCACCATCAAGTAGGAAAGGTCTGAATTATAATAGTTATGTATTCTCCCTTCTGAATAAGTACATTTCTAAAATATTAGACACCAATATAGTTATATTTAAATATAAAAAAGCTCCCAAGGCTAACTTACCTCTTAAAAATGTTTCATCCTTTTGGAGACATCTTTTCCATTAGAGTAATATTACTGAATTGGTTTGATCAAATGTATCTTGCTATTTCAGGTGTGATCACCTCCACTAATCCTCCATGAACTCTCTGAGAAGACATCAGTTAATTGTACTCACCAAAGGGTCTTTGGGAAAATAACCTATCCTGGATGATGGCTCTTCCTGGGAGCTTTGTTAACTTTCCTATTTTGACTTTCAGAGCTCTGGCTCCAAACCTGTTTTCCATGGCCAGCTGTGTTTCAGGAGCACAATATGCCAAGAATGGTTCCTTCTTTCTTCAGTTAATTCCAATGGCTTCAGAATAAAGATTCCATCATAGGTGCAGGATATGGGATACAGGAGCATTGTTGGACATCAAGATATCTACGAGGTTTCCAAAGGCTTTTTCTTCCTGTTTTTGCTTTTAATGGATTTAATTTTTTGTTTTAGTTTTTAATTGAAATATAACAAAATCTAGAGAAGTGCTTAAATCACAAATGTTCAATGAATTTTAAAACATGTGTATGTATATGCCTGTGTAACCAGCACCCAGATACCTTTCTGTATTTATTAGTTTTGGGAAGTAAAACACCTTATCTTCTAACAACATAGATTGGTTTTCCTTGCTTTTGATATTTATGTAAATGAAATTATACAGTATATACCATTTGTATCTATTTTGTGTTCTTTTGAACATTATTATGTTTGTGAAATTTACTCAAACGTCCACATGAACATAGGTGTAGTTTTCCCTTGTTATTGCTATAACCTATTCCACTATGTGACTATAACAAAATGTATTTATCCATTCTTCTCTTAATGACCATTTGGATAGCCTCTTGTTTTGTGCTATTGCAGTTAGCATTATTAAGAATGTATTATTAGGTGGTTGGTGCAAAAGTGTTGCAGTTTTTGCCATTAAAAGTAATGACATTAAAAGTAATGGCAAAAACCACAATTACTTTTGCACTAACCTAATAGTTGCACATTTCTTTTGGAGGACATATGAGCATGTTACTTCTGAGTATGTATGTAGGTATGGAATAACCAAATGATGGGCATACCTATGTTCTACTTTAGCTGATACTGACAAACAGTTTTCCAAAGTAGGTTTTTCAATTTCCACTCCCACTCACTGTATGAATGCTCTAATTGGTATTTTCTCAATATTCTCTGTCTTTTTATGTCCATACTCACACACAATCATTTAAACTATTTTGTGGGGTTGTATAATCTCAATGCCCTTTGAATGCTGAGTAGTTCTTTTGAGTATATTTTCAAATGTTCATTGACCGTTTAGATATCCTCTTTTGTGGAGTGCTGGTTCAAACCTTTTGCCCATTTTTCTATTGGGTTGTCTATATTTTCTGTATTGATTTGCAAGAGTTCTTTATGGATTCTGGATATGATTCTCTTGATAGGTACATGTTTTGCAAACAACTTCTCTAACTCTGCCAGTTGTCTTTCCAGTCTGTTAACTGTGAGTTGTTGACAGGGGCTATTATCATTATCACTTATATTTTTCCCTCATGGTTATTTGTCTTGTTTTTAAAAATGTGGTGTACACCAAGGTCATACAAATGTTTTCCTATGTTTATTCAGAAAGCTTTATTATTTTACCTGTTACATTTATATTTGCAGTAAATCTTGAATAATTTTTGTGTAAAGTGTGATGTATGGGTCAATCTACCCTTTTTAAAACATTTATACAGTTGACCCAGCACGATTTTGTGAAAAGATGATCTTTTTACATTGTAGGACAGTGCCACTTTATCATAAATCAGGTAATAGTGTAACTGTAGGTCTGTTTTTGGACTCTCTGGTTTGTTCTATTGGTCTATTTGTTTATCATTGCACTGATACCACCTTGTCTTAATTGCTGTGGTTTAGAATAGGTCTCGATTACTGGCAGTATAAATCCTCTAGTTTTATTATTCAGGATTCCTTGACTATAGTTGCCCCTTCATATTTTCATTTAAGTTTCAGAATCAGCTTGATCATGTTATTTAAAATGATGCTAAAGTTTTATTTGTGATTGCCATTAAACTTTGTGTAAAATTGACAAATTTACAATTTGAGTCTTCAACTACATGAATACAATATATCTCTCTGTTTATGTAGGTCTTTAATTTTTTAAAAATCTTTTAACAGGCTGTGTGTAGAGGTTTTGCACATCACATAACTGATGCTTCAGGTACTATTATAAAGAGTATTATTTATTAAATTTTATTTTTCATTTTTAAATATATCCACCTTAAATTTAGGGACCTTGCTAAAATCACATATTAATTTTAATCTTTTTAAAGATTCTACAGAATATTTCTTATGCCTTCTTGTGTAATGACAGTTTTATTTTTTCCCTGTAAAACTTTTTACTTAAGTCTCTCTCTACATTCTACAAGCCCATAACTAATGCAACTTCCTCCTCTCTACTATAACAACTTGCACCTCATGAAATGCAGCAGGTGCACCGTCAGGAAATAGAAGACAAATGAAACTTACAGTGACATCTCTGACCTAAATTCAAAACATTTATTTTTTTAAATGCTTTTTTTTTTAACTTTTATTTTAGGTTCAGGGATACATGTGCAGGTTTGTTATGTAGGTAAACTTGTGTCATGGGGGTTTATGGTACAGATTATTTAATCACTCAGGTGCTAATCCTAGTACCCAATAGTTATTTTTTTTTTTATCTTCTTCTTCCTCCCCCCGTCCTCCCTCAAGTAGGGGCTAGTGTATGTTGTTCCCCTCTTTGTGTTCATGAGTTCTCATCATGTAGCTCCCACTTGTAAGTGAGAACATGTGGTATTTCATTTTCTTCTCCTGCATTATTTTGCTGAGGGTAACGGCTTCCAGTTCCATATATGTTCCTGCAAAAGATAGGATTTCATTCTTTTTTATGGCTGTATAATATTCCATGGTGTATATGTACCACATTTTCTTTCACCAATCTGTCTTTGATGGGTATTGAAGTTGATTCCAAGTCTTTTCTATTGTGAATAGTGCTGCAATAAACATTCGCATGCATGTGTCTTTATGGTAGAATGATTTATAGTCCTTTGAGTTTATATTTAGTAATGGGGTTGCTGGGTCCAATGGTAATTCTGTTTTTAGCTCTCTGAGGAATTGTCACACTGTTTTCCAGAATAGTTGAACTAAATTGCACTCTCACCAAGAGTGCATAACTGTTACCTTTTCTCTGTAACCTTGCCAGCATCTGTTATTTATTTATTTTTTTACTTTTTAATAATAGCCATTCTGACGAGTGTGAGATGGTATCCGATTGTGGCTTTGATTTGCATTTTTCTAATGATTAGTGATATTGAGTTTTTTTTTCATAGGCTTGCTGGCTACATGTAAGTCTTCTTTTGAAAAGTGTCTGTTCATGTCCTTTCCCCACTTTTTAATAAGATTGTTTGTTTTTTTCTTGTAAATTTGTTTACATTCCTTATAGATGTTGGATATTGGAACTTTGTCAGATACATAGTTTGCAAATATTTTCTCCCACTTTTTAGGTTGCCTGTCCACTCTGTTGATAGTTTCTTTTGCTATGCAGAAGCTCTTTAGTTTAATTAGGTCCCACTTGTCAATTTTTGTTTTTGTTGCAATAGCTTTTGGTGACTTCGTCACAAAATTTTTTCCTGTTTCTATGACCAGAATGGCATTACCTAGGTTGTCTTCCAGGACTTTTATAGTTTTGGGTTTTACATTTAAGTCTTTGGTCCATCTTGAGTAGATTTTTGTAAGGTGTAAGGAAGGAGTCCAGTTTCAATCTTCTGCATATGGCTAGCCAGTTATCCCAGTACCATTTATAGAATAGGAAGTCCTTTCTTCATGGCTTGTTTTTGTCAGCTTCATTGGAGATCAAATGGTTGTATGTTGGAGATCAGATGGTCATATGTGTGCAGCCTTATTTCTGGGCTTGAAATAGATTCTGTTCCATTAGTTTGTATGTCTGTTTTTGTATGAGTACCATGCTGTTTTGGTTACTGTAGCCCTGTAGTATAGTTTGAAGTTGGGTAATGTGATGCCTCCAGCTTTGTTCTTTTTGCTTAGCATTTCTTTGGCTATTTGGGCTCTTTTTTGGTTCCATATGAATTTTAATAGTTTTCTCTAGTTCTATGAAGAATATTATTGGTAGTATGATAGGAATAGCATTGAATCTGTAAATTCCTTTGGGCAGTATGGCCATTTTTAATGATTTTGATTCTTCCTAGCATGGAATGTTTTTCCATTTGTGTGTTTCATCTCTAATTTCTTTGAGCAGTGTTTTGTAATTCTTCTTATAGAGATATTTCACCTCCCTGGTTATCTGTATTTGTAGGTATTTTTTTTTGTGGCAGTTGTGAATTGGATTGTGTTCCCGATTTAGTTCTCAGCTTGGCTGTTGCTGATGTATATAAATGCTAGTAATTTTTATACATTGATTTTGTATCCTGAAAGTTTGCCAAAGTTGTTTATCAGCTGAAGGTGCTTTTGGGATGAGACTATTGGGTTTTCTAGAAATACAATCATGTTGCCTGCAAACAGGGATAGTTTGAATTTCTTTTTTCCTATTTGGATGTCCCTTATTTCATTCTCCTGCCTGATTGCTTTGGCCAGGACCTACAATACTATGTTGAACAGGAGTGGCACGAGAGGTAAATCCTAGATATTTTAAATTTATAACACATGTTCACAACTATCAAAACATTTCCAGACAGTGTCATATTGTCCAGACTTCTTATTACCAATATCATTGCTTAGGTCTTTCCCTGGGTTTATACTTGATAAGTGAAACAAAAATAAAACTTAATAAATCTTGTGCTGGAAACCTAGGAAAAAGATAAAAGCAAAATGTTCAAGGAAAAAAGGAAGTCCAAGGCATCACTGGGTAGCTCTTTTTATGGACAAGGAACTAGAGTCTGGTGCATATCATGACAGAGTAGCCGATATGGAATGAAGTCTTCTGCCAATAATAATTATAAGAGCTGGACAAATCCAACTTAAAAAATCTGAAGGCACTGGAAAGCCATGAGAGATGGCAAAAACTGAAAGGAGTACATCCTTAAAAGAATGAGATCCACATTTTCATAGCTTTCTTTGAGGGCACGTTCTAGTTTTCCATGCTATGAGTGAGTTCTGTGCAATGGGAACTGTTTTTCTTGACTGAGACATAAACAGGAGACGAAGACTGTCAGGGCAGCCAGAAATTGAAAGGCAAAACTTGCAGAAAGGAGAAAGGCACAGAGGAAGAAACAACAAAATCTGAATGTAAATTTTCTTCTAGGCTTGACTTTCAAGATACTCAAATACAGGATATGACTGCAAAAAACCCAGTAGAATGCATCAAGTTGAAGGATAAATATTTTAGCATCTGGCTCGTTCTGTAGAAGCAGAGATTGCAGTTTAAGTTTCATAAGTTATGAGAGGCTTAAAAACAACAACAACAAAGGCTTATAGTTGTGACCTCAGAAGGGCCACACCCATGACAGGATTAAAATGATCGGCTGGTACTCTATCGGCCTTCCAAAATAAAAATACAGTTTTTTTTTCAGGAATAAAACAAAGTTACAGTTTCCCCAAGTTTATATACACAATGTGGCATTCAATTAAAAATACAAAGCATGATACAAAACAGAAACAATGCACTTGAAACTAAGAGAAATAACAAATGATAGAAGCAGACCCAGAGAAGATTTACTTACTGGAGTTTTCAGACAGGTATGTTTGAATAATTATGATTCATATATTCAAAATAACAGAAGAGAAAAAATTTCAGCAGATAACTGGAATCCATAAAAAAGCAAAACTGAAATTCTATAAATAAAACTTAAAATAACTAAAATTAAAATTTCAAGAGATGAGAATAACAGCAGCATGAAAACAATATTTGTTATCTGAAAGATAGGTCAGTAGCAAGTTTTCATAATGACACACACAGAAAAAACATGTAAAACATAGAAAAGAATTTGAAAGGCACATGGGAAATTTTGAAAAGATGTAGTAAATCTGTAATTGGAATCCTAGGAGAATAGAAGAAAATTAATGGGATAAAAGCATTATCTAAACAAATTTCCCAAATAGCTTAAAAGACATCAACTTACAGGTTTAAGAAGCCCAAGTCAAATAAATGCAAAGAAAATCACATGTAGTCATACTATGTTCAAGTGGGAGAAAATAAAATACAATGAGAACAAAAGCAGTCTCAGAAAATAAAACACATCACCTTTAGGGAGACAGCAGTAAGGATATTGCCCACTTGTCAAACAAAAAAAAATAGCCCAGGGAATATAAAAAATAGTAGCAATATATTTAAAGTGTTTAATGAAAAACTTAACCTGTAATTTTATACCTAGCCAAAATGTCCTTAAAAAGGAAAATGAGATAAAGACATTTTCAGACAAGGAAAACTGGAGAATATGGTGTAGAAAAGAACAAAGAGTACCCCTGAAAGATAAATGTAAATAAATATTGATTATAATTACAATACATAATTAAAAACCTATGTAAAGTAAACTGTATGCAACATTAGTGCAAAAGATGAGAAAGAGTTAAGTGAATTTAAACTGTTATAATTTTCTTACATTATTAGTGAAACCACTAATAATGCACTTTAAGTTCACTTACCTACTTGAAATTAGAAGTAAATGTCTTGAAATAAGACATTGTGTTACAAGTAAATCACTTGAAATTAGAAGCAAATGTCTAAAACATTTTTAAGAATTTTTTTTTTGGAGACTGAGTTTTGCTCTTACTGCCCAGGCTGGAGTGCAATGGCGTGATCTCGGCTCACTGTAACCTTTGCCTCCTGGGTTCAAGTGATTCTCCTGCCTCAGCCCAAGTAGCTGAGATTACAGGTGCCTGCCATCATGCCTGGCTAATTTTGTATTTTTTTAGTGGAGATGGGGTTTCATCATGTTGGTAAGGTTGGTCTCGAACTCCTGACCTCAATTGATCAACTCACCTCAGCCTCCCAAAGTGCTGGGATTACAGGCGTGAGCTACTGCGCCCAGCCTTTGAGAAATATTTTTAACAGAATCTGAGCTTATATTCTTGGCCCCCTATAAAGAAGCCTATACTTTTGAACACACATACCCAAACAAAACAATATTGTGATGAAGAGATGGCAAAATAAATCACTATTTCACTTATGTAAATTTGGTTAGAAAGTTAAAAGAAAAATACTCAAAGAATTATTTTACAAAAGTGGAAAGATCTTCAATTAAGCTACCAAAAAATCACCTGGAGAATACAAGATGTTTCTAACAATAGCAATGATTAATTGATTCAAAATTTTAAACATTTCAGGTTTATAGTTAAGCTTTAGATGAGTTGTATAATATAAAATGCTGCCCATTTAACACTTTGGCTATGCTTTGTCTCAAAATATTTCAGTTTTTTTAAAGAAATTTCAATGTGCATTCTAAAAAATTTAACTCCTGTCATTAATATTTTTGGAACTTTCATATTTTTCAAAGAATGATTTCAGATAGATATAAAAAATTTGTTCTATCACAGTTGTCAATGTTCCAGCTATGTTAGGTCAATGATAAAGATTTACTGATATTTAATGTGGGCCTGACATTTCTCTAATTGCTTCATTCTACTGCATGACACATATTGAAAATATCTGTAACTCCAGTTTTTGAAGCAAACTATCAAAAGTGTCATGGATATTACTATTAAAATCATTTAGTATATATGCACAAATGTTATGGATCACCAATTTGCAATTTGTAGAACTGTTGTAAGAAATGAGACAATCTAATAATCTTGGATTTTTTTCTAATGTTCACTTGTTAAATGGTGGAAAAGTTTTACACGGATTTACTATACTTTTGAATCTAATTCTGTATTTTCTTAAAGCAAAAGAAATGCTTGCTAAATGTTTAATAGTCAAAGACAAAAAATGACAGTAACTTGTTTTCTCACTAATATTATACTGCACATTAATGAGCTAAATTTGAAGTTCCAAGGAAAGGAAAAGCTAATTTCTGACCTAACTAGACAAAATCAAAAATATATGTTGAAATGTTGAAATTAAAACTTTTCATCATACAAATGAGCAATAATTATTTCATATATTTTAGCATAAATCAGCATAAAGAATATGTTAATTGTTAACAACATTATGTAAACTGGCTTCAAAATCTTTAAGGAAAATTCAAAGAATTATTTTTGAAATTAATAAATTTAGAATAATCACTCAGTTTATGCAACACTCTTTGAATTAAATATTAATAATATTCTATTGACACAAGATTTAGTAAATTTAACTTGGAAAACACAATTTTAAAACTAATATACTTTTGCTTAAAAGTCAAATCAATTTTTATAGAAAAAAACCTCAACAAATGCTGTTAATGTGAGTGAGATTATTAATGGAAAATGATTCTTAGTAGTTAAAGTTACTGGAAAGTGTTTAAGTGTATTTTGAACATCTTGGGTATATGAATCTGCTTCTTCAACTGTAATTTTATGAATTAATATAAATCAAATAGTTCAGATAAAAAGTTAGCATTTTAAATGAGATACACTGTCAGTGTAAAACACATCCTCAATTTTAAAGACAGGACAGGAAAAGTAAAATATTTCTTAATAACAAAATTGATTAAATATTGAAATGATAGTATTTTGAATATATTGTTTCAAATATAATATATTATTAAAATCAATTTCTTTTTTATTTTACCTTTTTAAATATTGCCACTAAGATTTTAAAATTACATATGTGGCTCACATTATATTTCTATTAGACAGTTCTGATATAGATTATTTTTACGACAGTATGAAAGGACTGAAACTAATCAACATGTAGAGAACACTTCACCAAACTACTGAAGAATATACTATTTTTTAATGTTCATGGAACATTTTCCAAATAGAACATATTCCGAGCCAAAGTCACTCTTAAACATATTTCAAAGGTTTCAATCATATAAATGTTTTTCACTGATCACAGTGGCATTAAACTAGAAATTAGCACCAGAATATAAATAATGCTTGAAAATTAAATAATATACATATTAATAACAAAAAATCAAGGAGGAAGTAAAAAAAATCAATTAGAACTTTTTTTCTTTTTGAGATGGAGTCTCACTCTGTTACCCAGGCTGGAGTGCAGTGGCGTGATCTTGACTCACTGTAAGCTCTGCCTACTGGGTTCACACCATTGTCTTGCCTCAGCCTCCCAAGTAGCTGGGACTACAGGCACCCACCACCATGCCCGGCTAAATTTTTTGTATTTTTAGTAGAGACAGGGTTTCACCATGTTAGCCAGGATTAGAACATATTTTTAAATGAATAAAAATAATATGACTTCAAAAACTACAGGATGTAGGAGAAGTCCTTAAAGTGGAATTTATGACACTAAATGCATATATTAGAAAAATCAAAAGCTTGAAAATAAGCAATCTAAGCTTCTCTTTCAGAATGCTAGAAAAAGAACATCAAACCAAACTAAAAAGGTAAATGGAGATAAGAGAAGAAATCAATGAAAATTAAAAGTTCACCAACAATAAAGACATTCAACAAAACCAAAAGTTACTTTTAAAAAAGATATTAATAAAATTAGTAAACCTGTGGCAATAGTGTTTTTTTTAAAGACAAAACTTGAGTGACATTACTAGAAATAAAATGGGGCATCATTATAGATCCTACAGACAGTAAAATCATAAGAGGACATTTTAAACAACTTTATGTCATTTCATTTAGATAGTGTGAAAAATCCCTTGAAAACATAGCAAAACAGAAATAGAAGAATAGAAATAAATGAAAAAATGTGAAGCATTCTATACTTGTTAAATATATTGAATCTGCAGTTAAAACCTTTTCACAAAGAGAATTACAAGTTCAGATGAGTTTGCTGGTGATGTTTTCTCATGCATTATTGAAAAATAATATCAATCTTACATAAATTTTCCCAGAGAAGAAAAAAAGAGAGCTCACTTTCTAATTCATTTTATGAGGCCAGTATAACCTGATACAAAGATTGAAAGATGGTATTTCATTAAAAATTAAGAACTTCTAATAATTAAAATACAACCTTAGAAAACTGAAAAGGCAAGTCACAAGCTGGGAGAAAGTATTTGCAGGCTGGGCGCAGTGGCTCATGCCTGTAATCCTAGCACTTTGGTAGGCTGAGACGGGCGGATTACCTGAGGTCAGGAGTTCGAGACCAGCCTGACCAACATGGAGAAACCCTGCCTCTACTAAAAATACAAAATTAGCTGCGCGTGGTGGCACATACCTGTAATCCCAGCTACTCGGGAGGCTGAGGCAGGAGAATTGCTTGAACCTGGGAGGTGGAGGTTGCAGTGAGCCGAGATCGTGCCATTGCACTCCAGCCTGGGCAACAAGAGGAAGACTCCACCTCAAAAAAAACAAAACAAAACAAAACAAATAACAACAACAAAAAAAACCACAAAGTATTTGCAATGCATATACATAACAAAAGATGTGGACTCATTATGTAAAGGACTCCCAGACATCAATAGTAAATAGTAGACAACCTAATAAAAAAAAATCACATGACTTGAAAAGGCACCTCATAGAAGAAGGTAAACGAATGGCGAATAAGCATATGAAAAAGTGATAAACATGATTACGCATCAGCGAACTATAAAATAAAACCACAGTGGGGTACCACTACACTAGAATGCCTAAAATATAAAAAGAGATTATTCTGATGTTGGTGAGAGTATAGAGAAATTGTAACCCTTGTATGCTGCTGGTGGGAATGTAAATTTTCACAGTCATTTTGAAAAACTGGTAGTATTTATTAAAGTTGAAAATATTGCTAATCTGCAATCTAGGTAACTACCCAAAGAAAATGGGTTATCGTGTCCACCCAGACATAAACAAGGATGTTCATAATCCTGATATGGAAAACACCCTAAAGTCCATCATTAACAGAGTGGGCAAACAAATTGTGGCATATTCACAGTGGAATCGATCACAGCAATCCAGAGAATGAACCACTGCTACATGTAACAGTATGGATGGTTCTCACAGATATAATGTTGAGCAAAATATGCCACCCAGGAAGAGTACATTTATGATTCAATTTGCATGAATCTCAAGCAAATGTAATTCTTGGTAAAAGAAATCAGAATAGTAATTTCCTGTGGGAGTAAATTTACTGGAAAGGCACACAAAAGAGCCTGTGGGGCACTACAAATGTTCTGTTATTATGTGCATTGTGGATGCCCAAATATAAACACGTGCAAAAAGATCAGTGTACATTTAAGATTGTATACTTCTCTGTTGTATGTTACACTAATTGTAAAAAGGTAAGGATAGTAATCATGCCTAATTTTGAAATTAAAGGAGTAAAAAATGCTAAGCAAACATTTTTATTCTCAAACTTTGCCATTTACAGAGATATTCCAGTGTGGATTTTTCAGTTTAGTATTTCCCTGCTCTATACAGCATACCCTAAATCCATGTAGCTTTCACAATTAAATGGCCATTTTTGGTCTGGCTCTTCTTCTCCAGAATCCCTTAAAATTGTGGATTCCTTGGACCACAGAATAAAACTTCCACCACATCCTGCCTCCTCCCTTTCTTCAACTCCTTCATTTGGCAGCTTTTCTGCAAAGTTACCCCAAGTTCTAAGCCAGCTTGCAAACTCCATCTGCTTCCCAGACTCGGAGAACTCATGACTCAAAGACTCAGAGCAGGGCAGCATAAAGGGAGTAAGAACTACGGAATGAGAGCACACATGCGAAATTCTGACCGTACCACTTACTGGCTGGGATTCTGTGGGTAAATCTTTCAACCTCATCGAAACTTAGTATCCTCAGTTATAAAACGGCCTCCCATTTCATAGTTATTGGGAAGTATCAATTTATACTCAGCAAAATGCCTGACATGTATTAATAGTAAATAAATGCTCATAAATATTAGCTATTGCTTCTTAACATTGTGATGTAGACTTAATGACATGGGAGATTAAAGCTGAAGATATGCAGTAAATAGGTCCATGATTAACAGTTTATGAGGCTCATATGTCAGGGCTCAGGGTCTATTATGGATTATCTGTGGCACAGACCACCACCCTCCAGGATAAAAATAAGGTCACCATCAAAGCCTGTCTTTAATAATGACTAGAATTTCCCAGAGGTTACCTTGGAAATGATCCTTAGTAAAGTCTTCTTGGGGCTACCTATGTTATTTCTTTTGCAGCCACCTTGAACTGATCAAAAGAGAGACACCAGGAACCAAGGCTATGCTGTGTTTCCTCATGAAAAGGGATGTCATGTTCCCTAACTTTGCGTTATTCTGTGCAACATACATCCCAAAGTATATGGCTGTGTATCAACTGCAAAAGGGTACTTACTGGGTGAGTGCCACTTTGGACAAGTTACTTAACTTCTCTGTGCCACAATTGCTTCATTTTTGTAGGATGAAGGGTACCTATCTCATGAAGTTGCGGTGAGAACAATGTGTAGCACAAATTAAGCCCTTGCTAAATCTATTATCACCATCATCATTATTATTGTTATCATCATATATTGTGGTAGTAACATCCCACATTGCCATTTCTTGTCTGTTAGCTCTACAGATGTGTTATTCATCTTTCTCTGCTCTGTGCGCCACGAGCCTGGACTGCAAACACTGCATCACCTGGGCTCCCCTGTCTTCTATTTTCCAGTTGGGTTTGACAGGGAGAGGCAGTAGCTGGAGAACAGTGGCTAGAAGGAAAAAAGATCAGAGTATTTTTTTTTTTTTCCTATGTCCTCTCCTCTGTTCCTCCACTTTGGTCTTGGAAGTAGACTTTTCCCTTGACTCATACAGCTCATAATGTCAGTCTCTTCTTCTACTATTCTGGCTCTCCCTGCAATCCAGTAATATTATGTCCTCGATTTCCCCTTTGAACAGGGTAGCGGTAATGATTTTCCACTGTTGCTGGTGTCTGGTGAACCTCAACATCACTTGTTGGTTTCCTTAACCCTGCTCATATTGCTACACATACTCTCTTCAATAAACTCTCAGTGGGTAAACCTTTCTGAATGGAACTGACTTCTTACTGAAATTTATTACGAATATAGTGTTAAAAATAAAACTACTCTGGTGTCCCTCTCTCTGCACCCTCCACAATCAGCCACGAATCCATGGAAAATAGGCCACAATCAATAAATTTCAAACTTCGTACTGTATTCAAAAATCACCATTCTTTGTGAATCTGAGTCTGTCTTCTTTGATCTAGCTTACGTGTCTGAACAATTCTTTGAGGATGGATCTCCTGGGTCTCATGGGTACTTCTCGTGGGCCTCCTTGGCCCACGAGTACATAGCCAGGGAGGCCAAGCATCCAGTGCTCTATGCAAATTAGAAAAAAAATCTCTTCTGGATGGACCAATTTTAAAAAGGTACACTTTCTAGGTTGACTAATCAGAAAAAGCATATCCTCTGGGCTGCCCAATTAGAAAATGGGAGCCAGCCGCATTGGGATGAACCAGTTAGAAAATGGCAGCCCCTTTGGGATGAGCCTATTAGAAAAAGATGCCTTTCCTAGCCTAGGCTTTTGCCACCCGGCCAGGGAAGTGACTGGGCTAATGGATGCAAGCTGCATTTTAGTTATAATTCATGCCCCATTGGTCAGCTGATGCCTTGGAAGTTTCAATGTTCAAGAGTTAAATGGCAGTGTTTTGCTGTAAATAGTTGTTTTTTCCCCCAATACTGTAAGAAATAAAATAGAAACATTATTGATAGATATTTTTAAATTCAATTTTAAGTTTTCTCCTAAATTCTACTTGATTTTTTTGGCACCTGCTGCTGCTAATGTTCATACCGTAATCTGATAGAGATGGTATAAGTTTTATCACTAAAGTATATTTGATAACTTTAATTTTACTGTAACACTATTCCACATGCCTGTGCATTGAGCATCATTACTTCCAATCTCCCACTGCTTGAACATACTTGAAAACCTTACTTTAAAATGTTACCTTAATGCAATAAAATCAGACCCAATTGACCAATGGCCTTTTAAAACAGATACATTCCTGAACATGGGAATGTCTATATAAAAAGTATGTGCCTATTTTAAGAGGTAAAATGACAACAAACAAAAATGTGTATCTTAATGTGTATCAGAGTTTGAGAAATGTATATATTGATTAAGGGAAAGTAATTGATATTGAGGTTAAAATATGATTTTTGCATACTTTTATTCCAATGTTACGCAAATTATAAATTCCTTAAAAGTAACCTAATATGTGAGTCAAGATATCCTTGACTAATTACTTATATATTGTTTATTTTAATATTTATCAAAACAATTAAAACTAAGTGCTAAGTAGTGTTCTGAGCCATCATATGTATGTGTGTATTCTATTATCTATCTCATTCGGACCAGTAATAAAGTAAAAGTGCATTGCTGTCAAGATGCCAATACTACATTAAACCCAATCAATGTTCAAATGCAACATTTAAGCATTTTTCACACCTTCATAGACAATTCAATTATGTGCATCTAAATCTACAATATTATAAATGCTCAAGAGGATCTCTGTTGACATGAAATAGGATTTTTTTTCACATAATGTAATCTTCTGAATCTAAATTGTTGTGGAAATTAAATATTTTGGACATGAGCAATTAAACGTGTATATATCCGAGATTATTAGGATGCTGGATTAAGCAAGTTCAATAACCTTAACTTTTGACCTCTGGAAACTTATGGTCCAACAGACTTGTACCATTTATTTTTTTGAGTATAAAATCTCTCTGGGTTGGCATTTTTCTTCATTAAGTTTGTAACCTAAATGTTACAATATATGACACATTTTTCTGAATTGCAATTTTTACATTTATTTTGAATAATAGCTTTTTGAATGACTCATTTTAACTTTATGACAGGAAATGTGAGATTACAAGTGCAATGATTTTCATGTTTTTTTAACCACTTATCCTCAAGTTCTAGTAAAATGGTTTTCGTATATTTTCTTATGTGAGGGTTGAATTTGATTTTACAAATCTCTTATTTGAAGAAATATGATAAATAAATCCAACTGAGTCATTTTCTTCAGAGCAAAGTGAAAAGTGCTACAGATTCAACTTGATTCTCTCCGAAACAGGCCTGTTGGAAGCCTATGCTCAGTAAGCACTTATGGAAGGAAATAATCCCTGTTTACATGTTTCATAGTGCATGTAACATGTGCATATTGGATTGAAGTTCTCATTGTCATACTAGATGTTTAGGGATCAAGTAAACCATTGCAAACTCAAAGCGAATTCCTTATCAGTAAGCTACCAGGTACCTATAATGGCTTAGAACCTAGGCAGAGAAAACACTGTGTATCCATCTGGGATCAGTCAGGAATACGTTATTTGGTATTTTCTGGTTTCAAAGTGTTTTAATAGAGGAATTGGAGACTTAGAACTGTTGGGAAAGCTGGGAAATGAAAGTCAGGGAAACTATCATCCATGATCTCAGCCTGAAGTACTGAAAGTGGATGCTCTTAAGAGTTAATTGGGAAGTGGCTGAGATTTTTGTCTGCAGCAGCAAAGCGATGGTTTTTAAGAATGTGCCAAGAATTGACTGCGAATCTCACACTGGTCCTGACAACTGCCTTCAGAGAATAATGACCTCTCTTCTGCCACCCAAATCTCTTGTTTGTGGGCCTCTCATTGGAGAAAACTATCCTGCAAACACACAGAAAGGGTAGTCTGGGAAATTTATTTCTGGCTTCTTCAGGTGAGCTTGGAATGGGGTTGGTGCAGAGTTGACCACGGAAAATTCATCATTCAGAGGGAGGCATCTCTTCCATTTAGGTACATATTTAATAATGTTATTTTAATTCTCCAGTTATCCAAGTTTTATAACCTATTGTCCAGGGTAAATAATATTCTAAATTTTTGCATATATAAATCTCTCCTCAAATGGAAAAAGTTCAGCTGACAAATTTCTCCTGTGATTTAAAAGTGATATATCCAAAGTTGTCCCATTCAATGGCTATAGAAATTAAGAAACTGGATTCCATGTATGTAAAATATTGTCTGACCTTAGAATACTTCAAATCACAGGCAACAATTATTTTCAATTGGGAGCATACTTGCCTCGAATAAGGCATCAGAAAAATTTGGATGAGTGGGAAGAAAGTAGCGTGTAGTTTGAATTAGTTTATAAAAGTTACTGTTGCTTTGCTTTTAGTCAAGGCCTTAATTTCATATTGAAATTTAAATCATATCAATGAAGGTTTAGGAGGTTTATTAATAGGAGACATGGGTTATAAAGGTCTAGAGGCATTGATACAAAGAGCTTTGCTGCATATGTCCGCAAATTGTTCAGGGCCAATTCAACTTGTAAAAAGATCCCCTCACGTGCCTCAAAGGATGCAGAGAGGGTCCTCTGAACTCTTGCTGGGCTGTACAGGGAATTGGGGTTTTATTGTCCGTTATATCTATGTAGACTGTGATAAAGTTCATTTCAGTGAGAAGTGAAGCCTGTGGAATATTGCCAAGAGAAGCTCATATTTCTGAGGACTCAAGGGAATTCACCTGCTTTTATCTGTATCTCTTGGCAGGTTCTTCACTGTTTTATTATACTTTCTGAACATAATTGGAACAAAGGAGGGTTTTTTTCTTATATTATTTTCTAGTATTTGGGGGCCTTAAGAGGTGATCATTAATTTTCCCTTTTCCTCCTACTTCTGAATTCAGATTCAATTAAGAAAAATGACCACACATGTTAGAAAGATGAGAATAAAAATACTATTTATATTACTGATAAGTTTGGTTGGGGGCTGGAAACTTGGCCTGAGGACAAGAATTTGAGTCTCTAGATACTTCCTCCACATCTGGAAATTGCAGTGGCCATCTAAGGAAGGGTTTGGATTTGGAGAGCAGATACTTTTATCCAAAACCCCTGTTGTATCTGTTCAGCCTTGTCTTGGCTTGATTTTCCTTAGAGGACAGATTCTGGTGCAAGTAATTTACTTGGGAGGAAATACAGCAGGTGAGTCAGGAGTGGATCTAGGGAAGGGGAGGAAGCCAATAGTGTGGTGATAAGCCAACTACTCCAGTGGGAGACCATGTCTTTATCCCACAGGAAAACTGTGGATGGATGTAAAACACATGCTTCATCATTATCCCTCCCAAGAGGCAAAGGAGCTGGAATATTTAGTGATGGAGAAATTCTCCTAGGGAGCGTTAATCTCTAGTCTTTTCTTTGAGTGCCTAGATAAAGGGCCTTCTGTGGTTTAAATAAAAACCCCTGGAGATCAGATGAGATTGGGTGCATTCAGGGTGGTATGGCAGTCAAAGCAATTACAACAAAAACAAAAAACTGACAAATGGGACTTAATTAAACAAAAGAGCTTCTGCACAGCAAAAGAAACAACCGACAGAATAAACAGACAACCTACGGGATGGGAGAAAATATTTGCAAAGTGCATCTGACACAGGACTAATATCCAGAATTATAAGGAACTTAAATCAACAAGAAAAAAAAACAAATAACCCCATTAAAAAGTGAGCAAAGGACATGAACAGATACTTCTCAAAAAAAGACATAGCAGACAACAAATATAAGAAAAAATGCTCAACATCACTAATCATCAGAGTAATGCAAATTAAAACCATAATGAGATACCATCTCACACTAGTCAGAATGGCTATAATTAAAAAGTAAAAAAATGGCCGGGTGCAGTGGCTCAAGCCTGTAATCCCAGCACTTTGGGAGGCCAACGTGGGTGGATCACGAGGTCAGGAGATTGAGACCATCCTTGACAATATGGTGAAACCCTGTCTGTACTAAAAATTCAAAAATTAGATGGGTGTGGTGGCGCGTGCCTGTAATCCCAGCTACTCAGGAGGCTGAGGCACGAGAATCACTTGTACCCAGGAGGCGGAGGTTTCAGTGAGGCGAGATCATGCCACTGCACTCCAGCCTGGTGACAGAACGAGACTGCATCTCAAAAAAAAAAAAGTTAAAAACAAAATAAAACAAATATTGGAGAGGATGTGGAAAAAAGGGAGCACTTATACACTGTTGATGGGAATGTAAATTAGTTCAACTCCTATGGAAAACAGTCTGGAGATGTCTCAAAGAACTGAAAATAGAACCACCACTCAACCCAGCAATTCCATTAGTGGGCACATACCCAAAGGAAAATAAATTGTTTTAGCAAGAAGACACCTATACTCATGTTTATTATGGCACACTTCATAATAGCAAAGTCATGGAATCAACATAAATGTCCATCGACAGTGGACTGGATAAAGAAAATGTGAGACATATACACCGTGGAATACTATGAAGCTATAAAAAAGAATGAAGCTGTGTCCTTTGCACCAATATGGATGCAGCTGGAGGCCATTATCCGAAGCGAATTAATGCAGGAACAGAAAACCAAATACTGCATATTCTCACTAATAAGTGGGAGCTAAAAAATGGGTGCACATGGACATAAAAATGGAAACAACAGACAGTAGGAACTCCAAAAGAAGGGAGAGAAAGAGGGAGGGGCCCAAGGGCTGAAGACCTACCTATTGGATATGATGGGTACTATCTGGGTGATGGGTTCACTAGAAGCCCAAGCCCCAGCATCACACAATATACCCATGTAACAGACCTGCACATGCACTCCTGAATCTGAAAAAAAAGAAGAAATCTCAAGCTCAGAGATAGAGATACTGGCGATTAGAGGTGACTCAATGCTTCTCACGTGGAAGAGCTGAGGCTGAGGAGTCTAAAAGCTTCTTGCAGGCAGGAAAGCTTCTTGCAGACAGAGAGAAAAGAAGGGGTTGGGCCCCTTAAGTTGTTTCTCCTTCATTGAGGAGTTGGGAGGGGAAGAGAGATGAACTCAAGTTACCTTCCCAGACTGTTCCCTCCAACATAGAGGAGCAGAGGTTTTTTATATCATGGGTAAATGTAGGAACATGGGGAGAGGAAGAACAGGTACTAATGAGTAGTATAGAGATGTGAAATTTAGAATTATTCCTTAAAAGGTGAAGATAATTGTTAGCAACAAAAATAGAGAAGGAATACATGTGCAAACAACATAAAGCTTCATCTTTTTGAAAAAGATTTACAAGGTAAATATAGACACTGAAGTCCTTATATACACATTGGTCTTTTTTTTCTATCTCTAGTGCCTTGACGGCCAACTCTTTCAATCACTTTGCCCTTCTATTTCTTCGGTGATCAAAGCTTTTTTGTCACGGCCATAGGCTCTAAACTGCCATAGGTTATATTTGATGAGCAGGGAGCAGGACAGAGAAGGAGGCAGGGAAAGTAAAATCTGACAGTGGGATGTTTGCACTCGTGCTGGAAATAAGCAAGGGTGGCTTGCAAGAGGCAACTAAGAGATAAGCAGCTGCTGTAGTGAATGGAAATGAGAGTGGCAGACTGTGGGTAAAGCCATAGGTATATGTTATGTACTTAAGTTCTTTATTCTTTTAAAATAAATAACTAACCCAAATATAAGTGCGTTGTTATTAACACAAGCCCAGCCCATAAGGTAGTAGAGAGAATAAGCTGCTGTAACAAATTCACACAAAACACGTGGTCTGCTATGGATGGTTATGTTCCTCCAAATCCAGATGTTAAAATTGAATGCCCAATGTGATAGTATTGAGAGGTGGGTCCTTTTGGAGGTAGTTAAATCAGGAAGGTGGATTGCTCATGAATGGAATTTGTGTCCTTATAAAAGATACCCAGGGGGAACTTGTTGTCCCCTGCCACCATGTGAGGTGAGGACACAGGTAGAAGTCACTGTATATAGGAAGCAAGCCCACACCAGACAGTGCTGGCACCTTGATCTTAGACCTCCTGCCTCCAGAACTGTAAGAAATAAATATCTATTGTTAATAAGTTACCCAGTTTATGGTGTTTTGTTATGGCAGTGAGAATGAACTAAGACAACCTCAAACAAGATAAAAGTTTCTTTCTTTGTCAACAGTGCAGAGCCTGGTGGGCAGGGTAGGTTGGTGGCTCTGTCCAAGGTGCTAGCTTTCTTGAATCTTGATACTACACCACTCTTGGTGTGTGTTCCTGTCCACATGAGTAGTCAAAGCTACTCACACCATTTTCTTTCCAGCTCACAGGAAGGATGGAAGAGAGACGTGGAAGGCAAGGAGCTTCCTTTGAAGAATATGACCAGGAAGTTGAACATGTCACTGCTGCTCACATCTCATTGATCAGAATCTAGTCACGTGACCACACTTAACTATGATGGGGCTGAAAATTGTATTCTCCATCTGAGTACCCATGTGCCCTTCCAAAACTGTAGAGCGGGTGGGGTTCAATACTAAAAGGAAGAGTGCAATAGAAGAGCAATAATTGGAAGCAAATAGTAAAAGCATGCTGCAATAGTTTTACAGATTTTTGCTGATTAATATCATGAAAGTTCACATATCTTACATTAAAATAAAATGCAAATGTGATTGTGTCATGAAATTCTGGTCATTACAGTTACTTTTAGAATTGTTTACTATAATATGCTGAAGGTAGGTTTAATTTTTAAATGAACTTGTTTATGAGTACTGGGTTTATTTTACGTTAGCCTTATGAAAACAGTCTTACAGATTTTCTCTCCTATATACTACAAATTTTACTATCAATTCTTACAGTCTCAGATTTTTAAATCTTATTTCTACTTACATGCATTTCAAAACTTGCATTTTTCCCCATAGTTTTTCATTTTTGTCATCTAATATTGATTGGAATGTAGCATGGCAAAGAGTAAGCAAACATTTTGATATCTTCCAAAACAAACCTTAAATAATTGTCTGGAATTCAGGTCAGCATCATATGTATATTTGAATCATCCATGATCTGGAGGCCCCAGAACCTGAGTTAATTCTTGGACCATACTTAGTCTTTCTTGTATAACTGGAAATCTGGTTCAAGTTCATCATTTAGTATCCAACGTGGAGTCTTGTACAGTTATTTTCACTGAGCGGATGCTTAATAAATATTGGTTGAATGACTGAATTGGGCTACTCAGAAAACATCAAAAATTGAGGGTCCTTTAGACCAAAAGTAACCTTAATTGGTTAGTCATCTTTTCCAGACAAAAACAATTGCTTTTTGCGGGGTTTAATGATGTGAATAGTAGCCTATGTAACCTAAGTAAATAATATATCAATAAATATAGGAAAGAAGTGCAGAAAGAGCAAAATGTTATACATCATAAGAAAGTTTCTCATTCCTCTAAATAGTATAAAATATGAGAAGCAACTAACACATTGCTTGGCATAATAGATTCTCAATAAATAGTAGTCACAGTTAATTGTCTTTTATATTGTTCCTTAGGTCACAAGTCAAAGAAGTTTTTCACCAACATGTAGCAAAAGAAATGACAGTTTTCTGGCAGTTATTCCTTATTTCAGTAGGGAACAAATTCACTGTCAGAATGCAGAGAAGAAAGTCAAATTCTCATATTCAAGAAGAGCTGATTTGAGACAGACTGTCTTTATAACAAACTAGCATTTAAGAAGATCCAATAATTATAGAATATTTCCCCAAATTTTACTCTATTTGTGAAATACTCCAGGGAACTCAGAAAGTTTTAACATAACATCAGAGCCTGTGAGTTTGGAAGGCCTATTTATATTTCAGCTATTTCTCTGGCATTTGCCCAGTGATAATATATTGGGATATTCTGGAACCCCCTAGGAGACACCAACATGTTATAGAAGCAGCATATGGTATCTGTCTCTGATTGATATAAAAATTATTTTCTAATTATTTGGCCATGCTATTCCATTTTTCCTCTTTCAAAAAGAATTCCACTCTTCATTTTTTTTTTTTTCAGTCTGTTTCTTCTTAGTAAGTCACTGGCATTACATTCAGGTACTTTTAGTATTCTCTATTTCTTTACCTCACAAACCTTTTTAGACCATATTTAAATTGTAGTAATTTTTAAAAGCTGTATGACATGATCCTTTTGACACATCAAGGCCATCATGATATAGCTTTCCAATGTCTTAACCTTTATGGGATTTACTGGTTTTAAATTCTTCTATCTTACCTAGAATTGACTGATGTTTCCCAGAAGGTCAGGATATCAATGCTAATTTTAGCATCCTAACTAATAGAAAACTCTAAAAGTGGTAAAGATGTTTATTCCATTTTTTGTTTTTTGACAACTGATAATCAAGGAGTTAGTCGATTTTCTTTAAATCAACTTTTAAAATCAAATCAGTCTTTTCCATCAATCCTCAACTATATAAATCGACATCTAAGTTTATATACCATGCAGTAGAGGCAGTAGTTTTAATTTTTTTGAAATTATGAAGAAACTTCTAAATATATATATTTAAATTAGAGTTAAAATTTTTATGTCAGTTTACCTATAAAAATAGAAATAAGCTGGCATAAGTTTAATTCATTTACCTACAGAGAATGGGAGTGGTCAGTTTTACTTCTTTAAAATCCTTATCTCAAAAATATGATGAAATGCTAAGTTACTTTTGAGTAGCGGGTACTCTGGAGTTTGTTATATTATTTTTTGTAATTGTTTGTATCACTTTGCACATTGTATTTTCCTCCAAGTAGAATAAAATAAAATAACAGCTTGGTCTGAAATCCTTTGATTTTTCTGGGCAAGTAGGAAGCTGGGTTATATGTTGGTGAAAATAGAAAACTTGCCTGTTTTGTTAGGTTGGATTAGTGTAGGTGAGATGTGCAGATGAGAAGTAAATGAGGGTGAATTTAATGTTAGCTCAATTAATGAGTGCAGAAACATGCAAAGAATTAGGGCGTGATTTAAGCAGGGACTTTCTGCACAATTATTTAAAGGTAACGTGTTGTCTATAAAAGGCATACATTTTCTCATGTATACATGACCCTCCCCACAAAAGTACAGTTTGCCACCTAGATTTTAGTGGTTGTCCTTTTAAGAGGCGGTTTCTGGTAATATCTGTTATATATCTAGTTTACATTTTTCAAACAGCCCCTCAAGTAGGAGTCCAATAATAAGAATTAAAGGAACTTGAGTTTTCCTTAATGTTTTAGGTGCATTATATGCTGCTTTTGAAAATGTGAAGGTGGAACTGATTTTGGCTGGGTGGAGAAGCATTAAACCCATTTTTCTCTTTATTTCCCCCCCACCTCCAACCTCCCAACATGCATTTTCTAAGGTTTACTCATTATAATTTTTAATTTTTACTTTTCAAAATTCACTTTTAATAGAAGGCTGTCAGATTGGCTCCAAGAGCAAACAGCAGGCTGACTGGCGCTTGGCGGAGGAGGGAGAGGGTCGCGCGTTGGGTCTGGGTTTGGGGCTGGGGCTGGAGCTGGCGGGTGGGGAGACTTCAGGAGGGGCCCTAGCAGAGAGACTGCAGTGACACTGCCCTCCCTGGGCTGGTTGAAGCATCTCACTGGTGACGGGTCTGAAAGCACGTGGCTACGTCATGGAAAGCCAGTCTTTTCAATGCAAACTTCAACTCCTCCTCCTCCTCCCTCTAATGCCTGTAACTCACATCCGAGGCTGGGCGAGGAATCCGGAGGGGAGATTTTCCTCATGCTCACGGTTGTTGGAAACTGGAAGAGTGAGAGGAAGGAGGAAGGGGATTTGTGGCGCTCTCTACCTACTACAAGACTGACAAGGGGAGGGGGCACCTAAATTTGCATCTTTTCTTCGTGGTGATTGAGAACTGCAGGTTCAAACCGATCCCACTGAGCACTGGCGATTGATTATAAAAAAAAATCGACACTGGGAGAAGGGAGGCTCTGTCTTCGGCTGTCAGACTCAATCTCGGAGGTGGTATTGGTGTGTGAGTGTGTGTGGTGGTGTTTTTTTTTCTTTTTTTTTCTTTTTTCTTTCTTTCTTTCCTCTTTTTTTTTTTTTCCTTCTCTCCTAGGGGCTACACAATGGCAGTCTTCTCTCAGTAAGATGAATCCTGCTTTGCCTTCTGCAGATCCACCCATCCTCATAGCGATCAAGTAAAAAGGCTATGGTTTTCTCTTTGGGGATCTTTTGTGCATTACTGTTCTCCCTGATTAGTTTTGATCTCAGTTGGGATCTCTTTGCTTTTCTGTTTGGCTTCATGCTGAAAAAGGATTTTTTCTCCAACCCTTTGGTAATAATCCGGTGGTGATCGAGGGGGGATAAATCATTCACCCTGGCCGAAAACAAACAATCACTGAGAAGTCTCAAAGAAATATACCACGTGAGGGGAAAAAACTGGGAGAAGATCCGGAATATTATCGTTTTTCCTATGGTAAAACCGGTGCCCCTCTTCAGGAGAACTGATTTCAAATTATTATTATGCAACCACAAGGATCTCTTCTTTCTCAGGGTGTCTAAGCTGCTGGATTGCTTTTCGCCCAAATCAATGTGGTTTCTTTGGAACATTTTCAGCAAAGGAACGCATATGCTGCAGTGTCTTTGTGGCAAGAGTCTTAAGAAAAACAAGAACCCAACTGGTAAGCGAAACATGCATCATGTTATGTTTTTCCTCATAATAACCTGTCTGTTGCTCATCGAGCTAGATCTGCAGTTCTGCTATGCAGGAAGGCAGGGGAAACATACCAGGAACCAGGACAGTGTTGCATATAGAGGTGTTGCATGAATAAACAAGTAACAGCTGGATCGGCGTCTACGAACCCCAAAACCATTATTGGCATCCCTTGGCTGTGACACAATCCATCACTAGGAGGGAGGAGGAAACTTTTTTTTTTTTTTTAATGTATTTGGTTGCCTATGTTTGGTGGAATAGTGAAGGGCTATGGCTTAAGGTTGTGCCCCAGGCAGCTGAAGCTTCGGTAGTTGCCAGGAAAAAGAACCGCGAGCTCCCCTTACTTCTGCAGCAGGTTCGAGGGACGTAGCTGGGTTCCGAGAACCTGCTCTAGACTTTCTGATTAGCTTGCACAATATTCGCCACCACGATCACCTTTACCAAAGTAAAAGAGGCCCCCTCCCTCGCGGCCCCGCTCCTCCGTCAGCCCCCGCGTCCCTCCCCCGTCCAGCTCCGGGTGCCCGAGCATTAACTCATTCCCCCTGTCTGCCTCTGACACATCCTGCCACCGGGAATACTTGAGCAAGGCTTGCGCCGGGAGGGAACCCCAGACTGAGAGGACAAGCCCAGCCCCTCTAATATTTGTAATTGAAGTCCCCCCCTTTAGAAAGCGGTGTCAAAGCCCTGCGTCGGGGTCCCACAGGGCCAGGGGTGGGGATGAGCCAGGCCGTGAGTTCCTGCTTTTAAGCCTACTGGTGATCATGCGCCCCGATTCCAAAGGGCTCCAACAAGGGAACTTGCAGTACATTACATAAGAAATGCAAATGCATCTGATTTGGGGAGTCGGATCCCAGGGGTTCCCGTCCCCGCGTCTCAGTCCGAGGCGATTGGGGGCGGCCGCGGAGCTGTGGGCGAGCAACCCAGGGGAGGCAGGCTGGAGGGCTGCATGGTGGTGGCGGCGGCGCTGGCGAGGAGGCTGGGCGCAGCCTTTCCCGGAACCGCTCACGCTGGCAGCCGGGAGTGTGTGGCGTCCCCTAGCTCCGTTCAGGGTGGAGAGGGACCCGGGGCCGGCTGTTTTTGTCTGGGGTTGTGTCTGAAGGAGGGAGCGGGCAGATCGGCCGTCCCGCAGTGGCAGCCCGGGCTCTGGAAGCTCCTGACGCTGGCACTGCGGTGCAGTAGATCATGGCTCTCCACGGCCTCCCTGACGCCCTGGGCTCTGCCGGGGGCCGCACTGGCACCCAGAGCCCCAGCGACTGGGGCAGCAAGTGGCTGCTGCCCTCCAGCCTCCGAACCTTGCCAATGCAACGTAGCTGGGGTGGCGCGCTCCGAGGGGTCTGCCGCCTGCGGGTGCAGCGCGAGGCAGAGGAGGAGGAGGTGCGGGTGGGCGGGGACGGAGGCGGTGGGTGCGGAGGCTGAGACCGTTTGCGGCCACCATTCCTGCAGCAAAGGAGAAACTGCGAGTTGTTAGACAGTCTAAAAGGGCAGAGGCTCCTATGCTGGGGCGGAGAAGATTGCCCCCAGCTGGTACTTTGGGGTGGCAATTGAGGCTCTGGTAGTAGCCTCTGGCTGCTCCGTGGACTCGGTGCTGCAGTGGGCTCTGGGCTCTGCCCTGAGTCCTCCTCCCTGTGTTCTAGTTCTTACACCGTTTCTATTCACCCCATCTGTTTCCTCCTCCTCCGTCCTTTTACCCTCCTCTCTTCTTAACTCCTCAGCGTTTAGCAACTCTGAAACGACACACCAACCTGAGAATTGCCCAAGGGGAAAACAGTGTTGTCACCTTTCCACCCGCATGTCTAATTCAGCTATGAAGTGTACCCCAAGATGTACTCCAAGTCCCCGACATCAAACCTAAAACTTGCTGACGCTTGGTTCATACAAAACCAACTTACATCTGCAACACTATCTCACAGCCTAATATGAAGACCCTTTTTGCAAGACTTCTCAAAGTGAGAAAGGCCAAGGGCTGCAGTGGGAAGGGCAGGGGTGACTGCTTTACACTGCAAAAATGGTGGTCTTTTGAACCCTTCTTGTGTCTTTCTGTGAAAAGATTTAACTCTCTTCTGAGAAAGGAATAGTGCAAAAACATTTTTTATTTAGATGTGACCATTTGTCTTAGGGACCTTGAAGTCAGTCCTTCCATAGTACTGGAGAGTGGGAAATAATTTAGCACAGAACAGTAAGTTTCTTTGTAGGCCTTTATAATTTTTTTTGTAAACAATTTTACCGGAAACACTAAATTTCTCCCTATACACGAGTCACAATCTTATTACACTTCCTCCATCCCACCCACTTTCATCTCTCTGGAATAGTTTTTCCCCCCTTCCAAGGCATTTTTGGAAACTGTGGAACAAATGACAATTTATTTTTAGAACAATTCATTTTGCAGCTTATGAATGCTAAAGTATTTGGGTATGAATTGATGGGCTAACTCAAAGTGTATCTAAGAACATTACCAACTATTCTAATAGGATAATTTAGTGTTAGATAACCAGGGATATGAGTTCCAACCAGGGAGTTGGAGCATTTAGTATATATATATATTATATATTATACATATATATAATATATATATTTAAATGGGACATTAATGTGTCACATTATTTATCTTACCTTCTAAAAGTTTTAGCCTGTTAAGCTTGAATCGAACCCATGCCAAGCCATTCCCTTTCACTATTGTACTTCGTGAGTTCCATTCTCCTGCTAGTAACATAAAGCCTAAAATCTTTTGCAGGTTTTTGATCCCAAAATAGCAGTAGAACTAAAAAGTTAATTGGGTAATTAAAATGAAACAAACACTAAAATTCTTTTAACTGTTACAGCCAAAAGGAACAGATTGACTACTACCTATTATGTTATCTTAAATTTAAAAAGAGAACAATTAACTGGTTTCAAACTAAGAAACTTGGGAGAATACTGCCAAATACCAGTGAATTTGGTGTAAAGCACCTATTCTTATTTCAGAGATAAATAATAGGTTAATTTTCCTTCCTATATCTTTGGAAGTTATGAAATAATTTACTGATTATTTCCAATTCGCTAAACTGTCAACAAGTGTAGGTGGTTCAAGCATTCGTGGAATTTCAGAGCACCGCTATATAATCAAGTTGGTGTGAAAATAAGCAGAAAATAGAGTTACGAATTTAAGGACAAAGTTATTCATCTACCCAAAAGTTATTGATTAGCTCATTATTAATACTTATATAAGAGGTCTTCATTAAATAGTGTTTTGGGCTTGTTTTATGTAAAATTTAACTGGAAGAGAACATGAAAAATGTGTTTGCACAATATATGCTTTTTAAAATAAATTCCAATAGCTTAAAAGTCCTGGATATAAAGTAAATTTGCTATCTTCATTAAAACACCCAGTCTAACAACTATTATCAGAGAACACACACACACACACACACACACACACACACACACACTCTTAAATGTCCTACTTTCCTAGCAGAGCAACAGCTATGCATTTAGAATAAATGTTACCTGCTTCAACTTTCACTGTAGGAGTCATGCAAGGTGACTTTATTTTAGGCAAATCATTAAATAGGGAATACTAAGTCCAAGGCATTTATTTTGCTTGAAGGAGGCTTCATAGGTTTCTTTAAACCAGTATGATAGTTTGGATTGACCAATGTATATAATAGGCCCGTTCTGGAAATAATCTAGGTCACTGCACTTTAAGCCAAGGGTACTAAGGAAAGAAGTGTGGTTGAAAAAAGAAAATCCACAATAAACATAAATACTAAGGTCATGTCATTGCTGTCTCTTCAGGCACATAATGTAAAACAAGCAAAGGAAGCCACAGACCCTCAAATAGATATACCCACTCAACCACACACAGGATATCCCCAAACTTCCATGGCTTGGTAGGATTTTGGAAAACACAGATTTTAAGATAAATCATAATCTAAGAGGATTTTATTGAGTACAAATGTCAGTGCCCAGTGTTAGTACGAAGCAGACGCCCTAGACCTAGTTCTGCACAGCACACTGAGAACATTCCATCAATTCTCTTTTTCTGAACTCAGTCTCCCGCTCTGTCGTGTAACTTTGAGGTGGAACATGCAGGGCTTGGTAGGACCCATGATCACTTTCTATTTCCTACTTGTCTGGCTGCCTTTCAGCTCTGCTTTTGCCTTTCACTAAGCTGTTTTAGGTGCCAAAACACCTGGTATGCCACTGTTACTCATTTAAATATACGTTTTTTTAAAAAGCTACTTGCTTTACATCTAGGGCTGTCATGGTGTTTGGAAGTGAGAAAATAGGAAGAGAGGGAAGAAGAGTGAGCACTTTTTACTCCCCTCCTTCTCAGCCTACCGACTCATCCTAGGTTCCAGTAGAGCTGGGTGAGCCACAAATGGGCCACAACCTCTGCAAGTCTAAACACTGAGTATATTTCAAATGAAAACATCAAATTCAGACTGCACGTCTGGAACAGCAAACAGATGTAAGCTGCTTCTTCTAACATGCTTGGCTGTAGAGTGGGATTCAATGTAGTATTAGTTGGCCTTAGACTCCATCCAGGAAGCTTATTTACTGAGGTAACAAAATGGGTTTTGTAGAGCAGTGCCACTCCATGAACCAAAGGATGGCATTTTAGGTAGGCTTCGGAGTACTGCCTTGTTGGGAGAGTAGATTTTTCTTTTTTGAAATGTATATCCCAGTTAATAAGTGTAAAATTCAATGCATGATAATCTAAACTTAGTTTTAACAATGAAGATGACTTTGGCTGTACAACTTGTTCTCATCTTAGACAGCATCCATAACTGAGAAAATTTGTTCAAATGATGCAGTACTTTCTGAAAGTGCTAAAGCTAATTCTATACTATACTTCACGTTTCCTACAATGAACCATTCCTTTAAAATGTTCGAACCCAGTCTTCCATGTTTTAGCAACACAAACATTGGAGACTTTTGTGAAGTGTTTTTATACATATGGTAACAAGGACAACAACCAATGTTTTCACTCCTTTGCACATTTTGGCATCATACCTCACTCAAATTGACTCATACGCCTTCTATAAATACCACGTAGATGTCTCAAAATGGAAGCATTTATTCAAAATAGTGTCTTTTGCCTTAAGGGGAAACAGTTGGGCTGTTTGAACAGTCTAACAGGAGCTCTTCTCTTCAGTGTTAAACAAGTCATTGCACTGTGCCTATTTTTAATAAAACCTTTGAGCCCAACTCAGTATTACCTCCAGGAGGGACTGTGGAGGTAATACTATTTACCTCCTGTAAATAGGGACAGGGAAACACCTATTTACACATCTGCCTGCTCACTGCCATAGTCTGTGTGGTGTTCCTTAGGACTTGTGTACCAGGTACAAGGTTTAGTTATGTGTTGAACCCGGGTACTGAAGGGCATGGAGTTTTCTGAGGGAGACTTCTCAGCTCCCCGTATACCTCTAGAGATGCAATAGCTCTTTTGTATCAAGACCAACTATGTCCTGATGTTTTCCCTGTGTAGTTCTCTAGCTGCCACTATTTTTTTTACTTTGGTCAGAATGTAAAAGGTAGGATGATGAAGAGAAGGGAACAAAAGGAGGGATTCTTAGGGACTTCCTAAACTTGAAGGCAAAAAGGATGAATGTCGCAGACATGTTTTATAGGGAACAGTGAAGTTCTTGTTTGATTAGTCTGGTAACATCATGTAAGAAAGTCACCCAACAACTGCTGGGCACCACTGCCTTTGTCACTGTCTCTTGACAAAAACTCTGTTCACGACACATGGTAGGTTTTCAATACACTTTAATAAAATAGTGAAAAATAGGTATCTCTAGGATAGTGAACTATGGGACTACAAAGGGCAGGACGATACATTTTACTTGGTTAAATTCGCTTAATGCTTACTCCTTTCTCAAAGCGCCAACCAAGAATTTGGCTACTAAATAAAGAAAAAAGCTGTTAGTGGCTCTTTATCCGCCACGATAGGGTGCTCTGAAACCCGGTCCTGCAGACATTCCCTTGGCCCACATTTTATAGCTTCCTTCTCAGTCTCAAGGCCTGTAGTCTACTGTTCACACTCGAGCCTCTCGCAAAATACACAAGCTCAAAAGCTCATGGCGTTCTCCCCATCTGGCATTCTCGGCCTTAGAATAGCAAACGTTAGGGCACCATTAGGTTCATAGTTGCCAGACCCTTCATTTTCTTTTTTAATCTTTAATTTTCTTCTTAACAAGGAAGACATTCCGCAAAAAATAAACTCCCTCTTTTGAGCTCCTTTCTCTGAAGATGGTAACTGGAACTCTCATTAGTAAAGAACCTCGAGTTCCAGTTGCTTTGGACGGAGTTTCTCGCTTAGTATTTTGCTCTTTGGCAGTTTGAAAAGCAGTAATCTTCCAACTTCGCAGCTCCCTGCACTCGCGCCTACCACCCTGATCTATTTGGCTTTCTCCTTTTTGGAGCCACTTTAAAAGGTGCAGGGTGCTGGGCCGCTGTGGCCTCGGGCTGAGAGGCGGGGAGTTGGTGTCCGGGACCAGAAAGTTTGGCAGAAGCCACGGCTCTGGGCCCAGGCCCCGGGCTTCCAGAGAAGTGTGTCATTATTTGTTTTCTGCAAAGCCGCGAGCGGGCCCACGCTGCAGCTCTGCCTCCAGGCGTGGAACCCCTCGGTAATCCGGGTGAAGCTGGGTTCCGAGTGTGGACTGCTTCGGCTCTGAGGAGGAGGGAGCCCAACGGGCCAGGCACGGGCTTCCTCCTGGCTTTACCCATTGGCCCAGAGTCCCCGGTCCCGCCGCCGCTGCCCTCTGCTCACGGGGACCGGCCATCACCGCGCTCCCAGCCTCGGCTCGCCGGGGGCTTCGCTACGCAATGCGGCGGAAGCGGCCCGTTGGAGCCGCCGTAGCGCGGGAAGTTTCCGTTGCCACGGAGATGACCTCTGACCCTAGGGCGTCTCTGGGACCCGGCAGCTTGTGCTGTTGTTGCTATGGAAACCATGGCGGCCGGAAGCCGCCGCGCGGGAGAGACTTGGGGCGCGGGTCGGGGCTAGGGCTCCTGCCCTGGCAGAGATCTTCGCTCTTCCGTGGTGGCCGGGGACCGGGCAGTGAGCGGCCGGCTCTGCCGCCCGCGGGGCGCGGGTTTGCAAGGTCACTCCTCCGGCGTTGACGCGGGGGCACCCCATGTGCACTGCTGGACCTGAGGGATGGGAAAGCCACAGGTGGCTGCCTTGGCCCTCCCGGTCTGGCCTCCCGCTAGCGGGCGCCAGCTCTGGACCCGAGACCCATCTGAAGGAAAGGGAAGGGAGCTGGCGTTGCTGGTGATTCTGCCCAAGCTCAGGACTGGGAGAGAACGAGCCAAGTTCTGGTCTCAGCTTACACACTAGCTACTGGGAGACCCTGGGCGGGTCCTGAAGTTTTCTGGGCTTCAGTCCCCTCGGCTACTACAAGAAGGATATTGATTAGAGTAATCCCAGATCAGCCCCAGCTCTAATATTCTAGGTTCCCATAACGTTCACACCCAGTCCTGATTGTAAGTAAACTTCCCTCACCCCTTCCCTGTATCTCTCCCGGACTATGTTAACTATATATTTAAATTGTACTCTAAATTCAGAGACCATCAGAGATAAGAGGTTGACCTTAGCGATCACAAACAACCTGTTCCTTTTACAGGTGTGGCAACTCCTTCCCAGTGGAGGAAGCGACTGTTCCAAGAGCCAGTTTTGGAATTGTAGGCACAAACACAGGTAGAAGCTTTGAGCCTTGGGTGAAGAAACGCGTATTTTACTGGTGACACTAGGAAGAGCTCCTCATGCGCTTCATAGAATTGTGTGGTTGGTGCTGAAATAGATGGCATTCCATTTATCCATTATATTCCCCAGATACCTTTTCCTTAGACAGTTTTAAGATTTTCGGGGTAGGGGAGGGTATCTTCACTAGTTTATTTTTCCTTCTCTCATATCCATGCTATTGGGAAAAATCTTTCTTAAATCTTTTTTATAAACCTCATTTGTAAATTAAGAAGTTGAAAAAGATTATTTTCAGAGTTTATTACAACTCTGAAATTTATGAATTATTTCTTTTAGGTCCACGTGCTTTTTATCACTTTTTCAGTAACTACAATCTCAAAAAAACAAAAAACAAAACTTAGTAAACACTTAAAAAGTGCTGCTGTGTTTGAACTGTTGATGCTGGAGATACAGGGGTGAAGAAGAGTTCTTCCTTCAAGGAATTAGCAGGAAAGACAAAAGACAGGATCAATTATGATGTGGTGAACAATTCTGTGTAGGTGGACCAAGGTGCTATAGGGCCAAGGAAGAGGGGCATGGAAAGGTTTCTGGAGGGAATAAAACTCAGACTGAGTCATGAAGAATGACTAAGAGTTAGCCACGTGGTAAAGGCACTGGTTAGGCTGTCAAGGAAGAGAAAGAAGCATACTTTAAGCTTTGGGGGCGTCAAAGATTGTGGTGCAGACCGAGAATATCAAGTACAACTGAGAAATAGAGGGTGTTTCTAGGGAGTGGCAGGTAGTGAGTGGGGTTGCAAGGTAGTGAGGCACAGATCGTGAGCTCTCTTCTGTGTCATGATCATATCTACCCTTTAGACAACCATTATGACTACAGCGTGGAAAACAGCTCTGGGTTGGGCAAGGTTGAAGGTGGAAAGACCAGGGAGGAAGAGCAGTGAGCAGTGGTGAGCGGTCCAGAATAAGGCAGTGACAGGCACTAGAGAGGAAGTGAAGTCCATCCATCTTAGTGGCCAGTTTGAATTTGGGAAGGAAGTTGAAGGAGGAGTCTGGAATTTTCTGATTACAGGTTTTTGATTTGGACAGTTCTGGTGAGCTAGTCTTCTGGCCATTTGCCAACAGAACACTTCCATCTTCTTGAGACATGGTTGGCTGTCTTCTGACTGTTTATATTGAGGGGCCGAGGTAGCTTTTAACAGCAAGTAGGAGACTTAGACAAGCTTCTCTTTCTAGATTAAAATTTAAATGGACAGTTCTGGGAGAGTTGCTGTGGGATAAAAAGTTCATCTTGATTTCAAACCCGAAAATCCTTAGGACTGGGAAAAAATGCTTTACAATAAAGATATGCCAAAATGATTTTTTTAAACGATTATGTACAATTCTTTGTCAATAGCAGATGTTTTTATGGACACAATACTTTGTTCAGTTTGAGGAGTCAAGTAGTGCAATTAAAAGCCAAGTTTTCAGATTTACTATTCAGGTCTGGCAAGAAAAGAGAAGGAAGTATGAACTTTATTGAATTTACATATGTAAGTTTGCACACGTGCTTTTTTAGATAGGAATGAATGTAGTTAAAATGCCTTTTTTTCCTCCTGTAGCATTTTGTTGTCTGCACAATTATAGTGGATCACTGAAGTGTGTGGTAACCTTATCTGTAATGCTGCATCTTAAAGGTGTAGCTTGGGAGGGATTGTAATATCTGTTCTTTCCACTTCCTGTGTGGAGCACATGGTATAATATTGTACTTTAAGAAATATGAACATAAGAAGGCTTAAAGACTAAAAGAGAAATCATATCTCATAATTGTAGTCCTTTTTGTTTCAACAGCCACTTATTTGTAGTCTGAAACTCATCTTCTTTAGTTGTATTGCTGCTGTATACCAGGTGTTGTAACTTTTAAGCAAAGAAAGGACCCTGTCTGCTAGGAGAACTGAGTCAGTTTTCTACGTAAGCACTCAGTAGTAACCATCATTTGGCCTTAGCATTTTATTGTTGGGACAAATTGAAAGCAGTAACACAATATGCTCTTTCCTCCTTCATTGCTAAATGAGTTGATTTGTTTCCTGAGAAGTGATGTTTTCCATTAACTTGATTATTTTTTCTTGTACCTTTAAAAATTTTTTCAACTCACATGACAAGTAACATAAAATACCTCACATCTCAGACAAATAATAATGACTGTTAAATATTGGAAATACTTTTAATGAGATCAGTACCAAATGTTAGAGATATTTTAATGATGCAGTTAAGAAATTTGATATAGGATAAAAATTTTACATCATTATTGCTTATTATTATCTCTTTTCTAGTTTTCTTTTAAAATGTTGGGAATAATTTTAAACAACACAGTACTGAGGCCATTCTGGTACATGTGTGGCAGATGTGACTCTGTATGGGGGATACTAACTGTGACATGAATGCTATAGTTAGTATGTGGTCTGATATGCAGCCATAAAGTCCGCCCAGCTTTGTCAGACCGCTTGCCCTTTGTTGTAGCAAAGTGCTTTTCCAGTACTGATATTTCATCCCTTTGTCTCCTTCTCCCTGTATTTGTACTATCCGATTCTAGATTTTGTCCTTTTACATATTTTTTAGTCATGTTTTTCAAAAATTTTGTCATCAACTTACTCTTCAGGCAAGATCAGGATTAGTATTCAATTGGATTTACCTCTTTTACATTCATTACATTAGGAAAATAGACCCAAAATAATAAAATAGTTGTCTGAGAGTAAATGAGAAACATCTGTCTGAACTTGAAACATTTACCCAAAATGATATTTATTCGGCTTAAGTTTTTTCTTTCTGTACTTCAAATTAACATGTAAAAGAACGGTGATGTGGATCTACTGCATTATTTGATTATATAATTAAATGACTTTTAGGGCATGGTAAATCTCTCACCTAGTTTTCCCGTTAACGAATGTATATTACACTTACTAGATTTTTAAAATTATATTACTCTTTTGCTTTAACAGAAATGTTCTGAATTATTTTGAATCCTGTGTTATTATTAGTTGATAACAACTAATCTTTAGAGAATGCTTCTATATACTAGGCACTCTACCTATACTATCTAATTTCATCTTTAAAATCACAGGAAAATCTTTTATACTTCTGTTAAAAATTATGAAGCCCAAGCATGAAAAGATTAAGGAAGTTACTGGAGAGTACCTAGCTAGTAACTGAAAGATCTGAGTATAAAACCAAAACCAAGTAATCTGACTCCAGAATACATACTCTTAAATCCCTAAATTGCAGCTACCGCTCTAGAAAGGATGTTGAACAGAATGCTTGTGAAAGTGATCAGTATTTCTCCTAATGTTTTTGTGAATTATTCTGTCCTGAAACTAAAAGGGACTGTGATATATTCACTGTTTAGCTATCTAGAATTTTTAATGCTTTCTTAGTGAGATATAATTTATATACATTAAAATGCACAGTCTTAACTTTATAGCTTGATGTATTCTAACAGTTGTGTGCATCATTGTAACCACTACCCTAGTTAAGATATGGAATATTCCTATCACCCGCCCCCAAAATTTTTCTTATTTCCATTCTGTTCCTACCCATCCCCACTCTGAGAAGCAACCGCCATTCTGATTTCTCTCCCCTTAGTTTGACCTATAGTAGAACTTCATATCATTAAATCATGAAGTCTTCACACTTTTGAGTTTGCCTTTTTCACTCAACATATTGTTTCCGGGATATGACATTGCATGTTAGACGTGGAGAATTCAACATGGTAGCTTCTGTTTTATTTTTTAAACCGGAAACTCCTAACATCTAAAAATTTCAGGAACTACCAAGGGTCTCACAGTTTACCCAGCTTGCTAGTCTGCTGCAGTTACATGATGCTGGCAGAAGACAGGGGACTCCTGGGTCAGAGACAGGGGATTTTATCACTCAGAGCATAGAAGACAGCATGAGCTTCATGTGGTTGTCAGTTCCCTGTATGTCCCAAAATCCTTTCAGGGGCAATGCTGAGTGTCTCAGGTGGATGCTTGCTCACAGCGGATTTGTGTCATTGCTCAGTGGTCTGTAATGCAGCCATATCAGGAAATTCCCAATCTTTTAAGGGGCTTCTAGCAAAGCTGCCTAATCTTTCTCTGCAGGGAGGTGTTATCTTTATTATCCTGGTCAGGAAACAAATCTGTCCTCTAACCTGGAGGGAGGCACCATCTCTAGATGACAAGGTGGTTTGTTATGCAAATATTTTTGCAAGGACAGTCTGGTACAAAAGCTGTTAGAAGATGTGCAGTAATGCCATGAGAAAATTCTCATTTAAATCTATTTCTGCAAGGTAACTCTTTCTTCCTTTTCTATTTCTCTTGGCACTGCCATGCTTACTGCTCTGTTGATGTATTTACTCTTTAGAAAAATAACTGTTATTTGGAAATTATCTTAAAATCGATCATGAAGTTTTGAGAAGGTAGTATACATCCTATATGATAAACTTATCTGCATTTATTAAGTAACTAATATGTGATATGTTAACATTACATGTTAGTTACTGGGGGAGATTTAAAACATTCTATAAAGGTTTGGTCTTTGACCCACAAGTAATAAAACTAAATGTATGGAGAATACTAGATATGAGAAAGAATTCTGCTAGAAAACTCATCGAGGATGAAAGGGGAAGAAGGGGAAGAAGGGGAAATCTTTTAGAGAAGCATGACCTAAGTTGACTCTTGAATGTGTGTTTCTATTGGTAGGAGAGATAAGCATATTCTTGGCAAGAGGAGTAATGTGAATGAAAGTCAAAGGCTGGGATTATTTATGGATAGAGTGAAAGGTACATGATTGGGAGTTATGGGAAGTTAATGGAATCATATTTTAGCGGCTTAGTGAAATCATATTTTGGGGTCCAAAAGCCTTGTAGAGGAATTAGCTGGGATGTGGTGAAAATTAGTGAACTAGAGAACTTTTCCAAAAAGAGAAACGACATGATTGAGAATGGCTCAATTATAATTGGGTTGTATAACTGATTGTGGGGAGGGGCAGTACTAGGAGGAAGGAGGGATTTTTGTACTAAGAAAGCAATAAAATGAAAATGTCCTTCTGTTAGTTCGAAATGGGAAACAGGAGCTTGGATGAAGGGATGGTTCTGGGTATGTAATATGAGCAGGAGAGAAATTGCTCAGTAATTAGGAAGGGATGAATCGAAGGCATACGTTGAGAAATTGTGGGCCAGGAAGGGCATTGCTTTCTTGGAACCTGGAAGGATGCGTGAAACAGAAGGTGTAAATGAGAGACATGGGAGTCAACTGTGGACTGTGGTGCCTCATGGGAAAGTGGCCTCCATCGACTTTTGGAAGTCATAGATGGTTTGTTGAGAATGTGAGATAGGAAATCTAGTTAGCAGGTACATTTATGTTGTTGTTACATGTAGTTGATAGTTGTCTGAGCATACATTATACATCTTTCTATACAATTTGAGCCTACTTTGTAGTTTTAATTTTCTTATGCAATTTGGAGTCACTTTGCTAGCCCTGATGACGTTACTGGCTTTCTAAATAAGGGGAGAATGGCTTTGACTACTTTCTTCAAGATACACTGAACAACTTTGTAGTATTGACATACTCTTCTTAGCAGCATTTTATTTCCCTGCAAAATGATGTTTTCTACATTGAGTACACATGGACACAAAGAAGGGAACAACAGACCCCAGGGACTACTTGAGAGTGGAGAAAGAGAGGAGGATGAGGAGTTGAGGATCAAAAAACTACCTATGGCCTGGGCACGGTGGCTCGTGCCTGTAATCCCAGCACTTTGAGAGGCTGAGGCGTGTGGATCATGAGGTCAAGAGATCGAGACCATCCTGGCCAACGTGGTGAAACCCCGTCTTTACTAAAAATACAAAAATTAGCCGGGCGTGGTAGTATGCGCCTGTAGTCCCAGCTACAGGAGGCTGAGGCAGGAGAATCGCTTGAACCTGGGAGGCAGAGGTTGCAGTGAGCCGAGATTGTGCCACTGCACTCCAGCCTGGCGACAGAGCGAGAGTCCATCTCAAAAAAACCCAAAAACTCTCAAAAAACCAAACAAAAAAAAAACTGCCTAGTGGGTACTATGCTTATTACTTGGATGAGAAAATAATCTGTACACCAAACCCCTGTGATACACTATTTACCTACATAACAAACCTGCACATGCACCCCTGAACCTAAAAGAAAAGTTTAAAAATATAAAAATAAATGATGATGTTTTCTAGTAAAGCCCTGCAACTAAGAAGGACTGAAAATGTCATAGGCTATTTGGATATAAGGACTTTTTTTTTTTAACCAGTTTGGACCATTATTTTTTCTGTAAGAATTCCAGCATGCTGCTGTGGCTCTAGTGTTGATCATATGTTTTAGTAACCTTTATGATCATTGCTTAGAGGAGATACACATTAAGGAACAGTTGGCTAAAAGCACAACTTTTAGAAATAATTTTTGCTTTCCTTACTCTTTTCTGTTATAAAATTTGAATTGTGTTTCAAGGGGTCAGTATCTGGCTCCTGGATGTTTGAATGCTTAAGAATGACACAAAATTTATAAAGTGATATTTTAAGGAAGGTAACTTTTGTGAAAATGAGAGCAACTAAATTCTCAATGGCTATTCAAATTTTATAAAAATGTAACTAATAATGCCTTATTCTCAGCAGTTGCAATTTCTTTGATTTAAAACTAGGATCCTTATTGGAAATCATGGTTTATAAGACTGGTATTTATAGGGCCACAAGCATGATTCATACAAGAAGGGGAAGGGTCCATTTTAGGTGGTGATAGCAGTAGTAGACATACTGTGGTGGGAGCAAATTGGCAGCACAAACCTGAATTCTGTCATTTTAGTGGGTGAGTGAGTAGTGATTTAATCAAACTTTTCGCAAATGAGTGCGAATGCAATAGACAGCTGCACAGTACTAAATCCTGCAGCATTAAATAAACGGTTTGAATTTTGTATGAACATAACTTTGAATGAAAAAGTAAAATGTACACCCTTTCCATGTAGAGGTGCCACTTCGGAGTCACGAACAAATCTGTGTCATATGGAAATGTGCACAGTTTCCTACCCAGCCTCTCTGGTGCCAACTAACTTGTATTTGTGAGAGCCTGAGGAAAGGAAGTCAGGGTCATTCAGTTCACTCTGTGTCTTACAACTTTACTCTCGCTTTTGTTATTGAAAGCAGAAGGAGGCATTATGTCAGCGTATCTTGATAACAGTTTTTGCCTGACTATGCTTTTTCCTTTTAGTGTTACAGTTTTAATGTAAGACAAATCTTTGACCATTTTTTATGTATCCTTTCAAATTTATAATTGGTAGAAATACTTTTAAATATTTTTGTAGGGGCCAGGCGCGATGGCTGACACCTGTAATCCCAGCACTTTGGGAGGCTGAGGCGGGCAGATCACTTGAGGTCAGGGGTTCGAGACCAGCCTGGCAGACATGGCAAACCCCATCTCTACTAAAGATATAAAACTTAGCCTGGCTTGGTGGCACATGCCTATAATCCCAGCCACTTGGGAAGCTGAGGCAGGAGAATCACTTGGACCCAGGAGGCAGAGGTTGCCGTGAGCTGAGATTGCTCCACTGCACTCCAGCCTGGGAGACAGCAAGACTCCGTTTCAAAAAAAAAAAAAAAAAAATTACTGTATATTTTGTTGGGAGCTATTCTTATCTCCCTCCCCTTTAGAATTACAAGAAAATTAAGGAAAATAATAAGAGTTAGTACTGTTAATAAATATGCCAGTGTAAGTTCAAGGAACTTCAAAAATTGTGTAAAAGTGACGTTCGGGTAAAACACATCATATTTATTTCCTAAACGCTATATTACATTATGGCAAAATTGCTGTATTTTAAGCTGCTAAATAGTGAAATACTGCTTTAACACAGTACTTCACAGGTTAAATTTTTGTTTGAGTTTTCCCAATTTGAAAGGCAAATACAAAGCAAGTTGAATGTATTTATGGGTGTGTATGTATGCCAGACATTTAGCTTGGGACAAAATTTTAAGTGTTTGTGCACTTACCCCATCTGTTGGCCATTAGAATCTTTCACCCAAGAGAGCTACTCAGAAAGGATTGATATTAATAGTAATTTGAAGACAGAAATAAATAGCTTAGAAGTGGGTTCAGTACAAAAATAACTTTTTGTGTTTTAAATTTGTGATTTTGAAAATAAAAAATGATATTTCATATCCACATCAGTTCATTTCATGGCTTTCAAGTAGCTTTTGTTGAGATTATTTTAAATTAAAATTTAGATGCTGAGATCTACAGAATAGGATGTAATTGAAGAACAAGACATTTTTAAGTATGTCTGTTTCCTGTATCAGGTTTACTAGTCAGGCATCTTGGTTATTGGTATTTATTCATTGGTACAGTATAACCAGCTATTACTCACTTCTTCTCATAAGTAAGTAAGCCACATAGATAACTTAGAAGTAAGTGTTGGAATCTCCAAATGTGTGGTATATTTAAGTTACATTATAGGTTCTTCTATAGGTTCAGGGTTGTCTGATACCATGATTTTTCTGTATACTAGCAGGTATTAGAAGAAAGGCAGAAAATAAGATGCAAAAGAAAAAATATGTAGTCAGTAAGTCTTTAGGCTATTCAAAACTTCACAGGGAGGAAACGAAAAATGTTCTGAATAATTCTGTTGGCTGCTGTCTCCATATGGTCATTGCAGGAGTTTTAACATATCGTATATCATTGATTTCTATTGTATGTGGTTAGACATACTTGACAATAGTTGCCAATACTTTTACCTTATAGTCTCCTAAGGACTGCTATGACTCTTTCATATCTCCTTATTAATCTTTTATGTAAAAGAACAAAAGGTGAAAATCTCTGGTGTAGGTGCTGTCCTGCATTATTTTTTGTTTATTTTGTTTGTTTGTTTTTAGTTTTCCTTTAGATACTTTGTAAGCAGGGAGGAGATTCAAAGGTTTTGATTCCAAGACTTCCTTAAAAATTAATCAACTTGTGATGACTTTGAGAGCTGATCTCCAAGTTGATCAGAAGCGATGGTTTAATAAAACAGTAAATAAAATATGTAGACTGTGGCATGTATCTGTAAGGGTAACATTTAACAGTTTTTTTTCTGATTAGTATTGTAGGGTACAGTAATATCATAGAGTAATCTTTCATTTTTGTGGCTCTGATGCTATAGGGCTCAAGAGGAGGGCATGGCAGGCTTCCTGCAGGGCATAAAATTCTGACTGACTCACAAAGAATGATTGAGGATTAGTCGGGTAGGAAAGGCACAAGGTAATTGTTCAAGAAAGAGAAAACAGTAAACCTTAAATATTTTTAGGGGCATGAGAGAGTGTGGTGAGTACCAAGAATGACAAGTATACATAAATGAGGGGTAGGAATTTGAGTTGATTTGCCTTCCAGTAGACATAATGATATGTGAAATCTGAGAGTTTTACCTTATCAAGAATATTTATCCTTTGTACCTCCCAAATATACCTCTAGTAGTTCTTTGTCGTGTAATACAAGAGACAGATTTGCAGCCATTTTTTAATTTGCCACACATGATAGATAATATTCTCATGTCTAATGCAATTTTATAAATATTTTTTCCTACCCACAAGTTTTAACTTCCCTTTTTTGCTACATCTCAAAAAAAAATTATAAATCATGTAACAGAAATGCTACTAGAAAAATAGTTTTGAATACATTTTGATTATAGAAAAAACAAACATTGAAAAACACTGGAACTTTTTTATTATTAACAAGTTACTTGAATAACATCTTGCGTCTGATCATGGCATGTGAGTAATTGGAACACCATGACTGAGAACTGATATTACATTTTAACATATGAGAGTTGGTCTCCTTTTAAAAAAGATATTAAAATTTTTTGTAACATTTTTAATGTGTGATACCCCATTTCAGATAGTTGATTTCACACCCAACCCTTCCTGAATTCCTTCTACATGAAGGAGAGTGCGCTTGGCCCCATGGGTGATACATGAATCAGACAGGGTCTTAATCTTCCCAAGGGGATTAGAGGGCACTGGAAAGTTGGATAAAAATGAAGAATTGCTGGGGATGGTCAATCCTGGAGCTAAAGCAGTGATTGATAGAGGTGGAGGAATAAACGGATCTATCCTCATTCCCCTTTTTTCTCCCATTCCCTTTCTCTCCTTGTCACTGCCAGTCATGACAGGAGATTCTACTCATTGGACCAGATTAGGAATAGATTTGGACTGGAATATTTCCAAACAGAATGAAGAGTACATGGCTGTCCTTAGATAGCATTTGATAAGTTGGGTACATTTTTAAGTTGAAAAGATAGTAATATGTTGAAAATAGTAATAGCTATTACTTCTACAAAGTAGGTTATGACTGGAAATTGGTTTATTGTCCAACAAAGCTGATTGACAATGCTTTTAGGGCCTTTGTGCATTTTTTCTTTTAAATATGCTTACTTCACCACAAATAAACATATTTGTCTAATGAATACTAACACAACTTCAAAGAACTTTTTTGTTATTTAAGAAATCTAAAATAATTGATATAACAATTATTTTTATAACATATTTTTATGTAAGAAATCTAAAATAATTGGTATAATTGATCACAATTCTAGTTGTAATTGCATTTCTTAAGCCCAGATTGAGTTATAAATCTCACTTTTGTAACAGCTTTATTGAAATATAATTCATATACCATAAAATTTACCCTTTTAAAGTATACAATTCAATAGTTTTTAGTATATTCACATAGTTGTGCAACCATTACCACTATCCAATTCTAGAATATTTTCATCAACTTAAAAAAGAAATCCCATACCTATTAGCAGTAACTCTCTATTTCCCCATTCCCTATCCCCTGGCAACCACTGATATGCTTTCTATGTCTTATGAATTTGCTTATTCTAGATATTTCATAAGAATGGAATCATTCAATATCTGGCTTCTTTTATTTAGAGTAATGTTTTCAAGATTCAAGCATGAATCTATATTTCATTTTGTTTCATTATTGTATAGTATTCCACTGTGTGGATATACCCCTTTTTAAAATTCATTCTTCAGTTGATGGACATTTGGGTTGTTTTCATTATTTTACTACTATAAATAATGCAGCTATGAACATTTATGTATACATTTTTACATGGACATATGTTTCAATTCTTTTGGGTATGTAACTAGCAATGGAATTACTAGGTAAGATGATAATCTATGTTTAACATTTTGAGTGACTACCAAATGTTTATCAAAACAGCTGCACATTTTACATTCACTCTAGCAATGTATGAGGGTTCTAATTTCTCCATATCTTTGTCAACACTTGTTATGATCTGTTTTTTTGATAGTAGTAATTTTGGTGGCTGTGAAGTATGTCATTGTGTATTTGATTTGCATTTCTCTAATGACTAATGATGTTGAGCATCTTTTAGTTGCTTACTGACCAATTGTATATCTTTGGAGAAATGTCTACTCAAATTATTTGCCCATTTTTAATAGGGTTGTCTTTCTATTTTTGAGTTGTAAGAGCTCTTTTTGTATTCTAGATACAAGTTTCTTATCAGGTATATGATTTAGAAGTATTTTATCCCATTCTGTGGATTTTCTTTTCACTTTCTTAATGGTGTCCTCTAAAGCACAAAGTTCTTAATTTCGTTGAAGTCTAGTTTATGTGTTTATTCTTTGTCACTTACATAGTTGGTATCATACCTAAGAAATGATCTCCTAACCCAAGATCATAAAGATTTTGTCCTAAGTTTTTCTTAGAGAGTTTTAGCCCTTATATAGGTCTGTGATCTGTTTTGACTTAATTTAGTAGATGCTGTGAGGTAGGGGTCCAACTTCATTCTTGTGCCTGTAGACATCTAATTTTTCAAGGAACATTTGTTGATAATCTCATGGGACATGTAAATCTCATTTTGAATTGACATATAACCAAAATACCTTTTTACCATTCTTAATTTGTTTTACCAAAGAACACTCTAAAAATGTCCTGGTGTTTCAAAGAAATAAATTATTGTATATTACATGAAATGATAATAGGGATACTGTAAACATTTTTTCTAACAATGCATGCCTACTTTTACTATAGCTTTACTTAGAACTTTTAAAAAATTAATACTCTTGTGAAACATATAAGCACTTTCAAGAAATTAATATCCTCTTGAAACTAGAACATGTTTTAGCCCATTCCGGCTGCTATAACAAAATTCCTTAGACTGGGTATTTATTAATTTCTCATGTTTCTGGAGGCTGAAAAGTCCAAGATCAATGCACCAGCAAATTCAGTGTCTGGTGAGGGCTTGCTCTCTGCTTCAAAGATGGTGCCTACTTCCTGCATCCTCACATGGCAGAAGGGAAGAACAATCTTCCGTGAGCCTCTCTTACAAAGGCACCAATCCCATTCCTGAGGGGAGAGCCCTCATGACCTAATCATTTCCTAGAGGCTCCACCTCTTAATATTAATTGCATTGAAGATTAGGTTTCAACATATTAATTTTGGGGGAACGCAGACATTTAGACCACAGCAAACACTAGACTATTTGTAGATAATGGAGTGAGCAATTTTTATGTACAGATGGTTGCTGACTTAGAATGGTTTGACTTACTATTACTCAACTTTACAGTGGTATGAAAGCAATATGCATTCAGACTGCCCATACAACCATCCTGTTTTTTACTTTAAGTACAATATTCAATAAATTGCATAAGGTATTCAACACTTCATTATAAAATAGGCTTTGTGTTAGATGATTTTGCCCAACTGTAGGCTAATATGTGTTCTGAACATGTTTAAGGTAGACTGGGCTAAGGTAAAGATGATTAGTAGGTTAGGTGTATTAAATGGATTTTTGACTTACAGTATTTTCAGTTTACAATAGGTTTATTGGGACATAACCCCATTATAAGTTGAGGAGCAGCTATATTTATCTTTGATTAAAAATGGTTCTGACTCTTTATCTGTGTTTATTTTTCAAAGCATAGGCATTTCATTAATACACTGACAATATGGTGCTATATTTACTTTTAATTTGTCTACTTAGTTTTAAAGTTAAATGTAATGAAAGTCAGGATTCACTGTGAGATGTAAATTACACTTCTTGTATTTAAATTTATCCTGGTTTCTTTATTAAATGTCTCTTGCAAAACGTAAACATTCCTTGATTTGAATGTAATCTAAAGTTGTAACAGACCAGCCTCTCCTGCTGCAGCTCTCTGTGCTTTGTTAGGAAAATACCCGATTGAGTAGATTAAAGCCCTGTCATCATAAGTAGGTAGAGCCTCTCCTGAAGTAGCTAGACATTCTCAGGGTCAATCATCTGAGGAAAGTTGCAGCCATGAACTTGAACCCTGAAACTGGGAGTTAACTAGATAGCAAAAGGGACTTCATGCTCTGTTTCATACATTTCTTGGGTTTGGATATTTAAGTTGCTAGATATAATTGGGCATTTGGGGCAGGTTAGAGCTGAATAGGGAGGCACTCGTGCTGAACTTTAAACTGAAAACAGGTAAACTATATGCCTGTTCCATGACATTCTGTTTACTTGGAATGTCAGTTCCATGTATGTCAGTTCCATGGAATGTCAGTTTCATGACATTCCATGTAATGTCAGTTCCATGGAATGTCAGTTCCATGACATTCTATGTTTACTTCCTTTGTATTATATCTAAATATTTGGTTATCTTGCATTTAAGATTTCAGCCTTGCCTTGGCTGTGCTCTGAGAAATTAAGAAAAGGGACATTTACCTTTGCTTAAACCAGAGTGTTAAATTCAGAGAGTATTAAACTCAGAGCCTCACTCACTATTCTCTCTTTTGAAGCCATCATTAGTGAGCTATCTAAAGGGGAAGATGAGTCTCTGGAGGCTTGAATAAGGCTTTCAGAGACCTAGCTGGCTTTCCAGTGAAAACTTTGGAGGCTCTTGGTTTATTTTCTTAAGGAATATGGCAGTTTTTCTCTTAAAAGATAAACCTTTTGTTTTATGATAGCAAAAAATATTTTCTTTTCAGTTACATTGCCAGAGAAAAGTACAATTATGTGAGATGAGTTGCTTTACCTTTCTAACTTGTTTACTCGTTAGATAAGTAAACAAAGTTGGCCTTTTAGAAGAGGTAGACTTGTTAACATGAACCTGTTAGGATGTAGGTGTTCTTTTGCCTTAATCTATATGCACGTGTTACATTCAGAAACATAGTAAATGTTTGACCACTGAACTATCTCTCTTTCTCTCTTTGCATATTGGATGTGTATATGTGTGTTTGTGTGTATGTATATATATATATACTTTAAACTGAAAGTTTAAAAATATATATACACACACCCATATATAAAGGTATATATATATATACATACACATATATATAAATATGTGTGTGTGTGTGTGTATGTGTATATCTATGTTACCTAAGTGTACAGGTAAATCAAATGTAGAGAATAAAACATATGTACCTTTGCTGTTTCTTTACTTTTAGTGTCAAGACATACTGCTTGATGCCTTGTGGGTTTGCTGAATGAATGTAGTTAGAGTAATATTGATTTCCTTGAAAATAATAGTGGTATGTTTCTAATGCCTTTAATTTAGATATCTCTAGCCCAAACTTGAAAGTAGAGCTCTTTCAGTACAAATAACCACTTTATAGAGATTTTTGATGATGTTATTATAATGTTAAATAATACAGTGTTTAAAAATTGGAATTTCGATTTGCCTGGGTATTTCCCTTTAATAGACAGTGTCCTCCAGAATGAATGAAAAAGCTCAATCTTTTATGTCCTCCTTCATAGGCTGGACAGAGCTTTTGGTACAACTCCTAGACAGATGATCGTACCTTCTTTTGGCTTGTACTGGTCAAAGTGTGCCCAATCCTGTTGATATCGATGGGCCAGTTTTATGTAACCCTGTGTAAAGGCCACTAAATGCCTCTGTGTTTTCATTGTCTTACTTTGCAATTATTGTTAGATAGTCGTCTGTTTTAAAAATCATTTTTGTTGCTTTTTTTTATTGATAAAGACAGCACTATATGAACTTTGGAGTTAAAGATGAAAATTCTAGCTGTAATTTCTCTGTGCCTCAGGATTCTTTTTGTTTTTTTGTTTTGTTTTTGGTAGTAGAGGGAGAATACCGCCTTTAAATATGTAGTGATTAAAAGAGAAGATATATATATATATAGATAGATAGATAGATAGATAGATAGATAGATAGATATAGATATATATAACATACTTAATGTAAAACCTAGAATGTAGATATTTATTTATTCTTGCCTGTCCATTTCCTTGTCAGAAACAATGTTAGTTTCTTTCCTTCGTTCTCTGGTAAATGATCTATGCTGAAATTAATATTTTTATTTGTATAGTATTTTAAAGCTTTTACCTATAGCTAGTAGCATAGGGCTTATAAATCAATGAAGTTTTTAATTTTTAAAGACTTTATATTTTTGGAGCAGTTTTTGGTTTACAGTGAAACTGAAAGGAAGACATAGAGATTTCCCTTATACCCTTTGCCCCCACAGATCCATCACCTCTCCATTACCAATATACCACACCGGAGTGGTGCATTTGTTACACCTGATGAGTCTACACTGACACATCATCACTCAGAGTTCATAGTTTACATTAGGGTTCACTCCTGGTGTTGTGTGCTCCATGGGTTTAGACAAATATATAATGTATTCACCATTATAGTATCATGCAGAGTATCTTCACTGCCCTAAAAATCCTTGTGCTTTTTAAAAGTATCCAAGTTAAGCTTGAAGGTAGACATATTAGAGGCCTAGTAAGAGCCTTGTTCTGTCACTGAGTCTTCTTTTGTACCTTGTAGGCCTAACGAGTTCTTGATTTGCAAGCCTTTAGGACCTAAAGAAGCCTAGAACAGTTTGTGTTTTGCCTACAGTGAGACTGGCTATAGACAGACAGTTCTGAAGTCTTATATTGTTCTTGAATTGTAAAGAAAATTGTCAAGTTATCTGTGCTAGAATTTTTTTGTTGTTGTTGAGACAGAGTTTTGCCCTTGTTGCCCAGGCTGGAATGCAATGGCACGATTTCAGCTCACTGCAACCTCTGCCTCCTGGGTTCAAGTGATTCTCCTGCCTCAGCCTCCTGAGTAGCTGGGATTATAGACATGTGCCACCACACCCAGCTAATTTTGTATTTTTAGTAGAGATGGGGTTTCTCCATGTTGGTCAGGCTGGTCTTGAATTCCCAACCTCAGGTGATCTGCCTGCCTCAACCTCCCAAAGTGCTGGGATTACAGGCGTGAGCCACTGCGCCTGGCCCTTTATCTGTGCTAGAATATTAAGATACCTGCTTTTCTTGTATGTACTCTAATATTAGTCATGTGTATATGCCAAAATGGATATTTTAAAATATTTTCTAGACTTTTATAATGTATGTATTTCACTTCATTTTTACTATTCTCTTCCCTAATTATTTACACCTAAAAATAAATATCTCAAAAACTTTGAGGTGAATTTTATGGTCATTCCCATTCTCTGATGCTTTTTACTCTAGTTATAAATGAACAAAGCACATATTAAAGCAAACTAAGTATTTAAGCCTTAGCTTTGCTATTGGTGATTCTGCTCACACCTGAACACTATAAATAGCCTGTCCTGTCAATTTTTTATATTCATGCAAATTGTAGCCTTTCCTTTATTCCTACCTGACTACTTTGTGCTCTGTCATTCACTTCTTTTTCTTAGGAAAAAAAAAAAAGGTGACCTAGATATTTGAAGACTAGCTTGAATTTGCCTTTTTCAAGGACCTTGTAGGAAACTCTCTGCTCCGTCAATAAGCATCCTGTCTTGGGTGGTAGAGAAGTTGGGCCCAATAAGCGCATTTCTCACTGCAGGCTTCAGGTCACTGGGGCTGTTCCTCACACTTGGTGCCCATGGGCTTGTGCCAGTGACAGCAAACAACAAACTTCTCCCTTTCTTGGGAATATCATTGGAAAACATGGAATTCCAATGTGCTCAGAGAATATGGTTTAGAGAAACTTGCAAGTGAAGATGACCTGATTCAAAATGTCAATCAACTAATTAAATAATTGATTTCCTATTGAATATTTAATATCCCAGCAGCAATTAAACTTCATTTAAAGTTACTTCATACTTCCTTGGATATTTTATTATTTAGAATGTTACAGAATTATAGCGAGGGTTTTCTTTTTCCAGGAGAGGCAATGGGTGAAAGGAAATGTCTTTTAGAGAGCTGTAGACCAGACCATTGTGTATACTACTCACAAAGGAGGCCTGGGCTATAAAAGCCATGATGACATCATCAGTGTCTGACTGCTAATTGAAAACCTGGGAATGAATGAGGGCATGGAGGAGAGGCAGACAGTGGAAGGAAAAGAGCACAGAACAGGGTTGTATTAGTCTGTTCTTATACTGCTAATAAAGACATATCTGAGACTGGGTAATTTATAAAGGAAAGAGGTTTAATTGACTCACAGTTCCACATGGCTGGGGAGGCCTCATAATCATGGCAGAGGTGAATGTGGAGCAAAGTCACATCTTACATGGTGACAGGCAAGAGAGCTTGTGTAGGGAAACTGCCATGTATAAACCGTCAGATCTCGTGAGACTTATTCACTACCATGAGAACAGTATGGGGAAAACTGCCCCCAGATTCAATTATGTCCACCTGGTTCTGCCCTTGACACATGCGGATTATTACAATTCAAGGTGAAATTTGGGTAGGGACACAGCCAAACCATATCAAGGGTGCTTACAGATTCCAATAGTTAATGAAATAATAGGCCCAGCCACGCATTTTTATTGACAGTAGAACCAGCAGATTTATTCCTTAAAATTTCGATGTCAATGTGGAGATGTACTCTAGATACTACAGCTTCAAAATTAACAGTTTTTTCATTTCAATTAGGTTTGAATTCAAGAAGATACATTCAAAGAAAATATATATTAGTACATCCTATTCTTTTGGTTACGATTTTTGATTTTACATGTGCAGTTTTAAATTTGTTGTTGATCTTTTTAAGGAACAAGATTGGAAAAACAAACAAGGCAGATAGCTTTTATTGATACTTTAATTGCTGATTTGGGTTTGGGTTCTCTTGAGACTAGAATTGTTTTTTCTTGCATGAAAAGAAACTCTCATGAATATTTTTCCTTACTGGAATTTGGAAGATATAACCTAAAATAGGAACTAAAGTTTATATTTAAAATTGTAGCCTCCCATATAAGCAGTCTTATTTATTGAATTTCGAGTATTTATTTTATTTCACTCAGAAGGTGGGTTTTATATGTATGATTTTAAATTTTTTATTTGTAAAGCCTTGCCTAGTCTTCTACAACGTTATTAAATAACGATAAATTGAGTCAAAGAGTTGATTTCCAGTCATTAATTTACTACAAAGTCTTATGCTTTCAGTTAAAACATTTTATTATTTGTATTACACTATATACTGGCTGATTTGATCACCGCTGTGTCTTGTACACTGTGCTAGAAATCAGGATACAGGAGCACAAAATACTTAATCTTGGCTCTAGCTGAGCACCTGCCCCTGGATCGATCCTGCCTAGTAGTGAAGATTAAGACAATATGGATGTAGATTTCATTTGTGGGGTGTAACTGTGGCAGCAGAGGTATTACTTTTTACCAGCATGAGTGACCTTTCCTATCACTGTGTGTTTCCAGTTCCATTTGGGTACAGTGAGCTGAAATGATTGGCCAGATGTTATGGCTCATTTTTCTAAAGTCTCCCTTTAACTAGTTGTGTTACATTACTCTGCCTTTTTGAACTCTGTTTTGTTTAGTTCAAACAAACAAAAAGTTTAGTCAACCAAAGCAGAATTTAGCAAATGTGTATTTATTAATCAAAATTCTCTCACATCTCACATATTCTTTATCTTGCAGAATCAGCATAATTCACTAGCAAGCCTGTATTTTAATGAAATTGTTTCAGGTTACTGGAAATTTAGTTAAAATTGCATAAACTACCTATATCTCTTGAATCACTTAAAAATTTACTTTAGCCCTTAATTGAAAAACCACCAGAAGAAATTGATTTGGTTTTGTATAACGTAATTCCTTTTGGTGAATGTTTAGTAAGGCTAAAGAATCTGACACGTCTGCTTACTGACATATATATATATATATATATATATATATATATATATATATATATATATATATAAAATATGTAAGATATGTATTAAAAAATATGTGAAATATCACCTGAAACTTTAAAATTTACTTTTACATTTATTATTCTTCAATAAAGTGAATAAGGTATGGACTTTTGCAGTGATAAAAAGAATACTTCTGCCAGCCTTTCTACTTCACAGCTGAACATAATCACTTAAATGAACCATCATGCACTTAGACTGCAAACATACTCCCCTTACTTTTGTAGTACAACCATTTGTGCCCATTGAATTGTAAGTTCCAAAAAAATCTGACTCTGGCTTACTCATTAATAAATGTTCAGTACCCACATTTTTGTGGGTACTGTGTTTTGCTGACAGTAGATGCTCAGTATATTTTTAATAATTGAATTGATTAAATTGTTTATTTTAAGGTCTCTTCAATAGATAATCAGAACTTGAAAGAGAAGTGTAAATAATAGCAGCATCTTCTTTGTACTTTGAAACTACATCTAGAAAGAATGACTGTAACGATGTATTCCTAATTTGTATATCCAAAGACATTTCAGGTCTGCTTTAGTACGATGTCATAGTAGGGTCACATGTACAATTAGACATAGACTTTCAGAGTTGAAAGGATCCTGAAATGTCATTATTCCAGCTTTCCATCCAATGCTTGAGTTCCTTCTGTAGCAGTTGTTCTCAACTTTTGCTGTATATTAGAATGAGTTGGCAAGTTTTAAAAATCTCAGTGCTCAGGTCCCACCTCAGCCCAATTATATGAGAATTTCCAGGGGTGAGACCTAAGCATTGATATTTTTTTAGAACCCCATAGGTGATTCCAGTGTGCATTCAAGGTAGAGAGCTGTTGTTCTACAAGATCTCTACAAAATGTTTTTCCAATCTAATTGAACTCCTCTGAAGATGAGCACCTCACTACCAAAGTTTGACTTGTGTTTATTCCATTTATTCAAATAATAAGTATAAGAGTGTTTAAATTATAAGCTGGTGAAGTGAAATAACACAAATCAAGCTCACCAATTTTAATACTCAGCTGTTGATAAACAACACTGAAGAGTGACATTTAAATTTGAATTATCTTCTTTGAAGTAGCATTGCAGCACTTTTGAATGACTTCCAAAAGGCTGATCATAAAAATCACTTCAATCATTTTCAAATTTTACTTTAGCAGCAATGAAGTTATTTGGTATGACTCAGATGAACCTTCTGCTCTGTCTTGGAGTTATTATGGTCATTTCATTTTCTGCAACCTGGGGAAACAGAGAAGGGATGAGCAGACTTGTTTTTACATGTACCTTACATATTTACCTTACAGTGTTTATAGTTAAAAGTTAGGCACTTTCAGAAATGTGCTAGCTTCACAGGAAGGTAATTTACCATGTAGAAAATTTCAAATATACTGAAAAAATTGAGTGGAATAGTGAAGGCTTGGATTTTGTAAAGCTCTTTGATTTTAGAGAAGAATTTTCAGAGGAAGCGCCATGTGACCACACACACAAACACGCAAGCCTGTATTCTTGCTTAGGAACTTATCTGTCCTGAGACCATCCACCTGTATGACAGCTCTTTTGAGTACCTTTACATTTTTGGTTCTTTAGTAGGACCTGGGTACGAAAAGTCAATATATAACATCACTGATAAATATTTAAGTAGTTCTAAGGTCTTAAGAGCTGTGTTTGAGTTTCACCTCCCTTCCTACTCATGGTGTAGCCTTGGGTAAATTATTATTTTCAGCCTTAGTTTCCCTATTTTTACAGTAGAAAGAATGCCATATATCTTGTAGGAATGTTATGAAGATTTATAGTAGTAATGCATATAAAGCTTCACAGTAGCCCCTGCGTTGTAGAAAGGGCTCGTGGACTTAAATTTTGTGATACATTGGAATACCAGCATTGCTGGGCAGACTACAATGACGATACATTTTCTTGTTTTTCCTGACAGTGGTAGGAAAAAGTCCTGAGACTAGTTCTGTAGAGAACATCATCTGTATGCTCCTTTATAAAAAAAAAACTATTCTGAGACATGATCTTAGATTGTTCCTTTACCAAAATGAGTTTCCTGTTGGAAGTCCTAATGCCACAGCACATGGGTAAACATGGGTCTCTTTAAGAATATAGAGGATAGGGGATGGTTGACGCCCTTAGATTTTCTCTGGGGAACCAGGAAAGCTAGCCTTTCTAGTGGCATACGTCAACCAAGACTTTCCTGGCATGTCTTCATCGCTAGTCTTCTCGTCTGCTGCTTTGTAGAGTTGCCAGATAAAGGACAGCCATTTAAATTTGAATTTCGGATGAATAACTAGATTTCTGTTAGTATAAATAGGCCTCAGATGTTGCAAGGGACTTTTATATTTATTCATTATTTACCTGAAATTAAAATTTAACTGAGCATCCTGTAGGTTTCTTATTTTTTCTAAATCTGACAACCCCTACCTACGTGCTATGTAGGAATTTTGGGGTTAGATGTTGGGCAGGTTTTATCCTAGACTAATACATTACTATTTTTGAATGAAGTAGAGAGAAATACTTCTTAGTAAGTGAAAAGACTAAATTATAGCATTAAAATGGATTCATTGGTTAAAATACTACAAATATGATTGTTACAAATTAATATCAATAAAGAAAAGTAGACGATGATCCAGATAGAAGAACATCTTCCTACTTATCTGATCCCAAGAACTTCAGGGAATCTTGAACCTAAGCATCTTCCAACTACATACTTAAGGCATATTAAAGAGAATGTGTGATAGTATAAGTATATCCTTTTTAAAGAAAGTCTGAAATTAAACAGGGTTGAAGTTTGATTATTCTTTGTTTAAAGCTTGTTATGTACATTTTATTTACATATATTTTACATATATGTTAGTGTAGCAATTCCTAATTACTCCATAACACACTGAATTCTCCTTTCTGTAAACTTGTAAAGCATTTACTTTGTTATTCATTTATTCATATTAAGTAAGCATCTTATTTAATATTCTTGGCACATCGATCTTCTATGTGCCAAGAATTGTGCTTAGTGCTAAGGGTATAAAAATAAGAGCAAATCTCTGTCCATGTGGAGCTCATCATACAGCTCTGGAAACAGATACAATATTGACATTATAATGCAACGTGACAAGAGCTATAACAATGAAATGAATTGCTTCTGAGATCCAGAAAAAGTAGTCTGATGGAGGTTTCACTGGAGAAGGGACATTTAGACTGGATTTTCTAGGATGAATAGAAGTTTGCTGGCTAAGAAGGGAATAAGGCTATTTTAGGCAGAGGAGAGAGAGAGATAATGAGTAAAAAAGAATAAAAAAACCCTCAAACCCAGCACCCCATCCTGTGAAATAACCTGTTGTGACTTGGAACCAGTGAGAAGATGGCATGGGGAGGGGCATCCTGGAAACAGGGTAGAATGTACAGAGTTGGTGATTCGATTTAAAGACAGGCAAGAGGAGCCCATGAAGAACATTTTGTATCAGGTTATAAATTTTGTTTTTATTGTATAGTCAACAGGGTTTTAAATAAGACTGAGGCCTTAAGTCGGTAAGACCTAATTGTTTGTTTCAGGAATATACCTGGAATATGAAATAACACGTGGCCAGAAATTATTGCAATAGTTCATGGGATACATGAGGACAATAGGAATAGTGTAGTTGCACTAGAAGTGGAGAGATCTTGAATGCAAGACATTTCTAAGTTAGAATTATTAGGATTTGAACAATTTTTCTGTTGGTTTTTTTTTTTTTTGGTATGCGGAAGAAGGTATGAGGATAAAAAATAGGGATAGTTCATGTATGTGAACTATGTGTGTTATTTCCTTAAGGCCTTAAGGTCATTAGAGGCAGGGTTTCTCTCCTAACAAACAGTACTCAATACATTCTTGTTCAATTTAAGAAGAAACACAAAATGTTTAAGATGGGTGCATTTGTGTGTCTGTACTTCATTATTATTTTGACAAATCTAGTCGGTATTATAAGAATAACAGGATGCACATTGGCAAACCCATTTTTTATCTCACTTAGTTAAATAAAATAATCCAGTTGTCTGACACATAATGATTTTATCAAAATTAACCTTTGTCTTTGATAACTTCTGCCCTGTGATTGTTATCATTTACTTTAAAATATAATCATGGCCAGGTGTGGTGGTGTATGCATATAATCCCAGCTACTCAGGAGGCCGAGGTGGGAGGATCAAGACCAACCTGGCAACATAGTGAGACCCCATCTCATAACAAACAAACAAAAATATTTGTATCAAAACATCACATGTACCCCATAAATATATGTATGTATCTATTATGTACCCATAATCACTAAAAATTTAAAAAATAAAAATATAATAATGTATAGTTCTTTTCATTTTTTAATGTGTCAATAGAATTGTTCTTTGATGCCAGGCATGGTGGCCCACAATTGTAATCCCAGCACTTTGGGAGGCCAAGGCAGGGATCACTTGAGGCCAGGAGTTCAAGAGCAGCCTTAGCAACATAGTGAAACCCTGTCTCTACAAAAAATTTAAAAAATTAGCTGGGCATGGTGGCATATGCCTGTCATTCCAGCTACTCAGGAGGCTGAGGTAGGAGCATTATTTGAGCCTGGGTAGTTGAGGGTGCAGTGAGTTGTGGTTGCAACACTGCACTCCAGCTTAGGCAACAAAGCAAGACCTTGTCTCAAAAAAAAAAAAGATTTATTCTATTTGATAGTTAAAGAATTCAATGCTGGGTAATTCTGAGGCAGACCAAATTGTGGACTTTGAATTCGTAGTTTTAGCTTTGTCGCTCAGCATTAAAATCATAAAACCTGAGACAAAGAAGCAACAAGCAGTAATGCTTTATATGTAAGGACTTTCTTGTTCCAAGAAATGTATCACCTTATATACAACACAATGTACTATTTAAATGTAACATAAATTATATATTCCTATGCATTATTTTTCTGTTCATGTATATTTTTATATTCACAAATGCTATTTGTGAGTCGAGTTTTACATGGGTGTATTAAGGGAGGCACACCAGTTGATGAGGTCTTGTGTGAGGTCTTTAAACACACCCAGACTCTAAGGCAGCAATGGATAACCTTGAACAGGTAAGGAGCAGGTGGCCTTAGGGTAGGGAGAAAGTGCGACATTGTAACATCCCTTTGGATAATGTCTGCAGCCAGATCCTGTGTCACCATGACTCAGCATCGAACAGACATTGATTGCACAGCATAAGGAGCACACAGGAGGCAAAGCTGGTCTGTCACATGGCAATTAGTTTGAGACACCACACCTGTATTCCCACAGCACATCTCATTCCCCCATATCTTTGGCTACCACAGAGGAAAGCAGAATGGATCTGGGCAATTTATTGTCTTACTTTTGTTGAGGAGAGGGAGAGCAGCAGAATGCATGCTGTTCCACTTTTTCTGTGCTGCAGTGGGCATATTGGTCATTGCTGGGAGCCCTTCAATGAAGGACAGTGACAGAACACCAAAAAGTGTCAGGAGCTTCCATGTGGCTGAAAAACCACATTCAAAGGACATCAGCCAGTGTTCTAGTGTTAGGCTGTGACTTGGGCATGTAAATGGGCCAATGATTCCAGTTTTGCATGGAAAAGACACATGATTAGTTTTTCAGTGAGGAAGTAGACAAGTTTTACTAATCTGTTGACTGAGAGGTTATAATATACTCATGATGAAATCTCTCTGGAGCAAGTCCTGTGAAACAGTGTAATGACTTGGCACAGGATGGCTGGATTCGCTTTAAAAAATTATTATTATTCATGTTTATTTAGGTCCAAAGGATCCATTATACTTCAGCTTTATATGCTATTAAATTTAGAGATGACACAAGTCAGGACACATCTTACATAGTTCCTTTCATGGGACAAAAGACCTGATAGAATAAGGTGGCATTTATGGGCCTTTAATATCAACATTACAAAAGAAGGGGAATTGCATTTTCTTTATATGTAAGAAAATAATGACTAATTTAGAGTAATTCTGAAATGAAATCATGGCATTATTGTCAGGATTGGTAAATCTTTTAAGCTATTATCATTTCTGTCATGCAGCTGCATTCAATGTCTTAAGTAGGCAATGTGATATTTTCACAGGAATTATCAAATAAACTCAGTATGTTAGCTTCTCAGGGACTCTGGAGCTTTGAATATAGAGGAGGAGAAGGTCCGATGAGGGGAAAAAGACCTTCTGAACCCCCCGTGGTCATAATTCCAGGGAAAGAAGGAGAAGAAACTTAAATATTTATTAACTCCTTACTGGCTGTTAAGATTTTTAATGTATTTCATTCCCTTTAATTTTGAAAGCAATTCTGTGAGTTGAATATTATTTCGATTTTTTTGCTAATGAGAAAACAAGCTCAGACAAGGTGAACAGAAACTGACATATTAAAACCCCTATCATGTAGGTACTGTGTAGGAAGTTAAGATGTATTTTCTCATTTAATTATCAAAATAAGTATTATTTTATGTACGTGAATTAAAATAGGCTAGATTATACTTTGTTAACAAATAGACCCCGAATCTCAGTGGCCTAGTAATATAAAGGTTTATTTTTCGCTCACACAAAGTTTACTCTGATGCCAGGGGACTTCCCAAGCCAGTTCCTCCTGTGGTTCCTTGGCAGTCGAGGCCAAGGGAAGGGAATTAGCACCACGATGCGGTCACACTCCCTGGAATGAGGACTCCTTGCTTGTTGCCGCAGGGAAAAGTAACAGGAGAAGAGTGCATGGGTTCTTAAGGCCTCAGCCCGGAACTTAGGCACGTCCTCTTCCCTCTTAGTCCATCGTCCGGGGTCTAGTCACATGGGCTCACCGCACCGTGGGCAGGCTGGGAATTGCGAGAGAGAAGATGGATAGCAGTGACCCCAACTGGGTCTGCCATGGCACTGTCACCCCCATTTTAAAAATGAGAAGACTGAAGTTCAGAGAGGTTAGATCATGTATCCTTGATCACTTCCTTGGTGATCTGTAGACTTAGTTCTTGAAACTAGATCTCTCTCAGTCCAAAGAATCTGTTTTTTTGCCCTCTACTCCATCTTACCCGACACACACTCCGAGTAATTTGGTGGTTTGGAGTTAGGTGTGGATCTGTGGTCGCCAGCCTTCAAGATGGCTCCTGTCATCCTTGCCTCTTGGGGTTCATGCCCTTGTTGTTCCCTCTGTCAGTGAATAGAGCTGACCTGTGTAACCAGTGTGGTATTGCAGAAGGGACAAAGTGTGACTTCTGGGACTAGGTCATAAAAGACAGTGGTGTTTTCATGTGTCAGTGCTCTCTGTTGGATCACTTGCTCTGGGGAAAGCCAGCTGCCATCAGGTGGGGACACTAGAGGAGCCCCAGGGAGCTCCCATATGGCAAGGAACTGAGACCTGCTGCCAACACCCAGGACCAATTTGCCATCCATGAGAGTGGGCCGTCTCGAAAGTGGGTGAGTCAACCCAGGTCAGCCTTCAGATGGCTGAGCCCAGGCCAACATCTTAACAGCAAACTCATGAGAGACCCTGGGCCAGAACCACTCCACTAAGCTGCTCCCAAATAATTCTTGACCCACAGAAATTGTGTGAAATGATAAATGCTTACTGCCATTTTAAGAAGCTAAGTTTTGGGGTAATTTATTATGTGGTAATAGATAACAGTACAAACCTTTTTGGATTATTTCCTTTCTCTGTGTTTTTCCCTCAACTCTGGGACAATTCCTGCTTTTAACGGTGAGTTTTTAAGTTAGCTAAATGAGAAAGTAATTGCCACACAATGTTATTAAATTTTAGTTAAATACATCTTATTATTTACTTTAATCTTGTAGTTCTAGGCAAGCTCTGTATGAAGGTCTATACTAAAAAATGATATACTCTGCTAGTTCAGAAGAGAGAAGTTTTGAAATTTACTTTCCATCAGATGTGTATTTTTCTGTTTTAAGATATTACCTGCTTGAGATTATTTTATAGTTTAAATTACATTGTGAAGTTTTGAGAAAGAACAAGCCAAGTACATTTTTATTAAGAGTTTACTGTCAGGAGGAAGACAGAATCTAGAAGTAACCGCTTTTTTTTTTTTTTTTTTTTTTTTGCAAGGAGAATGTGGTCAGTGTTTCAGCCAGTGCTTGCTGCTGAGGCAGGAGAGAATAATTGTGTAAAGAGGGGGCTCCCGCAGTGCAGGACAGGAAGCCACCATGTGAGCACCACATCCACGTGCAGGTCGCAGGCTTCATCATGTCCTGAATACCATGCCTTAGCATTTTATGTGAGTAATCTTAGATCATTCATCAAAGAACAGGTTATGTTTACAAATATAATGGTTTTAAGGAATATTATAATTCAGCATCTTGACCACTGGTACTGGTACGACATGTTATAATATACTGTGCTTTTAAGTATTTCAGTCACTCATGATTTACTCTTTAATGTTGTACAATGTTTCTGAGATTGTCTCTAAGCTGGGCAATCTTGTGTTTCCCAGGGTACCAGGAGGGGAAGACTGGGTACGAGTCAGTAGTCTATGAACTCCAGTGAAAGGCAGCAGGATACAATTTCTATTTGATTTAACATTCTCTTAATATCGCTGTTTTAATAACCTTGTGTTGGGTGAGATAAAATTTTCTTAATGAAAACCTTTTCACTAACCATTGATGCCCATTTGCTCCCTACCCCCATTAACAAACACTTCCTATATATGCACTCTAAACTTTCTATCTTAGCTTACTTTTTGACAGTTGGGCAAATGACAGTGGAGAGAACATTGTTTAGATCAAACAACATATTATTGTTGGAAATATGGCTGTCTCATAGAAATATAGCCAAGTCAGGGAAATAGTGACTATATATTATATTCACATATACAAATTTTGTAGGTCTACATATACAAAAAATACAGACACATATACATTTCCACATATAACTATATATAAACTATATATAACTATAATTATAACTATACACACACACACACATATATACATAAACAGGTTGGAAGTAGGAGATCCCCAAGGAAGTGGAGACTGAAATTCAGACATGAGGACCTTAGCAAGGTGAGTGAGACAGAGAACTGATGAGAGATTCCGTGAAGGAACATCTAACAGATTTTAGTGGACAAAGCAAAACAAGGAATCAAAGATAACGCAAAAGTTTCTAATGAAAAGTCATACTTTAACAAGCATGGGGAAATATAATTACAAAATTTTGATATACATAATAATTTTTATGAGTAGAATCCAGAGGGGTGGCTGCAGCAGGAATTATTATCGCCGTTTTGTAAATGAAGAAACCGGCTCAAAGAATTCTAATTGATTTTTTTAAGGTTTCATAGTTAGTCGAGGATAAAGCCAAAATTGGAATCTGGGGGTGTTGACTTCAGATCTTTCCATTTCCATGGATTCCTCTACTGGCTGTCCAGGCATGGCCCTCTAGGATCCATGCTGTGCTATCCTGTCATGCCTAGGCTGTGTGTGTGTGTGGACTTTCCCGATTAGAGGACCCAGACTTTGAGATTCTCAAAGGGGCTGTGACTCGATAGAGCTTAAGAACTTTGTTTCTCCCTGGTGACTGCCTGGCTCAAGGGACCAAAAGGATGCCGAAATTAGAGGGATGGTCCTGCTTAATAATTAGATCATGGAAAATTACATTCCCACAATGGAGAAACCTAGTGGTGTAAAGACAAAAAATAGCAAGAGCGTTGGAAGTTAGGTAAATTTTTAAGGGAAAAATCTTACTTGGGACTGGGCTAACTCTGCATCCCACTTAGGGAAACAGGTCAGACTGAACAGTTTAGGCCACATGGATGTTATGACTAAGCAACAGTTTTGCATCTCGCCCATATGTGTGCGGTTTCCAGTTTTTTGGACATTTCTCCCATAGACAGTTGTTTTTGCGCTGTGTTGTGTGCTGATGCTCAACTGCAGAGGAACTGAATGGAGAAGTTCGGAGAGACCGTGGTTTCTGACCACTGGCTGCGGTGCTGTGGATGGTTCCAGTGAAGGGTGGATGCCTTTTGTTGAAAACTCGCTTAGACTTTGTCATCAAGGTCTGTCTCTGCCATTGTATAATCTAAAGTCAGATCTGTTTATACTTCGTAAGTATTGTTGGATTTAATTGGCAATATATAGAAATGTCTATTGAGAAGTCCTTCAATTGCCATAATTCCTTTTTTCTCAGGAGTAGTAAATAGGAAATACTCTTAAGCATGAAATAGTGAAGAGCTAAAGTGGGAGGGCTGGAATTTGAAACTGCCTGAACAAACTCAGTCTGTAGAAGAACCCCACTACTGTTGGAGTTACTGTGAATATGTGAGCAACCTTCTAAGGCTGAATTGAGTCCACCATGAAGTTGTGGCCTGTTATACACATTTCAAAACCATGAAAACAAATTGGAATGAAAGTAGTGTCATGCTAAAGCATCCTGGTTGCTCTTAAACCTCAAGCGTGGTGCCTGGAAACATATTTTACAGCACAAGTGCTTTTGATCATTTGAGTGTTCACTAAGGAAATCATTGCATTGCATTATTACAGATGTGCACATTTGTCCTGTTGAAATTGACTTAAAAAGTTTAGTGTAAAATCCAGTGGCACTTACGGCATCTTCCTTATAATAAAAAAGTAGCAATAACACAATTTCCTTCAGATCCACAACCACGTACCTGGGTACCCAAATGATCTAAAATTGTTAGCTTAGTTCTGCCTCCATCTCAGGTGCAAACAAGGAAGCTGAAAGTGTGTTTGGGGGCTAAGATATTCAAATGCAACAAAATGGTAGTCAAGATCTTTCTTCAGGAAAAGATCCATTGAAAGATGCTTGACCGGATCCTGCAGGGCACTGAGTTCCATTCCCCTGAAAAATGGAAATACCTCCCTGTTAAATGTTAGACATGAAGGTAAAGAATCTTGGCTATACATTTGTGGAAGACAGATAGAGAAGAAATCAATCAAACTATTCAGAGTGGCAACAGGACAAATAAAGAGCTCCCAACAGCGGTCACAGGCAGATGATGGAGACATCACATTAGAGAAATAAAGAATAATATATTTTCTCTGGTTCAAGAAATGCCTTTTGTTTTTCCTTCTTGCATGATAATAATAAACATTAATCTTAATGGCAGAATCCTGCTATGGGAAAAAGAGCCTTTTCTAACGGAATGCAGTGGTGGTGTACTGGAACACATAGTGTTCTAATTGAGCATGTACCATGCCTACATTTTTAGAGCACTTTACAGTTTACAAAGCTCTTAATACTTCTTATCTCATCCAAATAGGCTGGAGTCCTATTTCTGATTTCCCAGTTGACCATGTGAAATACAGAAACTTGCTCAACCTCTCTCAGAATCACTTTCTTTTCCTTGCAAAATGAGGAAATTAATGCCATCCCAAATGAATATTTTCTTTCTAAATCAGTGAATAAGAGTATGTTTTCTCTATAAATAAATTAGCAACTCTAATAACTGGAGGTCACAACTGATCTAAATGTTAAGTCGATTAGCCATTCAATTTGAATTTCAGAGTATATTAATTTTAATTGTGATTGGTGCAAAATTACATTTCGATTTCTTTGTTACTTAAACATTTTTCTTTCAGATGTGTATATCGCTTAAAACATTGAATTTTATTGTATTTCATGTTACCACAATGAAATATTATTAAAGTCAAGTCAGTTTTTATGCCTTAATGGTTTAATATTCTTAACATGCTCACTATTTTTCATGAGTTTTTTTCCTATAGAAAGTAAATCATTCTCTTTTTCAACACTTCAATAAAGTAACCTTTTCCATGTGGATTTAATTAACATGTAAGTTTTTCCCTTCATGATATGATTAGATAAAGATAGTTATTATTTTAATCTGATTTTGAAAATTTTACCCTGCAAAATCGTTATTTAAAATTTGATTTTTTTTTCTATACTTGTATGGACTTTAGAAATGAATACCAAAATAAAATTCTTTTCTTTCTTCTTTTGGCATTGGATAAAATAGTGGTGTGGGGACCGTGGGTTCTGTTCTCACTAAACTCATAATTTTATGAGAAAGAGAGACACAGATTTATTGAACATACAAGTGCTAAGTCAACAAAGTGCTATTGTACATAGAGGTAACAGCTGATTTTGCCTGCAGGCAAGATTAACTTACCCCATATCATTCTGTTCATATTGCAGTTATCCTGTTGATAAGATATTATAATGAGTAAAGTTTCCATCTCCTCTGCTAAATATTTAACCTCTTAGAGCAGAAGCACTTTTATTTATCTCAATATCTCTATTCCTTACCTTGAATTATGCTCATTAAACATTTACTGAATTCAGTTTGGTGGAGAGAAGTTGGAAGAGTCCATAGAGGAGATAACATTCAGCAAATGAGATAATACTTGACATAGGCTTGAATAATAATGAGCCAGAAAAAGGATAAAATAGGGGTGAGGAGGAAAGTACAGTCCCAGCAAAATCACGAGGGAATGAAAGCTTGTAAAGTATTTGTAAAAGGGTGACCTAGTGTTAGGAGTGGCTAGAAATGGAGATGAAACGGTTAAACCCAGGCCATAATTATAAGGGCCTGGACTATCATGGCAATGAATTTAGAGTCTTCTGGAACAAACAGATCACATCAGTTTCTGGCAGTAGTGAGGACACTGCCAGCAGCAGTGGCCCCAGGAAGAAGGGCACGACAATACTTCAAATAAGAAGATGAAGTCCTGAACCAAGGCAGTGGCCATGGAAATTGAGAAGAGGACATGATACCAAGAGACAATGAAGACTGAAGGAGACTGGGCTACTGACACCGTGAAACCACCATGTCAGCCCTGGACTGCTTTTCATGTCCACACTGTTATTTGAGAGATTAAAAAAAAAATCCTATCTTGTTCAAGCAAATGCTATTAGGTTCTCTGTTATATCAGTTAAAATCATAACCTAATGAATACAAGGAACACATCCAATTGGTTCAGTTTGGAAGATGTGAAATCTGAAGTTGTTTTAAGGGTCTAGAATTCAAAATAGTGTTCAAAGGTAAAGACAAAAGTTTGGAAACGAATCCCACATGAATTCATAGCTGAAACCATGGAACTGAAGAACAACAGCATTTGCAGGGAAGGCAAATAAGGAGGGAGTGGCAAACGGTGCAGAAAACATTCAGGGAAAACAGAGCAGCATTTCTGGAAGTGGATTCTGTTACAAATTCCTATAGTACTGGCCTGTACGTGTGCTATGAAAGAAAATTCACAACCAACACAGCTTGGCTGGAGTCTGAGACCTAAAATCCCCATGGCCAGTCTACATCTTAAGCACCATTTCCTAAGACATTTTGGCACCTGAATGTTTTGAACATTTTGGGCATCAGGCTTTGAAGCCAGGTTAACTTCCGTTCTTCTCCATGCTGTCTTTTCCAACTTGATGTCCTTCAGGTGAATAATATTCTGCCTGTTCTTGGCTCACCTCCTCTCCTGGACCACAGACAAGTCCAGGTGAAGAGTGCTGAGCCTCTGACTTTCTGTTGATGATGACATTTGCTTTTCTTTGAAACCGCTCTGATTTGATGGTCTGTCTTGAAATGAGATGCTCAAAAAAGAGCATATCAATTAATATTGCTGTATTATATAACTTTTTAATTTACAATCAAGACACTGAGATACCATTTGCTTAGTAATTTTTACCTGGAGATCTTAACATGCACTCTTTTTTTTTAAAGTTCTCCAATTTAGACAGGGATATAATTTCACTGGGAGATATTTTAGAATTACCTTCAAATGATACAGCAATCTAATCCCTTCTTTGCTTTGTAATTTATGGCCTTCTTTGCTTTGCAATTTGTGGCTCGTGTGTGTGTGTATGTGTGTGTGTGTGCACGCACAAGTATGTGTACTGTCCAGTGTTTAGAATGGAGTATACAGTGGGAACTGGCTTGGTTAAGACACGAGGACATAAGAATTGTATTTTGACTGAGGGTAAAAGTCCATCTAAGAAGTGTTCTCAGACAGGTGTGAATGGTTGACTGGACAGTCTGATAATTTTGCTCCTTGAAATTGACTTCAAAAGGTGTTTGTATTCTTCTCGCTAATTTTTCTCAACTTACTGTGGAGGTATTACCTGTGATTTATGTAAACTCTAATTGAGAGTTTATATTTTCATCTTGTACTATCTCTTAAGGGTAATCATTTTACCAAGTAGCTAGTACTGCATGGGATACTATTTTATTTGTCTCATAATTATTTCCTTAATTTTTAATGGACACAGTCAAGCTCTGTCATTTCTTTTTAACCTGCTCTACCTCATCCATGACAGGGAAAATTTTCAGTCACGATGCTGCCATCTAGATCAACATGCTTGGGTTTATTTACCTTTGAGCAGATATAAGTAGCACACATTTTGGGGCAAGTAATTTAATTATTTTGTAGGCTAATTTTCAAATATGTAGACTGTTCCCAACAAGATCATCTGGAAATTGTATGCTATGCCATAGTTTTAAAATCACCACAAGCTGACGAAAGGGATGATCTTGATCCTTCTTCAAATGAGGATTTTGCACATAGCATATCCTTTTTGTGTGTATGCCAAGATAGTGGCTTTAAGTAGTATTAATTATTGCTTAATAAGAGTGAAGTTAGAATGGCTGAAGGGGCAAATGAGTAATGAATCCATATTTTTATGTGTTATAGCTACTTCTGATATTTATAGCTCTTTAGCTTTGTTTTAAAGACATCATCGTGTTTTTTGGTTGAAATTATATTTTTATTCAAAATCCAGTCTACTCATTCTATGTTATTCTGTATACTATAAGATTTCCTTCTGTTATTTTTAGGGCTTAGAAAAAAATTGTAAACACAGCAAATTATTTTCCCCTTGGACTGTTTTTTTTTTTTTTAACATAAAGTTGATTTTGGTTTATTTCTCTTCTAAACCACCATAGTAGTTTCCCAATGGAATTATGTTGAGATTTTCAGAAAGTTAACATATAAAGGAAGTGAATTCTCTTTTTCCTACTCTACTTAATGCAAAGTTTCACTTAATAAGAGAATTTCACTGAGATATAAAGGGCTAAAAATGAAGTTTTAATTTGGAACAGCAGCTTATAACTTTAACTAAACCACTGTACATCTTCACATGTACTGTTACCAATTTTCAAATTGATCATATTATTTTTCCTTAGGGAAACTGAATAGTGGAAGAGCTGCCTTTTAGCTGGTGTTACGCAGAAAGAAATGCAAAAGTGAAAACTAGCAAGATGTATGGGAATTCAGATTTCTGTGGTATTTTGATTACATCATCAAAATGTGGCCAGAAATTTATATACTAAAAATTATGATAATATGGAAAGAAATATTAAGGTGCAACAATAGTTTATATTCTTGTCTGTTGTATGTGAAGCACATATTCTTTTTAATTTAATGTAATTTTAAGTTCTTGGATACATGTGCAGGATGTGCAGCTTTATTGCGTAGGTAAATGTGTGCCATGGTGGTTTGCTGCATCTATCAACCCATCACCTAAGTATTAAGCCCAGGATGCATTAGCTATTTATCTTGATGATCTCCTTCCCCCCACCCCCACTGACAGGTCCCAATGTGTGTTGTTCCCTTCCCTGTGCCAATGTGTTCTCATTGTTCAGTTCCCACTTACAAGTGAGAACATGCTGTGTTTGGTTTTCTGTTTCTGCGTTAGTTTGCTGAGGATAATGGCTTCCAGCTCCATCCATGTTCCTGCAAAGGACATGATCTCATTCCTTTTATGGCTGCATAGTATTCCATGGTATATATGTACCACATTTTCTTTATCCAGTTTATCACTGATGGACATTTGGGTAGATTCCATGTATTCACTATTATGAATAGTGGTGATGCACATTTTCCTTGTGGCTGGCACGTATCAGATTATAAATCTTATCTGAATCTGACTAATGAAGATTTTTCTAGGGTTTAACTCCATTCATTATAGAGTTAATCTCAGATGAGCATTTAAAACATTTGAAAAAGAAAATTTTATAATCTGCAACCTTTCCAATATCTTCATTATCTTTAATTTTTGTTAAGAGACGTATTTTGTGGTCCATGCAGAGAATGGTTTTGTGTTAGGGAAGTAAAAACAAACACACACTATATTGTGTTTTCAGGTGGAGTACAGATCAGAACATACGCACACACACAGATGTACACGATACTACTTGTAGATTAACTGATGACCTCAAATCATAAAGTGAACTGGGCCTTAACAGCTTGTGCAGTCTTCACTGCACTCTCGACCTTTGCTGGTTTATTGGCACCAAACTGTTTTCAGTCCTCCTAGCAAAACAGTATGTAGTTACAAGCCTGTAAGTTAGGAAACCTCTTAAGTTCACTGGGATGTATTGGAATATAAAATCTTTATAACTGTTATGGTGTCAATGTCTACTAAGTACAAACACTAATTAAAAATGGCCCTCAGTGAAGGTCATAGACAGTGATGATAAATTACTTGTTTCATATAATTAATGTATTCCTGAAAATATATACATGAAACACATTTTTGTTAATGATTCATATTTCAACTGTTAATATGCAATCATTATTTAGAGGACACCAAGGGTTTAAAAAATTATGTTCTAATATAATTTTTAAAGGTAAATAATTTTAATATAAAGTTCAAGAGTTTTAAATATAAAGTTCAAAATTTTGCCCATTAAAAATAAGATTTTCCTGATGTGAGGTCAAATTGGAAATAACTCTGGTCAAAATAGAAATAATCTGATTGCTGTTGGTGAAAAATCTTTCCCTTCTGATATCTCTGCCCATACAACTGTTTGGTGTGTAACTGCTGGTATAATTCCTGTGTATCTACAGATATGTACATTTTGCTCTAGAGGACGGTAAGCTAGACCTTGAGGGCTAGTGTGTGTGTTTCTCTGTGAATGTGGCTATTCTTGAGACATTTATAAAGTGAGTATAATCAGTGAACCCATTTTCAATAATAACACCTTGCCTACCAGACAAGAACACTAGCAAAAAGTGACATTTATTGAACACATGATTGTCCAGGCACCGTTCTAAACACTTCATCTATACTAACTCATTGAAACTCCACAATGTCCCTATTATTTCTGTCCACATTTTATAGGCTATGGAATTGAAACATAGAGAAATTATTTAATTTGCTCAAAGTCCCCTAGCTAATAGCTGATGGATTCAGGATTCAAATTTAGACAGTCTGACTGCAGAACATACTGTTTTAACAGCTACATTGAGTTGCATTTTAACAAACAAATATTTAACAAATAAATATTAAAATATTTAATTCTGGAGTTCTTATTCTGTTATTTCTGGACCTTGGCTACTGCTATTGGTAGAACTTCCGTGTATCCTGACAGACATATTGTCAGTGCCCTCGCACACTCTCCCAGAGGAGACCTCTGGGCCCCACTTCAGAAAGCCCTGGAGTGTGCATGCAGGTGTGGCTCCTTCCTCCTGGAGATCTTACATAGTACACTGTGAAGGACCATGAGGGACGTAAGATGTATAATGTACATCCTACACCCTCGAGGTGTGCAACCTGGTGTCCTTGTTGGAATGTGAGGAGTTTACCATGATTAAGAGCTCAGATGCTTTCATTAAAAAAAAAAAAACATTATAATGGAAGTAGCCTGTGTTAGAATTAAACAGCTCAGATTTTATGATTTAGAATGTACACTAGTCCCTGCTCCTCCACCACTTCCTAGCAATAGTCTCTTTTAACAGTGTGAAATGGAACTTTCTAGATATTTAAGAAGTATCTACAGATATGAATATCTGTTTGTGTGTATATATATATATATATATATGCATTTTATAGATTAAAATCATACTTTACATGTTCTGGCATTTTTTTTTTTACTTAATAAGTTATAATTATCTTCCAGTCTCAGAAGTCCATGTCAGTATATTGGGAATTAGCTCATTTTAAAAACAGCTGCTGGGTATTCCAGAATATAAATCTTTTTAATATAAATAATAATGCTATTAAAAGTAATCAAATAATTTATGTAACCAATGCCCTGCTATTGGAAATTGGGTTGTGTCCCAGTTGTGTGATTCAATGGGACAGTAAACAGTGGGACTTGGACATTGAGGATAGAGAGGCACAATCTTGCCCTCAGGCATTGGTGCATTCCTGCCTCTTAGACCATCAGATCTTTAGCAAATTTTCAAGGTTTTTCATTAATAATAATGACAGGTTTTAGGTAACATATAACTTTTTGGTGGGGAAGCTTAATGTACTCTATGTGGTTGACTGACATATGAACCTTCACTATGTTTTGTCAGGCAAGAGGTAGGCATTAACTTTCTGAATCCTATATTTTTAAAGCAATTACAACTCTTTCACACCTGAAGTTCTAGATTTATGTCTAATTGCTTCAGAGTTATCCTTCTCTTGCGAAGAACTCTTCAGTGTTGTTTAAAGTTGCATGGTTGCGTTTTAAAAAGTTTTGCTCTTAGTAAGGAGCAAAGAATTGTATTAAGGAAGAAGTGATGTTTTCTGGGTCTAGCTTTACATTCAGCTGAGATGTTTTAAGTGCTTATCAGCAAGTAATCATTTAAGTCTCCTTTCTTTGACCTTTGTTAAAATGTTCATCTCTTTATTTTTCTCCAATTCTCCACTTAAAAATGTTATGACCTAATGTTAGGTAGTGAAACTATTTTGTGAAAAGTTCTAAAAATAATAATCCTGAGCAAGTGACTTCTAAATGGCAATTAAATTGATGTCTGGGAGAGACGGGGACATTGTGCTAACTCAACTGCTATTCTCTCTGTGCAAAGTCACATGAGGTTTTAATAGCATAGGTTGTTACCTGAGATGGAAAAAAATCTTAGGCTTGAATTAGTCCTAAGATAATCTATAATTGCATTATTTTGTTGAATTTATATGAGTACTTTCTGTAATTTTTAGAAAAATTAATCGAAGGAAGAATTATTTTAAATATATTCACATACGTTATGTTCAAAATATTCTGCACAAGGTTTTCAGAGTATGAAGACACAAACTACGGTGGAGACTATACTGTTATTAATAAATTGTAATTTTTTAACAATTTGAGTAGAGTTACTCAAAATTCTGTTCCTTCTACAGAATACCTCATGCTTGTATGAATTCATGGGAAGGGCAGATTGTGTTATTTGGGGTAACAATTTCACACACCTTGTGTCATACGAGATGGGGAGTTTCCACTGTCCTAAGGCAAACATTCCTACTGTGTCAAAGCTGCAAACTTCCAGCCAGCAGCACATACTTAACTTTCCAAGGAATCACCATCTGGGGGAGGCCTCAGTAATACAGCAACACCTTGTTAGTCTGGACATATCTCACTGACTCATTCTTCGGAATGTGTCACCAGCATCCAACCAACTATAGATGGAGGACTTCAGTATTGTGAGTGCAGGGATACCTGTGAAATATAATGGTTGTGCAAATTTCATTGAACAGTCGTTAATGTGACCTACAAAGCCTAATGCATTTGTTTTTTGTCAGGATCTACGTAAGTCCATGCTTTGTTGGAATCTGTGTTAGAAAACATGTCAGTCTATTATTCCATTATTGTTACTGCATTTTGCTACTTCCATCATTCATCCCTCAACAAACATTCATTGGGTACCTTTTAAGTAATAGGTAGTAGATACAGAAAATACAGAGGTGAAAAAGACGTACCTTTTTCCCTGAAGACTGTCACAAAGGCAAATAGTTCCATGACAGTGTGAAATGGGCTACAAAATATGTAAGAATATGGGTCTTGATCGCACAAAGAAGGGTATGACCAGCTGCAGCTGAGATGTGAGGGGAGGTCAAGGAAGTTTTTACAAATAAGGTAACTCAAACTAGGTCTTGAGGGATGAACAGATTTTACCAAATATATAGGAAGGAAAACACTTTCTCTCCAAAGAGAGAATAAGAACAGAGGTGTGTATTTAACACATTATATAAAGGGAAGTGCAAATGATTCTTTCAACAATATTGATGAAGTTGTGAACCAAAAGTATCTGAGATAGGACTCAATCAATTTAGAAGTTTATTTTGCCAAGGTTAAAGACACACCCATGACACAGCCTCAGGAGATAAAAAAGCTACATACCTTCCTCACAATTTGCCTACAAGGAAATTCTTTGTGGGCCTCAAGATGATGACACGTGCCCAATGTGGCTGGGGTACAGCTTGGTTTTTTATATTTTAGGGAGACATGAGACATCAATCAATATGTGTAAGATGTAGATTGGTTTGGTCTGGAAAGGTGAGACAACTTGCAGTGGGTAGGAGGCTTTCAGGTCATAGATTGGTAAGAGACAAACAGTGGCATTCTTTTGAGTCTTTGATCAGCCTTTCACTGAATACAGAATTTACATGTGAGAGAGGGGGTAGAGGAAGAGTCACTTTTGTCTTAGTCTGGCTCAGTGAATGTACATTTTTGTATAAACAATAGGTGAGAAGAAGCAATCAGATATGCATTTGCCTCAGATGAGCAGAGGGATGACTTTGAGTTCTGTCCTTTGTCCCGCAGCTGTGAAGATAAGCTATCAATTTACATTGCCAAGGTGAAATCCAACTGAACTCCTTTAAGATAAAGATCTTGAGTCCCAAAAGGAATTTCCTAGTGGGCAAATTGTGAGGGAGGTATGTAGCTTTTTTAATCTTTGTAGTTATCTTATTTAGGAATAAAATGGGAGGCAGCTTTGCCTGAGCAAGTTCCCAGCTTGACATTTCCCTTTGGCTTAGTGATTTTGGGGTCCTGAGATTCATTTGCCTTTCAAAAAGTCTATACAACAGACATGGTGAATGTAGGCTCAGGGTGGGAAGCTACCAGAAGGGAACCTAGAGAAGAAATGAGAATGAAGTCAAAGTAGGCTTCCCATAGCTATCAAAATGAACTTAGAAGAGCCTGATGGTTGAAGTGGAAGCCACAGAAGGATTTTAAATAGGAGACTAATACAGTTAGGAAAAACACTCTGCAGGGTGGAGAATAGATTTGAGGGGTCGAGAGTGTAGGATGGGAAGAGTGAATGAAGAGACTGTTGCAATCAGTAGTCTAAGTGGGAGGTAGCGAGGTCCAGGAAGTGAGGATGGATTGAAGTGATCCATCTACTTTGCAAGAAGGCAGAGTGTGGGAGTACTGGGGACTGATTCAATTTGAGAGGACTGGAGGTGTGAAAAGGAAGCTTGAATTACAGCGTGATTGTACCAGGAGGCACCTGAGGAGGAACTTCCGTGGAGAAGATAATGCTTTCAGCTTAGGACATTGTGGTAAAGCTTTTCAGAAGGCAGTTGGGTATCTATGTCAGAAGCTTAGAAGAGGGGCCTAGGTTGGAGGCACAGCTTTGGGGTGATCACATTGAACTGGTATTGAAGCTACAGGGGTTGATGAGATCACCAAGTATTTTAGATGAGAAGACAAGAAATGATACACAGAACTTTGAATGACACCAACAGTGAAGACTTGGATGGTGAAGGGGAGATGGCAAAGAGATTGAGAGAGAATGCACAGCAAGACAGAAAAACAAGAAGTTTATTAGCAAACTGTATTTTCTTTATGCCTCACTGCTCTCGTGACTATGTCTAATATTTTTCCATGAGTCCAATATACATTTTTACTAGGTATATTGCTTTTATTTTTAGATATAATGGTTTTCAATTCCTTGTGACTTGACACTGGACTCCAATTATTATAGACAAGGCATTTTGGAATTTAAACTATATCCATTCACATAGTGTTTATAGAAGATGAAAGTAAATCTAAACTCTTGATTCAAGACTCTTTCAGGATAGCAGAGGTGCGCAATGGGAAGGGGAAGAGGAGTGAGAATTAGAGCAGTCTATTATAAGAGAGGATATTTTGAGAGGAAAACTTTTCTCTCCTAAAGACAAATTGTTTTCTGGCTAACTATATCTTAACATCTTTTTTTTTTTTTTTTTTTGAGACAGAGTCTCGCTCTGTCGCCCAGGCTGGAGTGCAGTGGCGCGATCTCGGCTCACTGCAAGCTCCGCCTCCTGGGTTCACGCCATTCTCCTGCCTCAGCCTCCCGAGTAGCTGGGACTACAGGCGCCCACCACCGCCCCCGGCTAATTTTTTGTATTTTTAGTACAGACGGGGTTTCATCGTGTTAGCCAGAATGGTCTCGATCTCCTGACCTCGTGATCCGCCCGCCTCGGCCTCCCAACGTGCTGGGATTACAGGCGTGAGCCACCGCGCCCGGCCAATATCTTAACATCTTAAAAGAATCCCTAGTTTATGTAATTGCTGATGGCTAATGATGGACTTGTCCTGGTGTTTGAGTAAATGTAAATAAGGTTTATGAGCCATTTATTAAAACAACTTGTCTCCTTAGTAGCTAAAATTCCCCCCATGTTTTCCTCAAGGAGTCATCCAATCCTGTTATTCTCTATGGAACCCTATAGCTATTCTGTAGGTATTTCAATTTTCAAATGAATGTTGCAGGTGTGTGTGTGTGTGTGTGTGTGTGTGTGTGTGTGTGTGTGTGTGTGTATAAAGGTACAGATATTGTGGTTGTTTGGGTATTTTATAATGATGAAATCTATAAACTTGCAGCTTTCAGTACATTTCAAAGGCTCAGTAATACACCATAATGTTTGACAACGTCCCAGCCATATTTATATAATATGAGGTGTATCTCCTTTACCAAAAAAGCTGCGTTTTAAACATTTGCTTGTAGTTAGGTTGCAGAACACTTTTTCCCCAGTGGAAATAATGTCATAAGTGGGACTTGCATTCAAGTCCTGCTTACTGTGGTTGTTTGAAATATGTTCAGAAATTCTTTGACAAAACCTTCAAATGGTAGAGCTAATTCCTCTCCCTTCAGCATGGGCTGGATTTAGTGACTTACTTCTAACGAATAGAAAAAAAAGAAAAAAGCAGAGGCAACTGAATGTGGCTTCAGAGACTAGATGACAAAAGCCACCTTGGCTCTCTTTTCTCCCTTTCTCCTGGATCCCTCACCCTGGGGCCAGCCAGCTGTCACATCCTGAGGATGCTCAGGCGGCCTGTGGAAAGGCCCCCATGGTGAGGAACGGAGGTCTCTGACCAAATGCCATGTGAAGACGCCAGCTTAGAAGTGGACCTGCCAGTCCCTGTGAAGCCTTGAGAAGACTGCAGGCCTGCTGATAGCCTCACTGCCTAGAACCACCCAGCTAAGACGCTCTGCATTTCTGACCCACAGCAACTGTCAGATAATACATCTTTGTTGTCTTAAGCCACTGAATTTTGCAGGAACTAGTTACCCATAACTAATACACCCACAAAACCCTGTTTAATTCAATTTAAATACTCTCTGAAGATTTCCAATGAAAAACTATTAAAATATAATTTCAGGCAAAGGAGACACTGTAAACCTGAATAAAGAATGTAATTTGAAGACATGTTCGAGGGGAAAGAAAGCACATTTAATTAGAGAAAGATGAGGAAGAAGATCGTTTTTTTTTTCTGTTATGATTTAGGTTCCAAAGGGAAATCCTGGGTTTTTAACTGGGTATAATTTTATTATACTTGTAACTGTACTTTTTACAAAATTTTAGTCTTTTTGATTCACATAGGAAAGAAATATAATGAGAGATTCAGAAGGAGGAAGAATAATTTTCCTGAGGCAAGAGTTAGAAGAGAGGTAGAAAGGGAGATGGGGAGAGATTTCCACGAGGCCTGAGAAAGGAGAGGAGGCCCTTAGCAGTTAGTGGTGAGAAGCAGAAGGGAGTACCCAGTGCTGGCCTGCAGGTCTGAGGAGGAGCAACGTGGGTGTTGTGGTGGATACCTCCACCCCCATAAGAGGAGAATCTGTTGCTCCCTGAAGCAAGTTAGGTTGGAATGACCTGGAGTTTGGTGAGAGGGAGGCCGTGTCCAGTGACCACGCTTATGTAGAAAGCTTGCAGGAGATGAATAGACATTCGAGAGAAACTTGTATGAATATGGCTGCATCTTACGCCACTCCTTACTTCAGTGGAAGCTCTGTTATTCCCACATAGCGTCCTTTGAATTTCCATATCATCATTTTACACCTGAATACGTGGACAGTTGTCAAGAAGTACAGTGCTTGTCGGCTGACTGGTCATCCCCTTCCTGTGTTCTATACAAAGGCTATGGCAGGCAGCTTGACTTTTGCCAAGTACAAAGAGGACTTTTATTTATCCTAAAAAGTTGTGCAGTTTGCTAAGGAGGGTGTGCAAGTTAACTACACAAGATAGGAAGAGAGATGGGAAAACAAGACCCATCAGAGTTTCCACATGGGCAGGAAGTATAACAAGGCGTCTGCCTTTGCTCCACATGAGCTCAAAGGACATTTCTGTGAAGCTGATGGATTCTTTCTTTAAGCCTGTTGGGGAGATGATTTTTTTTTTTTTTTTTAATTAAAGAGGGTTTCACTCTGTCACCTAGGCTGGAGTGCAGTGCGATGGCACAATTATAGCTCACAACAACCTCAAACTCTTGGGCTCAAGGGATCCTCCTGCCTCAGCATCCTGAGTAGCTGGGACTACAGGCATGTGCCACCACACTGGCTAATTTTTTAATTTTTTTGTAGAGACGGAGGTCTTACTATGTTGCTCAGATTGATGTCAAACTCCTGGCTGAATTTTTGAGGTTAAATTACCTGCTGTATGCTGTCATATAAGGATCTGGTAAATGTGTGTTAATTTATTATTAATGAATGTTTTCACAAGTGTGTGTTTTTAACAGGTCACCATAGTCCATATTCACTCTTGTCTCTTCTCCATTTTCTTCTCAGGTTTGTATTTGAAAACAGTGCAGCATAATTCAGTGTGCACGCACATGTGTAATTATAATTTTCCCCCCTTAGTATCAGCTTTATTCTGAGGAGAAAAATGAGGTTCATCATTTCCATGGGACTACTGATTAGTGAAAGTAATATTTGAAAAATATTTATAGATTTGTTGCACCACAATTTCCCATATAGTGAAAGTACATATTCCCAGAATTTGTCCTACTTTAACCTAAACCCATGGGTTCATAATATGTTATATTTAGGTAAAACCAAGGAATCAAACATGCTCAGGGTTTTTAACTTTCTTTCTAGAAAAATTCACTTCTCAGCCTTCTGACTTTTAAGTTTCTATTGATAAAAAGAAAGTCAAAACTGTTTCTGGAGAGATGCATTTTTATTATCTTTCTGGAGCTAAAGTTTGCAGATTTTTATGACTCCTGATAAGTGGCATTATTATGGAAACTCTCTTAATATGCTTGTTCAACACGTTCAAATCAGAAAACATGACTGCTAATAACATGACATCAATTCTCTTTTGGGGTTTGTAAGCAATAGAATGAATATTATATTCATCATTGACATGGAGAATGTAGCTGAGAGGGTTGTGTCGCCTGAGAAAAGCCACATGTAATTAAATTGAGCCTATGGAGAGCAGACATGGAGAAGTTTGGGTATAAAGGGAAGTTGACTATGTCAGCACAACCAGGATTTCACAGTGCTAGTGGAACTAGTTTGAGCTGGAGGAGTGGAGGAGCAAAGAGATGATGCTTGGTGTGAATGTAGTTTCCGGGGCAACTGATCTGGATCATGGTTTCTGAACAGCAGCACTAGTGACATTTTGGTCTGGAGAATTCTTTGTTGTGGGGAGCTTTCCTGTGAATTGCCGAATGTTTAGCAGCATCTCTGCCCTCTACCCAATAGGTGCTAGTATCATTACCCCACTCTCACAGTTTTGACAACCAAAAAGGTCTCCCACTTTGTGATATGTTCTCGAGGGGCAAAATGGCCAGAGTGGAGAACCAGTGGTCTAGATAAAACCAGAGGGCAGCACTGGGATAGAAATCTGGGCATCAGTTTCCAGGAAGAGAAGATTGCTGAGTAAGAAGTACCTTTTTGCTAAAGGCATGCAAACGAGGTTAGAGAGAAAAAGGATTGGTAAAGAAAAGTGGTCCCGTGTCTGATGTGGCCTCCTACAAACCCAACACCCGGCTAAATTGCTCAGCCTGGGCTCGGGGAGGATTCTTCTTCAGTTTCCTGGTTTCTTGATCTCTCTGATTCATTTGATCCCAGGTGGGGCTGAGAGGGATTTTATATTTCAAACTGTGGTTTCTAGGTGATGCTGATGCATTGCAAAGACGTCACATTTTGAGAACCACTGCTCTGGAATAACCACCTTTGCTGCTATCTGGTGTTAGACTTTTCTCGATTATCTTTGTGATTTTCTCTATGCCCAGGCTTGCTACCCTTAGTTTTTCTTATGTTGGCTGCTTCTGTTTCATCTTGGCATTGCTCACTTCCTGTAGTCCTTAATTGTCTTCCTTAATTCACATTCTGCACTATGGATGGAGGGAGAAATGCCTCTTCTTTCTTTTTCATCTCTCACTGGTTGTCTGTTTTTTCTTTGCTTCAAACTACAGGAGACTCAGTTTCCCTCATGCTGTATCCCGTAACATCTCCCAAGGCTGCTGATCTTTTAGGAAACTGGTTCCTTAAGGCTAGGTTACATATACCATGGTTGTCAATAATGTAGAGTTCTTAACATTTTATATGCTATTTCGACTATAGTAACACATTTTTAGGGAATATCTGACTTTTAGATCCTTTTCTGAGCTGTAACTGATTTCTTGGAACTCATCTTTCTACAGGGGACATTTGAATTATTTTGCATAAATGAATAATTTTACACTTGCCCACATCAAAGCTTATCTGCGAATTTCTTGCCCACTCACACATCCTCATGAGATGTGCTTATCAGATTGCTTTTTTTTTTTTTTTACCCAGAAAATCTTACTTAGGGTCGTATGCATTCTTAGAGATATTGCTGTATCTATTTTTTCTTAGTTATTAAAGATTTTTTGTTATAAATAGAGATTGCCTCCTGGGAGATCATCACTGTTTATATTTTTATAAACATTCCCTTTGCTGCATGTTGCTAAATGACTCCCTATCCATGACAAAACAGAATCATATGATTCCATTCGAATTTCGGGTTAAAAGTAGACTGTTTCCTCTCTAGCATCACCTAGTGTTCCGAGGCCTGATTCCGCTTCAGTGGCTGACCCCAGTGACCCACTGTAAAGCTGACAGTTCTGTCACTCTGGATCTTGCAACATGTTCCTGTTAGGTGTGTTTCATGGCCAGGGCAGTTGGGATTGCCAGCGCTGTTAGGAGTCATTGCTTCTTATGCAAAAGTGCGAGAGGGCTTCATTGATTTCCGCAGCAGGCCTTACTCCCTCCCACTCTGCACACTTCCTAAAGCCTCCTTCCACCTTTACAAACTCAGCCCCCTCCTGGCCATGTCAACTCCTGATGATGTGTCAGGTGTCAGCTTGTACACATCCACCTCACCATCTCAGGGGGGTCTTCTGTGACACCGATGACAAGCTGCCACACTGGGTGCTCCTTCAGCACCTGCATATCTCCTTTAGGACACTTTCTACGGTAGAATTATTTAATTATTAGCAATACTGTGATGAGTTACTCACCCATGAGTTCTCTGAGGGCAGTGATTGTCTCTTGAGTCATTGTAAATCCCTGATGTCGAGCATAGGGCCTGGTACCTAGAAGGACCTCAATATTGACTGACTGGCAGGTCTGCTTCTCCTGTCCACTTCTGGAATAACACTAACGAACCCAGCTTCTGAACTTTGCCATTTTAACTGGCCATGGTCATGCATCTCACCATGTATTTCCCCTTTATTTTTGGGCTCTGCTCGGTTCCTTAGCTTTTCTTGATAGGACATGGGCTCCAGACCTCCTACCATGCTGGCTATCCACTTTTGGATGTTCTATTGAACACGGTGTTCTGGGCATCAGTGCAAGACACGTGAAAGTGGTTTTCCACTCCATTAGAATATGGCTGTTCTTAAATACACAACAGAACTGCTTTAATGATTGTAGCACCTGTGTCATATTGTTGACTAATACTAAAATTCTGATCACTGCAATGCCTCGCTAGTCACATGATGCATTTTAACTATACAAGCAATACATGATCACTATAAAAACTAGAAAATTCAGATGAAAAATAATAATTTAAAATCAGCAATTAATGCCACTACCGAGAAACATCCAGTGTTGAAATTTTATAACCTTGAAGACTTTTCCCATGAGCCATCTTTATTGATATATATGCATATGTTATGTGTAATGTGTGTATGTATATGTATGTGTATATATTCTGAGCTTATATGTTCTCTCTCTCTATATATATAAATATATATGGCTCTGTACGCTGCCATATATGACATAGTCTCTTTATGTCAGTAAACAGAGTTCCATTCTGCCTTGAGAAGCAATGTGACATAGTGGATAACAATCTAGGGTTTGAATTCAGATGGCCCTAGGCTGTACATCCCATTGCTTACTAATTATATGACCTGGGATGGGTTACTAATCTTTTCTAAACTTCAATTATATAGTTATTTATAGTTAGTTATACATTTATATAGTATATGGAATTATGTAGTTATAGAACATATTTATAATAGCCATATGGTTTATTTAGCTATATAGTATTTCATTTTATGAATATACCTATTTACAATGTCTTTAAATTAGGTCTACTTTATCCTACCATTCAATTTTTGAATCCTGAAGCTGAATTTTTTATTTTTGTGCTTGTTAAATTTTATTTTATTGATTTCAACCAAAATACTTCAGGATTTGGGATAATTTAAAGATACTTTTCAATCTTTATCTTTTGAATCTGTGTGTTACTACACATTTGATAATCAGAAATTTAATCCAAATGATAGACAAAAATGTTAAATGTAGTAGAGAACTATATATTCCATCATTGTTACCATTATAGTAACTCTCCCCATTGTTGTCCTAGGGATATGAATACACTAATAACCAGTACACTTTGATTAATGTTATTAATTGGCTATTGAATCTATCCAACTGATTGGTCTGCTCCTGATTAACACCCTTTTCCAGTCCAAAAGGAGAGCAAGAGAAATCCTGCCTGGAGCCCTGAAGAAATAGAATATATAATCTTTGTTGCATTCTTACATTTTACCTCTCCAAGAAGAGTTTCATAAAAGTAAATAAAGTTAGGTTAGTCTAATACATGTTTAGTAAACTCATACTGCCTCCCTGAAATGTTCACAGCTTTCTTAATAACGTAGGAGCCATGGCCACATGGGTGAAGATGCTAACTCTTCTAGAAAAGAACAACCCACGGCAACAGATCTATACCAACATATACATATGAGACAAGCATGCTCCAGCTTTTTACTTTAGAAAGGGATGGGGGAAAAGGCATGCTTTGTAGGGAAAAAGGAAAGAATGGAAAAAAAGATAGGTTGAGAGAGGATGGAGAGAATTTTTATTTGCTTTATTTGTTTTCCCTTGGGACAGCACTGTTTTTTAAAAAAAGAATGGGAGGACATGCCAAAGTAGTGCCATGTTTAATAAACTCATCATCGCATTTGCTTTATAGAAATAGGTGCTATCCACACATGCTGTAAGATGTATGTGCTTGCTATTTCTTGTTTGCCTTGGGTAGTTCATGTGATGCATAATACTTATTATTAAAATGACAATATTCTTAAGTAATATTGTGGTTATGTTCTCCAAATCCTTTTTACTTCTTCAATATACCTGAGTAAGTAGGTAGAGTATCTCTTGAAAGGGAAGAGGGATGTAGAAAACCTAAGTGATTTTCCCCAGATGTTTATAGCAAGTTAGTGCTGGAATTAAGACCATAAACCAGAGGTTGTATTACATGGCCCCTCACTTGAAATTCAGTAAAATTTTTCCTCATCCTGTCTTAGGAGAGTGAGCCAGCCTCATGTTCTAGAAGAACATCCAGGTTCCAGGCCTTCCCTGCTTCAACAGCGTGGTTTCCCACAGCTTCTCATTCTAGGTACATCAAGCTACCAGTAGTTGTTCCCTGCACCAATGCTGCTCCATACCTTTGTATGATATTTTAGGCCACGTAGATTCATCTATATAAAATGCTCTTTGCACCTTTCTTTACCTGGACACACTACTCTGTGTCAAACTCTAAGTCTTCTTCTCCAGGAAACCTTCTTTGAACCTCATGTGCATGACTATGCTAGCCCTGGACCTTGTCCTTGAGAGGGCAATGATCTCTTATGTGCCTCTCTTCTTCCTTACTGCAGATCCTTTGTACATCCAGAGACTGACAGGCAGTGAGAGCTCAAATACTATGAAAGTGGCTTAAACTGACAGGTTGTCTTATATCAAACAGGATATGAGAGCAAATCTCAATCAACCAACAGATAATACTCTTGGACTACATTCTACTTAGAAGGAAATTTAGTTTGATTTTTAAAAATACATTTTTCAAATGCTCTGGTAATAGATGTTGTGTTGTTACACATCTAATTAGTGTTTTGCCCAAGTGGGCAAACATAGGTATTCTTTACCCAGAAGCAACACGTATTATAATCTCAATAGCTAATAGGTTTTGTAGGGTTCTTTAGAGAAGCAGTTCTATTTTAATTCAGATTCCTTAAGAAGTTGGAGGATCTTTACCAGAAATCGTAGCATTTTGACAGTATCTCTCTTTTAAAAAATATTCTGACATCTAAGTGATTTGATTAATTTAGTTTTTAATAGGTGTGAGGTAATTTTAAAAATATCATAGCCGCAGGATAATTTATTCATGGAGGATCATTTCGTAAGTGATTGAGTTTCATGCCTTCTTTTCTGGTAGAAGTAGAAAAAAGTACGTGGATTGCTGCTAACTTAATAACTTTACTGATAACTAAGAATGGAACAGATCTTGCTGTGAATTACATAAGCAGCTTTAAAAGCACTCCATATTCTTTCTGTGACAGAGTACGAAAAACACAAGGCAGAGAATATGGTTATGAGAATGTTTTCCTGCAAAAGCTTAACTATGTTGTATTTAGTAGTATAGTCAGGGAAAGATGGGGTTAGAATGATCATAACAGCCGCTTGAAAAATGTATCTTAATGTCAGCCTTGAATGGCTTTTCTTTTTCCTGCTAAGGGAATCTAACAGGATATTAAAAAACATATTAACCTTCAAAATATGTTTAGATTCTGCTATGCTTCTAAAGAGGCAATATGAATGTGAGAGCTATGTTTAGTAGAAGTTTTGACCCATAGAATTCGTAGAAAGGGGTCACTTAAATTTAGTTTGGAAGCCAACAGTCTCGCATATGACTGTCTGTAATATCACACCCTTCTAATCCATTCTCTATGCAGCTGGTAGAGTTATCATTCTAAAAGAAAATCTGATTATGTGATTCATCTGTGTAAAGCCCTTTAGTGGTGAAATCTAGATGCCTTAGCTTGGCAGACTAGGTCCTGCTTGAGCAGGCCTTGCAACAACTGCCCTAGAAATCCATGTTTGAGCTATAAGGGAGCAGCTCACAGTGCCTAGAATTCCTCAGCCAGTGGCTACTTACTGCAGTCATCCCTGTCTACCTGAAATGCATGGTCTCTGTTCATCCTCCCCAGGGATTGACCAATCCCTCCTTTGCACCAATAATCTGCCTTTACATCACAGTTCTTTCAAGCCACTCTTAACAATTTTTGTATTCAATTACCCTTCTCTCTTAGACCCTAAGCTCTTATTATCTCTGCGTGGTCATTACCCTTCCCTCTTTGACTCTAAGCTCTTATTATCTCTGCGTGGATAGGCCCTGCATGACAATTAGTTGAGTTGATTTATAAATAGATTCACTGATACCTCAGAGTCAAAACTATTGACTGTGCCTACTCTCAAAAACTGTATCCTTCGTGGAAGTTTTGCCTGCAATTCCAAAATAGTCTTCATCTTACTCTTACTGATTTTGTATTAATGTTGTAGTTGAAAACATTGGAGACTAGTTGCTTGGGTTTCTAATTTCAGTTCTTACTCAAATACTTATATTCCTACAGAAGAAAATACTTTAGGCTAAGAAAAACAGCATTGTTGCTAAAATTCTCAATTTTGAGCCCCACCCACCCCACATTTTATCTATGGAAATGTGCCTATTGACCCATTTTGCCCTCCACTGGTGTTCTGAGATGGGTTTAGAATTTTGTAGGAAGCATATAGAGGAAAATGACATCAACATTTTTTAGCTAGACTCCTGTTTGGCTTCCTGTGACTATTAAGATTGGTTCTGTTATTTTGTTCCTTGAGCTATCACTGATCTTGATTACTGGATTATTGTTATTTCTGAGTTACTGAAATAATATAAAGTCATATATTAGTATGTTCAGTATTATATGTAGTAATAGAATTAGTCATTGCCATTGCTGCAGGCTTAAAAGTAATTACCAAAGTAGACACCATCACTGGAATGTAGGTTGAATCAGAGAATGTTAATTTTGTCCATTTTTCTTTCATATTTTTTTTTAAAGTTTAGAAAGCTGAGGCCCAGAATCTTAAGTAACTTATGTAGGATTTCATGGCAAATTAAAAATGAAGCCCTGAGTCCATGCAAAGCATTTCCAAAATGCCTTCCTCCCCTTTTGTATTTGAGAATCATTCCAGTAGCACGTTAATGTAGGGACTATTCAGGAGACATCAGGCTTGGAGCTGGGAGTTATGCCACCGCTTACTTTCCATTGCTCTTCATTGTTCCCCTGCAGAAAAGTGCCCCAGGAACGATAAGTCCTCAATGAATGGAGAGATTGAGACACATAACTCCCTCGTAACTTATGGCTTTATCTAAATGGCTTTAAACTTGTAGGTGTTGCCTTAAAAGTATCAGAAAACACTGATTTTCTACTGAAATCAACAGAAACTTTGATTGCGTGAGTGAAGATTCCCAGTCTGTTATTACTTGTGTTGATGAGTGGGCTTGTTTCCCTGTAGCTTAGGAGGCTCCATATCAAGTAGGTTCAGTTTGGATGACAACATGGAGCTATGGAGAAGCTAACCACAGAGGCAAAGGAGAGAAAGCAGTCTCAGAGACAAATGCAAATAGTCTTGGGAATCCTTTCTAAATATATTCACTCATCAATCTCTCCAGGGCACCTATCTGGTATTTTCCCTCAGTAGGTCAACTATTGTTGCTTGATGGCTTTAATCATTTTGCAATTTCAAGTAAAAAGAAGAGTAATACCATAGCTGTATGTCAGCTTTCTGTCTTATTCATAGGAAGAAGGACATAAACAGTTCTTGAAAAATGCCGTGTCTTGGAAACCTTGAAAGGTGGTCGCCTTCTCAATCATACAAATATTTCAAATAACAGCTTTGTCAGCCTTCCTGCTTTGAGCTCACAATAGGGATGGTAGGTAGGTTGGGGAAGGGGAAAAGAACAGCCTTTAATTATACATCAGCAGCACTTTCAGGGAAGGAACTATATGTTTTTTGTATTCTTCAAAGCCTGCTATTGTCTTCAACACACAATCTGCACTATGAAGTGTCTGCTGAATGAATGAATGGGTAGATGAATGGATGATGGATATTGTATATGTACTTTCTGTTATTTGGAATGAAGCAGGAACCCAAAACAAATTTGTCTCCTCATAATGGAATGATTTTTCTTTCTTTTTTATTTGCATAAATAATTGTCCTCTTACTCTTCTCTAGTCTCATATAAAAGCATTTTCTCTACTCTGTAAAGCTATTCACTTTTATTCTGGATTAAATCCCATCCTACTTCTTTTTTTTGTTATAAAATTGTCAGAAACAAAAGTTGGGTTTTTTCCCAGGCTAGGGGAGTCTTTTTTCCCCCCTTTTACTTTTGTTAATTTTGCCCTGAAGGTACAGTGAAAGTGGCACCTCCTCCTTGAAGCTTCTCATTGGTTATTCTACCTTACTCCATTTCTATTTAACACATATTTAGTTTTCTTACCATAATTACACCGGCAACAAGTGTAATAGCACATATTTTACTTAATAAAAATCTCAGCATCAAATTCAGTGATGAGCAGATAGTAGCTGATTAGCAAATCCTTCTTGATTGAGTAAACTATTACACATGCATGGGATATTCTTGCTTTCTTGGGTAAATCTGATTGCCATTTTATTACAAACTCTGAAAGCCCACGAAAGTACATTCATCATGGTAATTTAACTGATTACCTTGCCTTTAGCTACTGTAATAAGAAGCCCTTTGCATTTTATGACTGCCTTCTTGATCCACATATAGATTTTAAGTTTTGTTTGTTGGACACTTTCTCTATTTCTTTTCATATTTAAAGGTCATTCTAGTTGTGAGCTATTGTTTCAGAATCAGGAAATATGATAGTTAGACAAAAGGACTGATGAGCTAATCTCTGATGGTAAAAGATATTTTGGGATGTATCACAAGGTTTTAGGGTAAAAGGCTTGTATATTTTGTGAACCTTCTGGAACTGATGAACACTCTTTTTTTGGCGTGTGTGTGTGTGTGTGTGTGTATGTGTTTGTACTGTGGCAAGGATGTGCGGGCAAAGAATAGCTAGCAATCCTAGATGTAACTCAAAAGAGAAGCAAGATTATTATGGCTATGCTTTTCTGTCTTAGTTTCTCTGAAATAAAAATATTTTTTGATGTGAAACGCAATTGCTTCTGATTCTAAACTACATGGCTCCCCTCTAAGGGATTCGCCAAAATGGCAAAAGATGTGGGGATGGGCAATTTGAATCTGAAAACATTGCAACTGGAAAGAAATTCAGGGCTGGGCACTACTAGACAGAATTGTAAATGAGCTGAATTTGGTTGCGTTTCCATTAGTCTAGTAGGAATCTGAAGATACTAATTACTGTGTTTTTTTTCTTTCTTTTCAAAAATAAACTAAACAAGTCCAAGTGCCTTTGAAATTCTGTTAATCTCTTATCCAAACACTAGTAGGCTCCTTTCTTATTCCGTGTGTCGTTAACCTCAATTTTGCCTCCAGTTGCCTCCTAGCAAGCTAGTAAAAATGGAAAATGGAAAATGAATTGTGGTGAGTGCTTAACTCACTTTAGATGGTGTGGTCCTTTTTTATTCTTTTTTACTGTGAGTTTACGTAGCCCATGCTATCATTGTTCAAACTTCTTTAACCCTTTTTATGTGGGACCTTCTATCTCTTGGATTTCCTATTATCTCTCACCATGATGACTTCTTGATAAAGGAAAATAATATGTGATATTACATGTCTAAAAATGTCTTTTTCTATCCTCCTTTTGGATTGATAATTTTGCTAGGTGCAGACTTATAGAATGAAAATTGTTTTTCCTTGGAATTTTGAGGATATCACTGCATTCGATTCTAACTTTCAATAATGTTGAGAACTATGATGCCACTTAAAAAAATCCTTTGTATGGGACCTTTGCTCTCACCTCACCCCTTGGAATTTTTAAGCATATGATGTAGATTTTTACTGATTTTGTTAGACATTTTCAATTTTAGAGATTTACATCTTTCAGTTATAAAATTTTGTTTTTAAAATTATGTCTTTGATCATTTCCATACAAATTCTTTTGTTTGGTCTTTTCTACTGAAACTCCTGTAAGATTTTGGAACTCATGGCTTTTCTAAATAATTTCTTTATGTTTGTTTGTTTATGAGTCCTTTGTCTTTTTATTCTTTTTTGGAACAAATTTCCTTGAATCTATCTTTTTTAATTTTTACATTTTTTTATTTTCAATTTTTGTGTTTAAATAGTAGGTATATATATTTATGGGGTACGTGAGATGTTCTGATACAGGCATGCGGTGTGAAATTTGCACATCATGGAAAACGGGGTGTTCACACCCTCAAGAATTCCTTGTTTTTAATCTTCTAATCCCCTTATTGGATTAAAAAATTACATATTTATATTTTTATTTTCAGGGAACTTTTCTTTTCTTTCTTTTTTTTTTTTTTTTGAGACAGAGTCTTACTCTGTTGCCCAGGCTGGAGAGCAGTAGCACAATTTGGCTGACTGCAGCCTCCACCTCCCGGGTTCAAGGGATTCTGCTGCCTCAGACTCCCGAGTATCTGGGATTACAGGTGCGCACCACCATGCCTGGCTAATTTTTTGTATTTTAAAGACGGGGTTTCACCATGTTGGCTAGGCTGGTCTCGAGCTCCTAGTCTCAAGTAATCCACCCGCCTCAGCCTCCCAAAGTGTTGGGATTACAGGCATAAGCCATGGCACCTGGCCCTTTTCTTATTTTTTTGTTATTCCTTTTTATGATATCTTGTTTTTAATTCATGGGCACAACATCACATCTTTGATGATATCAATGATAGATTATTTGAATTTTTCAGTTTTGTTTCTCACTTTTGTTTCCTATTTTATTCTCTATTTTAAATTGGAGGCTTTCTCAAACGTGGTAATCTTTGTTTTTCTACTTATGTTCATTAAACATGGATGGGAAGCTTTGTGAGAAAGTTACATTAGTTCATTGATCAGCTTTTCTATAACCAGCCAGATCATTTTTGGTTGGGGGTCCCCAAATGTCAGTCAGTATGTCCACATTTTCCCCCACTCTCTCCAGAGCAGGATTCTCCAGTCTCCTTTTAAGGAAGCAGAAACTTAACTGTTTACATCCTAAGCTGGGCAGAAGGGGGGGCATGGATGTCAGTGTTTCTCACTGTCACCCTCCAATGTTCCTAAGAATCTCAGACTCAATTTCTCCACCTAATATTTCTCAACATTCCTGAGGGAAGGAACAATGGGTAATCATGTAATAGATTGTGTTGGAAGTAGGGATGCAAGAAATTAAATGTTCCTTATGGAGACTTTCAAAATATTCCCTTGTATGCATATGTCATCTGATTTTGAAAAAACAACAAGAAAAAAAAAACCAGACAAAATATTACCATGTTTTTCAACCCTTTCCCTTGAATGTACAGGCATACCTTGGAGATATTGCAGACGAGCACAGTAAATTAAATGTAGAAATAAAGTGAGTCATGTGAATTTTTTGGTTTTCCAGTGCACATAAGAGTTATATATACACTATACTGTATTCAGTCAAATGCGCAAAAGCATTTTGTCTAAAAAAGCAATGTACACATATTAATTTAAAAATACTTTATTAGTTAAAAAAAATGCCGACAATCATCTGAGCCTACCATGAGCCGTAATCTTTTTGCTGGTGGAGAGTCTCGCCTTTATGTTGATGGCTGCTGACTGGTCAGGGTGGTCGTTGCTCAAGTTTGGGGTGGCTGTGGCAATTTCTTAAAATAAGACAACAATAAAGTTTGCTTCATCAATGGACTCTTCCTTTCACTAGAAATTTCTCTGTAGCACATGATGCTGTTTGATAGTATTTTACCCACCATAGAACTTTCAGAATTTGACTCAATTCTCTCAAACCCTTCTTCTGCTTTATCAAGTAAGTTTATGGGATATGCTACATTCTGTATTGTTGTTTCAACAACACTCACAGCATCTTCCATCAGGAGTAGATTCCATCTCAAAAAAACACTTTCTTTGCTCATCCATAAGAAATGCTTTCTCATTTGTTCAAGTTTTATCATGAGATTGTAACAATTCAGTCACATTTTCAGGCTCCACTTCTAATTCTAATTCTCTTGCTTTTTCAACCCAATCAGTAGTTACTTCCTTCACTGAAGTTCTGAACCCCTCAAAGTCATCCATAAGGATTGGAACCAACTTCTTCCAAATTGCAGTTAATGTGGACATCTTGACTTCCTCCCATGAATCAGGCATATTCTTAATGACATCTGGAACAGTGGATCCTTTCCAGATGTTTTTAATGTATTTTACACAGGCCCATCAGAGGAATTACTATCTATGGTGGCAATAGCTTTACAAAATGTAGGTCTTAAAGGATAAGACTTCAAATTTGAAATGATTCCCTGACTGATGGGCTGCAGAATGCATGTTGTGTTAACAGGCATGAAAACAACATTAATCTCCTGTACAATCTCCATCAAGGCTTTTGAGTGACTAGGTGCATTGTCAATGAGCAGTAGTATTTTGAAAGGAAGCTTTTGTTCTGAACAGTAGGTCTTAACAGGGAGTTTAAAATATTCAGTAAACTGTGCTATAAACAGTTTTGCTGTCATTCAGGCTTTATTGTTCTATTTATAGAGGACAGGTACATAATTCTTGAGGGCTCTAGGATTTTCAGAATGATGAATTAGTATTGGCTTCAACTTCATATCGCCAGCTGCATTAGTCCCTAACAACAGAGTCAGCCCCTCTTGGCTGAGTTTGAAGCTTTGAAGCCAGGCATTGACTTATCTTCTCTCACTATGAAAGTCCTAGATGGCATTTCCTTCCAATAGCTGGCTGTTTCATATACATTAAAAATCTGTTGTTTAGTGTAGACACGTTCATCAATGATCTTAGCTAGATCTCCTGGATAACTTGCTACAGCTTCTGCATCAGCACTTGCTGTTTCACGTTGCACTTGGATGCTAGAGAGATGGCTTTTTTTTCCCTAAACCTTATGAATCAACCTCTTTTAGCTTCCATTTTTAATTCTGTGGCTTCTTCACCTCTCTCAGACTTAATAGAACTGAAGAGAGTTAGGACCTTGCCCTGGATTAGGCTTTGGCTTACGGGAATGTTGTGACTGGTTTGATCTTCTCTCCAGACCACTAAAACTTTCTCCATACCAGCAATAAGGCGGTCTCACTTTCTTATCATTCATGTGTTCGCTGGAGTAGCACTTTTAATTTCCTTTAAGAACTTTTCCTTCACATTTACACTTGGCAAACTGGTGCAAGAGGACTAGCTTCAGCCATCTTGGCTTTCAACCTACCTTCCTCACTAAGCTTAATCATTTCTAGCTTTTTATTTAAAGCGAGAGACATGCAGCTCTTCTTTTTACTTGAACACTTAGAGGCCATGTAGGGTTCTTAATTGGCCTCATCTCAATATTCTTGTGTTTCAGGGAATAGAGAGGGCTGGGGAGAGGGAAAGAGATGGGGGAACAGCCAATTGCTGGAGCAGTCAGAACCTATCACATTTATCAATGAAGTTCACGGTCTTACATGGGCACAGTTTGGGGCACCCCAAAACAATTACAATAGTAACATCAAAGATCACTGGCTACAAATTACTATAACAGATATAACAATAATGAAAAGTTTGAAATATTGCAAGAATTACTGGAATGTGACACAGAGACACAGGGTGTCTTGGAAAAATGGCACTGATAGACTGGTGCAACACAGAGTCCACAAACCTTCAATTTGTAACAAAGCACAGCATCCGTGAAGCGCATTAAAGAGAGGCACAGTCAAATGAGTCATGCCTGTACTCCTCCCTTGCATTGTATCTGGTACTTCCAACTCCTAGGCTTTTTGTGGGTTCTTCAGGGTAAAATGGAGTGCACCTTCTTGGTCTCTTTCTTTCATAGGCATTCGGGCTTTTCTTTCCTCTTTTCTGTGAAGTGTTTTCACTATATTTTATTTCTTGGTGGAATGGGGTTTGGGTTGTGTCTGCTAAAATTACTTAATCTTAACAAAAGACTACTCTTATTGAGAACCCTTATGGTTATTTATGGAATAGGCCAGTGCATAGATGTAGATGCATAGATAGCAATTAGAGATAATTTAGAAAATCCATGAGGTCCAAAATCTAACAGGGGTTTCAGCAGGAAAGACCAAACAAAATAATAGTATTGAAATGATCAAAGAATAATGAAATGAAGGCTAGTGTGGCATGTTTGTGCATTGGTGAAGATGTTGTTGTCTCTCTTTCCAGTAGCTTCAGAGATTGGGCCAAGTAAAACAGGGAGTCTAGCTTGGAATGCAGAGATATAAACTGAGATGTGATGTATTAACAAGTCACCATGAGCTACCTTCATCGTACAGAGACACAGGGAGGGCCCTGAAGGAATATGGATATGCAATTATAGGAAAGTAGGGTTTGATGGAAGAGGGTATAGACGGGAAAAAAGCAGAAGATGTGACAATGACTCTAAGATGTGGCTTCTAGTCAGTGACGGTCTGCTTGGTCACTTGGGGTCTTACTGTGGATTGAAAACAGGTCCTTTCTTGAGGATGGAGGGGTGCCTCTACCAACATAACTGCTGAAATGGTCCTAGATCCCAGAAGTTCTCTTGTTATCATAATGGGTTATTTTGAAAAATCTAGGACATCCTTCACATGATCATCTCAAGGATAACTAAAAATGCAAGACACGTTTTAGGGTACAAAAAGCAAAAATTCAAAACATCTTAGAAAGCCAAATTATTTCTATTTGAGTTCATAAATACTGTGCATATAACATGAAGTTAGAATTCTGATCACAGAAGCCTTATACGAACACTTTTTTTATCCCAACTAATCTGTAGTGATTGGCATTTCTTTGTAATAGATCATAAATCTTGGTGCAATGGGAGGATCATCTTGAGGCAAAAGAGAACATCTCATTTGTTTTATTTCACTGAGTAGAGCTACATGACACTGCTGTTTCTGAAGAGTGGCCATCATCTGCATGGCTTGCTGCAGAGAATTTTTCTGGCTGCAGTAATTTAGGGGCATTTGAAAGCTGAGTTTGAAGGTGCACTACCAAACCATCAGGCTAATGCTGAACATCATGTCTTCTGAGGTGGGTTTCATTTAGTAGGTTGTAAGCAACGTGCATTTTTCTTGACTCACGGAATCTACCCACCTATATGTCTATCAGATAGGACTAAACCACAGATGTTCAAATCAACTTAACATTTGCCTAGGGAAATAAACTTAAAAATAATTGTGCCTGCCCCAATCCATGACTTGATTGAACTTGGCTGCTAACAGAGGAGATAAATGGGTGGGCTACTCAGGCTGAGTCTTCCGGTTTACTTTGGGTGGCTCATTAATGGGGCTGAAGCACACCCCTTTTGACGTCATCTTTCTGTGCATGTTTGGAGAGACTGGGACCTGAACAGATGGCCTCTATATGGGCTCCCATGACTACCAGGCATGCCAAGCAGGCAGATGAGTGATCTGGCTTGTTCCTTCTCTTTTAGATTGCTGTCAGCCAGGGAAAAGTGGTGAAAATAAATCAATGGCTCCCTCCTCCAGACCCAGCATGCACCCTTCAGTCGTCAAAATAAGAAACATCCTGTGGTGGCTGTTGGGTGATTTCTCTGATGGGAAGAGCCCTTTACACGCTGGTGATTACCATAACAAATGACCAAATACCTCTTTTTTCTTTGTCCTGGATCAAATGTTGGCCCTAAGTGGCAGCAGCTGGTTTGGAGTGAGCATTGTTTATTCACTCCTAGACACTTTACGTCCTTTCTGAATGAGTTCAGTATTTTTGGTAATTGGTTGACAGCTGTTTACATGTTCCATCATCAGAACACAAGAAATCATAAACAAGAACCATGCTGAATATCTCTGACATTGCCTTTGTGTTCCTACTTTACCGAAAGCCCAGGGGCCTCTTCTTGCGTAACATCCATGGTTTTGACTCTTCAGTGAGTCCATAGGAAACGGTATAGCAGGGGACTCAGTTTAGAACCAATGACATAAGCTTTAAATCTTGCTTGATCTTCAAATAACAAGTTGACCCTGGGCTAGACTGTTTTATGGGCCAGCTTTCTTTTATTTGGAATAAAGACCTTCCTACCTTGCTTGCAGATCTATGACTCATATTCTCACAGACACACACTGATTTTCTAGTTATAAATCATGGACATTTGATGTGTTTTCAAACAATGAACACTTCGCATATGTGAGAGCCACGTTGGGTTAAGGTAGAAGGGAAGTTTTACTTTTTGGCATGAATTACATATATATAATCAAGAGGCTTTTCAATTTTGGAAGTTTCATATGGCCCGTGGGTGGCATGTTGGATATCCCAAGATTTACTTAGTGCAGTATGATAATCTAGTTCCCAAATTTTACATAGCTTAACACATAGAATTTGTAATGTTTCTAGAAATACCGCATATAGAAATATCTTCATAAGAGTTCTATGTTGTGATCTCCTTTAAGTTAATTCTCATTAGTTAGCTAGAAGAATTATGGGACAGTCACATCAAGGAATAAAAAATGGGACTTCTGGTCTTAGTTCTGATTTGTTTGTAACTGAGCTATTTATTGAGAAGTATCACTTATCATGTCTTTTCACTGATGCTTAAAATATATATGCAAACTAGAGCTGTCTAACTTGCAAAGCTTTTGGGGGGTCTTCTTTTATAAGTGTTAAGAAACTTATAAGTAAAAATTATTATTAATAACTGACATACTTAGACCTGTCAAGAAGGATGGTAACATTTCAACCAGCACTTGAGAGGAGACAGGTCTGCTGTGAGTTAGTCATCATCTGTGGATGATGTATTTGAGGACATGATGCACAGAAGTTGAATTTATAAAAAAAAATGTTGGTAAAGCTCTTTCTGGAGAAATCATGGGTTGCAGCCTTAAATTCTGGGAAAATGGAATTTTCCTAGTTTTACAAACATGGCAGAAGGGATCCTCACTCTTGCATTTTTGGATTCTCATTAATGTTTCATACACACACAGAGTTAATAAAATCTCTGATGATTAAAAATGTGATTTTAGATTTAAGATATATTTTTAAAATATTAACATACAATGGCATCTCAGAATAATGAGTGTTTTACTTCTACTGCATCATTTATGCATTTTCTTTGGGGAAATGGACAGTCAACTCTTTTTCATACTTACTCTTTTTTCAAATGTTTTAATTTTTCTATTTATTGAAATAGAATGTGATCTTTAGGATCCACTGTCCTACCACAGCTCTGGGAGTCTTTAAAAAAACTTTAAAAAGTTTCCCATCTTTTCCTATCTCTACAAATTACAATCAGTCACTTAACATGCTCTTAACCCTACTGACTCTGCCGTTTAGTACAAAGAGGAGAAAAAGGACACCAAGAAGTAAAGTTACTTATTCAAGGAGAATTTGGGCAGAGCCACAACCAGAATTCAGGTCATCATACCCTTAATTCAGTTCTTGCACAAATATTTATTGTGTTGGGTGCTGCGCTGATTGCTATTTCTGTGCCCTTTCTATTCCATTAAGCTGCCTGTCTGTCTCTGCTATGGGGAATTTACTCTGTGGAAGTTTTTCCCTTCCATGGGGAAGGATTTTCTTAATGCCCATTCTCTTCACATAAACTCAGTGGATCGCCTCACTTTTCTCATTTATATTGTAAGGATGCTATACTACCAATTCGAAACTTTTATGATTCTCTTGTCCACCAATTATGTATGAAAAATGCATTTGAACCCTAAAATCCTTCATTGTGCGTTTCATGTAGCTTGTGTTCATTATACTGTGTTTCAGTTATTTTATTTCACCTTGTTCTTAAAGATGGCATGAGAAATAATGCTATAAATCAATCCCCTTGGAGATGCATTGTTCAAAGGAAGAGTGAAGTTATTTTAATCAGATGTTGACATTTTGCTTTAGGTCTCTTCACATCATTGTGGGTGGTTTTCTGTGCTTTTCTGGGTGGTATGTGCACCCACACATTAGGAGCATTGTGAACTACAGTGTGAATGTACAATAATGAAGTCAAATGTTTAACCAATACATGCAAGCTGATGATGCACACATGTGATGGAGTAGAACAGCATTTCCAATATGGGTCCAAGCTATTGGGATTATACCAATATCCATGTTAAATTGCATAAGCTGAAACTATGTCTTTAGGGGCCTTGGGATATTAAAATATGAGAAAATGGAGCAGTTCAGAATTTAATCATTAAAACGGCTTTGTACCTTTTGATCTGGGACAATGTAAAAGTGGCCATTCATTTGTTGGTTGTTTTCTGTGTCCCAAGGAATTTTCTGACTGCTTTATATATAACATTTTATTTACTTTAATAATTTTATGACATACTTTATTATCCACATTTTACAGTGAAGAAAACTGAATTGCAGTGAGGTTCAATGACACGTCCAAGCACCAAAGTTGCTGTTCAAATGGAGGACGGTCTGATTCCAAAGCTCTGGTGTTAATTAAGCACTATGCTATAATTCTCTCACATCCATTCATTAATTTATTTAACACATATTTATTGGCATATTGCTATTTTAGATGCCAGAAAAATTGCAGAAAATAAAGTAGACAAAGAATCCTGATTTCATGGCACTTTCCTACTTGTAGAGGGGAGACAGATAGTGAAGAAATAAATACATGCATGGAACGTCACATGGTAACGGAAGCTTTAGAGGACAATGAGGCCATGAAGGGAGGAGGGAGTGATGATCAGGGGTGTGGAGCTTGCAGTTTTGAGTAGGGTGGTCAGGAAGGCCTTGCCAAGAAAGTCACCTTGCAGCAAAGGCATGAACAGAGGTATACTTGAAATGGGAGTGGGGCGGGATTGAAACTTTATTGTAGATAGCTAAAGAGAAACTGGAGGAAGAACTGGAAGGAGCAAGAATATAGGCAGTGTTTTGGAGTTAGGTGTCCCAAAATTATTCCTGTGTCAAGAGAGTATGGGATTTTTTTAATTTTGTAAGACTTGAGATATTATAGTATGATTAATTGGTAAAAGAAAAATAGATGATGCAGGAGAGAGAGTTGAGAATTGCTATAGCAATGTTCTTGAATAGGTGAGATGGGATGGGATCCAGTACAAAAGTGTAGGACTTGATCATAGATAAGAACAGAGAAAATTGGTTCACAATAATAGGAAGGAAGGCAGCGGATAGGAGCACAGATGCTGGTAGGTGAAGAGATGAACTTGTGGGAGTTGAGGGCATTCTCTTCTGTTTACTTCTATTTTCTCATTGTGAAGGCAAAATCAGATCTTGAGCTGAGTGCAGACAGGGAGGCTCTGCTGAAATTTGGAGTGGAGAACAATACTGAATTGTCCTCTAGAAGAGGGTTAGAGTGACAGAAACACGTCTCTGCTGGCTCCCTGCCTGTCAGCATTAAGGGTCCACTTGGGGTTAGCGGTTGTGTGATCAGAGTGAGAATAACTGGCACGATTGCGGGTTTAACTTTGGGGAAGTGAACATGATGCTCAAGTCAGGTTCAGGATTCACAGATTAGTTGGTGAAAATTTAGGTTTAAATGTGATCAGAGTTTTGCCAGAAGAGTGTAATAAAGAGCTAATAATTATGAAATATAAGCTGAGAAGTGAGGGCATAAGGTGGGGGTGCGTAAGGGCCATGGAAAGGGTGAGGAGATGAATGGATTGTACAACATGGTAGGGTTAAGATTAAAGGAGTAAGGTGGAAAACAGGAGGTGTTGATCTGAGCAGGGGTGCTTAGTAATGAGGTCATTCAGGAGATTCAGTCTTCTTGGATACATCCACAGGTCTGAGCAGCTGAAGTTGAACAGAGCACAAGGTTGGAGGAAAGATGCAAGGAACTGAAAGGCCACCATGAACTGGAAAGGGAAATCACCAAGGATTATTTTGAATACTCTTGGGTAGATTGATGATGAACTAAAAGTTGAAGAACTCCAACAGGGAAGGGAGTGGTCAGCAGGTGGTTGCAATACAGAGCAAGTGGTTGATGGGTTTTAAGGGAATGACAAAGGTCTGCTCACATTGAGTCCTGCTCACAGGCAGTGCAGAAGAGCTATAGGTCTTTCGGGAGGGGGAATGGAGAGAGATCTGGCAAAGAACAAGGAGGCTTTTGACACTACTGTTGGGGTCATGTGGAAAAAAAGCAGCCTTCACTCACAGGGCTAATAAGAAGCCAAATCTTCAGAGGAGAGCCAGCTCTCAGCCTTGGAGCAAGAAGCTGAAGGGTAGAGTCAGAGAAGTTGATCAAATAGTGGGTTGTACTAATAACCATGAGCTTTTGTACTAGTAGCCATGAGCTTTGATGTAAGCTCATGGGTATTAATGCAACCCTCTATTTGCTCAACTGAAAGTTGAAAGTGAAAGAACTTCAGCAGTTAGGTCATAGTGGATAGGGCCAGAGAGGAGGATGTACAGAACCATATGGGGTGACAGTCTGAGAGGTCAGGAACGAACTGGAACTCCTAGGCTTCTTAAAAATGGAAAATAAACTTAGGCTGTAGGAGGCCTAGGGACATTATGGTGGTGAGGCTTGGTGTGATAAGGGGAGAGGAGAATGGAGGGTTTGCCAAGAGCATGTAGGGCTTCAGGATTTTCCTATTCCTACAAATAATGGCATCAGTTTCACCGGAACACCAGAATATCTGGAATACTCTTATAACTCCTGGAATATGAGCAGTGTTAGGGCTCCATTTATTTGTTAGGGCTCCATCTTAATTTATACATGTATAATGTATCTTAATTTATACAAGATATTTATACTAAGGAACTCATTTTCCCCTTTACCACTCTACGTTATTGCTCCTCCTTCGTGTATCACACGATACAGCTATTCTAAGCATCCACAATGTACCAGGCAGTGCTCTAGAGCTTTAAGTGTGGGAGTAGGTGGGAGCTCCATGAATGGACAGAATTCTTGCTTTGAGGAGTTCACAGTCTAGAGGGGCAGACTAATATTCTAGCAAATAACTACAAGGAGGATAGAAACCTGTGCTTTATGTGGGAAAATAGAGGAGGTAGAGACATGTTTAGATGTCAGTTTTTCTAGAAATATGGAAGATAAAATAGTCTATCTGGAAGACAAATTCACCTATTTTAGCCAGACCACTCACAGAATTTTATAGCCACTTGCAAAGAATTTGATTTCTGCCCAGTTAGTGCTTGGCACAGGTTTATACATAGTTAATGGTCAAAATTTTTGATAAATAAGCGATTAAATAATAAATGTACTTATGAAGAACTTCAACCTTCAAGATGGTTAACTTGAATAAGTTGCAAATGTTTGTTTATGTTAAAATTCAAGTACAAAATAAAACAGTGAGACTTCACTGCCTTTCATTCCAGAAGGGAGAATGGAGAAGACCATTCGTGCTCTGGTTTGAGATAATAGGGAGACTTATGAGTTTTAGGCCACTTTCATTTTTCTTTTCATAGCAGTGAAGAATTTCTGCTAATTCACATTCCAGCATTTATTCTGTTTTTTTTTTTTTTGATCCTTCCAGGTTCTTTTATCCTGCCTTTTGCTTATAAACCATTTATTTATTTTTTATTTATTTTTATTTTTATTTTTTTTTGGAAATGAGTCAATTCTTGATATCCTTTTTTTTTGTTTGTTTTTTGTTCTGTTTTTTTGGAGACATGGTCTCACTCTGTCAGATTGGGGTGCAGTGGCACCACCATGGCTCACTGCAGTCTCGACCTCCCAGGCTCAAGTGATCCTCTTGCCTCAGCCTCCCAAGTAGCTGGGGCCACGGGCATGCACTACCATGCCTAACTAAGTTTTTAAATTTGTTTTTGTAGAGGCAGGGTCTCACTATGTTACCCAGGCTGGTCTCGAATTTCTGGCTTTGAGTGATCTTCCTGCCTTAGCATCCCAAAGTGCTGGAATTATTGGTGTGAACCACCACACCCAGCTGATCTCCTCTGTTTTCATGATCGTAGTACAGTCGCCCTCTGTTAGATAAAAGAGATTTATATAAGTGATTTGGCCAAATCTATTTATTTGAATTAAGGTAATTGTTTGGAGTTGGAGGCATCTGTTAGTAATTCAATGGATACTTGCCCTTGCATTGTATATTGGTGTAAGCTTATGCGAGATAACAATAATAATTAGTGGTGACTTTTAAGTGGTTTTATGTTGTGGTGTGTTGACTTGACCCACTGCTCCCTGCCAAGTCACCTTGGATCCTAACAGATGTGTTGCAAACCAGCCAAATGTGAGAAGCTGTGTTTATAATTTTATATTAACATTAATGTTACTGAAAGTAAAGAAATAGGGACTTAAATAGTTTATGCAATTTGGAGGACCAGAAATCTACACCAGGTAGGCTGGTAGACCATTACTTGGCATTTTTGAACTTTATTTTGATGAAGACACCTTGAACTGTGATCATAGTTGCTGGGAAATTCTATTTATTTAACTTGTTTCAATTTGGGCTTTTGGATTTTTTCTGTGTTTATCTTATGCTGGGTTGAACTATTATTATGGTTTAACACATGAGCTGAACAGAACTTTCCCTTCAGGTTCAGTTTCCGTGGGGAATAATTGGGGTTATCTTGACTGTTTCAAAATCATATTCTACTAGTTCATATATTTTAGTTTTCATGATCCCTCTTTTTTAGTCACAATTTCCCATATCTGAAACATTGGTTTGCTCATATATATTTCCTTCCTTCCTTCCTTCCTTTTTTTTCTTCCTTCCTTCCCTCCCTCTTTCCTTCCTTCCTTCCTTCCTTCCTTCCTTCCTTCCTTCCTTCCTTCCTTCCTTCCTTCCCTTCCCTTCCCTTCCCTTCCCTTCCCCTCCCTTCCCCTCCCTTCTCCTCCCTTTCCCTCCCTTTCCCTCCTTCCCTCCTTCCTTCCTTTTTGAGCTATTTTCTTGTGTGCATGTTTCTTCTATCCCCCAAACCCCATTTCATAGCCAACTTATAAATAGATAAGTACTTTTTTCTTCCTTCAGCGATGAGGAAGTAGTGCTAAATATTTATACCATTCATTATTTATTTACCAATCACTAATATGTCCCAAGAAAAGAGTTTACTGGGCCAAGAAAATCATAAGCAAGAGGTCAGTATTCTTCTTTTGGGTTTGATTTATTTAAATTGAACTTAGGCTATATAATAATTCTATATAAGTTCGGCTTAATTATACTGATAGTTTTATTTGCATTGTGCAGTTTGTCACTTTAGCATATTTAATGGCATTTTTCAATACAGTATTTTGGCTGACATGTTTTCAGTCAAGAAATTTATTGCATTTTCATTTGATGCTTGCATTTGATGCTTTGATTGTTATTCCTGGGCTTCTGGGCTTATTTACAAATTTCATTTAGTTATTATTTGAGGTTATGCTTTAAAATTTGAATTGAACAATACTCATAGTGATCTGAATTCATCTCACATTTCAATTCTACAAGTAACAGAGATGATTAGTTTTCCTTTACTCTTAAAGATGCCCAATCAGAAGTGCTAGGCTATTTTGTTTGGTTTTGCTTTTAAGCATCACCTATGTCCATTGGAGCAAGTATGAAAAAAATTATAGGTATTTAGGATTTATTGAACAAACACTTTTTGTTTGTTCACATTAGTCACAGTTTATATTCACCAGAGTACACCAGTGAACAGATGAATGAAAACAAACACAAATGAAGGCAAAATTCTGTGCCTTCGTTGAGCTTATATTCATTTTGGACTAGGCAGGAGGAAACAGACAAAATAAAAGATAAACATGGTAGATAAGTAGAGCACATAGTGTGACCGAGGATGGTAGTGTTAGAAGAAAAATAAAGCTTAGGTAACTGGGATCAGGATTACTAAAATACGGGTGAGGTTGCAAATTGAAATTTTAAATTGTAAGGACAGTGCAGGCCTCTTGAAGGAAGGAAGGGCCTTACCCATGATACACTCCAGACGATAGAATTCCAGGCAGAGGAAACAGCCTGTTAGTATGCCTCTTTGCACATTCAAATAATACCACGGTGCCCACAATGGCTGAGTGGGGTGCACAAGAGGGTGTGGTAAGACCCAAGATCAGACAGAAAATGATCATGAAAAGGAAGTACAGTCTTTGAATGGCCCCAAGCAATATTGTAAAGACTGTTGGTATTGTTTTTTCTTAATAAAAAGAGAAAAATAATTTCACAACGTTTTTCTAAAATTTTTTTCTTCTGTTCATAACCTTGATCTAACAGGATGCTCTCCATTTCTTTTCAAAATTCTTTGGAAAAAAAAAATTCCAGGTTTAATTAAAAACCCAGTATAATTTTTTCATCTTTCCTTTGGGATCCTTTATGCCTTGTTTCTGTAGGCTATTTGACAGCTGTTTGTAGAAGTCTGGTCCCATCTTTTATTTTCAGGTTTCTTCCATTTCCTTTGAGCATTTTCTCTTTGATGTGCTATGATTGCAAGGATCTTTTCCTCTTTTTTTAAAAAAATCTTTTGATGGTGCTGTGTGTGCATATGTATGTGTGTGCTTATGATATTGAATTGAGAATCACAGTAAAGTTTTTAAAAATTCACCTTTAACATTTGCAAAATTATCAAAAAAAAACAAATATCAATTAATGGTTAGCAGGCGATATGGTACAGTGAAAAGGGGGTGAGTTTTAAGGAGTTATTATTTAAGTGTATTCACATTTGTAACACGTTTTGAACACACAGATCTTCTCATATAAAAATGCAATATCTGTCTTTAATAGAGAAAAACAAACTATAAATGGGCCAGACATCTTATCTTATTAGCCTTAGTTTCCTAATATGTAAAACAAAGTTAATAACAGTTACCCTATTGTTGTGGGGATTGGAGATCATGTCACCTGACACCCGGTGATAATTATCCTCCCATGAACTGACGTTTTTTGAGGGCCTGCTCTGTTCTAGCCACTGTGTCAAAGACTTTGATGCATGAGCTGATCTAACCCTGACAAGGACCACTAGCATTAAAGCTCCACAAGGGGTGGGAAGAAAGCTAGGTATTGTTTATGATTGCATCTCAGGATGCATAGCGCCCAGCATGTATCAGACATTGAAGACCTTTTTTTGTTGAATGAGTAAAAATAAATGCCCCATTTTACAGATGAAGAAACTGAGGCTTGGTGAGATTAGATAAATGACTCAAAGGACATACTTAGTAAATGGTAGAAACAGAATTTGAACCCAGTCAGTCTAACCCTAGAGCCCAAGCTCTTCATCACAACACATATGAGGCTCTTATTAGTGTTGTAGGGAGGGCACTAGAAAGAGGGTTCTCTCCCTCCATTCCTTAAGCCCACAGCCGCTTCTTTCCACTTTTATCTTAGAGTTAGGATATGGCATTAGGCACACTGAATTTTATAGCTATGATTATTGTCCTTGAGTGTAAAAATATTATCATAGCTTTCTTTTTCCCATAAAATCAGACAAGGATATATATGATAATGCCTCCAGATGTGTGCCTGTGCTCACATACAACAGCACATGTACAGCAACACACACACACACACACACACACACACACACACACACACACACACACATACTGCACGTTGGGATCCTTTAAAGAGTCATCTGATATATAACATTCTGTTAAGCAGTGGTTTGAAGGCTTAATGAAATAATCACTGACCTGAACTAAATTTGTTTCCTTTAGTTGTACATTACAAGTGGGAGAGCAGCAAATTAATCTCAGAACCTGAATTCAAATCTCCTATGAGTATGAGATTTTATTGCTACTAGGAGGTTAACTTAATTCCAATTTGTTCTTAATGATTGATAGAATATTGATTATTGTAGGTCATTTATCTTTTCAAGGCTCAAAGGTCAAAAAATATAGAGGGACGTCTGGTAAAATCTTACTGCTATATTCACAAAGGAGCCAATACAGTTTTTAAAAAGAAAGGACTCTTGGTAAATTTAATCTTGATTACTACACAAATGATATGATTTCAATTTGTCTCTGAGATAAGCTTTTGATCTTTACCAATGTCATATCAATGCCTTTCAAATGGTGAAACCAGTCTTTTATGTATTTATTGGTTAGACAACTTATATGAAAATTATAAAACAGACTTTAATGAAATTCAGTTAGCTTACTTCATCAATAACAAAGACAGGAAATGAAATAAAAAGAAGCAAGTTAATGAACTACAGAAAATATGAACTTATAAATCCTTTATAACTACATATAATCCTGATTTAATTTGAGGACTCAGAATTCCAGGTATTCTTAGAGAAATCTGTGACTAATGCAGCTTAAAAGGTCTCAAACTGACATGGAACAATTTTTCTCAGTGTTTCTCATATACTGCGATGTGTCAAATGCTGACACAGATTAACAATAATTTATAAATTGACATTGCAGCAACTTTTTTAACCTTACACTTGGGCAAAAATGGAAACAAAAGCCTTTGGAGTCAATACTAACCAAATTTACTTTATGAGCAGAAACCACAGGGCTTCTGTTTCACCTTTAAGCTGTTTGCCAGTTTAAGAAATGCTAGCGTAAGGATCAATTTGTGAGAAAAGCAAGGATCAAAGAGGTTAAAGTAGGATATTTCTTTAGCTTATACTTTGTTTTGTTTTCAATATCACATGGCAACTTTTTTTTTTTAATGTTAAGTTTGGTGATAGACTGGAAGAGGTAGAGATGGGACAGTACGGGAATGTATGTGTATTTGTTTCTATAATAGGGATGTGGAATTAGAACACATATTATAATGCATGTTTTAGGAATAATTTAGACACATTTTAGTATGAAGCTACAAATGTATTCATCCTCTGAAATTCTAGAAGTTCCATGCAGCCCTGTGTTTTACATTGTTTTTGCCAAGTCAATGATGATAATTGTACCAAAAGGAAATCATGCAGAAGACAGAGAAAGAGCTATTGAACCACAACTTTATTTATAAGTATGAGAAGACTTCAAATTTAAGACAAAGTTTTGGATAATTTTTTAAGGATTATGTGCATCTTAGGAGTCCAATCAGTAGTCGGTGAAGTGCTCTATCTTCATAAATGCCCATGACTCACCACCAGCCATTAAAATCATGGCAGTTATAGGATCCCCAAAAGCCTCAGGGATAAATTATACATTGGCATTGTGACAGACAGGCCTAATAGGTCTTTCCCACCAGTAATAAATATGTTCCTGCACTCTATGCCAAGGTACATTTTACTGACTTCCTTTGATACCATGGTGAAGCCTCAGTCTTAGTAGTAAAGGATGTTTCCGTTTAAAGATGCTTCACGGCAAGCATTAAGCCACTGAGTTAACTGCTCAAGAAGTTCATGGCAATACCCTGTACATCTTAGCATGACATTTAGAGACAATATGTAGGTGTGTTTAGTAAAGCAATGCTTAAGCTCTTCCTAGAAGGCAAATCTCCAGCCCATTAGTTTTTCATTACAGTGAATGCTGGAAGGAAAAGGGCTTGTCAGCCACCCTCCTTGTGTTCCAGGGTTTGGGTGCCTCTCTCCAATCTCACCCTTCCTAGGCTCAATCTAATCCTGTCTGGGTCAAACCACTCTGGCTTGGATCTGACTTAGGAAATTTGGTCTGCTCCCAGTACAGAGTTGAAAAACATTTAAATGCCACTTTCTACCTTTGGGTTTGAAGACAGTTAAAATGGGACATTGGCAGGGGGTGCTAAATTAATCTGAACCAATTAATCAGGATAAAACATGATTCTTTATTAGTTATGGAATCCAAACTACTGAGAATTGATAGAGTCATCATATACTTAATGCTCCTGATTATGAACTAGATGTGGAATCTAGTTTTGTTGTATTTGGTATGCCCTACCCAAGTTTAGAAAACACATTAAGGCCTAATCAAAATTAGTGAAATGTAAGCAGATTTTGGCAGTAGGTCCCTATTCAGTTACCTTTGCTTGTAATAATCTCACATGCACACAAACGTACTTTAAACAATAGAGTATGGAAAAGCCACTAACAAGAATTTATCAAAAATTTCCAATAATTAGCAATTTAAAATATATGGATAAATGAAAATTTGTGTTTATAATGACCCTGGGAAGCATTATGTTTCAAATTCATTTAAAAATTGTATTCTATATGTTGCATTGTTAAATACTTATTTTTTGCATTATGATTCTTTGAGAATTGCAAATTATATAGTAACTCCATATATGGAGTTACATGGTAATTTCAAGTTAACCAAAATGCCATACCATATTATTTATCGACTACCATGGAAATTAAAACAGTCCATATAACTTGAATTTCCAGCACTGAATTGAAAGCTTTTTAGAGCTATAGCTTTCAATTCAGTCATTTTATTGAGAAAAAATGTGCTCTATTGCAATGAAGGGGTCTGTCCAAGGATATATAGACATTTGGCAGTTAAGGAGACACTGTGGTCTGGCCTCCTGACTTGCAAATTGGTGCCCTTACTTCTACAGAATATCAAGCAGGAATCAGACATTCCAATATTTTTGAATGGCCAAAACTTTTCTACGTATGAACTGTACCAGCTACCCAGGTTATAAATTGAGCCCATATTAGAGAGAGGCTATTTTGAGTATAGCCATACTGGTCCTATTGGGAGTCTATTTTATGTAGAGTTGGCTAAGAATTCAGTGTGAAAGGTGAATGGGAGGGATGAAGGAAATAGGAAATGAGGTATTGCTCCTTAAAGAGTTCACAATGAACATTCACTATCCATTCTCCTATCTCATGTTGCTATTTTTTCAGCTTTTGGCATAACATGCACATCTTTAGCCCCATTCAAGGGAATATGTAGGTGAGTAGATAGATGCTGCTCAGCTATATCTCCATGTGCTTCTAGGGAGGTCCTCCCACATTGGCTTTCAAAGAGCACAAACTCCTAGGGGAGGAGCTACCTTGCCTCCTACCTCTAATTGTGAACCAGCAAACCAGATCCCTTTCCTTTAAGACTGTATGACAAAATAAGTCTCCAAAACAGGAGGAAATGGGAATGAAAAAGAACACTGAAGAGGAAATTGGTTTAGTCACCATTTTCCCTAGGATAACTCCAGTCCCACAGCAGAGACTCAGGATGCAGTCATATGGCAACTCCAGTGCAGCACCAACTGAATGCATGCCAGGGAGGTGCCCAGAAGTGTTTGCAGGGTCAGGAGAGATTAAGCATGTCTCCACCTGGATGAACACAAGGTTGCCTGAAACTTTTGCCATTGATTTTTACCTTTGTTGACTTGTGAAGTCTCATGAGGGTCATTTTTTTTTTTTTTTGGAGTTTTCAAGGTTCTTTCACATAATCTCTTTAATTGCATGCTCATACTTTGGGTGATAGAACTCATTCTTTCCATTTTTGATCAGTGGCAAGACTGGGACTCAAATCTAGGACTCCTGATTATCTCCCGAACGATTATTCTGTGCAGTCCCCTACAACTGCTGCTTTGGGAGCACACACACGCACACAGAGGCACATGCATGCATTTTGAAAATGGAAACTATATAGGTGTGTATCTTTCCACAGGAATACTATGGTAGGTACTCTCAGAAACAACACCAACAATATGCTCTATAAATCTGGAATCTGTAGTTCAGTGGTTATTTGGGGATATCAGCAAAGTGGCTTTCATCAGTATGCATGTGCATATATATGAATATATACATACATACATGTATATATAGCATTTGGCACATCTATGTCTATATCATCTCTATTATATATTTCATCATCCACATATCAGTCACTATCCTTAGCTAGTGCCCAGGTGCTCCAAAAAATGCACAGTGGCTATCAGCATAAGCTGATAGAGTTAATTGTTTTAGAGTTAATAGAAGAACACAAGCAACCGGTCATTTGGCTCAAGAACTGAGAAACTTCTTTACATTCAGACTTTCCTGACACTGCTTACATTTAAGTAGCAATTGTAAGGCATCGCAGCTGGTTCGGCTCCTAGCAGTGACAACAAAGTTGTTATTGTATGCAATTGGTGGCCTTCCTCCCACTGGCCATGCCTCACCATAGCGCAGCCATGCTGTATGGTGTCTGCACTGCTGTGTGCTGGTGGGGGCAAGCCCCAGAGAGGGATGGGGGAAGGCAGGAGGCTTGGCACTTACAGGACTGAATTTCCAGGTTTTCTGGGAAATTTTCAGAGGTTGTTGATGGCGTCTGTATCTAAGCAGAGCAGGGGGTGTGTTCCCCAGTCCAGGTGTGCAGTTGCCAACCTTTGCCAACTATGATTAGACATGGATTCATGCATCTAGATGTAGTCCATCATTTGCATATGTAATTAATTATAATATGGTTAGTTCTTTCTGATCTCCCTTTCCTATAAATTGAATTACTCAGGGACTCTCATATGACACTAAAATCTTTTTAAAAAGTACACATGACATTTTGAAGGATAAGACTAACTGCTATTTATAGCACTCCAACTTCAAATTCAGAGCCTTCTGCTGTGATCAGACAGCAAGGAGTGCCTTCGTCTTTCAGCAAGCAGCCTCAGAAAGCTCGCAGCAACGGCTTCTCTCCTCAATAGTCTTCAATGCTCAATGGTGATCATGAAAATCACGACACCCCAAGTTAAAGACTTCTTCACTGGCACTCAGAAAGGATGATTCACTCATGCATTCGTTTATTTAACTCACATGTGTATTGAGTACCAACCTACTGTGTGCCAAACCCTGTCTCAGATGATCTACAGGTAGCCATCAATGTCATTCCTGGAGTTATGGGTTGAAACGTGCCCCCCTCAAATTTATGTGCTGAAGTCCTAATCCCCAGAACCTCAGAATATGACCTTACTTGGAAATTCTGTTGTTGCAGATGTAATTAGTCATGATAAGGTCATGCTAGAGTAGGGCAGACCCTTCGTTGAATATGACTGTGTCCTTACACAAAGGGGAAATTTATACACAGATAGGGACTCGGAGAATGCCAGTCGAAGAAGAAGACACAGATCAGGGTGATACTTCTACAAGCCAAGGAAAGCTGAAGACAGGCAGAAAAACCACTAGCAGCTTGGAAAAGGCGTGGACCAGAGTCTCCCTCCCAGTTCTCAGAAAGAGTCCACTCTGCCAATACCTTGATCTCAGACTTCCAGCCTCCAGAGCTGTGAGACAATACATGTCTGTTGTTTAGGCCACGCAGCTGATGGTGCCTTGTTACAGCAGCCTAGGACACAAATACATCTGAGTGCCCAGTTTGGGTAGGGTGGGTGCTCTAAGGCTGAGGATACGCAGTTGGGACCCCCTGCTGCCAGCAGCTCCTATGGCACCCAGGGCACTCCCTATGTGAGTAGATTTCAAACTGAATTCTGGCTCCTTCCAGGGGTTTAGATCTTCCCACTGCTTGGCCCTAAATGTCTGCAGGTGTGCTGAGGTGTTGATCCTCTCAGCTTTCAAGATACTTGGGAAAGACCCAGGTGGCTGGGGCCTCCAACTCCCTCCATTTACTGAAAATGCCAGATACCATTATCAGTTTTTTCAGACATGATGGTAACATGATGAATAAACCCTAGTCTAAGCAAACAAAAATTAAAAATCAAGCATGACTGGGGCCGATGTCTATGGTCTTGCAATTGTTGTAGTAGGCCAGATTGTGGAAGGGGAGGATTTATCTGAGCTGGACTCTAAATAGGGCAGCTTACTGAAAGGCTCTGGCAGGAACCAAGCAAAGGTTTCCACATGGTCAAACTGGACTTTTGCAGTCTGGCTGCTGCCCAGTGTGTGGGAGGGGGACAGGAAATCCAGCTCTTAACAGAAGGCCAAGCAGGCAAGTTGTCACATTTGGTAGAAGCCAGAAGGGGTGGGATGTTTCCTCCCCAGTAGTGAAGGGAGGGGCGGGTCCTGTCCAGGACTGAGGGATCTGCTGCTCTCCTTGGTTCTCAGCTTACTCAAGCCTCTCAAGTATGTTAAAAATTTGGTCCTATATTTTGGAAAGTGTTTAGAAAAAAAACAAAGGTTTAAAAACCAGAATGTCTCAAAGCTATAGAGTAAAAATTCATTCATTTATATTTAAGTGATATAATTTATAACAGAGACAGAAGCAGAAAACCAGGAGAAAGGATGAAACATTCTTAACTCCTTCAATGTGTGTAAATGAGGAAGGAACATATCAGTTGGTTCATAATATCTATATATATATTTAATTCCTCTTGTTTTTGGGGATCTTTTTTTTTCTAATACTTATTACCACTATACAGAATGCAGGTGGGAATAAAGGAATAACGAAAGAATATAAATTACTGAATCGATCTTGCAAATGTTTATGTATGGTTCAAATTATTTACTTCTAGAAAAGGTCTTAAGAATCTTACTCAGAACCTTTATACTCTTATTTTCTCACAAAGCTAGTGACTGTATAGTGTAAATTAATGGCTTCTTGCAGAATAAATGTAGCAAGTAGTTAGTGTAGGAGAAATGCATCTGTGCTAGAGGCAGGCATACTGACATCGGTGCCTGTCTATATCACATGTCTGAGAAGGTACGTGATGGAATGAAATGAATTAATGAATGGAAAATGGCCCAAAAAAAGATGGAAAATGGCCTAAAAAAGCCATACAATCAAAAGAAGTATCATGAGTATCATGAGGTGAATTTACTGCATGTCAGAGCTACTCTTTCCACATCTCAATCATCCTGAAAGATGCCAGCATTTAATATCAGTAATCATGATGATAACCCTGAGAATGGATTACATTATTTTTACTATAATTTCTCAGGTGTTTCAGAGGTTGTATGATTAACCGTGCAAAAAGGAGTTAATATTTTCAAAAATTCTGATTTTTAAAGTGGTCTGTTTCAGGACATCTGAACAAAAAGGTTAAAGCCTACAATAATACCATGGCTGAAAAACTACACGCCAATATTTGTAATATTTTATATGCATATATATATACACACACACATATACAGAGATAGTTCAAGAGAGTGATTCAAGGCAATTTGTAAATGTATTTTGTTTAAGTTGTCCTAAGTGGTTCTCAATGTTTTAACATGTTTAGTTTCATAGTCAACTTGCATGATGTGTGGGATTTCTATGTGCAAGATATCCTCCCTTTTAAAAATTATTCATTTATTTTTAATTGATAATAATTGTATATATGTATGGGGTACAGTGTGATATTTTGGTCTATGTAGAAATATTCAGGCGAGCGAATTAACATATCTGTCACCCCATCAACTTACCACATTTTTGTTGAATGTTCAACCCTTGATGTGCATGTTGAGAGACTATTGTTGGTAACATTGCTTTTGACATGTCCCACAACTGATTGTATGTAACATGATAGTATGCCATGAAAACTTGGTTGAGTACTGTGGCAGAAAGGTCAGGATTTTAGGATTTGAGAAAGTTAAATTTTTCTCCAGTCACAAAGCTTATCCTTCTGTTAATTTCTGTTATTTTGCAGTCTGCTGGGTTTAATATGGGACTCCAAGGGGGCTCCTAGTTTAGACCCTTGCCTCCTGGCAGGACATATTTTCCCCTAATGAGACAGCACTGGCCAAATGCTTTATTCTTCTCTGCACAGTGTAGCTGTGGGATTGCATAGGGCTCATTATGCACCCAAGTAGTCATGTCCTAGTTTCTGCTTTTTTGCAGTGCTGGTATATTCATGAAAGAGTGTAATGTAATATACAACAGGTTTTTTTTAAAATATCTTGGGATATTGTAAAAAGGAGTAATTTGCTAGAAAGGTAAGAAGAGGGAATTAAAGCTTCAATAAATCTGTGTTAGGCTCACTGCCTTGCTGTATTTGAGGTCTTACCTAGTTTATTTCAAGCTTGGGGTTCTCCCTAAGGTACACAGGACCCAAGCTGATATATTTTAGATGCAATAATATTTGGGACAGAAAATTCCAACTCTTGTTTTGTGAAATGCTAGGGGATCCTCAACTATTTCAAGAAGGATTACAAGACAGCTAAAAGGAAAATGATTTTAAAATTAATTTAATAAACTAACCCATGCCATTGAGTTCCCTTTTTGCAGTATTGGGTTATGACCCAAACTGTGCCAAATACAAGGCATTTAAACACAAATGGTTCATAATGCTGGCTCTCAGAGAACTTAGTCAAGTAAAAGAGGCCCGCAAAAAATGCAGTGAAATGTTACAGGCATTGCCTACAGGGGAGGGTTGAGAGAAGTGATAGTTTTTGAACTTGAGGTAGGGCTTCAGGGAACTGCTCTACTGTCCCCTGAAGGGGTGCAGGCTGGGAGGCACTTTGGAAGCAGTATCTTCTGTCTGTGAAAGTGTGACTGACTCTTAGAGCAATATGTGTTTCTTTTCAAAAAGATCCCCTTTACAGAAAGGAGGAATGCCAGATTTTATAATATTTTTTCCTTGCTACTCATTTCTTTGACCGATTTATTAGGGAAGGCATGTGTGTGTGTGTGATATAATATTCACACAATATACATATATATTACCACATTACCACAAACATATATACATGTTTGTACATATATGTTTGTATATCCTATGTATATATGCATATATGTATACATGTTTGTATGTGTGTGTAACATTATGTGAATCTTTTATTATACATTAATATGTTATTTATAATAATGTATATGTTATATAATATATTAATATAATATGTATAATTTTGTACATTTATTATGTATTTTTATATATAAATTTTTAGCCAAAGCTAATAGAAGTGAGATCAATAAAACATTATATTTACTCCCATGTCGAGAAATACCAAACCCTTCTGGCAGGTGTGAGCAAGTACTTGCTTTCAGAGCTTTGCAGGAAATTCCTGAATTAATACACAAGACGACTTTTTTTCCTGATAGCAGAAATTAACTTTCAGAATAAAAACAGTAACTCTTGTTGTAAACAACTTTGAAAGAGTGATTGGCATTTGTTTATTTGCATGTACGTCTACCTGTTTATTCACCAAATATTTTCTGAGTGTTTACTATGAATAATTGTGAGTTTCTGTGATAATAAAACTATACTTTCAGCTCTCTGAGGGCAGGAAAGCTTTTTTATTAATCATTGGATCCTTGTATCTAGTACAGTATCTGGAAAATGCAGACATTCCATATAGTATTAATATGTTCGGTTTGTTGAAGTAACATATACCGTGAAGACACTTGGAATGGTCCCTTCAGTTCAGGAAATATGTATAGCGCGATTGAGGACATATTCAGAAGGAACTAGTAAGTAGTCAATATAGAATGGGTGCTGCTTAATTTGTGCATGTAATATATGTTTGGGGCCATCGGTGGAGAGAGACAGTTCCAGCTGAATAAAACATGATGATACACAAGTGAATACACTTTATTGATGACTTCAATTTGTAAGATGATCAGGTCAGGCAAATTACATTGTTGCTAACTGACTTCAATAAATTTTGACTGTACAAGCAGCAGAAAGAAATTTCTGTCTCTTATATTTCAACTGACCTCTCAGAAAATTAGCCATTTTTTTTCAATACGTAATGCCTCATGAAGATGGCTTGCGTGGCCCCTGAAGTAGTGAGGTGCATTTTCTTAAGTGGACTGAACATCTTGGTCGTCTGTGTGCTGGCTGTGTTCTCCGGCCTCAGCCTGGCAGAGTTGTTTCGTAATGGCTGCATTTTCTGCCTGAGTGATGGAAAACACGTTTGGTAGTTTTAGAGAAAATAATTGGTATTTTAATTTCTCTGTCTTGAACGTCTAGTACTACTTTGTGGAGGAATTTGTGACGTGATGTTGTTGCTTTCCATTTGGACTGTTGAAGAAGTCATGAGGGTTGATGCCTGAATGATTTTCCATAGAAATGAACCTGAACAGTTTTGGTGAAAACCTTCTTTAATGCAAACAAGAATATATTTCTTTTGGGGTTGGGGCTGAAAATAGACATTTTAATTTCATTATGTTATTAGTTTAAAAATCTATTAAAACCAACAATGTGAACTGTTTTGAGCTCTTACCCCCCTCCCCTGCCCAACGCCTTAAAAGGTAAATGGAGTATTTCTGAGAGAATTCCCAAAGAGTATCTTGTTTGGACCACCAACTACAATTTTGACTTTCACTTTCTCACCATTTCCTGTAAAATCGGGACTGTTTCATCAGTGATGATCTGCATTCTTTTATGCCTTTCCCTGAGACGAGAGTGCCCTTCCCTGGCTCCAACAAACAACTCCTGCTTATCTTTCAAGATTGACTTTAAATGTTACCTCGTGAGACTCAGTTTCTGAGTTCTCCACTTCTGTTGTAATTGATGAAGAGACTAGGCACATAATTGTAATTGAGCTATTTCCACGGCTGCTTTCCCTGTGTGTGAGTGCTTCCAGGCTCAGGATTGGGTTTGACATTGCCTGGTGCCTTCCAGGAGCAGTGCCCTGCCCACAGTGAGGTGGAAGACACTGTTGAATTGATTGTTGGATAGCTGAATGTGAACCTTGCAGAGGGGCCTTGCTTGGCCCTGCCTTTTTCCCTGGAGAACTGTAAGGCTATCAGTGCTTGGAAGGTGCTCTGTTGTCCTTGAACTAAATGTCTGCTCCTATGGCTGTGGCTCAGGAAGGAGTAGGTTGGTCCGCTACAGGAGGAGGAGAACTCACTTGCTTTTGTCAGGGTTGTGTCTCCTCTCTACCCCACTTGACTTTTCACACAGCCCCTGAGTGATGTACCTGCCGAGCTCTGGACTGAAAGGGATATCTGGGGCTGTGGACGGAGTCCAGAAGTAGGGCTTCGATGGAAGAGCTAAATGTTTCTTTATTCTTCATATGTCTCTGAGGATGTTGTTGATAGCAGAAAACAATCAGCAAGAAATTTCTGCTATCAGAAGCTTTCAAATCCATGCCCTGAAAAACAAAACAAAACAAAACAATACACTTCCTTCTCCTATAAGTTCTAATTCTTATATTTTTCCTAGGGCTATCACTGATGTCTCTATCCCTTTAAGCCATCCAGGGGGGTAGTTGGAATTCCTAACAGCACTAGGATTAATAGTGCAGTGGTATAATGCCATTCATAAGTGTTTGTGGGGAATACAATTTCTAGTGGATTTGATTTTTTATAAAACATACAGACATTTTAAACCCTTGGCCCAAGTATCAGTCCTATTTATTCTTTTAATTGGCATTAGTTTGGTGATCTTGGATCTGAATTTCTCCTTGGTAAACAGTAATAAATATTAGCTTCCAAAGTTTGTTGTAAGAATGAAAGACAACGCTGTAAATGAAACCTCCTTGAAAATAGTATTTTTGAAAATTGGTATTGTCCAGAAGTAGGTTGCTAATATAAGCTCTCTCCCACTTAAGTTTTTTTTTTCTGCTTTCATTTAAATGAGCAAGCAGAGTTTGCCTTTTTTTTTTTTTTTTTGGTTTAGGTCTTGTACTTGTTCATTATGTAATAAAATGGAAAGTCAGAGAGTACAAAAGAGAGGACAATAATGGTTTCATAAATCGTAGACAACCTTAAAGAGAATGGAATACTTTAGCAGATAGGGAACTGAAACTCAGAGTAGGTAACATACCAAACGTCAAGCAGTTCTTAGCGGCCCAGCTAAACTAAAACTCAGGTCACTTGGTTCCCAAATTAAAATGTTATTAACCCATAAATATGAAACATTAAAATGTGTGGGCCAAATTGAACAAATGTTGGAAAATATGAGACCCTAGTAACATTGAGATACTCATTTCCCTTTGGCTTACCTCAATATTTGAAAGAGACTTTTTAGCACATCGGTAAGTTGTCTTATTTATTCTTCTGGCAAATGTTGTGTTATGCCTTCTGTATTTCTAAGAACCATAAAGGGATGGGGGATAACTTGTTCAGCTCTCATCTATGATCACAGATATTCGAGAAGTGTTTGTAGTTGTGCTTTAAAATAGCTCAGTTCTTTGTTCGTTTCAAATATCCTGTGTTACACGCTGTCTTTTTAAGCCCTTTGCTTTGCCTGACCCTTAATCTCTTCTGCTTACTTTCTCCTCCTCTCTCCTTTTCTACAGCTTTATTTTTGGTTCTGGTAGTATGACAGCACTTCTGAATTGTAATGGGAGTGTTTTTCCACACCTCCAACCTGTCCCAAATGCATGAGGTGACTTTTAAATCGGCCCGATTCAGCTGTGGGGAAGGATGGACTCTTGCCAGCAGGGGCATTGTAGCTAGAATTAAAGACACCATTATTTCTTGGGGAGAATCATTGACAAAACTTAGTTTTACTTTAAAGAGCTCACATAGAAAAGATATTTTCTTCAAGACTGATCAGATAGCTGCCCCTAGTATGTCATAAAGCTCAACTCCCCAGGGCCCAGAAACCAGGCCAAGAGAAACTCCTAATGCAGTGTGATCTGTTCATGACCCTCTTAGAAAAGAACATCCTTGTTCTCCCTAAGGAATGCATGTCCAAATGCATCTTTCTTCACACCCTTAAGAAATAACCTCTTCCCTTGGACCATGCTGAATGTAATGAATGGAAGAACACTGAATGAGGGTGCAACGGAGCAGTCTAGCCTAGTTAATGGCTGACCGAATCCTTTTTAAATTGTGTGTGTGTGTGTGTATGTGTGTGTAAATTTTGATGCAAGTGGGCCATATGGGACACAGCTGATCATATTAACAGAGGCGATGCTGGTGTGGTAGAAGGACACAGGCTTGAATTAGGTCACGCCCTGGATGCAGTTCTTAGCTCCTGAAAATGAGACCCTGGCAGTGACTTCCCACCCCCAAGGGAGAACAATCTGGTCTGGAATCTGGCCCCAAATGATTAGTTAACTCCTGAGACCAGGGACTTCAGACCTGCTGGAGGCCAAGCTTCCTTTACCTAGACCTTGGGGCTGGCTACCTTATAGAAAAAGGAAAGGGGAGTTTTCTAGCAGTTAAACAACCCCCACCCCCCCCCCCCCACACACACACAGAGAGAGAGAGAGAGAGAGAGAGAGAGAGAGAGAAACGGGAAGAGAGAGACAGAAAGGAAAGAAGGTTTTATTCCTTGCCTCCCTCTATCTCCTGGCCCAGAAAGACACTTTTCAGTCCCTTGTGGGCACAAACTCTGAAGACAGATACAACAAAGATGCATATGGAAGCTCAGCTCATACTTAAAGCAAAAAGACTTCATTCTAATTTCAAAAAGTAAGTTCTCTTCTCCTTTAATACTTATTAGTTCCATTCATTCCTTGTGCTCCTCAAGGTCACTTCTATTTTTAAAATTCGGGAATTCTGCCTGTTAGGATTTCTCACTTTAAATAGTTGGTGATCCAAACAAACAAACAGTAAAAATATACTCTAAGTGAGGAAAGGGGGAAGGATGTGTGTTTGTGTATGCACACACACGTGTGTTTCATTTTAACCAAGACCAAAGAGGGCAAGAGTAAAACTATCCTCTTGTTTTTCCTTCTTCTCACCTTCTGGGCTTGTTAGAATTAAAGCCTTTCCAAAGTTTTCCCAATTCAAAGCCAAGCCATTTAAAGATAAACTGATGCCAGAATGACAGAGCTATTATAGAAGGAAGCAAACCTTTTCATTTTATAGGGTAAGAAAAGGAGTTCTAAACTGGTGAAGTGACAGCTTAGAGTCACACAGAGATGTTTGTGGAAGTGGATGCCTTATATATTTTTAAGAGATATCTGTGCATGGGTAAAAAACAATTAAAGGTCATGGAGACCTTATCAGAGGTTTCTATCCAGATGAGATTGCTAGGTTCAAATGAAACTTGTCCAAGAGTTGCTGAGATTCAAAGGCTAAAGCAAATGCAGGATGAAGATTCAGAGAGGTCCCTGCCATCATATATGAAGAAGGAGGGGAAAAGAGCCAGGATATGTGCTCTAAGAAGATTTTAAATTCTGAGAATTTTCATTTATATAATCCCTTTGATGGATAAATATGTGGCTGCTTCATCCTTTGCAATTTTATAATAGGCAGCACTAATTTTAGCATATTGTTTATTAAACATTTCAGTGCTCATCCGATTTTTGCATTTGATTATTGAATTGACTTTTTCATGATTCAGTTCTTTTTACCCAAATTGTATGGTCCTTTTGTGCAAGAGAAATCACTTGTGGGCAGTAAAATGCAACTTTCTCATCTCTTTGATTCTTTCCTAGCAGATCTAGGCAGAATCCCATTTGCTCTGTGGTACTCTGCAGTACCAGAAACTATAAAACTGCACTTCCCAGGGCTGGTTAGTGCAGGCTGATAGCCCCGTCATTTCAGCCGGTGAAGTGAATGCCTTTACCTAGCTGATGAAAGCATGGGGCTTTGGAGAAGTTCCAGAAACTCCTTTATGCTTGTAGGAGAACGTGGTAGCGTTTCCAGGCATGCTGTGCGCTCAGCGAGTTTGGTGCAGTGCAGCAAGCTTGTGTAATAGCACCATGTTGATCGGCTCAGTGCTCCACTTGAAGGACTGGGAGGCACTCAACGCATTACTGTGCGAGATGTGTGTGTGTGTGTGTGTGTGTGTGTGTGTGTATGTTATGCATGTATGCATTTGTGTGGGTGCATGTTTACTTTTCATTTAATCCCATTAACCAAGTATCAAGTACATCAGCCATTACTAACATAGCAAGGTTACTATTTCTGGTGTCCCATTTTTATTCAGGTCTTGGAAAACTCACTACATTTCTGCAGATACTTTGGAGTGCTCTTTTTCTAGGGTCTGTTTTTTTTGTGTTTTTTTTTTTTTTTTTTGTATAAGAAACCCTCCTAGTTCATATACAAAGTGGCTCCGAAGTCTGGATGTTTGCCATCTTCTGCCCCCAATAACACCCCAGGTACCAGGTCCCACTCCAGTCTTATTGTTTAGCACATTGCCTGACTGTAACCACTCTCTTGTGTGAGGGCAGATTGGCAGATTTCAAAGAGCAGAATCGCAGAACTCAGAACTCAGAAGATATTTGATATATTGTAGACTGATCCTTTTATTTTACAGATGAAGAAATGGAGGCAGACATGTAAAATGACTTGTTCAGATCACTCAGGCAGAGCTGGGGCTAGAAACTAGGTCTGCTACCTTTTAGTCCAATTCTTTTTTTCCTGACATAATTGCATTGAATTTTACTAGAACATTATAAGAAGTTGATCAGACTTCCCCCTTTATACATCCTGTAAGTTTCTTTAGGGCCGTGGTGTTACCCAAATGTGTTACTGAAGCCCTTTTAACTTCTCTTGAAAGTTATAAAGTATAAATCAGTACCCCTGGAGAAATTATACCTGTTTGGATGTTCGTTGATGCTCATTATATTGATCTGCTCATAGTGGACATCCAATACATGTTGAGTCACTTTTGTAATCAGGATTGAATGTAAAAAGTGGGAACGTGATTGAAACTTTTTATTGTTAAACACAAATATCCTCAGTTGTCCACTTGGTGGATGTGCAGCCCACCCTCTGCCAATGGAGAGGATCTTGAGTATCTTAGGGAGATATCTGGCTTGATCCAACGTCTGGAAATCTGTTAACTGAAATAGTCTTCTGAAGGTTCTTAGGGAAAGGACATCTTCAGGTAGCCACACATTGTTGATGCCAGCCCAGCCTTCTGGTGTCTCGAGGACACCCTGGATGTCTGAGAGGGCCTGTTCTGAGGTCAGTTCTGGCTTTAGCAGCACTATTTGTTCATTGTGAGACACCTTGAAAGTTATTAAAATTTTCTAGGCCCCAGGTTTCTTATCTGAAAATGGGGTGCTATTGGGGCATTAGTGCACTAGTGAATGGGAGGTACTTGGCCTATTACCTAGAACACAGTATATTCCTAATAAATGCTTGCTCCTGTTAGAGAGCTGCAATGGGGGTTGAGTGGCCGTGGCACCTTATGGATATCCTTTCTGTCTCAATTCCCTCATCTGTAAAATGGGAATCGTAATAGAAGTTGCTTTATAAGAATGTTGTGAAGATTAAATGAATTAATACATGAAAATGATTGGTACAGTGCCTATCACATCCTAACATACATGTACATATACTAAAAATATTAGTGATTATTATTGCTATGTGAAGCACTTAGTACAATAACAAGTACATGGTGTGTCCTCAATAAATGGTACCACTTATTAGTCTTAAAAGTTCATAAAAATAAGTGGTACCAACATTTCTGGATATTGTACAGAATTTAGTTTTATAAACTCAAATTATAAGCCAGTTCTTGTGACTCCATTTTTAAGTGACAAACAGAATTTATTGGTGTATTAGTTTTTTTAATGCTGCTGTAACAAATTCCCACAGATTTGGTGGCATAAAGCAGTACAAATTTATGATCAAACAGTTCTGCAGGTCAGAAGTCTCCTGTGGATCTCACCTGGCTAAAATGAAGGCATCAGGGGCCTGCGTTCCTTTCCGGAGGTTCTCAGACAGAGTTCATTTATTGCTCACTTGGATGTTGGAAAAGTTAGGTTCCATATGGTCATGGGATTGAGCTCTCCACTTCCTTGTTGGCTGTCAGCTGGAGGCCTCTCTTATGTTCTAGAAGCCTCTCTGCCATCCTTGCTTGTGCTCTGCTACATCGAATTCATGTCACGCTGCCATCTCTTTGACCACAGCTGGGAAATCTCCACTTTTAAGGCCTCCTATGATTGAACTGGGCCCACTTTATAGGATTAGATTGGACCCAGAGAAATGCCCTGGGTCATTCAGGATACTCTTTCCATCTCGAGGTCCTTACCCTTAATCACTTCTGCAGCACCCTCTTTGCCATGTATGATAATATGGGCACAGATTCTGAAATTAGGACGTGGACGTATTTGCAGGGGGTGGTCTTTATTGTGCATACAAGTTAGAATGTGAAAATATATGACTCTGGCCTTTTTCTGATAGATGGTGGATAGTTCTAATTAAGTATACTGTGCACTGCAAATTTCATTGTTCAAAAGGTTAAAAGGCCTGAACACTTTGAGAGTAGGTATGCTAATTTCTTTCTTCATTCTTTTGGCCTTATGGGCCCTTGAGAAATACTTATGTGATTATTATTTTTTAAGCAATGTTTTGGGCACACAGTCTTACTTTGCAGAAGCTCCAGCTTTGTGGCATAGGGTCCCCTCTTACCTTGTCAAAGCCAGCTGTCCATTGATGAGCTTCTGCCTAAAGACCAAACTCCAAGGTCATGATTTTCATGACATCCTTTTTCTGTAATGCTCTGTTCAGCCTGTTTAGTACCTATTTTTTCCAGAAGGCCTGATTCTTCTCTTTGTCTTCCCCTCCATCATCTGCCTTCTCTCAAGCATGATATGTCTTCCCTGCCCTGCAATGTCTATGCGTATGCTTGAATCTCCCACTGATCATGAGCTGCTCCACAGCCAGGAATGGCTCTTCATCTTCTTTGTATCCTTAGCACCAAATACAGTGCCTGGTAGAAGATAAGATGCAATGTGTGTTGGCTGTATTCCAGTGTACTGATTAGAAGAAGAGTATTTGTCTAATCTGTCACTCAGTAGTGATCTATTGGCCAAAACCAGGATGCAAAACTTGGGGCCAGAGGCAGAGCCATAAATAGACACAGTTCTGGTAACCTAGGGGTTTACAGCCCAATTTCTAGGGAAGCATCAAAGTGGTACCTCTCCGACAAAATGAGTTGTATATTCCTCATTAGGGGATGAATGCTAAATGCTTTATTTGTGGGCAGGGCAGGGCATTGAAATTATTTAGCATTTATCTCCTAAATGCTTCCCCAGGGCTTCAAAAGAGAAGCCAAATATTATCCTCATGTCTGTTGTCTTCAATTTTAGATTTACAGCAGTTCTTCTCTGTAATGTGTGATATAACAAGACCAGAGTAAATATTGGCAACCTTAGGTGCATCTATAAGTTGGGTATACCCTATTTCATCTGTTTACTTCAATATCTGAAAATTGACTGCAGTTGACAATGTGGGTTCACTTGGCTGAGTTCACTCTCTGTAATATCACTCCAAGGAGGATGTCATAAATCAGGAAGAAGAAAAATTAGTTTAGAATGACTGAACTCATATGTGGAATGATTTATGTTCAAATTTCTAGTTGGTTTAGCAAACTTGTATTTATATAAGGAAGTAAAATACTGATGTAATTACAATGCTATTCTGATATTAACACCAAACTTTCATCCTTAAGGCAAATATTTCTGTTTTAGTCCTGGTCTTGATATTTTCTTTCATAATCACACCCTGACATTGTCTTTAAGCTTCTGTATTGTGCATCTGTTTCTATCGTAGGCAATCCACATTTGATTGGTTATTATTATATTTTAAAGCAGGGCTACTGCATTAACAGCAGAAAATTATGCTTCTTAATTTTTTTTTAAAGTTCAGAGTTTAAAGTTTAAAGTCATTGGAGCTCTGTTTTTTTAAATTAGTTAGGCTATTTGTGCTATTTTACAAACTTATTGAAATACTGATATTTAGGGCTCTACTGACAGAAGAAAAAGTCAGCTAAAAGCTTTTCATAAAGACTCATAATAAAAACTCTAAGCTTTGTAAAAAGACAAAATCATTGTTTTATCTGTTTTATATATCCAATACATTTTCAGTGCTGAGTTGAATTTCTACACAATTTTCTTTGTCATAGGACTCATGACTTTTCAGGTTTACTTTCCTTACAAATGGATTTTGTATGCACACTGTTTTAGTTATTTTTTGCTGCATAATAAATTTCCCCAAAACTCAGTAGTTTCAAACAGGAATAGACATTCATCATTTCACACAATTTCTGTGGGTCAGGAATTCAGGAGTGTCTTAGCTGGATGGTTCAGGCTCAGAGTCTTTTGTGAGGTTGTGGTTAGAGTGCTGGCTGAAGGCACAGTCACCTGAAGGTTGACTGAAGCTGGAGCACCCTCTTCTAAGATGGTGCCAGCATTTGGATAGCAAGTTGGTGCTGGTTGTTGGCAGGAGGCCTCAGTTCTTCACTAAGTAGACTTCATAGGGCTGCTTTTGTGTCCTCATGACATGATCACTGGCTTCCTCCAGAGAGAATAATCTAAGTGCAAGGCAGATAGCCCAGTGTCTTCTATGGCCTAATCTCAGCTACACAGGTTATCTTATTTGATATGAGAGGGGCCCATAGAAGAATGTGAATATCCAGAAGTGAGAATCACTGGAGTCCCTCTTGAAGGCTGGTTAGGACCACCGATTCCTTTTTCTTACTTCTTAAGCCTATCTGACTGAGTAATGGTGATTCTGCAAAATTTGAAAGTACAATTTCAATGTATTTAGGGTTGAATAGAGAACCCGTGTTAGGGAAGAATCAGGAGCTGGTAGAATGTAGAGTTGACAGTATTGGACATAGTAGGGCTGAATTTAGGATCAGAGTAGCAACAGGAATCTGAGGCAGGAAGACAATTCCAAAACAGAGTAGGTATTGAACCAAGTAGCATCTCAGGGTAGCTGCTTCCTTTAAGCAAGAAGTTCGTGGGGTTCAGTAGGAAGACAGGACTCTAGGGACTGGGTTTCAGAGAAGAAAGCAAGGTGTATACCTTGCTATTTATCATTAGAGAAAATAATGTAATAGATTTTTCTTGTTTGTGCATATGATGATGATGATGATGATGATGATTTGGGTTCAGTAGTGACTTGGCAAACTGATTTTAATAACTTGAACATTTGCATCAATAAACACCAACCAACTTTTGAGGGCTAAATTGAAGATATGCTAATTCCAAAGTCACAGCATTCATTTAGCAATGAATAAAGATATACTAATTGTCTAAAATCGCTGTTGGTAAATTTGTTGCTTAGCAAGCTACACAGCTTTTTGAATCTGATAAGTTATCATTCAGTGCTTTACCTACTGTGTGCAGTTTGAATTTTAAAGACACTAATTGCAGATGCTTATTAAGTGTTTAATGTACACTAAGGTCATTATCTAGGTTCGTGGCAGTGACACAACCATAAGATACATGGAATCAATTTAGAAAAACAATGGGTTGGGATGTGAAGTGAAGCAGGCTTGAGTGTCTGTCTCAAGTCCACCACATACTAGCTATAGCTGTGGGACATTTGGTGAGTTATTTGATTTCTGTTAGCCCTAACTTTCTTATTTGTAAAATTGGAGTTTACAGTACCTGCAAAATACTGAATGAACCTGATAGATGGCAAACACCCAATAAATGTTAGATTTGATTATTCATATAAATATCTTTTTAAAATTTCCACTCAATTATTCATTTGGCAATTCTTTATTGATTTCCTTTTATTTATAGTTTTGAAATCTGTGAAACAGAACTGAAAAAAATGATCAAATCCCCATCCTCATGGTGTGTTTATAACCATAAAGTAAGCACAACAATACAAAGTGTTTAAGATGGTGATCAATTCTATAAAGAAAATAAAACAGAAAAGGAGGAGAGCAAGTGCTTTCACTGTGGAGCAGATGCTGTTTTGTGTAGGATGGTTAAGGAAATCCTCACTGACATTTGCCCAGAGGACAGAAAGAGTGGCAGAAAGAGCATACAGGTGTCTGGGGAACACAGACAGTCTAGGCAAAGGGAGCAGCCAGCGCAGAGATGCCGAGGTGGGAGCATTCCTGGCTTGGGCAACATCAAGAAGTCCACTTTGGGTGGAGCAGAGTGAGTCGGGGAGAAAGTGGTAGGAGATGATGTCAGAGAAGCAGGATGTTCTTCTGGGGGCAGCTCATTTAGGACTTTGTAGGACATAGTGAGGGGTTTGCCTTTAACTCCTAGGGGACAGGAAAACACTGAAGGGTTTTGAGTGAAGGAGTGGCAGGATCTGACTTATGTTTTATAAGGACCACTCTGGCTATTGTGTAGGAATAGATGGCAGGGGCCAGATTTAGAATGAAATACTAGAGATTGTGCAGGCACAAGATAATGGTTGGGTGGACAAGGGTGGTTTTGGTGGAGAGAGTAGAGAGAGGTCAGATTCTGGACATATGCTGGAAGTAGACTTGACAGGAGTCAAAGATCATTCGAGTTATTTTGGCTTGAGCAACTGGGCAGAGAGAGTTATCACTGAGTTTGGGAGTTTGTGGGAAGATATCTGGCAGTTGGGAGCAAATGTCTGGGTTCAGACATGCAACATTTAAGAAGCTTTTAAGAGATGTCTAAGTGGAGGTGGTGAGCAGAGAGTTGGATTTCTGAGTCTGGAATTTGGGGCACAGGGTGAGGATTGGGGATGTAAATTTGGGAGTTGTTAGTAACTGAGTCCATGGCTCCACCTGGAAATCAGTATAGATAGTGACAAGGCCTGGTTTGGAGCTGGACTGTTGGGCAGGCTGATCTTTACAGCACAGGGATTTGAGGAAGAACCTGGAAAAACATCTGATGGGAGGAATGAGCAAGCATGATTCCTGAAGCCACATGGAAGAGTGTTTTAATAAAGAGGGGAGATTAATTGTATAAAACGCTGCTGATGGATCAAGTGAGATGTAACTGAGGATTAACCACTAATATATCTCCAACATGGTTAACTGGCACTCCATTCAATGCTCTGCAGAAAACAATTCAATATGCTAGATATAGTATTTTAAAAACCTTTTGAATTCTCCTTAATCTGGTAAGAAAGCAAAGAATACTCAAGGAGAAAAACTGCTGTGGTAATGCTCTTGAACAAGCAGTGTGAGGAAGGATCTGGGATACAGGTGGAGGAGGAGGCCCTATCTAAAAGTGTGGACATTTTGACAAAAGTAGCAGAAAGGAAGACAGAGTGTCTGGACACAGAGGCAGGTGGCTGTCAGATATGGTGGTGGGCATGTGTTCTTCCGATGACACTTCCTTTCTTTCTCAGTGAAGGCAGAAGTAAAACCATTATCTGAGAGTAAAGTGTGTGTGTGTGTGTGTGTGTGTGTGTGTGTGTGTGTGTGAAGTACAGGAAGATTTGAGAAGAAAGGAGGTATAGAATGATCTCCAGGGAATACTGTAAGATTGCCTTCCAGCACTAAAGGCGCACTTGAGGTTAGTCGTCATAGATTGAAGAAAAGTGTGCTTGTGGAGCTGCCTGTTTCCCCTCAGGTGTGCTCATCTGCATGCATGCAGAGGTGGAGTGAGTCCTGACTGGTAAGTCCAAGTTCAAGAGGGAATGGGTAAAGCAAGATGAGAGGGCAAGAGGGAGAGGACAGAAGCTCAGAAGTCAAAGCTTTCTGTTTTTCCACTTTGTCATGGACTATAATCCACCTCCTTTATTAATTTACATTTTTATCTACCTACCCCAATAGCTGAGGAGCCCATGTTTTATTTGGTGTTTCCAACATACTCTTAGCAGGTTTTATTGTCTGCAAAGTAGGAAATTCATAACTGTCAATTGAATTGTGTTTTCCTATTTTTCTTAGTCATTATACATCAGCTACATTATGTGAAATTTTGTTGAAAACTCTTTTTAAAAAGTCAACTCCATATAAATATGTATAAGGAACTATTCCATTCCAAAATGCTGCTTTTGATTATAGATATATCAGCAAGGCTGAGATAAATTAAACTTTTAACAATATGGCCAATTTTGTCAATTAAGTAGATGGATGAAACTAAATATTTCAATAAAGCATTTGGCCTGATCTATTTCATTTGACTGTTTACATTTTATCAAATTGACTCATTGCTTGCCAATTTTCCACTTTATTTTGAGGAAAGCCTAGAAGATGAAAAAAAGATAATAGCCTAATAGCCTTTTTCTTTTAAAAATAATTTCTATATAGTGATTATCAATTTGAAATGTTGTTAAGGTTAAACGTGTGTGTGTGTGTGTGTGTGTGTGTATGTGTGTGTGTGTGTGTCTGTGTGCATATTGGTAAGGACTTTGGGGCGTCAGGAAAACAGGGAATATAAGCAAATTTAGATCAGTGTTCTGTGATGGGCAAAAGATCCCTGAAAATCCTCTCATGTGTGATTATGTGAAATATAAAGGCTAACAACTAAAATAATTGCCTTTAGATATAGTAATATATAACTTTAGTCAACAAATATGCACTGTGTATCTTCTTGTGCCAGATATGGTACTGGGTAATGGGTACAGTATTTCAAACAAATCTAATATTCTTACTATGATAGAGCTTAAAATCTGATGGGGTTGTAAATTATAGTCCGTACGGAGATAGATTGGGCACACTTTGGTAACTGATTAGAGATGAGGGGCCAGGGAGAAAGGGTTATAGAAGATTATGTAGAAGTTTTGCTCTTGAGCAACTGAGAGGATGAGGTTGGCATTAACTTCTTTAGGGAATACAACAAGACTGTCAAATCTGGAGAAAGACACTTTTCAGCTGTTGAATAATTTGCTGAGGGGGGTACATATGGACATTTGTTTAGAAATGTCCAGCAGGTATTAGGTGAGATTCTCGAGGCATAGATTACATTTAACATGAGAAGAAGGCAGATATGTATGATGATGCTGTAGTTTTCAGCTGGAGAGAAGGGAAGATTTGAGGAAGCAACAAGAAGGTTGGTGGGAGAGATGAGTTATGAGCCAGGTTCTAAAGAGAAGAATGCTCACTGTTGCTCATTTATAAAACAATCAGTTCTGGTATATTTTAGGTATATAGTTGATTCTAGGCTTTGAATCTAAGGTTTGTATTTTCTTCACACGGCTGATTTTAAATTATATGAGAATGTAGCAGAAACTAGAAGTGTATTTTAAAACTGATTTTGGTGGTAGAACAGTTAGCTTAAAAATACCAGTTAAATAAAATTTAATTTCAAACACACGAATGATGAAATACACATATCCCAGAAGTTTGTTTAGGGATAAGATCAGCGAACTTTTAATGGTTCAATTCAATTTTTGTGTTCAGTTTACATATATGTTTTTCTCTCATATTTGTTTTTACTCATATTTTGTGTTACCCAAGTTGATGTGTTCTCAAAAATCTAACCTTCCTAGGGCCTAGAGCATTTCTTTGGTGCTGCCCCTCATCTTGTTTGCTTATTTCCTCATATTGTGCTTTTAGGCTCAAGGTTAATGCTTGTAGGAAGCAAAGAAAGGAAAAGAAACAGGGAGCCTATGCTATCCTGAGACCTCGCTTCCGGGGCCTCCTCCTTCCTTCTGTCACCATCCCTTTCCCTCTCCACCTCCCGCTGTCCAGCCAAGTCTCCTTGCCTAAATCGGGAAAGGTGCAGGTAGAAATTCAGGCAGCCCCAGTGGTTCTACTCCTGTTTGATTTTCCTCATGATCTCTTGCCTGCTTGCTAGCTGGGATTTCTGACAATAGTATGATCGTAATGGAAACAGAAAAGGTCCAGCCAAGCCACACGCTGAAATTCTCCTAACCTTTAAATGTGCACATGGCTTAATCCTAAGAAGCACTGCTTTTGGATTGTTTGCACTGCTTTATATTCTTAAGGTTTGGTTGCATCCATTTTGACTCCCCTGGATTGGTTTCTCAAGTATATTTTTATAAATACCCTATTTAAAAAAATCACTTCTCCAAACCATACTTCAGACTCAACCACCCTAATTTTTTAAGAAGCTTTTCGTTTTCGGTGAACAGCTGAATTTGTAAATAACCGTTGAATTTCATTTGTTGTATCCTTGGAGCATCTTGCTATTCTTTTGCTTAGAAAATTCTAACAGCTTGGAACTATTCAACTTCGATTAGAATGAGTTTTCTACCAATGTAGAAAAATCTGCTTTATCACCATCATTGAGAAAGATAGATTCTGTTAAGGAAGGTAAAGTATGTCTTAGTGATCTTGCTCTCAGCATAAAACAAGAAACAGATTCACGTCTAGTGTAATCTGTATAGTGCAGAATTTATTACCTAGAGGCCAAGAGAGAAGCACATCACATTTATTCAGTTCTCATCTTCGCTCCTACTTAAGAGTTCTTAGAAAATAGAGTCACTTAATTTTGAAGAAATGATGTTTTCTCAGACACCGGAATTTTAAAAAATAAAACAACATTTTAAAGCTCTTTTGTTCTTGGGGATATTTTTCCTCCAGCTTTCATGTGGCACTTTGCACTGTTCATCTAAGAAGCCACTTAACTAATCTGCTTCTTATAAGCAGCACAGTATAATTAGGCAATCACCCTTGTGTCTAGAGTCCACCAGGGAAAAAAAGGTGACAGAAGTGCACAACGCATTTATTATAAAACAGTGTAAAATAAAAACCGGAACTTACCAAATAAAGGACATATGGTAAAAGACATACTGTAAAATACTAACACATAAAAGGTAAAATGAAAAATCACCTTCAATAGAATGTCTTCGTTAGTCAATTGGGATCAGGAGCAACTGGTTAATTGAAAAGATAAATTCACAAAAATAGAGAGTAAAACAGGACAATTATTAAAAATGATACACACATGCCTTGAACATTTTATTTTATATTAAATATATAAATGCTCATTCATCAGTACTTTGAGATAGCTCCACCCTGTGTTCTTTGATTAGGGTTGAACTGATCTGAGTTCCTGCAGAAATCACACCCACGATCTATGATTTCTAATTTTGGTGTTTTTAAGTGGAGCAGAACTTGAAGAACATAAGCAAGCTGAGTGCAGCATCCTTCTTGATTTTCATGAGTTTTTTTCCCCCAGTCGTTTATGGCATGAGAACACATGTACTTAAATAAATACTCTTAGACATTTGCCTCTACCGGGTTTTGCCAAATCATCCAATCCATTTTTCATAGAAATAACTCTGTCTTTTGCAATTATACTTGTGATTTCAAAAATTCTTACACTGCAACAGTACAATGTGTATAAACAAAATTACGGCCATGTGTTGTTGAGACGAGAACTTCCCTGCATGCACATTCTGTGAGGGCATCCCAGCCACTGTGGCCAGCTTTCCACGGGCACCATCACATTGAACTGTAAAACAGAAGAGATAAAAAATAGTTTTGGTTCATTTAATAATGCAGTCATTAATGACTTCCTGGGATCAAGCCATCCTCCCACCTCAGCTTCCCAAGTAGCTGGGACTGCAGATGCACACCACCATGCCCTGCTAATTTTTTGATTGTTTTTTTTTTTTTATAGAGGTAGGATCTTGCTGTATTGCCCAGACTGGTCTCAAACTCCTGGGCTAAAGCAATCCTCCTGCCTCAGCCTCCCAAAGTGCTGGGATTATAAGCATGAACCCCTATGCCCTTTTTTATTTGTAATAAACCTTTTATTTCAGAATAGTTTTAGATTTACAGAAAAGTTGCAGAGAGAGTACAGAGTTCTCATTATATCCCACACCCAGCTTCCTCTTACATAGCCTCTTATGTAAGTATGTTACATTTGTCATAACTACTAATGAATCAATATTGATACATTATTACTAACTAAAGCCCACAATTTACTAGGATTTCATTAGTTTCTACCTAATGTCCTTTTCCTGTTCCAGTTTTCCATATAAGATACCATGTTACATTGAGTCGTCTGTCTTTTTAGGGGTCCTCTAGACTGTGACAGCTTTGCAAACTTTCCCTGTTTTTGATGGCCTGAACAGTTTTGAAGAGCTTTGGTTCAAGTATTTTGTAGAATGTTCTTCAATTTGAATTTGTCTGATATTTTCTTCATGTTTAGAAGAGTATTATGGGTTCTGGGGGGAGGAAAATCCGAGGTAAAATGCCACCTTTTCCCATCACTTGAAGGTTATCTACCAATACTATCAGTATGACTTATCACCATTGATGTTGACTTTGAGCACCTGTCTGAGCTAGCATAGTCATGTTATTCCACTGTAAAATTACTTTTTTTGTTGTTGTTGTTGTTGATTAAATGATTCTAGTAGGTAGATCATGGGTAAGATAACTTCTGCTATATTTGTGTGATTTTTATGCTGGGGTGATTTACTACACTAAAATGGAAACATGTAAATTATTTCAGCTATGTTATCTCCATGATAGAATGCAATAGTTTGGCCTCTTTATGAGGATTTCATGAATAGCTGAAAGGAGTGCACTTAATTTTGTCTTAGCACTGCTGCTGAATTCTAGTTTCCCTGGGTTGTTTCACATTTCTTGAGCTTTAGCATCTAACTGAAGTAAAGACAGTCTCCAAAGCTGCTTTTCTGGGGGAAGTGGTTTGGAAGGAGAAATGGAGAACTATGGATGCACAATTGTGCTTCTATAGTTGTGTGATTTAGGTCTTCAAGCTCAAGACTAAATATGCCATTCTTTGGTTCAGTTTTAGTTGAATCTGTGGTTAGCATTTTGATGACATTTTAATTTTTCTTATTACTCTTAAGTGCACTTAGCAAAAATTTAGTTGCTAATTGCCTTGCAGTACATCAGGGATTATCAAGGCCAATGAAGTGTCCATAAGTCCATTGCCCTATTCTGCAGACCACCCCAAAAATGCAAAGTGATTCCAATACGGTGTGCAGAGGGGTTTTGTGCACCAAGCTGCAAACCACGATAACTCAAAATCTTATACTTTTCAGAAGAAGTTGCAGAAATCCTAAGAAACAATTTTTTAATGAAGAGCCAGACTCCTACACTATGTCAATCTATTGGAAAACATTTTAATATAGAACACAAAGAGATCTCTAGAACTCAGAGACCATCTGTTTTCTTTGTGGGCCTGGGAGACATGATGAGAAATGTCACACCAACTTCATTTTACCTAAATATCTGAAGGGGATGCAAAACTTTTAATTGTAGAGTTGAAATATACAAATAACAATGGTTTTCTAACCTTCCAAAAGGAACAGAAACAGTGGTCCTGACAATGCAAACTCAGTTCTACATAACCAACATTAAGGAGCAACACGACTGAGGTCAATTCTTCTGTTTTTTTTCTTCTATAGTTCAAAGGGACTTTATTTTTCAACTCCATTTTGGATGGATAGGGAACTCAGGAATCTATTTTCGCAATCTCTGCATCATCTGGATGGCCTCAGTGTGAACTTGACCCAGAGCTGCTGAATGGTGTAAATATTTTACTGCCCATTCAGACATTATTTTATCGTTTCTGTCATTTTCTTGGTCGCTGCCCATTGCGGAGGTATTTGCTTCTGCTAATATGGTTGTATGAAGCAATGTGTTTTGGGTAAAAGCAATGTGGTGCTGTGAAAAAACCTTTGGAGAGAAAATCCTAAGACTTGGACTTTATGTTTCTCTCTGGTACTTCTAATTCTGTAATCTCAGGCAAGATCCTAGCCTTTGATTTTCAGTGCCCTGAGGGAGAATGAGGGAATAATTATGCCTGCTTCGCCGACCTTTAGAAAGTTGGTTTTAGGATCCATTGTGTAATAATTGTGCAAAGGTATCACAAACCACACAGTGCAAAGGTATCACAAACCACACAGTACCGTACAAGTCAAAGGACAAGAAAAAAACTTAAGGCTGCTAAGGGGCAAGGAAAAGTCTAGAGTAACTAGGAATCCTCTTTGCCTACACCACGAACCATTAGATATCACAGTGCATGGTGGAGTGATGATCTTTACTGTTCAGAAGATGTTGATGAGAGGGACAGAGACGAAAGTGAATTTGTAGATACGGTTGAGAACATCTCCATGCCCCGAGCTTAGATAAAAATGCGCTCCAGTGGCACCAGAATCGATAAGAAGTATAACTAACTGAGGAACAAATGCCTGGTGATAATCATAATGATGAAGAACCTCCTGTAGAAGTTGGACAACATGATTTTTATGGTTCTTTCTGGTTTTAAACTCCTATGGGTGGCCAACTTAAAATAATCATACCAACTACTTAAAGTAAAGTAATCCACAAACTGATGGGAGAAAAACAAATCAAAGTAGGTATTTTAAAATATTTTGAATAATAGCATTCACAATGAAATCACTTCAATTTTCAAGTTGAGAACATTAACACAGAGCTTACTCTGTGCCAGACATTGTTCTAAGTGCTATTGTAACTCATTTAGTCCTCACGGTAACCTCAGGAGGTAGATCAGGAAACTGAGGCACTGAGAGAGCCGTCTTTTGATAGAGGTCACACAGATGGTTCTGAGGGAGCCAGAACTTGGACAATGGCAGTCTAACTATATAGACTAGGGAAAAGTGAAACTAGAAAAATTTCACTAATATTATCAGAAGGAAACAGCTATTTTGACCACTGGAGAAATAGTGGAAATAAGAAAGGAGGGGAGGGCAAACAGAAATTGACAATCTAGTTCCCAGCAACCACTCAAATATTCAAACACAAGTGACAGAGTTCAAGCCAAGTGGATGCCACGGGGTTAAAAGAATGCCCCTGGAGTTAATATTTAGAATGTGTTTATTTTTAGAGATAACATGAAATAAATTCCCTGCTGATATTAAATAAATTTTTAAATAAAGCAGTCCTAGTAGTTTTCCTAATCATTCAGGATGTGTTTGTTTTTTTTTTTTGGACCAAACAGTCTTCTAGAAAAAAGCAGTGGAAGATGAAGATTAAGCAATGGAGAAAAGGCCTGTTATTTTAAGAAAATTAGTTGTTAAAAAGTCAGTGGAAGATGAAGATTAAGCAATGGAGAAAAGGCCTGTTATTTTAAGAAAATTAGTTGTTAAAAAGTCATAGAAAAGACATTTTATTTGAATAAATATGTTTTCCCATTGACTTGAGTACTTTAGTTGTAGCAGATCATTCATAGATTTATGCCATAAGATTTTGACTAGAGAAGCCTCTTGTATTATGATTGCATAACAACTGCTATGTTTCATTTGTTAATTTTTGCTTGGTATTTGTGGATGTTAAGTGTTTGTTCATTTTTTTCATATTTCAGATTTCAGGTTTCTACTTCTACATCTCCAGCCCTGAATACTCATGGAATATCGCTGTACCTATGACAGGTTGCATGATTTTTCCCCCTCTGTGCACTCAATTTGTGTATTATTGTATCATATGACATTCTGAATCAAGTGCTGCTAGTACCAAGCTGCTATCATCAGCTGATGCCAAAAATATTCGTTATAACACTTCTCAGCATGCAAGTGAGAGCACTTCAAATCACACAGACAGAATTTCCAGCCATTGTTCTTTTCTTCTTTGCTTATTATACAGCAACAAGAATCAAAACAAAAGGGGATTTATTAGAAAATAATGCTTCAGTAAAATGTTATAAAACATGAGGTTTATTGTTTGTGAAGATAGAGTGAAATTCAGTACCACATTATAGATACCACCTCAGAGGCCTATTTTCCCCTTCTTTTCTCTTTTCTCAAATGTTTTTCAAGTGGCATCTTTTTTTCAGTCTTTGATTACATTAAGGTGCAAACTATTTATCCATCTGGAAATAAGCAATACTGTCAACAGAGAACCAGGAAATGAAAAGTGCAGCCGGCCATATGCCTTCTCTACGGCCTCTTTATGTTACTGTGCTGATCAGGACAAATGCAGTACCTATGGTAGCAATAGGGAGAGTGAAAATATGTATTCTCCAAGGGAAGACAATTAAAAGACAAATTCCATCAGGAAGATTTGTCATTTTTTGAGAGTGCTGATCCTGCATCTATCAGCAAATTTCACATAAATTAATTCATTTTACAGAGTGAATGCTGAAACTTGGAAGCCAACTGACAAGATGCCAGGGATGGCATGGCAAGGAAGAGAGAGCCTTCATGGCAATTTTGAATACCTGATCTCTTGCTTTCATCATCTTGTCTAGGGGAAGAAACACGGAGCCTGGTAGTTGGGAGGTGAGAGGCAGGAATGGATACCAGAGATGGACAGACAGTGGGGTGGTGAGAAGGGAGCTGCAATTTGCTAATCCTTGTAGTACTACCTGTCAATCATCTTGCTTTCCTTAATCATCGATCCTGGAGAGACTTTGAGGAAAGGGCTGGTGGAGTTGCGCAGATGTGATCTTCATTTCAGCCTTATGAATACATACCAAGGTCTCTTTAAATCTGTGGTTCCTGCACAAAGTGCTGTGACTTCAGGCTAATAGAGAGGTCCAGATGTCACATGTGCCAATTAGAAAGAAATGAGGACCATGGCTATGGCCCACTGTGTTCAGAAGACACGCCCAAGCCACCCATTGTCATTCATTGTGTCTAATACTTGACCTGTCCTGCTGTTTATTATGTGGGGTGGCTCCATATTTTAAAAACTGTATTCATAAAAAGATATTTCTCATCCTGCTGAGTCTCAGGCCCATTGTTGTAGGTGAGGTGGTTTCTTTTGTTTGATATATAACGTTTTGCTGACTTTCGACTTGGGAATTGCAAAGGCTTACCCAAAACCCTGAAGGAAAAGCTAAGAATTCATACTTATTAAGCACTTGGTAGGTGTCTGACACTGTAGTAGATATATGCGAGAGCCCAGAACAAGCTGATGTCCATGTACATATCTTTAAAAAATATAATGATCTAGTCTTATCTGTGGAAACTGCTTCAGATACTGATCTTACTCTTTCCTGTTACATCAGAAATTCTGGAAGGTAATATCCTGAAAGATTTATCCTCAAGAATAACAATACATTAAAATCTTCTGCTTTGAAAATGCTTTGAAATTGTCAGTTTTTTTTTTTTTTTTTTTTTTTTTTTGCTATAGAGTATAAGGTAGGAAATATTTGGCAGGTAAAATGAGACATCCTCTCAACTCTGTCAGTTTTTGTCAATTTCTGGGATGATGAAAGATATGAGAACTAGAAGGCTGGTTTAGTACTGACTCCTGGTTTATGTTAAATAATGAAATGCAAGCCAGAAAAACAAATTGGCGGGGGCTCCGGCCAGCCAGCCATTCTGCAAGCGCTTGGGATTGGGCAAAGTGAGAGTCCAGGTCACAGACAAGGCCGGCTCTAATCCAGATAACTGTGGAGTCAGCATTAATGTGCTGACTCACTGCAGCGACTCTCAAGCATTTCTCTTACCCTTTAAATGCTTCCAAGTTTTATACTTTAAGTCCAAGTAGGCACCACAGGCACCATGTGGACAAGCAGGAGGGTCGGCCTGGGGTCCTACAATAAGTGATACCACCTCCCTTTTGAGGTGGTAAAAACCAGAGCATTGGAGGAGTCAGGGCAGAGGTGCAGACACCTTCCTGGGACCTGTTGAATCCTTTCAGGTGTACGTAGCTGCTGGGCTCTGAGCTCTGTATTTTTTTCCCAGCCTTATTCTTAGGGTCTGATTTTATTCCAATCAAGTCTTTAACATTCTTTCCTTGGTTTCTTCAGTATAGCACACCCCACAGTATGGTATTGTGTGGGGACTCTCAGCTTGATGGATGCTGATTTTTCTGGTTCTAAAAAATGTTATTTATTGATCTATCTATTTTAATTTACACCTATGCAGTTATTTATTTACTCTGGTGAATAGAGAACACATTCTTGACACGGGGAAGGAATACACTCCTTTAAGCTTCTCCTAGCACCACTGTGAAAACTTCTAGACTTTTTTTCCTCCCAAATCCTATGAACATGTTAGCGAGTTCCTCTCTGCCTTCTACTCAGAACTCAAAATACAGTTTCTCTAATCTGAAGGTAGGACCAAACCCCATATATAAAATTACCAGAGTAATATTTGTAAAGACAGTTTCAAAAGAAGAAAAGGCTTAATTGTAACTTGTAAATGATGGTTCATGAAGGAATGTAGATAATTTATAAGACTGGTTTGATTTCGTTGGTAGAAATATTTTCAACAGCGTGTGGCTGAAAAGTTAGAAAATTTCTATCAGTCATGCTTTTTAGCAAAGCATCTTTTTACTGCTTTTAGAGTCATGCACAAGAAAACATGCAGCTTACTAGCTATAAAATACTATTGCTCCATTTTAACTCTCTCTTTGTTTTGATTTTTTCTTTTTATTTTTCAAAATATTATTGGTTATAGAATTTGTACTTGGTTTCTGCAACATCTTATGCTCCCCTAAAGAACAATTCAAACTATATAGGTTTGCATAGATCCACAGAGTAGGTCTCACAAAGACAGAGTTATCCTTTGCTGCTGGTATGTCATTTTGTAGGCATGGTAGCTGTGGCAAGGGCTGGTGACAACTGCGTAGGGTGAAAATGACTATATGATTTTAAGGATTGTGGAGGGACGCAGCAATAAATCTGCTCTGGTAGGAGTGACAGTAGCCCTGGACCTAGCTCGGGGCTGTACCCTATCACTTACTCCAGAATAAAGCTGAAGACCACAGCCAAGTCTTGCATATGCAGAAGGACACAATACTACATTGGTGCTGGGCTCAGGCACAGCACTAGAATTTAATGGAAAAGTTGGTAGTTGGCACCAGAACAAAGTAGATCGGGTCCAGAGAGCCAAAGATATGTTTCTCTCAATCTTAGGAGACTGTTAACTGTTGCACTCAGGCTGCTCCAGGAAGGTAGCAGTGACAATTTTGATGATGTGCTGTGTGGCTTATTACCATTTGTCTTAGTCTGCTCAGGCTGCTATAAAACATACCCTAAGATGGGTAGCTTATAAGCTAAACAGAAGTTTATTGTCCAGTTCTGGAAGCTGGGATGTCCAATATCCAGGCACTGTCAGGGTAGGTGTCTGGTGAGGGCTCATACTCTGGCTCTTAGACAGTGCCTTTTCCTTGCTTCCTCAGGTGGTAGAAGGGACAAGAGAGCTGTCTGTTTCCTTTATAAAGGCACTAATCCCATTTGTGAGGGCTTCAGTCTTATGACCTAAGCACCTCCCAAAAATCTCACTTCGTAATCCCATTACCTTGGGGATTAGACTGTCAACATGTGAATTTTGAAGGGACATAATCATTCAGTTCATTGTACCATTTGAGTTACTCAACTGAGCTCTTCTTTGAAAACTAAGTCTCTTTCTAAATATCCTGAACTTAATAGAAATAACTTACCTTTTAAAGTAAGAATTACCCTTTAAGAATAGAATAACCCTCTCAGGCTACCACGTTCTGACTTCACTAGAATCTTAGAAAGAAAGAGAGAGAGAAAGGCAGAGAGAGAGAGAGGGAGGGAAAGAGAGAGAGAGAGAGACCAAAAAAATCATTCACACACGAACAAGGTAACCATGGTATTAAGAGAACCATAAATTATTTAGCAGTGATTCATCCTCTAAGCATGTGTTGAGCATGTACAATGTATAGAGCATTGTCTAAGGCCTGTACCTATGTTGGCAAATTAAGATATGACACAGAATCTCTTCTTATGGGTCTGAAAGTCTAATGCAGGGGTCAGCAAACTACGATCTGCAAGCTGAACCTACCTCCTACTGGTTTTCGTACAACCCTCAAGCTAAGACTGAAAAACACTAAAAGAAGACTAGTATTTTGTGTCATGTAAACAATTATGTGAATTTAATTTAGGGGTACAGACACTGAAATAAAATTTTATCATAACATAGCCATCCTTATTCTTTTACATATTGCCTATGATGTTTTTCATGTTATAATGTCCAACTTGAGTAGTTACATCAAATAACTTTTGGTGCACAAAGCCTAAAATATTTAATTTTAGCTCTTTACCAAAAGAGTTTCAATGGGTTTTCTAATGGTCTAGAAAGCCATTAATCAGATTATCACACCATTAAAAGTAAGCATGTGGGAAATGCTGGGAATGAATGGTGTATCAATGTATGAATGTGTACAATGAGATCTAGAAATATAGTGATGGCAAGCAGACCCATGGTGGAATTAAAACCTTCATCACTTTTTGTTTAATTCTTTACAGGGCTCACAAGAGACCACACTCAAGGAGTGATGAACAAATTTTAATTGGTAACATAATTCTAGTAATACTAAGTGTTGAGGAGTTTCTGACTGAATCCCTACTTCTCTGATGTTGAAGGTGTTGTAAGGCAAAGGGTCAATAAATCAATTTAGTGACATCCTATAATGCCCAGGCTTTCATTGGCTAACCTTGGCATTTATTGGTACTCCAATTGAAAAAAAAAAAGAAACCTGACAAATTCACAGAATATAGAGAAAAATGTTGAAGGATACAAGCTTTTAAAAATGAGAAAAGAGGGTGAGGAGTGGTGGCTCATGCCTGTAATCCCAGCATGTTGGGAGGCCAAGGCAGGCGGATCACTTGAGGTTAGGAGTTTGAGACCAGCCTGGCCAACATGGTGAAACCCCATCTCTACTAAAAATATAAAACTTAGCTGTACATTGTGGCAGGCGCCTGTAACCTCAGCTACTTGGGAGGCTGAGGCAGAAGAATTGCTTGAATCCAGGAGGTAGAGGTTGCAGTGAGCTGAGATCTTGCCACTGTACTCCAGCCTGGGTGACAGAGTGAGACGCCATCTCAAAAATAAAAATAAAAAAATTTTAAATAAATTTAAAAAAATGAGAAAAGACATCAGCTGTATAGATATATAAAAATATAGGAAATGTATTTTACTCCACAAATAAGCAAAAAGTGGATACTTTTGTGTCATGAAAGGACTATTTAAAATTTATGGGAATAATATTTTTCTTCTGAGAGAGTCAAAGTACTTGTTTTGTTTTAATTCTATGAATATTATTATGGAATAGTAAAAAAGTAAATCTCTTATGCTGCACTTAGAATTAATACAAAGTTAGATCTTTGAACCAGTTTTTCTGTTAATTATTGTGAATAACAGGATATGTGAGAATAAGGCTCACATTATTTGTTAGTTGTGACAAGTTGTTTTCACCAGTTTGCAGTAGATTTTAGTTGGCAATATTACATAAACATGACCACTTTATTAGCCTTTTCTAATTATGATTGAGGAAAATAAAAAAGCTGGAGAAAATGAAGTCATTGTTTCAAAGTAGTATTGAAATAAAATAAACTGTCATGGTCATGTAGAAGAGCCTTTGAATTTTTAGACTCTTAGAGAGATTCAACTTCAAAGACTACTTTATTCTCTGATGCAAATGCTTTTTATCATTCATCCTCAAAAGATATTATTAGTTCATTTGTGTGGCTTCAAAAGATTCTCATTTATTTATTGAACAAACAACTACTGAATGCCTACTGTGTGCCAGGCACTGCATCTGATGTTTGGAATAAGAAGACGATTAGAGAGTTTCTGCTGTGCTTAGGTAGTGGGAAGACAAAGGTAAAAAGTTGGACTCCAGTGGCCAGAGGATTATCCCCCCAAAGTTGTCTGTAATAAAGTAAGGGGTTTAGCATGGAAGTAAATGGAATAATATTGTCTGCATACATTTTATCTCTCACTTTTAAAATTTCATGTGATATATTTTATTAGCTCTTCTTCAGCCTTTCAGATTAAAAACAAGAACATTTAAAAATTAAACATTCAGTATTAGAAATTTGATCAACTAAGGTATTTTCTCATTGTGGAGATATAAGTTACTATGTAATCTGCTGTACTATTCTGGTCTGAAATTTAAATAAAACACAAGTCGAAAACATTTTGCAGAGGAGAAGAAAAAAAGGCATGGCCTTAATAGAGATGTTTTCAGAAAGAATTATCCCCTAAATTGCATGTCTACCTTTTAAGTAGTTACTAGGAAACAGATATGTTCATAGTGATTATAGTGATTATATCCAAATAATGTCATAAACTAAGGTGGCTTTGCTATTTAACCTCCAGTCACATTTAATTTCATTGTCTTAGTATTACACCAGACGCAGTACATGCAAGCATGCTGTGTACATGCACATTTACAGAACGGTCAAAGCAAAATCAAAGCCAGGGACTGTAGCCTTGAGTTACTAGCCTTCTTCCTAATCGCTATCACTATTTTTTTCTCTGAAATACTGTTTTGTTTTCTGTTTGTTCTTTTTTTTTATTGTACTTTAAGTTCTAGGGTACATGTGCACAACGTGCAGGTTCGTTACATATGTATACATGTGCCATGTTGGTGTGCTGCATCCATTAACTCGTCATTTACATTAGGTATATCTCCTAATGCTATCCCTCCCCCTCCCCCTCCCCCATGACTATTAAAGCTCAAATATCACAACCATTGTCAAGTATGTGTCAAAGATAGGGAGGGAATGACCAGGGATGCAATGTATTCTCACTAGGCTTGAGAGAATAAGGAAAATGTTTGCCTTCTTTAGAAATGAATCCCAGGGATTAGTCCATAGTGTGGCTCCTGTAGAATTATACAAAGTGCCTTTGACACATATTAAATGTTATTTATTTTAAATAACTAGTACTGGATTAGGATCACAGTCTTTTGTTGTAATACTGCAAACAATTACTGACTCAACAGTGAAATAATTCATTAGTCAGTATGGACTTATTGAGCATTTTCTTATGCACCACAAATAGTGGGTTGATGGAAGTTATGACATTCACGGATACATTTATTTAACAAGTACCCATTAGGCAATTTGTGTGAGCAAACACCATGATGAGCACTATGAGTTAAGCAATACTTATACATAGAGAGAAGTAATACTACATGGTCATTGGCCTCAGAGAATTCCCAGGTTAGTTACTCATGCAGAGAAGCAAAAACATTTCAATGAAATATGTGACTGAGTGTAAAGTACAGATGACAAATGCTGTAGCTATTTAGGTATTTAAGAGGAAAGGGGGCATTTTGTGGAAGAGGTGGAACTTGACCAGTTCCTATGTGATGGGTGAGCTTTGGGCAGCAGGGGGTTTCTTTCTGGGCAGCGGGAGGGGGCAGACTGGTGGGCGGGGGAGAACGTGGTCAGGGAAGTTGGTGCTAAATAGTTAGTGCTCATAATGCATGCAGGAGAGAGCTTGTGGACAAACCTGGTGAGAATATGGCAATGATTGCTTAGGAACGCTGGCCCCTAAATAAAAACATTCATGAACGAGACTACTTACCTCCCTCTACCAAGTTGGAGCCTGTTGTGAACAATGAGACCTATTTTGCTCTCTGAGGATGTTTTAGGAGTCTCAGACCAATGGTTCTGGATATAAATTCCAGTGAGTTTTCCTTCCTTCTTGATGCTGCTTTGCTATTGAATCCTGTTCCATGAGGGGTACCCCCTCCTTAGTCTTCCTCACCAATCCTCTATCTTGTACTACGATCTCTGCAACTCTGCAACCCTTTGCCTTGAAGTATCAGCCTTGACTTCATGTGTTACAAGCTGTTGTAACCTTAGGCAAATTACTTTCTTTCTCTTTGCTTCCATTTTTTCATTTGGAAAATGGGAATAAAAATAATACCTACCCTATTGTAAGTTGTAAGTATTTAAAATATTTAGAACAGTGCTGGGTACTGATTAAATGCTATCAATGTATTAAAAGGCATCAAGATATTATTTGGCTAGTTCACAGAGATTTATCTTATCCATTTGCTGAATAAACACAGGTCTAAAAATGTAGAGAGTTTGTGAAGAAAAATCATTAGAAATGTTGGAATGTAGTGTACTCTCAAACAGTTTAATATCAAAATACAGAAGAATTCAGGGCAGAGATTGTGTGGTATTAACTCTTAGTGTAACCTTCCAGGTTATTGAAGAACCGAGTTTATTGTTGATATAAGTCTTAACTAGCATTTACCCCACCAACTGTCAGTTCAGTCTAATTCCTGAAATTCACGGATGTAAACCATTCCAAGAAAGTGAGTTTTCTATAATTCTTATTATCTCCAGAAAAATAGCTACCAGAAATACATTTATATAACATCACACATTCCAGAAATTCTTCTTAATAAAATAAGTCTTCACTTCGAAGCAGAATGTATAACCAAAAAAATTGTATTAATCCAGGTACCAAGAACATTAATCAGATCACCAGAGGGATTTATTATGGACTCATGAGTATTATCCTTTGCTCTGTAAAAAATTTCCTCTGACATTAGGAAAGTATAAGTAGATGTGTTCTTGTGGCTGCAATTTCTAAATGAATAAATATGTTCAGTCATGGAGTCCTCCAAGGTTCATTCTTTTTTCTGTACTTTTTGTGTCTTTGGTGACTCTTCTTTTCCTTCTTTTTGAAAAATGTAATGTATACAGCTCAAAGTGGTGAGAAAGAGAAAGAGGGAGGGAGAGAGAGACGGAGGGGGAGAGAGAGAGAGAAATAGAAAAGGAAGAATGACAGGGTGAGAGAGAGCTAAGACTTAAACATTGACTATTTGCAATAAGAACCAATGATTATATTAATTATTTAGGGTCTTCTTTACTCCTCGGTAAAAAATACCATTTAATTTTTTAAAAGTAGGATTGTCTGCATCAAAACCATGAGTAAGCATTTATGTTTGATATTCCTGCTGGAATGCTTTAGTTTTGTGTTTCTATTATTTTATAGCTGACTGTCGAACTCAGATGGCTTTCTGTACTTGTACTTAATGCATAGAATTGTATTTAATCTAAAAAAATTCACACTGAAATTAATATTGTAAATTTCTTAAAATTTTAGAGTAAAAAAATCTAGAGAGCATCTAGACCAATTTCATTATTTTTAAATAATATTTTTTTCATTTTTTAATGTGAGAGGTCATTGCACTGTTTATTCCTTTATTGCTCATATTATGCAAAGGTTAAACTTTATCCAAAGTAAACTTTACTAATGAATTTTTTCATTAAGACTTTGCTACATTTATCATTAGGTTCTGCCTTATTTACCCAGCAACCCTAAGTCATTCCCGTCATCAACAAATTTTATTGAGGACTTCATAGAGTCCTTCATGAGGGGCAGTCCTTTATAAGATCAAGATAATCTTATGAAGTTTTATAATTGATTTTGTCAGAGTTGCGATTTGGAGACATTCTGGCTATGCCATCTGAAATATGCTTTTGTGTATGCAAGACCTGTTTCCTAGACTTTGAGATGACATCAAGAAAGCTGCTCTCTCTTGCGGGGGAAAAAGCACCAATTTACTACAGTGTTGCCTGAAGTTCCAGTGCCAGCACTTCTGCATTACCCACCCTTTACTATTTTTTAAATCACAGAAATGTAGAATATTAAGGATCATCTAGTTATAATACCTACTTTTTGCCTGCAAAAGTAAGTGCCAACGATGATTGACTACCTACTACGTACTGACATATATATGCATTATTCCATTTAAACCCCACAACAATACTGCAGTATGCATTATTTTCATTTTACAGAGGAAATGAGACTCAGAAATTGATACTTGGAAAAATCAACTGACCTGCTTATGGTTACAAAGCTAGTGAGTGGCAGACCTGAATTTAAGGATTAGGGAGTGAAACAAATTATTTAATGTAATTGAATGTTTCCCTTTTGTATACACACCGTTAGAGAAAAGAAATTTTGATTGCATTTTTTCAATGAAGTATGGTTACAGTGGACAGTAGGTTCAGAGAAATTGTTTACTGTAAATCTTTGAAAATATTTAAAAATATTTAATAAAGGAATTTTCTAAGAATGGTTGGAATTTACACTAAATTTGAAGAAATGGTGAAATAAAATTGATGGCAAAGGACTGTTTTTCAATGTGAACGTTTGAAGATGTTAGATATTGCTGGTAAAACACTTCCTTCTAGATCACTTAATATGCATCCTCCATAATCTTATTCTCATTCATCAGGTCTTTAGCCCAGCATGTACCAGAAGGGGTTCTGGACCTGTTATAGCAGAGACTACAAATTCTTCTCCATTTTCTGTTCTCTTCTTCTTCTTTTTAAAGTAATAAAAGAGGTTTCAGCTGAGCATAAGATCATGTCGCTAAAGGCTACATTTCCCAGCCTCCCTTGTAGCTAGTTGTGATCATGTGATCAAGCCATAGCCAATGGAATTTCAGTGAAAATAGTGTAACCAATTCCCAGGTCATTTGCTCAAAAGAGTGCAATATGTCCCCTTCTTTTCTTGTCTCCATTGAGTGGAACATGAGCGTGATGGCAGGAGCTGGGGCAGTCATGGATGAAAAGTTGCTTTTGCAGGACCACAGAGCAACAAGATAGAAGGAGCCTTGAAACCACCATACAAGCTTTGGGCTGATTGTGCTCTCTCAGAGAAAGAGATAAATGCCTACCTTATCTAAACCACTACTAGTTTTCAACATAGATAATCTGAATCCTAACGTTTTTCAGATATTAATAAACATAACTTAATAAAAGGTTTGGAAAACATTGACATAAAGAAGCTAGAGAGGTTTTTTTTTTTTTTTAATTGCATGACTTCTCAGAACTTTTATTGGATAGCTATGTGATCAGCCTTGGCCAATGGAATATGAGTGAAAATAGTGTGACCTAATAGTGGTTGGAATGAATCTCCAAGAGGAGGTGTGAAGTGTTTCTAATATTTATTCGATTACAAAAATTATTTTTAAAATGGGGCTTCCTATATGGGCTTCATAGGTATGTGGGGTGGATTTTGAGAACTGCAGCTTTAGGAAGCACAACTTGAGAAAGCTCTTAGTGGCTTAGCTTAAGATAAATGTTGAAGGTAGGTGTGGGCATGAGGAGATTGTGTTGTAGAGAGCCCTTCAATTCCACATATCATTATGGAACACTAAGTATTATGGAGATAAAGATATATTTCATTGGAAAGAAAATGAAATAAGTTATTGTTACAGATACTAAACTGACATTAAGACAGATGAAATAATTTCAAAATAAGAAGTGGCTCAGATTCCTTATGTGATAACCTGTAAGAAGTAGGGATAGGAGGCTGGGCGTGGTGGCTCCCAGCACTTTGGGAGGCCAAGGTGGGCGGATCACCTGAGGTTGGGAGTTCGAGACCAGCCTGACCAACATGGAGAAACCCCATCTCTACTAAAAATACAAAATTAGCTTGGCATGGTAGTGCATGCCTGTAATCCTAGCTACTCGGGAGGCTGAGGCAGGAGAATCTCTTGAACTTAGGAGGCAGAGGTTGCGGTGAGCCGAGATCGTGCCATTTTACTCCAGCCTGGGCAACAAGAGCAAGACTCCATCTCAAAGGAAGAAAAAAAAAAAAGAAGCAGGGTTAGGAGAAGCGGCAAGGTCAGCCTCTGTGGCATCTTCTGAATTTATATGTGTGGGGCCTAAGATGGTAGAAGAAGTTGCTGCATTTGCAGTACGGACATATGATTTTCTTTCTTTGGTATAGTTGTGAGAGGTGCCTAGTAGAGAAATGATCAATCTTGACCTGGTCATCCCTTGTTGCCACCACTGTTTGGGACACATAGATAGTGAGTTATTTAGTAAGATATCTAGATGGACATGTAGTGTATGCTTTTGGAAATAGAGGCTTGAAGCTGGGAGAGATGAGAAATCTGGAGAAATGTTTTTGGAAGTCATTTCAGTACCCCTGAACTTGTACCTCTGAACTTAAAAAAAAAAAAAAAAAAGAAGTTAGGATCAGAGCAATAGTGGAATACGTAAGATAAACAGAGTCAAAGATTCCAAGGTGAGGTGAGTAGTTTTTATGACAAGACTACACTTCAGGAGCAAGTGTGGAGACATGGAAATGAAGAGAAGATTGCTGGTTTTGATCATTAGGAGGTTGTTGGTGACCATGGTGGAGTAGAGTCAGGTCAAAGCACTGACAGCGGTAGGGGCTTGTTTCCTCTGCTTTGAAGAGTGGATAACTGTGAGGAGGGAGATGAGGTGGGACCAAAACATGCTAGAACATTGATGAGACATACCCTCTCTTTGCTGGGCTGATGAATAGAGTTTTCAGGGAGAGGGCCACTCTTGCTTCTTCTTTACTGGACATTTCTAAATCCAGAAAAGCATTCAAGGACCAATGGCAGCACAGGCTCAGGGACAGCCCTTACTACCTCCTGAGCTTACTCAGAGCCTGCATACAGGTAACTCAGTTTTGATGCTACTCTATTTTATAACCAGTAAAAAGAAAATCTTACTTTTCATCAGAACAATGGCTTGATTTCATTTAGAATTCCTTAAAATTATTTTATGTTTGGCCTTGTGAAAATATTACTACTGAAACTCAAGCACTTGGGGAAAAAAAGGAATAAAAGAAAGTAATAGCAGAAATAGATGAAATCTAAGTCCAGTTCTCCAAGCACGTTGGAAAGCACCTTTTTATCCTGTTTATTTTATACTCCTCCTCTAGAGATTGTATCTATCCCTTCATGGAACTATGATGTTAGGTTCCCTTGAAATGTACACAGAGTTGACCCAAACTCTCAACTTTATATTCTGTAGGAAGCTCAATGTCCTTCCCATGATTTCTGGTGTTTCCCAGGGGCACCTGTTCTCATGTTCACTCTAGATCTGTTTTCATATTCCTATTAAACTCTAGATCTTGTTTGTTTGTTTGTTAAATCTTAGCTCTTGGAGCTGTTCTTATTTCTTTATCTCATGCATACTCCAAAATAAAACAAAAACCACCATTCAAAGAAGGCATTGGTGTGTATAATGGCTTCACTGAAGGTTTGCAGTGACTAAGGCAGTTTACCTTGCAGAACCAAACACTCATTCAGCTGCTGTCCTGCATTCCTGACACTGGAATTTTTTAAATTGACCTCCTTTTCCACATGATCAAACATCCTGTTCCATTGCTGACCACTGCCCCCTCCACTCTCACTGATGGCTTGCCCTCTCTCCTTTCTTGATATCTTCTCCACCCTCCAGATTCTATGAGCATCTCATGGAGCAGTCAGCATCAGTTGGTTGTGCAGTTTTTCACATAAAACATTTCCTTGGGTCATACTCCCCCACTTAAAACAGTCTCTCCAGGTATTTTCCTAAACAAAGGCAGTTCTCTCTCTTTGGGAAACTCTGGTACCAGCTGTTAAAATGACATTTGTTTCCAACCTGCTACATAATTTTAAAAAGATAAATATGCTATTTATTCTTTAGTAGCTGACATGTCTGGATAATGCTGAAATAATTGCCTATTTTCCTGCAGCATGTGGTCTGAGAAGGTACTGTTATTTGAACTGAGTGAAAAAAGGAAAAATAATTTGTATTTAATATCTACAGCACTGCATCCACATTATACTTAAATGATATTTGTAATTATTATTTACTATGTATACAACTTCCTCCCTAATATATTAAATCATACACAGAATATAACTTTAGGCCTGGTCTCTGGGCAGCATGTCTCCAAGTCAGTCTGTTTCCAATAGATGTAAATGCAGGAAAGAATCTGTATAATATTAGGGAGAAGACTTGGAAGGCATCTGTGCATTCAGCAGGGAGAACTGATGGCCAGGCATTTTCCAGGGGAGCCTAGATGTATTTCAAATAGAGTTCCCAAAGGGTTTTATTCTGAACAAGATGTTAATGGTTAGTTTATAAAGCTTAGACTTTTAGACTGTGTTGTTTCCAAGAAGGGTTCAATTTTTTTTTAACTTACTTTTTTTAAGGGGAGTAAAGCTGAGGAAAGAAAAAATATAATTGAGTATGCATTGGGCACTGTGCCCATTATTTTGTACTATGTGCAAATATATGGAAAGTGCTTAGAACGGTGCCTGGCATACGTTTACTAGAATTAGTATTACAAATTAGTGATCAACAATATACAAAATGAGGAACAAAGTAATAGACACAAATAATATATTAAAAACAATCACATAATATATAACTCAAATTTGGAACGTGAAGAAGCAAACCCTGGCAACTAAATTGATTAAATGTAATGTGCATTTTGTTAAAATTTTGCTAGTTGTAGTGTTAGTTTAATAGCCAAAAGGTAGAAATAACCTGAACCTTCAACAATAAGAAATAGTTAACAGATAAGCTTATGTATGATGGTACCTACCAAAATACCATGTTTTCCATAAAACATGTTTCCATGTAAATATATTACTTGGGAGAAGAATGAAAACATTGTATAAACCTTATTAAATCTATCATCTATTTATCTATCTATCTATACAAACATACATAAGTATAGAGAGGTTTGGAAGAAAATATAGCTGTATGTTCAAAATAATCTCTTGATGGAGGGATTATGGGGAATTTAAATTTTTAATTTGTCCAGTTTTCTTCCACTAGTTCTCAGTACTTTCATAGTCATAAAATAACATTTAAATAAATTAAAACAAAACAATCCAGTTCATATATGTCAAATATATATAATATCACCTTTGCTTTTTATGACTTTTATATCCAGCTGGTATATATAAGTCGCAAAATGTGTCACATCATCTTTGTTTCCTGGGCACTTTTGTACAAGGTCACTATGGAGGGCTCAAAATGCGCTCTGTGTTTATACTTCATCATTGCACCCTCGGCAGATGGTACCAGACTTCTGTATCTGATGGAATTTGATTTCCTGTCTCACAATTGCTGTTTGCTTTCAGTCATTTATCTTAAAATGTAACAAATGAGCGTTATGATAGCAGAGAGGGATTTTTCAGAGTAATGCATACACTGGAGCTTAATGAAGTGTGTATGTGTGTGTGTATGTGTGTGTATGTATATATATATATATATATTACATAAAATGTATGTAGAGTGACACTTACATTGCTTACACTTGCATTTTGGGGTCACACATCTAAAAGCCTGAGTTTTAGAGCAACTTGATTTTGTTTCCAGAAGGAATGATGCATTTTGAACCTATGTTCAATCACCCCTGTTTCATCTACCTCATCAGATGGTGAAATGCATGAGTTTATAAAAGACCAACTTCAGGAATGGCTATGGCTGATGTCAGTACATACCACTGTATTGTTTGCGCTTAGCTTGAAGCCACCTTTCCAGTTTTCAACTTGTCCGCTGCTTCCTCTGTGAAGGGCAACCCTGAGCCTCAGGAGATGGATGCCAGTCAGCTCTAATTCTGCACAAACCGTTTTACCTCACTGGGCCTCCATTGTTTTGTCATATGTGAAGAAAGGCACTCTTCAGAACCCTTAGCCTGTGACTCATTGCCTCTTTTAATGGGCTATGGATATGAGTGGGATCATCTAAAGGATTTTAGCTACATTTTGTGTTATTTCATTAGAATTCAATTATGGAAGCTGGTAGCAGAGCCACTTCCGTTGAATAGTAGGTGGGCTCCCACCTTGAATGCAGCTTTAATGAGGCTCTTCAAAGACCACAGTCAGCCCAAGAGAAAAGCATGTACTCTAAGGCTTGTATTTGATTCTGGGGCAATCATTTTGCAAAGTGAATTGAGCAGATATGATCCCATTTGTGCAAAATTTGCAGTCCAATACAGGTAATAATGACTTGGATGGTGATATTAAGGATGTAAATAAACAAATACACATTAAATTAGGTCAGTTACAAAAGTAGGCTAAGAACTCAGTGAATGCAGGAGCACTTTTGTGGGTTCACTGTAATGGATGTCAACATGTGGCAGAGAAGGGTTTGAATGGCTGTAAAATTAGTGTGAAAAGCAGAGTTCAGTAGTTGGCTTTCTTCCTGTTTCTCAAGAAGATCTGGTAAATGGTTGAGCTTATGAAAAGTCTTCCCTCTCCTGGGATCCTCCCCTGCTTGGGATGCTGTCCAGCGGGGTAATGGGAGGCAGCAGAGCAGAGCCCAGGGCTGGCCTCCCGATCTGCCTGGAGCTCCTCCAGGTCCCTCCCCTGGGAAAGGGAATAGTGTCTAAAGGCTGCAGGTTGGGCTGGTAAGTCAAGCTGATGAGGAATCATCTACATAACACCAGTGGGCACGCGGTGGGGCCAGCATGCTGCTCTTGCCTGGGAGGGAGGGCATTGAGTGCCCTGCACACTTCCCAGAGATAGCTGAGAGGGGGACATTCTCTCCTTTAGGACAGTGAGTCATGGTTTTCCAAGTTTTGAATAACTTTCAGCTTAAGCTCAACTTTAGAATTAATGAGGAATGTGCAAATTTAAAACAAAGAGACACTGCAGTTGTTTTAAATAGGAATATAAAGTGAATAGTGATTTCTAAAATAGATCTTCTTGATAGTCATTCTAAAAACAATTTTCGTCAACCACAATCTCTGGCATCTGTTTAAAAATAAGGTGGGTAAAATTGGCCATATTCTAGTAATGTGGCAGTTGATAAAATTAATCTACAAAATATTTGAACAGATAAAGGAATTACAATTTAAAATGATGAAAGTTAGGCAACATATTAATCCTTCCATCATCTTTGTAGGTTGACATGCTTTTAGCAAGCACCCTTAGCTTCATAACTTTTGCTTCTTGGCCTCCATTAATTTTAGATAGGTGACCATCAGCACAGATACCTGTGAACATACTACCAAGTTAGTCAAAGTAACTTTATCCTATTATTGTTTGCAACACTGAGGCCTCATAATCTCTAACTCTTTGCATAATTTACTGTCAATTTTAAAATGTCATGCTGTTATAGTAACTAAACATATCATTCCTGTGTTTCTGGTTGCTTACATAAGATGTTGCTTAAATAAAAAATTCTCTGAAAACATTAGGGCTCAAACACACATCTCTTTGTAGTTTGTTTATACTGTTTCAGAAAGAAGACTGCATACCGTGACACTTACATGTTTTGTAGGCAAGTTGAATAATGCACCAAAGGCTTTCAAACTTCTTAAAAGGAAAAATAATTCTTTGAACTGACAGTGAACAAACAATCTTTTCAGAGCTGGAGAATTTCTGTTTGATGGTCTGTGTCAGATGCAATGAACATTAAGAAAGTTTCCATACTCTAAATATGTCAGTAGTTTGGAGATTTCAAGAGATCTTTGCTGAAGTGCTTCTGATTTCAGAAATGATGAACCAATAATGTGTATATATATATATATATATATATATATACACACACACACACACACACACGTACGTGTGTGTGTGTGTGTGTGTGTGTGTGTGTATTTCCAAGTTAGGAAGACAGAGATTTCCAGAAGCCTCTAGTTAGTATTATTCAGTAGTTAAGGCAAAAGCACTGTTGACTGAGATTTCATCTGTGCAATGGTTTTCACTTACATTATCTCAGAATTATGCAATTCTCAGGCCAACTTTGAGTCTCTACTTAACTAATGGAAAAACTACGTCTCAGACTGAACAATTTGCTGAAAACATTTCATAGGGAATTACTAACTTTTATAGTCATTTCATATTCTACAATGCTTCCTAAAAGTAAAATTCCACTTTAATCTTTACAGTAGTAGAGAAGTAGCTCAAGAAGTAGGTATGAAGGAAGCTTGTTTTGTTTGTTTTTTTACTGTTCATTGCTCTTAAACTCAATTTAAGATTACAATTATTTTATTATTATGTTGCTGAGATCAGTCAGTGGTCTCATTCTGTCTTGTATATATGTTTCATTTTAAATAACTGTTCCTTTTTGCTACTCTTGGGAAGATTGTAGAGGGAGTTAAATTGGAGCCTGAGTTGTCTAAGCTAAGCAGAGGTGACAATTGGAAAGAAGTATTTTCTTGGAGGATCCAGAATCCTTTGGACTCACACTACTCACAGGACAGAACTTTAGAAGTCCTATTTGTGTTCCGAAATCTAGTTTATTAGGCATAAAAGTCTGAGATCCCGATTCTATATCTAATGTTCTTTGCAAGGATCCATTTCAGCTGTTGAGATTATTGGCAAGTAATTTCCCAATGGAATGCCTTTATGGCTGAATACTTGGATCTTTACTTTCAAATTCATTTTTATCATCTTTTCAAATATTTCAAATGTTATGTTTGATGTAAAGATTAGGAGAGAAATCCATTCTATTTTAAATACAAATTTTCAGAGGTTGTAAAAAAATATAATAGCCCCTTGTCCAGATGTTATGATTTAAATTCTTCATTAGATAATATTTTTGGCATATTTTTTAATTTATAAAAATACCAAAACAAATATGACCCCTTTGGAATTTTAGAGTGGCAGAGAGAGAGAGAGAGAGAGAGAGAAAGAGAGAGAGAGAGAGAGAGAGAGAGAAATCTGCCTAATCTCAGTTGGCAGATTAGCAGCTTCTGCAGGACATTACAGGAAGTATTACCCACAAGGTCAAAATGCAGAGAAAATAGTTAATCTCTGTCATTTGCTATGAAGATAGGACATAATTTAATGCATACAGGAGAAAATGCTTCAAATATGTGCTAAGATTCTGTCCTAGGCAAAATACAATCCTGATGTGTTCACAGAAAATCAAGATACATTTAATTATTTTGGATTTTATAGATACTTATGAGTTGAATGCTGTTACCATGTTGAATGCTATTACGAGTAAAATGCTATTTTACTCGTCATTATTTAATAAATAATTATTTATTATTTATTAAATAATGACGAGTAAAAACAAAACTAAAACTCTACATTGGTTACAAGATATATGGGCATGGTTTCTACATTCCATATCTGAGGATCAAAGACAGAATACTCCAAGTCAGACATAACCAGAATATGGGTTAAATCATTGGTTTTCAATATTTCTTCCACCAAGGGCCAATGGCTTCTTTTAGTATGTATGTGTATGTGTGTATGTGTGGGTTTGAACCCCTTGTTTGACAGGCTTTTAACATTCTAAACAAGCTGCATTCTTTAAAAAATATATTATATATATGAGTGTTAATCAGAACTTCTGAGCAACATTTTATAAAATTGGCATTTCATTCTTCTTGTTTATTCATCACCTGCAACCTGCATTTTGCTGGACACAGCATTCAAAATCCAAAGAGACAGCATCCTTGCTTTCATGAATATTAAAATATGGGTTTGTGTGGGTGGGGGTAGGGGACAAATAAATAACTAATAAAATTCCAGATCCATTAGAAAGCAACTTGACATTTTAGTTTGTACAATGTTGCCACAGATACATGCAGCATTCCTTATGGAACTTAAAAAAATCAAAATCTTTCCGACACTCAGAGGTATAGGTGCCCCAAGGTGGGATTCACTGTGGGATTCAGTGATGTTATTGTATTAAGTATCCAAAAAGCATGTTTGAAGAGAATGAATGATACAGGGAATTGCAGAATGCGGTGGGAGCCCCATGTGTAGCTAGCCAGGCACAGGCAAGGGATAGTGGCAATGGCAGATCCACGATAGAACATTTGCTACGTGCCAGCAGTTTTCCACATGATATCTACAGCTCTCAACAAACCCCTCAAGGTGACTACTATTGCTGTCAGTTTCTTTTTTCTTTTCTTTTCCCCTTCCCTTCCTTCCCTTTCTCTTTTCTCTCTCTCTTTCATTTTTGAGACTTCTTTCTTCCTTTTTTTTTTTTTTGAGACAGGGTCTTGCTCTTGCTCTGTCTCCCAGGTTGGAGTAGAGTGGTGCAATCACGGTTCACTGCAGCCTTGAACTCCAGGGCTCAAGCAATTCTCCCACCTCAGCCTTTTAAGTAGTTGAGACTACAGGCACTCACCACCATGCCCTGCTAATTTTTGTATTATTAGCTGGAGTCTCACTATGTTGCCAGGCTGGTCCTAAACTCCTGGACCTGTAGAAAGAGAAAAGAAATTAAAGATTTTTAAGAGGTGGAAAAGCATTTACTATAAATTAGGAAAACAGCTTGATCAGTTAAAAAATAATAAAAATCACTAATTTCTGCTTATGACATTTCAGGTGTTCTATATTAGTACACACACAATCTGTTACTAAAATTAAGTTTGAAAATGTAACTATTTTTTACTTCATTCTTCTTTAGATCACAAAATTCACTTTTCAGCAAGCACAGTGCTTATTTTTATCATGTGGCATAAATGAATGCCTTGAGTCGTTTTGAGGGGAGGCCATTCCAAATCTTCTGAAAAGCAAACCTCTGAACAGGTGGCGAGTCTTCAGATTTCCTTTTGGTGAAGGCTATGCACAGGAAGGAAATTACATGTTGTGGATTAATTCTGTCCCATGCTGCTATTTCTTTTTGTCATGAATTCTATTTCCTATAAACACGATTAGTCGACGGATCAGTGGTTTGCTATTATTAACTAGGTTAGGTCTATTTTTTAGTGTCCCTGTCCAAAAGTTACTCAGCACGGGCTTGAACCACACCATATGTCCAGCGTTGCTACCTTTTTTTCAAAATAATGCAATGTAGTGATGTCCCTTATATTCCCTTCAACTAGAGGAAAAGTCTTTGCCTTTTTCTAAGGACAGACATTGGAATTAGCTCTCACATAACTAGTTTTTATTTATTTCGTGACAGGTCATAGGATATGATATCAACAATGACAGCCTAACCTGCTTTATTTTTAAAAAATCTTCTGTGAACTCATGAGATATATTTGTTTATTAAATTAAACTACGTTTGAAGCTATCTTTAAAAGTCTTATCAATGAATTTCTTTCCTTATTTTAAAATGAGATGTACATAGTACAGTGGTTAAGACAGTTGGGTCTCCTGTCAGTGTGACATAATTCAAACTCTGGCCCTCAATATCTATATTGAGTGATATATAGATATATATAGATATATCACTCAATATCTATACGATCTTGGGCTAGTTATTTCACAGCTTTGTGTCTCAGTTTTCCTATCTGTAAAATTGGGATAATGACAATGACTACCATTTCTACTGCAGAGTTTCATCTGGGTATGCATTTTTATTTAAAATAAATAAATTAACACATATGCAGTATTTAGGACAGGACCTTGTGTGCCGTAGTCATTTAATAAATGTTAGATATTATTACTACCGTTCCTGCCATCACCATATCCACATTTAGGAATATTTACTTTGCACCTGCTTTGTGCCAAGTACTGGACTTACAAGGGTGAAATAAATTATGGACAAGGTATCTTCTATCCTAAAGCTTACATTCAATGGTGAGATACAAGTAATCATAATTTTTAAGCAAAAAAGTCAAATAAACAAAGAGTAAGAAATGCATGAAGTAACATAGAGTGAAATGATTAAAAGACAAAGGGGTTTATTAGAATGAGTTGTCCGGGAAAGCTTCTCTGCGTTTGTGATATTTAAACTCAAATTTCATGATAATAAAAAGCAAGCCAAGAAAGTGAAAGAGGGAAAATGGGGAGGGAACTGTCGGTAAAAAGGCTACAGCACTGAAAACCTAAGGGGTGTTTGAGGAAAAGAAAAAATGTCAGAGTGGCTGGAGACTGTTGGCAAAGTGGAGGGAATCAAAAAATTCGGCCAGGGTTGGTGTGTGGAGAGCAGCTGGACAGGCTAAGGAGTCTGAGTATTACTTTTTTTGCAACTGGAAGCCATTGCAGAGGAGAGACAGATCACATGTATGTTTCAAAAAGATTCTTCTGAGTCCTCACTAGAGAATAGACTATTGGGTTGGGGCAAAGGAAGAAGCAGAGACTTAGGTTAGGAGGCTACCAACGTGGCCCATGTGAGAAACGACGGTGACCTGGTCTACAGAGGTGGGAGCCAGGGTGGAAAGAAGAGGAAAGATTCAGATTAAATTTTTGGAATTATTTTTGTGCCATGCTGTCTACTTGACCACACATCAGACAGACATCCAAAAGTGCTCGATGATAGCGATTGTCATTCATAACATTTATTGCAGACCCAGACACTGTACTAGTTATTTGGAATTTAAACTTATAGTTTTGTAGGGAAAATGGACATATGAAAATTAATGAAACACAACGTGATATTAACTCCAGTGAACCTAAATAGATGGAACGAGTACTCAAAGGAGCTCACTCATCTGGGGCTTTCCAAAAGAATTCGTGGGAGAAATAATATTTGATTTTAGCTTCCATTGATGATGGGTTGGAGTTTGGTATGTTGAGAAATGGGAAGAAATGCACTCTGGACAGAAAATGGAGGTGCGTGGCTCAGAGTTATAAATGTTCATGGAGTATTTAGAGAAAATTACATGAATGGCTGTGACTGGAACACGGCAAATGGACGAGACAGAATGGTGAAGAGAAGAATGAGTATGATGGAGTTTTATTTTGCAGGAAGGCGTGCTGGGGAACTGGCAAACCAATATGAGATATAAAAATTGTTAAAAATTTGGCAAAGATTCAGAATTTAATTTCAAGAAAAATTTCACTAGACACCAAATTAACCAAAAACTGTATATCGTAATATTAATTCTGATAAGTATTTACCACAAAACCAAGGGTAATTGACTAAATCACTCCTTCACATAGCAAGATGAAACTAATAATATCTCTGTAGAGCATGTGGAGTAACTAGCTAATATGAATACAGAAACTGTGTCCTTTTAAAACCATGTTAACTGCTTATTGTATAAATGTTCATGCATTCATTTCTTTCAGCAAACAGCATAAGCAAGGAAATAATACTTTAATGCATTTATTCAGTGGTAACAATGATACTTGCATTAAATCAAATTTATCTGACAACAAATTTTGAAAGCACTTTACACAGAATATATACCCAAACACCAGTTGCTACAAACATGACAAAGGACTAATATATTTACTCTATCATGAATTCATAATAATCAATAAGAAAAACATTAAGACAAACAAATAAATGACAAACAGCTTGAACAGACAATTCAGCAAGAAGGAAAAACAAATACCCAGACATAAAATACAATGCAATGTACAATATATATGTCTATATGTCTATATATTTATGCTCACTTACAGTTCAAAGCATGTAAGTGAAATTCAACTTATATTGTTTACAGAAGTAAATTCTTGGCAAGCAGGTTGACAATATGTGTAAAGATCCTTAAAAGCTTTTATATATTTGGTAAGTAATTCTGTTTCTGAGAATCTATCCTAAGAAAACAAACCTAAGTAGGCAAAGTGTTACAGTAATGAAAACAGCTGAAATTTCTATCTATAGAGAAATGTTTTGAGATTCAGTGGTAAAGTCATTTCATGTAATATGATACAGATTTTGAAATATGATTTATTAAAATTGTGTAGTAACATAGGAAATGCTTCCAATACAGCATAAAATAAAAATCAGAGTAAAAATTATGTTTATGCTTAAAATATATGAAATACCTTAGAGACACACAGAGAGAGAGAGAGAGAGATGAAAGACATTTACTATATGGATGTTTCTAAGTGAAGGAATATGGTTCTTTTATTTTTTTTTCCCTGAATGTTTCATATTTTCTTGAAGCAGCATGTAATACTTTTATAACATCATTTTACTTAAAATTTTACAACTTTATTGTCAGATAACAGATTAATTCTATTTTAAATTGTAAACATTTAAGACCAGAGAATTTTTTTAAACTTGCTCAGGCACAGTACTAGGTACTGGTGAAATAATGGAAAAAAACTGGTCCCTGCCTTTGAACAGCAACTCCACTCGGGCGTGGTGAGATGCAAAGCTCCTGGTCAGGCCTCTAGCTTGTGGACACCATCTTAACCAGGCCTTCCAAACAGATGGTATCTATGCACTAGTTTCTGATTTTTTTTTTTGAAAGGGTGAGTCTCATTGTGTTGCCCAGGCTGGCCTTGAACTCCTAGGCTCAAGCAATCCCCCTGCCTCATTCTCCCGAGTAGCGGGGATTACAGGTATGTGCCACCACATCTGACTTCCATCAACTTGTGTTAAAGATTGCCAGGGTGGAGCTGGGTGTGATGGCACATGCCTGGCAGTCCTAGCTACTCAGGAGGCGGAGACAGGAAGATCACTGGAACCCAGGAGTTCAAGGCAAGCTTGAGCAACATATTGAGACTCCATCCCTAAAATACAATAAAATATAATAAAATAAAATACAAAATAAAATAAAGATTGCCAGGCTGATAATTTAATGCCTCAGAAATTCACCACATCCCTACTTACATCTGAATAAAATTCTGTCATATAATTTTTCTTAATACTGTTTTTATAAGAGATGACAAACAGTTATCACCATTCTTTATATAATAGCTCACCTAAAATTAAAAGCAGAATTATGCTTTTTATGGTCTTCCCCAATCTGCCTGTGCTATCCATGCTGACAGACACTTTCAGAGTTAACACGAAGAACTTTGTTTTACAATTGTAGTCTATTGCTGATTGTGAAATTTGTGATATATTAGCAGAAATTGCCTTGACTGTTGAATTTGCATATGTCCAGTTGGTCTCCACCTAGGACTTAGTGGCTTTTGGTTTTCCTGATGAACTGTTTTTCACTTTTCCAATATTTGTGCCAAACAAGTCATTCACTGCCTGTTTCAGACCACATTTTTCTGTATCACCCAAACATTAAGCTTGAATTATGTTTTTCTCAGTTGAATGTTACTTCACCATTTAGTAAGAAAGTTGTATCTCTCCAGATTGCTAATTGTTAGGTGATATGGTACACAAGCTAAATATTATTTTGCCAGCATAAATAACATCTCTATCTTCTCAGTAACCTATTGAATGATCTTCTTGTTATAGAGGCAGATAAAATTGGTTGCCATGGTGAGTTTATCATTAAACTTATCAAAAGATTAGTCAGTCTTTTGATGGAAATATTTTTTGTTAATTTATTTCTATTTGAATAATATAACATGTTTTCCCCTCATGTATTTTAGTGATTTAACTTAAAGGATTAAATTTTTGACTAGAAATTTCCAGGTAACATCTGTAGTCTTTATTAAGTTTTGATTTATATGATTTAAATTATAAAAACACCATCATCATATAAAATTAAAATATAACAGGTCAGAAATGAGAAGTGAAATTCTCTTTCTCCCATCATCCCTAGTTTCCTTTATTAGAAACTCTATTGAGATTTTCACATGTATTTGCATATATTATTCTAGACATTTTCCTGTATCCACAACATTATATATGTATATAATGTATTATAACTTACATAACTTTTATATAATGTCTACATATTTTGGTTTTACTCAAATGATATCATAGTATAACATTATTCTGCAGCGTTTTCACCAAAATTATCATGCAAAAATGTTCACATCAGTCATTTTTAGATCTTCCTTATTGTTTTTTACAATAAGGAAAAAGTTTTTTTTAACTACACATTATTCCTTTGTGTGGATTATTATGAACTATTTCACTAACCCTTAGTGAGTTAGTCAATGACACCGAGTGTCTGCAATGTGCTTGGACTTATGTTGGATGTCATGGAGACAGTGGCGAACAAAGACCAAGATTTTGTCCTCAAAGTGCTCACATTTTTGTGTCCTTAAGGATGTTTTTCACTATTATGGCAGCTTTTCTATTCAGAATAAATTTTATTCCATTTACATTTATTGATTTCATAAATGTGTGTGGTCCTATTCTGATGTCTTAGAAGATTGTATTTCATGATTTATTGTTTCCTTCTTATCTATTTATAGCTAAATTGAATGTACTCTTTTTTTTTGTATTTTTTGAGGCATGAAAAACATCAGCTCACCTAACCAGCTTCTTTTAGTAGTTTTCTCAATATCCTTAGATAATACATTTGAATAACTATTTTTTGATTAACTGTATACAATTTCTGTCTGCTTTGAAACTTAGAAATTACTATGTTTGTATTTTCTTTTACCCCCAAATTTTAGTACTTTACATGATTGTAAAATACCAAGGATTATAACATTTACATTTGGTTCTGTAACCATAATTATCTTGTTTATTTAAATCTAATTTTTCATTTATATTGATCTAGCACTAGCAGTCATCCTTTATAGAGAACACATTATTTAAATTTATCTCTTGCTTGAAGATATCTTTCTCTCTCTCTACACATAGCCATATATATAACCATAGATATGATACATATATCCTTTACATGTATGATACATAACTTTAAAAATGGCCAATACATTTCATATGTCCTTCAATGTTCCAAAAATTATTATTTTTGTCTATACACTTGACTGAAAAATCTTGGCTGAGTATACAATGTATGAGTCATGTATTTTTTCTGTTAGAATTTTGCCAGCATTTCTCCACTGCATTGGTCATTGGAAGTTGATGTCTGAAATGCTCCCAATTTGCTTTTTCTCCACCACACTGTTCTAAGCACAGTGTTCAGTGCTGGAGGCACAAAGATGGAGAAGTCTCAGGTCCCTTCATTGAGAAGCTCCCCGACTAGGGTGTGGTTGAGCCCCAAATCATTCATCTGCCTCATGGACATAATTCTAACCCAATAGTTGTGAATAACTTAAAGTATAATAATAATAAAATAAAATTACAAAAAAAAGAAAGTTTATCTTTTGTCTTAAGGTCCAGTAACTTCACTAGAATCTTCAGTTAACTTTCCACATCATTTCTTTGTAAATACAGTGTGATTCCTTAACTTCATCGTCTTTTATTTCAAGAAAGACTTCTTTTGTTAAACTATTGAAATTTTGTCTGTTTCTTTGTTTTTGTTTGTTTTCTTCAAGAATATCAATTTTGACCATTTGGTTACTTTTTGTCTTCTGTAACTATTGTTTTCTGTCTCCAGTGAGTTTATATGTTTATTCCTTTACTTTTGTGTAATTTGCTTTTCAAGCTTGTGTTTTACCTTTCTTACTGATTTCAGCAGTATATATTCCACTCTTTTCTTTCTCAAGTGTAGTTTTCATCTGAAAAATGACTATACTGATATTTTCAATTTATTTTCTGAAATTGGTGAGTTCATGTTTTATCTCTGTTTTCTTTGATCCCTCTTTTATATGTTTAATATCTTTTTAAAATTCTTTACCCAGAATCCATGGTCCATGTTGCATGTTTTCTTTATATTCTTTAAGAATATCATTTGATATAAATTTGCTTCTGTTTATTGGGAGCAATTCTTTTATAAAATGCGGTATTTATCTGATCTTTGCTTCTTTCTCTCTCTTTCTCTTTCTCTCCCTCCTGTATTCTCTCTTTGAGATGAGCAGATCACCCACAAAGAGGATTAGCCTTGTTGTAATTGGATGTTTAAATTACAGGTTTTTATTTTGTAATTTAGAGTTTGCTTATCACTGATATGGTGACCTCGGTATGCAATTACAAAGAGGGAGGTTCCTCTCTCTTCAGCTCTTCTAACTCCATCTAACTCCATCTTTGGCAGTTTTTTGGTGTCAGGAGTTTTAATGGGAAAACAAAAACAAAAATGGCCAATATTTGTCATTCACCTTTAGTCAGCCTCTTCTACTGTTCTGGGAAGTAGAAGTTGAGCCTATATTTTCTCACCCCAAGTAAAGGATCACTAATTAGACCTTTTTGAATTTACCAGTTACTTTTAAGAAATCTGCGTCTTGGTTAAGATCTAGAGAGATGAGTTGTCCCTTATTTTTTCTCTCATTTTGTATTGGTATTTTGCAATAGTCTTCTTAGTCTTTTTTTGTGGGGCTGTCATAGCTTCCCAATTTCATTGCAATTGTAATTTTATCTAATTCTTAATTATTTTAATCAATTTTTTAAATGACAATGCAGGAAGTAAACAAATTTTTTTTTCTTCTTATATTTTACAGGAAATCTCCATTAGTATGCTTCAAAATAGAGTAATCAAAGTAAGCATTTGCATCAATTTAAAAAATATTTTTATTGATTTTGAAAAAGAAGCACTTTTCAGTGTTTTCAGTTCTTAGGTAAAGTGTTTTCAGTTCTCAGGGAAAAATGTATTCTGGAATTCTAATTTTGATTTCTTCACTTACCAGCTGTGATTCTTCTATTTAGTCATTAAATTTTTCTCAGTCTTAAGGGTATAAAAATTCCTACTTACCTCACAAGGCTATTTTGTGAGAATCAAACAGAATAAGACATGAAAATCTGGAATGTTACCAATTCTAATGCAACTATCAGGTACAGTCAATATTTACATTTTACATATGGAAAAACACTTCCATTTTTCCATATGGAAGAAAACCCAAGTCATGGCTTATAGAAGACCATAATGGATTCTGCCTTTTGCTTGAATTATATTCAGATGCGCTATTATTTTTCACCAAGTCTGATGGAGATCGACAACAGTGCATATCAGTGTGTCCATGCTTGCAATTACTTCCCTTATCCTCACCTCCCGCCATGTTTGCTAAAAGAGATAATGAACCTGGCAGTTCTGTTTCTGAGCATTTGCAAAGCAGAAATGGGTATGGAGAGTTAAGGAGTTTATACCAGAAAGCGCCAAAATTTACTTACACAAAAACATAATGGAGAAATAAAGGGTAGTGGAGACCTTGTTTTGGAGGGAAGTTTTGATGGAGGATGAGAATGAGAAAGGAAGAGAGAGGCCAAGTTAAAGAGAGAGAAAAGGCATTTTAAATTGTTTTTTGGTTATGAATTGAATTTCTTTTAATGTTTTCAAAAGATACAAGTAAGTATTAGAAGTATTTTTAATTACTTTGGGGTGAAGGACTGTGTTTCTTTATGATACAGAATGACATAGGACTTACATGATATGCCTCCAATTTCCTCCTCCTATCTACTCTCAGCTCTTCTCCATCCCGTGCTGTGCCCTGGGAGACTGACCTTGACCTTTGGCCAATGGGCTGCATGATCAAACAACTAGCAGGAGAAGAGTGAGATTGGGGATTTTGTCCTAATACCCTCCTCCTGACAGTCACTGTGTACCAGCTGTGTCCCTTGACAACAGGTCATGGTTCCTCTGAGGGAAACTTCTCTGACTCCAGGTTTAAATAACCACTCCCCTCTTGCCCTTTTTGACTCAGGTGTTTTAGTCCCCCACCATCTTTAGCTCCCAGATAGTGTTACTATCCTTTGTGGTTTCTGTACAACCTGTAAAGACTCGTAAATAATTCCTTTATAAAATCCCTACTCAAACAACAAGAAGTGTGTTATTTTCTGCTATAGAACCCCAAATCGTATAGGACCAAATGAGGCCCTTAGACTTATTTGGTTTGTAGAAATATGCTTTAAGTGTCTGGTATTGTACTAGAAAAAACACAGACGATCTAATAGCCATATAACTCAATCAGCTGAAGTGGTCAGAACTTTTAATTTTGGCCAGTTTTCGTGCTTTATATATTTCATGCTTTCCATGTCAATAGTAGATGCTAATTTTATGGAGAAGGAGCAAAGAATGCAAACTTTTTTTGAGCCTCAACTTTGCGTTGGTGTCAGTGTTCAGCACTGCATTGTCCCTATGCAATCCTAGTATGAATCTCATGAGAAAGGTCTATTTTGCTTCATTTTACAGATGAGTATCATGAGTCTTAAATTGTTTCACCAACTCTCAAAACTGGCAAATGACAGAGCTATGATTCAAACAGCTTTGATCTCAATCCATCTAAAATTGGTTCCCCGAATTTATTATACCTCAGAAGTACATAGGAATTCTTTTAAAAATACAGATTATTAGGACTATCTCAGATATGCTAAAAAAAAAAAAAGGAAAGAGAAAACCTCTAGGGGTTCTCGATTTGGAAAGCTTATATAAGCCTTCACCCCTCACTTGGTGATTCTGATATGCAGCCAGTTTGGAAAGAATAAAGTTTCGAATTGATTCTGCCCCTAAATGACACTCAACTTTTTTCCCCTGGTTCTTACATTTGGCCTTTCAAATACGTTAAACAGAGCCATATACCAGAGAGTGAATTATTTCACTGTCTAAGAGTGTTTATTCTGATTTTCCCTATAGGTCACTTCTTAAACAAATTCTGAATTTTAGCAATTCTGCATGAATTAAAAGCAATATGAATTATGTCCAGAAATACTGTACTAGAAATATTTTTATCTGTGCTAACATTTATTATTTAAAACAAAATTATATTAGAGTCCATGAAAATACGTAGAGCCTAAATTAGTAATTCTGATATTGTAAAAAGTGAACTAAGTATATGTTTTTATAAAAGTTGGCATAAAATGAGAATATTGGTATTGAATTACTTCATAATCTCTCTCTAATCTTCATACATATTAGGTACTGTCTCTATTGGGGGTGCCTTTCATGTGTTTAAGGAATGAAGAAGAAAATGTGGTATTATGTAAACCCTTAGCACTTGAGACTAAATTTTTGTCCTATTCATCAAATTATGATACTACATAATTTTTCACTGCTCACTACTCCATTTCTCCATCTTTAAAATGAGTAAGTCCACCTTACTAAAGCTCAAAGAAATATCCTATAAAATCTGCTTTTTAAAATAAATCGTCCTTTCTCTGCCATCGTGGTGTGTGCTTGACTGCGCTTCTCGCCATGTCTTCTCACAAGACTTTTAGGGTTAAAAGACTTTTAGGATTCCTGGCCAAGAAACAAAAGCAAAATCATCCCATTCCCCAGTGGATTTAGACGAAAACTGGTAATAAAGTCAGGTGAAACTCCAAAAGGAGACATTGGAAAAGAACCAAGCTGGGTCTATGAGGAATTGCACATGAGATGGCACACATATTTATGCTGTCTGAAGGTCACAATCATGTTACCATATCAAGCTGAAAATGTCACCACTATCTGGAGAGTTGGACATGTTTTGTTGGGAATATATATTTTTTTCTCTCTGAATCTGTTATGAACGCATTGGTTTGCTGGGTTCAGTAATAAATACGTGAGACCTTTCGTTCACTTAAAAATCAATCAATCAATCACTGACTTCTGAGATGATATAAAATAAAAGCATCAAAATAAAAGCAATAAAATAAGGTAAACATGAACTACTATGGGCTTCATAAAAAGTCCAAATATCAGTGAAAGTGTGTTATTCAACCATTGAGAATCCACTGCCTAACATAATGCTTACCTGTTAGTGGGTGCTAAATTTTGGCTTTACTTGGCTATATTGGATCATTATTATATAATTTAACAGATATGTGCATGGATTTTTTTAGAGCTACATTTACACTTAAAAATCTATCAAAATAATTACTCCTGCTAGGAATTTTAGAAAGACTTTTTAAAATAAACAATTACCCACCAAGAAACACAAGGTTAGAAGGGTGTCAGTGATAGGAATTGTAGCACCAGTTTTTCTTTATAAAGTTCCTCACAGGGACAGAGTGAGCATGAAATAAAAAGTGATTTTTCTTTTTAAGTTTGATTGGTTGAAAGGGAGGTCCAAGCAATAGTAGGTAGGAAATAATGATTCTGAATTTTTATTTCCATTGTAGATAGCAAACGTTTACTTCTGAAAAGCTTTAGAGTATTTAACCTGAATACCTAAATATTTCATCTTAAGCACTTAAAATGTTTATTTTAAGTGTCATAACCTTAACATGCTTTATTTTTAACATCTATTAGAGTAAAAATGTACAAGTATTTCTTGCTGTATCCATGAAAAAAAGGTTTTCCCAATAGTGTGATACTAAAGATCAGCATCTGCTTTATAACATTCACATCTGTTTGCTCAGTGGAATTTACCCTGCCCTCAGCCACAGCTAGTACTGAGTGAATCCACAAGGCTACTGCTTCCAGGAAGAGTCACTTAGCCAAACACCCAATTTAAGTGGGCCCCCTTTCTCCATGCGTCCTGATACAGTTGCTAATGAAGCCATGCATCCCATCTGTCAAGCATTTTAGGTGATCACACCAAAGAGGCCATGGACAAAAAGACTCCTACATATCCCCAGCTCAACAAAACCTACTGGGTACCCCCTATTTTATTTTTAGGGTAATATTTTCTTCTTTATTTAAAATTCAATAGGAAAAATCATTTTGTCTTTAAAAACTTATGAAAGTCTTTGAAAATTAGACTGTTTAATTTGAATTCTAGGAATGTGCTTACATATTTCCTTATGTGTGATGTATTTTTATAGAAGATATTGGACACTAAAAGCTGATAGCCACCCTTGTTAGAAAGGAACTATTTAGTCATTATTTCTGAGGCCTGCTGTCATCTTTCCTTCCCCGGTTTGGGAAAGAGAGGGTAGTATAACGGGTTATTTTGGAATATGCAAGACATGTGCTGATGAGCTATAATTACATAGTGACATCTTGGGAACTGCTATTTGGATGCTGCTTCCAGCTAATTTATAATTCTTTAAAGATGCTACATTCACATTGGTTTTTCATTTACTTTCATTTTTTTCCCATTTCTTTAAAACTGGTAGCATTGCTATAGGTTTAAATATCTCAACGATTTTCTTCTACAACATCCAACCAAGCTGAATTAAAACTTATTGTAACAGCCAAGAAGCTAAAGGTAAAGCTCCTTAAATATTTTCCAAAATTATCTAATTGCTTCTTACAAAACTTTTCCTTTGTTTTTGGTGCCTTGTTTTATCCTAATTATCATTCAGTCCAAGTGGATCTTATTAGGATCCCATGGTCTTTTTGCCCTTGCTGGGGCCTGATGTCATTTTTTGTAGACACTGATCTAAAATAAAATGACATGAATCTGTTCAGATGAAACAATTTCAGTTATTCACTTTTCAGGTATCTGAGTGTCTCCTATGGACACAGTTTCTGCCCCTAAGTAGCTGACAATTTTTGGGGACAGGGACAGGGAAAGAGGCAGTCACAATAGCGGGCACAATGGGAGTACCTCTCTGGAGGAGTTAGGAAAGGCGCTGGCAAGTAACTTCTCTGTTGAGACACTTGGTATAACAGGCGTCATTCAGAGAAGGGGATAGGGCAAGGAAGAACACTTTAAGCACGGAAACAGGATGTCTCACAAGAGGGAGGTGAGAGTGAACAGGCTACACTGGGTGTGTACTGCAAGTTGCTGGGTAGGATGAAGGTTCTAAAGGCACACTCAGTCCATTTACAGAATGTCTTAAAATATGGAGAGTTAGTTTTCTCTTGATCCTGATGCCCGTTTTGCCTCTTGGCACGTTACAGCAAATGAACAGGAGTCAATGTGATAGCGATAGCAAAGCTGTCTCTTTAGTCACCCTATTAGCATGTTGTAGTGAATTGGAGAAGAGAAGCAGCTGCAGGTTTGCAGAGGAAATCAAAACAGAGCCATTTCCGATACTCCCCATGGAACCATCATGAAAGCTCAGCACAGAGAGGCTCTAGGGAGCCCAGCAGGCTGAAATGCTGCCACGCCAGTGCCTGGAGGGCATTACTTTGCTCTCCACTGCATTTGATTCTCAATCTTCATTTGACACTGAAACAAACTTTCAGTAAAAAAAAGCGTGGTTGGGTTTCCAAGATCAGTGGCGAACTGATCTATATTTTACTTGAGGTAACTTGAGATTTAGTTTTAACTTTAGATATAAATATCTGAGAATTTGAGTACCAGTTAACCCATTCAAAAGATAACTAGATTTCAACTGTGACCCAAGGAAAGGTTACATAAACTTACTCTCTCCTCCCCTCCTCCCGCTTCTTTTTTTCTTCTCTCTTCCTCTTCCTCCCCCTTCTCTTTTTCTTGTTCTCTGACTCCTCCTCCTCCCCGCTCTTTCTTGCCTGAAGATCAAGGGCTTCGCTAGTGATGTGCTCACCCTTAACCAACATGTACATTATGAATCTCCTGAAAGGGTGTCGGGAACGTGGGAAACAGCTCCCTCTGTCCGGTGAGGACTGAAGAAGTAGTATTTATACTTATGTTTTTAAAAGATGCAGAAAAACATGCTCCTGCTTTTTTCCAGAGCAAAGACATAAAGCAATGGGTGTCATAGAAACAGTACTGGAATCAGAGACAGATTCCTACTTCGGGCTCTATCACAGACTAGCTATGTGGCATCTTGGGCTAGTATGGGATGTTCAGTGCTTTATCTTTATCTATAACTCTGCTTCATTCGTTCATTCATATAAAAAACATATGTGGCGAACCTAGACTGTTCTAGGTGCTATGCTGGCTTCTGGGGAATGTGAAGGTAAAAACATCCTACCTTGATAGAGCAAAGAGTGGATGGGGGGGAGGGCTCCCACAGGGTCGATAAATCCAGAGATAAGCAAATTTACTATGATAGTGGGATGATATATATGCTATGAGACAGGAGGACGTGAGTATCTACAAAAACAAGGAGGAGTGTCTCCTAACAGGGACTGGAGAACCAAGGTTGCAGTCAGGGAAGTTTTTATAAGGGAAGAGATGTTGGATGGACAACATAGAATGAGACTCTGTTTCAAAAAACAAAACAAAACAAAACAAAAAACCAGTCAAATAAAATTATTTAGGAGAGATGGCAGGGGGTGGGGATGTGCTCACAAAGGGAGTGTGGTCTGTTGAGGAGCTGTGAGGGGCTCAGTTTGTGTCCACAGGGCAGCTGGGTTGATGAGTGGTGGGCATGGACCTGGAGGGATGAGCTGAGGCCAGAGCCCCATGCAGCCTAGCATGTCATGCTTTGTATCTCATCTGGAGAGTGGCAGGAGCCACTGAAGTCTTTCAACAGAGGAGTAAGATCATGTTATTTGCATTTCAGGACAGCCTCTTTGTGCCTTGGTAGCGCCCATCACAAAATGAGCAGATGAATGAGGAGATGATTTCTAACTTTTTCAGATCATGTTCTTTTTTGAGAATATTAATTTTTTCTCTAGAAAAAATACACATACAGGTAAAACTATCTATCTATTAACTTCCTGGGAGGCATAAAGAGCCCCTGAAGTCCAACCATGGATCACAGGTTAATCAACTCCCAATTGTAATGGTCTGTGTTTACTTTTCACATTAGTTTTACTTGAATAGTATTTGTCCCAAACCTACTTAAGAGATCCTGACATTTTTTTACATTATTGTTTGCATGTTCCTCCATTCACTTAATGAAACCAAGAGCACATCTCTCACAAAGCTCATGTGCAGCCCCTCTGACATTACCCACAGCACAACAGGTGGAATCAGTGATTCATTGAGACAGCTATCATTCCAGGGAGCTTGGGCTCAGGGATGGTGGAGCGACCCATCTGCTGCCATCTGCTGCCATATTCTTCTCATGGGCTCCCGTCCCCAGACTGAAGGTATGGGGGCAATAAATAAACACTCATGTAGGGGTTTGGCCATCAATGCCCAAGCTCCCAGAGTCCTAGGCAGGCCAGTGTCTAGGGTGAGGCAGTCCCAAAAGGGAACAAAGACAGAGGACCTCAGCCAATGGTGGCAGAGGAAAGGACACAGCAGCCTGGGCAAGCAAGAGGGGTGGAGGCAAGCGACCTCCATGGTCGCTTGGCCTCCTGGCCACACTGGTGGGTGGGGCACAGTACAAATGTCCCTCACATGTGGGCTGAAGCTGCTGCTGTGCTCCCAGCTTGATATGGTTTGGCTGTATCCCCACCCAAATCTCATCTTGAATTGTAGTTCCCATAATTCCCACGTGTTATGGGAGGGACCTGGTGGGAGATAATTGAGTCATGGGGGCAGCTTCCCCATACTCTTCTCATGGTAGTGAAGAAGTCTTACAAGATCTGATGGTTTTATATGAGGAAACCCCTTTCGTTTGGCTCTCATTCTCTCTTGTCTGCTGCCATGTAAGACATGCCTTTCACCTTCCACCATGATTGTCAGGCCTCTCCAGCCACGTGGAACTGTGAGTCCATTAAACATTTTTCTTTGTAAATTACCCAGTCTCTTTAAGTATGTCTTCATCAGTAGCATGAGAACAGACTAATACACAGCTATAGGTAGAAGTGGCTGATGAACTGGGCCATAAAGGGACATGGGTTAGTTCAGCTTGAAGAGCTAGGAAGAAGAAAAGAAAGGAGAAGACTGAAGGTGGCCCCTCCAGAAACACTGCAGACTGTCAGCCTTGTCAAATGCTTGGGTTCTTGCATGAAGCGCTCCCTTTTCCTTGTGGCTTAGTGGCAGCAAGTATGAAAAATGGAAGTATTGATGGAAAAAATATACATTGGCAGAAGATGGGTAGTTGGGGACTCTATTGGTTAGAAATGCACATGCAAACGGCTGGGCGTGGTGGCTCACACCTCTAATCCTAGCACTTTGGGAGGCCAAGGCAGGTGGATCACTTCAGGTCAGGAGTTTGAGACCAGCCTGGCTTCTACTAAAACTACAAAAATTAGCTGGGCGTTGTGATGTATGCCTATAGTCCCAACTACTCAGGCTCCTGGGGCAGAAGAATCACTTGAACCTGGTAGGTGGAGGTTGCGGTGAGCCGAGATCATGCCACTGTGCTCCAGCCTGGGTGATAGAGTGAAACTCCGTCTCGAAAAAAAAAAAAAAAAAAAAAAAAAAGAAAAGAAAGGAAATGGACATGCATGCAAAAAGGAAAAAAAAGATGTCAAATTAAAACCATCAGCAAACTATTGAAAGAATTCACTTCCAGAAAATGTCCCTATTATTGGAGGTAATGCATTTCTATCTGTTGGCAGGTATGCTTTTTGTTTTTCTAATAGGTAAACTGTGTATACCTACCATTATATACTCTGATACTATTGTTGTGAGAGAAATGCCAATTTTAAGTTAGCTGATGCTTAATTTTGTAATAATCTCACTGCCTTTATTATGCCAATTATTATGCAAGCCAATTCTCCTTTTTCCTTATATACCAGATCAAGTTCAATACAAGCCACCAAATTCAGATAGAAACGTGTTAATTCCATGTGAAAAGTGAAGGAAAATGGATGTTATTTCATTGAGCAAAAATATGATTTATTTTTTCAACATATTTTCAATTCATGACCAATTATTTTAACTCAAACTACTTAGATTTAATTTATAAACCTGATATTGCATAACATATAACTTAAAGTCAAACTGTTCTACATGGACTAATTTTATTGTATTATCAGCATCGACTCTTAATTTTAAATCAAGCAATGTCACCCATTTGTTAAGCTTCCCTTATGTTCTAGCATGAGCAATTACTAGTAAGTTATATAATAATTTAGGACAGATCTTGTGGAGGAAGTAAGTTCTGCTTAAAATGTGGGAAATTCCAGAAGATGTGTTAACTCTTTAGAGCGTCTGATTCAGTAGTTCCCAAGGGAAGTTTGAGAAATGTTCCAACAAAATTTGACAAGTTGCTAGGCGCCTCTGTTTTAACTTGTACATTAGCTACTTTTTTCTTCCTTTTTTTTGAGACAGGGTCTCGCTCTGTCACCCAGGCTGGAGTGCAGTGGCGTGATCACAGCTCACTGCAACTTCGACCTCCCGGGCTCAAGTGATCTTCCCACCTCACCGTGCTGAGTACCTGGGACTACAATGTGTCCCACCATGCTTGGCTAATTTTTTTTTAATTTTTTTTTGTAGAGATGGGGTCTACCTGTGTTGCCCAGGTTGGTCTTGAACCGCTAAGCTCTCGGTCTTCCAAAATGCTGGGATTACAGGCATGAACCACCATGCCTGGCATGTTAGCTACTTTTGAAAGACTTCATAGAATGTATGTGACCTGTTCTCAATCTTTTCATTTCTCCCTCTCTTCCATCAACTCATACCATCCCTTTATATTTCCAAATCAAAACACTGCTCCATCCTGATTTAGAGTTTGAGTAATTGCTGTGCCTCACCTGTCCCCAAGTAGAAACTGAGTGGTCTTGGGTACTTTTCCAATCAATGAGTTTTTTTTGTTTTTAATTATTATCAAATTCAAGTTTATTTTCTAAAACCCGTTTCTCCACCAGAACCAGTCCCACCATCAAGCATGCCTTGTAAAGGTTTCCTGACATTAAGTTTAGAGGAAGATGCATTGAAGTACCAAGGTTACAGTCCTAAAGCAGCATGCTCACTCACAATATTAGCCCTTTAGAAGTTAGGTGATGGTGGGTGTCTTTGCAGACCTATGGTTTTAACTCAGCTAGACATGTACAAAATCAGGCAATAGTAACCTTTTTTTCTGCCAGCATAAGTGTCTTAGACAGAAGAAAGGCTGTTTTTCTTCATCTACTTGCCCCCCAGAAGCAGAATTCCTTGATGAGATAATTACTTACTCACAGCTTACCCAGGAAATTACATTACTTTGTAATCTTGCCTCATTTATAAGCAAGGGTAAATCTTCCATCATAGGACCTTTCTGACTGTATCTCTGCCTGTGGGTTAATAAGACAACTGATTGTACATGACAGCCTCTTTTCTTTCCTGATTTATAAATCTTATTTATTCCTTTAAATGGATGGCTTCCCCCTCTCATCTGCTTTATTTCTTTTTTCTTTATTGTGTGATAATCTCATGTAAAAAGCAAAGGCAAATGGATGTTATTTCTTTGGGTAAAAATGCTATTTATTTTTCAACAATTTTTGGTTCATGTTTTGTGGCTGACTGAGTAGTTTTCCTATCACTGTACTTGATACCGAAAGATGGTTGGACATTTGGATTTCCCTTCTGGCCTTTCCTCTCCCTTTCAAAATCAAATCGTGCTCAAATTTAATCAGAATAAGTGGCCAAAGGAGTAATAGAATATAGAAGAATAATTTACTATCTCTGGAACTCAGTGATGAAAGAGAGAAATTTTGAGGTGGTCTGCATTATCTTTCTGGTTGATGAGGTCTAAATGATTCAGTTTTGATTCATGGAAACAGCACTGTGAACAATGACCAGAATAAAAGGGGTTTCAAATTTAACATTTTCTTCCAAAGCAGGAATGGTAACTTTACATTAAACTGTCGCAGATGATCAGTGATTTAGAGACTTCACCTAGCTGTTTCCTAAAATAGTCTATTAACAGTTAATTAAAACATGAAGCAAGTTGGTGAGAAGAGTCCATAGCCTGCAATCTCTATATTTTCTCCAGGTCTCCAGGACTTCAGCTATGTCAGTGGTTCCCAACTGGGAGCCATTTTGCTCCTCAGGGGACATTTGGCAATGTCTAGTACATTTTTAGTTGTTATAACTGAGGGATGATGCTACGTGCATTTAGTGGGTAGAGGCCAGGGATGCTGTTGAATTTCCTACCATGGACATGACAGCTCCCCATCACAGAATTCTTTAGCCCCCCAAATGTCAAAAGTTCTGCTGTTGAGAAACCCTCATCTGTACCAACGACGAGGACCACGTGGTAGGTCTTCCTTACAGATAGCCTCAAATGGAGGTCTTCTAGGGGCTTCTGGCCATCAGAATTCTTAGGAATCTTAATAAAGTATAAAATTGCTTCTGAGTCCAGGGTTATTTGGAGTGACAAAGAGGCTCCTGGACTCGCCTGGAAGCTCCTGTAAACCCAACTATGAGGATCTTGGTTCAGCCCCTGAGCTCCACCTGTAACGTATTTTCAACTATGACCTCAGATCTGATCCAGAGCTCCAGTAGATCCCCCAGGCTGACTTTACCCATCTCTAACATTTTGGGACAATGGCCGAACCCTCACAGACAACCTGCATTGTGAGTTTGTGCCATAAGCACTCACCGTGAGATTAACAAAAATATTAACCAAGTTAACTTTATAAAGGCTGCTATCCATGTTATATTTTTGGAAGTTTTGGGATTGTTTAAGGTTGTTAACTTAATGAGCAGTTTTTCCAAATAATGGAGAAATTCACCATCACCAACCAGTCTTTCCCTCTCTTGCTGGGGTGGAAACCTTACTACCCTTGGGTGGTGTTACCGTGTACTGTGTTCATTGTTTACCTTCACTTGACCTGTATTAGTTCAAAATCACATGAGGTGAGGGAATAAAATCTTCATCTTTATTGAGAGGAGGGACAAGAAAGAGACTTGTGTCAATGAAATGGAAATTTTCCTATCCCAGTTTACTTCTAATCACAAGGGTTCCTTAATTAAGAGGCTTATATAGCATTTAAAGTTTATTTGTTTATACAGTACAATTTACAGTTTACAGTTCTTTCACCTCCAGCCAGCCTTCTGTATCTGATTCCACATCCCAATTCAACTAACCACAGATCGAAAATATGTGGGGGAAAAAAACCCATAAAGAGTAAGAGTACAGCAAAAGCCAAAATAGACACATGGGATCTTATTAAACTAAAGAGCTTCTGCACAGCAAAATAAACTATCATCAGAGTGAACAGGCAACCTACAGAATGGGGGAAATTTTTGCAATCTATCCATCTGACAGAGTGCTAATATCCAGAATCTACAAAGAACTTAAACAAATTTACAGGAAAAAAACAACCCCATCAAAAAGTGGGCGAAGGATATGAACGGACACTTCTCAAAAGAAGACATTTATGCAGCCAAAAGACATATGAAAAAAAGCTCATCATCACTGGTTATTAGAGAAATGCAAATCAAAACCACAGTGAGATACCATTTCATGCCAGTTAGAATGGTGATCATTAAAAAGTCAGGAAACAACAGATGCTGGAGAGGATGTGGAGAAATAGGAACACTTTTACAGTGTTGGTGGGAGTGTAAACTAGTTCAACCATTGTGGAAGTCAGTGTGGCGATTCCTCAAGGATCTAGAACTAGAAATACCATTTGATCCAGCAATCCCATTACTGCGTATATACCCAAAGGATTATAAGTCATTCTACTGTAAAGTTACATGCACACGTATGTTTATTGTGGCACTGTTCACAATAGTAAAGAATTGGAACCAACCCAAATGCCCATCAATTATAGACTGGATAAAGAATATGTGGCACATATACACCATGGAATACTATGCAGCCATAAAAAATGATGAGTTCTTGTCCTTTGCAGGGACATGGATGGAGCTGGAAACCATCATTCTCAGCAAACTAATACAAGAACAGAAAACCAAACATCACTTGTTCTCACTCATAAGTGGGAGTTGAACAATGAGAACACATGGACACAGGGAAGGGAACATTACACACAGTGACCTGTTGTGGGGTGGGGAGCTAAGGGAGGGATAGCATTAGGAGAAATACCTAATGTAGATGTTGGGTTAATGGGTGCAGCAAACCACCATGGCACGTGTATTCCTGTGTAACAAACCTGCACGTTCTGAGCATGTACCCATTTAACCAAAACTTAAAGTATAATTAAAAAAAAAAGAATAAGAATACAACAATAAAAATACATATAAGAAACAATGGAGTATAACAGCTATTTACATAGCATTTGCATCATATTAGGTATTCTAACTCATCTGGAGATGATTGAAAGTATATGGGAAGATGTGCCAAGGTTATATGCAAATACTATGCCATTTTATAATAGGGACTTGAGTATTTGCAGATTTGGGCATCTCTGGGAGGTCCTGGAACCAGTCCCCTCGGATACCAAGGTACGGCTATATTTCATGAAATCCTCGCCTTGTTAAGCAAGTTATTATTACTGATTCCATTTTATTGATGAGGGAATTGAAGCTTAGCAAAGTTGTACAGCAGTTAAGTGGGAGAATCAAAACCTGAATACTGCTTTTGCCCCATGAAACCAGTGAGTTTCCCACTCTAGCAGGGCTGGGTCTTGCCTCAGTGGCCTCAGCCATGTAAAAAAGTGCATGTCAACCCTTAGGATGTGTCCTGCTCCAGTTCTTCCCATGCAACCTACATTTCGCAAGTGGCTCATTTTCTTTTTCTATTTGGTTGCAAAATGTGCATAATGCCTTTCCCAGCTATCTTCCTTCCTAACATGGTCCAGATAGATTAGATTAGCCGCATCGATATACAGGTGTCTGGGATCAGTAAAACATTGTGACTGGACTGGTACAGCATTATGCTCATAATTAATTTTATCCATTTGTGGGTCATAGCCTCTGTAGGCTGAGATGCAGAGGAACAAAGAAAATGAGTTCTCTGGATTCATAAATTTCATTTCAAATTTATCAGTGATATTTAGATAAGGGTGTGCTTTTGCAAATAAAGGGAAAATTGTTTGGGGATTGGATGAGGCTTGGTGGAAGGAGAGATTTGGTAACATCATTTGGAGGATGCAGGAAGGGAAGTCTAAAAAGAGTCATGTAAAGGGTGTGGCATCTGATTTCCACTGAAGCACGAGGGATACTGGGTTCCAATTGCCCCAACGTGAATTTGGAAAAGGTGTCTCCTCTGATTGTGCAGAGCATAGCTAGTAGAGAAAACCCAAATCCCATAGGCTCAGAACTCGATGGCTGGCATCTCTACTGGACTCTAGCCCTCCTCGCCCCTTGTTTTTGTCCTTTATGCAGTGTACAAACTTTACTGTCTGCAGCAGTCCTCAGGATGAAGGAAATGCTGTTTCATCATGAGATCCTGTTTCTTGATGTTTTAAAAGATTGAATTTGGAAGTGAATAAAACAAAATCCAACAAGCCAACAGAAAAGGTTCTTGGGGAACCAACAGTTTTTACAAAGTCCAGAGGCTTAGAGTGCCATAAAAGCTCCAGCCCTCACTCAGAGCCTTCTGACTGGGTGCAGCAGCAGACAGGTGGATTGCAAGACAGGAAATAAAAGGAATTTTCAAACAGACATCCAGGCCTTAAGAAGTCAGCAGCCAGGAGGGAACCTTGTACCTCTATCTCCGTAGTTCCCAGAGACAAAGATACCATACCAATGAGTAGTGATTTGATGTAGCATTCATCAAATATAATGAATTCATCAAATATAATGAATATAGCATTCATGTTTATAATGAAACATTCATGTTTATAATGAAAACTTCGTGTAATAAAAATCTGAATTCAGAGGTTTTATTTTCAATGGTTGATATTTTTAAGTGTTAAAGTTTATAGGAGAAAGTTCTGGTTATCCAGAAAATTCGTGTATGTAAGATGCTTAATTTCTCAATGAGGTTAGCTAAGCAAAGATTTGCAGAAAAATTACTCTAAAGATATTTTATTACAAAATTTATAAATAAAGGAATAACACTAAATAGGTCCTTCTTTGGAGTAAGTCATTTTGTATGTAGGCATTCCTAAATATGTTTTACGGGATAGAGATTTAGTAATATGCCAAATGTCTAGAACAATGCTTTTCAAACTCTGTTTAATGAAATATTAATCTTAGTTTATCAGCATATTAATCAGCATTCTCTGAAACAAATATGTCTCTTTAAATAAATTTGGGAAATACCAGGGTTAACAAAGTGAACAGGCTTCTTTATTGCAGGATTTCTCAGGGCTTTTAATATAGCAAAATGCACCGTGGTTTCCCAGAAGGGGAACATAATATTCAATGCCAGTCACACTTATGTCTGAACTCATTAAAAATCAACTCCACTTTGCCTACCCTGTTCCTTTCCACATTGGTGGGGGTGGTCTGCTTTTCCTTTGGAGGAGGCTTGGATGAGGCTATGATATTTGATCACTTTCAGATAATGAAATTCCTCTTGCTATAAAAACAGACTTAATTCCAAAAGCATATGCACAATATACTGTGCAAAAATTAAGATTCCAAAGAAGTGCATTAACCTTGGACTTCTCCCAGGTCAGAGGAGGTTCACATTGGAAGCCTGTGTCCCAGGGAAATTGTGGCTGTCCTCTCCTTGTGCACTTCCTCCCTTTGGTAACTGCGTTTAACTCCTTGATAGGGCACAGTGTAGGTAAGAGGCTAGGCAGAAAGACAGTTGTGACCTAGCTCTGTTTCTTTCTGTCAGCTTGGCTGATGTTAAAGCTTACTCCTTCCATGATGGTGCTTTGAGGGGTGTCCTCTCCAACAGTTCCATTGATAGGGAACACATGTGTCTTTTTACCCTGGGGGTGGTCTTCTTACATAGGCAGGATCAAGACCATCTCCCTTTCTTTTGTGGCTGGGCCTGGTCCAGGGAGGAGTACTCATGCCTCCCCCTTAGTCCACTGTCAGAGAGCATAGCCAGTCCTTCTCCCTCCCAGCCCATGGTAATTGGTTCTAGAGTCCATGAGAGATTTCTCATGAGGAGGAGGAAGAAAATGCTCTGCACTCTAACTGAAGAAATCCTTTATGTATCTTTGAATTGCACCAAATAATTCAAGAGATGTGAAAGAGTTTCCCAAGACTGTTGCTTAGGAATTGGGGAACAAGAAGGAAGTGCTGTCTTTCACTCAGATATCTGAGGACCACCAGATTGGTGACTCGGTTGAAATAGACACAGGTGTAGTCCTATGTCAACATTCAGCGTTACATATTTCAACACAGAAGATAACAGAAGATACCCTCAAATGTGCATGCGCCCATGTGTGCGCGTACACACACACACACACACACACACACACCCCTCTCAGTACCATACCATAATTCTCTGAGCTGTTGGTCACTCTCACACACAGTCTGCATTCCGCACTGTCTGCTCTGTCCATGACCCTCAACGACAGCTCCCATTGTTCTGCAAAACTGCTGTCTTCAAGGCCAACCTTTTCTTTCTGATTGTGGTCAATTTACATTTTTTGTTTGTTTGTTTTTTTAGCACTTGTGCTCTCTGACCACTTTAGGAATATCCCTTCTGATTTGAACAACATTTTGCTATCCAAGTTCTGTCTACTTTTTTAACAAGTTCTTGCTCCGTGTGTCTCCTTTTGCTTGTTCTCAAGTAAGGGAGTAACAGGGATAAACTCCCACTCCTTGGTAAATCTTTCTATCATTTTTGGAAATCTCATCCATTGTAGTAAATGCTCTTAAATCTTCATCTTCAGGCCGTGACTTCCATCTAGCCTCCATTCACGTTTCCGGGTTTATGTCTGCAATGAGCATTCCGTGGCTCTACATAGATGCCCCACCATACCTAGAACCCATGTATCTCAAACTCAATTCTTTCTTTCCCAGGACATTACTTCCTGCACTTCCTTAGTCTATCAATGGCACTGTTATTCTCTTGACCATCTAGACTTGAAATTTTGGGGTTTGGACTCCTCCTGCTCCCTTGCTTTATATGTAATCAGACATCAAGTCTCAATCATTCTTTTCTTTTAATGCTTTTTTCAGCTTTCGTTCTACTGCCTGTCTTGTTCATTTATTTTTCACATCACGAAAGATGGTGTGGACATTTTTTCTCTCTTCACTTTTTCTTTCTGCATGTAATATGTTTTGTGTATTTCACCTGAAGCCGTCCTAAAACATGGCTTTCATTCTGTTAATTCCTGGTGCAAAATACACGGCTCACAATTTCCTGGTGAATTTAATCCAAACTTAGCCCAGAATCCAAACCTCTTGGTAATCTGGCCCCCATCTCCCTCTCCCACTCTGTACTCCACTTTTCCTTTTATACAAACACTATGCTTGAGTCAGACTGGTATCCACATTTTTATACTGAACACATCAAATCTACTTCCCACCCCTCTGCTCTTACTGGAATCTTGAATATCTCAAATAAGATATATGTACTCTAAACCTGTGTAAAATGCATGTCTGCAGCATTGTCTCATTTTATCTGTTTCCTCATTTTATTTTAGTTGGTAAAGAAGTATACATTAATAATTTCTAAGAGTCAAAAAGAAAGGGACAATATTTTCTACTTCTTTATATATTCCAAAATGCTGAAAACCATGCCTTACAAGCAAAGTATATACTTTTAAAAAAACTTTTATTTTAGGTTCAAGGGTACATGTGCAGGTTTGTTAAATAGATAAACTCGTGTTGTGGGGGTTTGTTGCACAGATTATTTTGTCACACCAGCTACTAAGCCTAGTACCTAATAGTTGCTTTTTTACTGTTCCTCTCCCTCCTCCCACACTCCACCCTCAAATAGGCCCCAGTGTCTGTTGTTTCTCTTTGTGTTCATGTGTTCTCGTCATTTAGTTCCCACTTCTAAGTGAGAACATGCACTATTTGGCTTTCCATTCCTATGTTAGTTTGCTAAGGATAAGGGCCTCCAGCTCCATCCACATTCCTGCAAAGGACATGATCTCCTTTTATTTTATGGCTGTGTAGTATCCCATAGGATATATATACCACATTTTCTTCATGCAGCCTACCATTGATGAGCATTTAGGTTGAGTCCATGTCTTTGCTGTTATGAATAGTGCCGCAATTAACATATGTGTGCATGTGCCATTATGGTAGAGCGATGTATTTTCCTTTGGGTATATACCCAGTAATGAGATTGCTGAGTTGAATGATAGTTCTGTTCTTAGCTCTTTGAGGAATCACCACACTGCTTTCCACAATGGTTGAACTAATTTATACTTCCTCCAACAGTGTATAAGCATTCCTTTTTATCTGCAACCTTGCCAGCATCTATTATTTTCTGAATTTTTAATAATAGTCATTTTGATTGGTGTGAAATGGTATCTCATTGTGGTTTTGATTTACATTTTTCTAATGATCAGTGATATTGAGGGTTTTTTTCATAGGCTTGTTGGCCTCATGTATGTCTTCTTTAGAAAAGTGCCTGTTCATGTTCTTTGCCCACTTGTTTTTAATGGGGTTGTTTGATTTTTTTTTCTTGTAAATTTCTTTAAGTTCTTTATAGATGCTGGATATTAGACCTCAGATGCATAATTTGCAAATATTTTCTCCCATCCTGTAGGTTGTCTGTTCACTCTGTTGATATTTTCTTTTGCTGTGTAGAAGCTCTTAAGTTTAATGAAATACCGTTTGTCAAGGTTTGCTTTTGTTGAGATTGTTTTTGGCATCTTCATCATGAAATCTTTGCTAGTTCCTATGTCCAAAGTGATATTGCCTAGGTTGTCTTCCAGGGTTATTATAGTTTTTGATTTTATATTTAAATTCTTAATCCGTCTTGAACTTTGCATATGGTGTAAGGAAGTGGTCCAGTTTCAGTCTTCTGCATATGGCTAACAAGTTTTCCCAGCACCATTTATTGAATAGAGAGTCATTTCCCCATTGGTTACTTTTGTCAGCTTTGTTGAAGATCAGATGGTTGTAGGAGTGCAACCTTATTTCTGGGCTCTGTATTCCATTCCATTGGTCTATGTGTCTGTTTTTGTACTAGTACCATGATGTTTTGGTTACTGCAGCACTGTAGTATAGTTTGAAGGGTTACGTGAAGCCTCCAGTTTTGTTCTTTTTGCTCAGAATTGCCTTGGCTATTTGGGATATATATATATATATATATGTTCCATATAAAATTTAAAGTAGTTTTGTCTACTTCTGTAAAGAATGTCATTGGTAGTTTGATAGGAACAGCATTGAATCTATAAATTGCTTTGTGGAATATGGCCATTTTAAACTAACTTGATGTTGATTCATTGAAACATAATAGAGTCAATCATTAACTGCCTAACAAACCTGGATATAAAATTTCCTCATTTTCCCCAATGAATAACAAGGATTTGTGTTTCTCTGTGTTGAAATTTGCTTTGCCTTCTCTGTCAGTGCCAGCTCCATCTGTTTTAAGTGCTTTTGCATGGCGTTGGGATATAAGTTGAGGGTTTGCCATTACACTTTCAAACCAACTCACCTTGATTTTCAAAAGGTAGCCTAGATAGTTACATCTGTGTAGCATTGCTTGCTCTCCTTTGTTAATTCAACATTTGAAGGCTGATTGGCTATTTGAAAATCTTAACATTATAATGACTGCCAAGGGGTGTAACAACGTTGATACTGATGGTCATTTGCTTTATCAATTCTCATATTGAGTATGATCATTCTTAAATTTTTTGAGAATACATATAGCAAAAGCAGTAGTCTAGCTGTAAAGGAGAGATGAATTCTGTGAATGTATCTCGCAGTGGCTTATCAGATATCTTGGCTAAATTACTTGAACTTTCTGTGCTTCACTTCTTTTCTAAGACAAAAGAAAATGAAAATGTCCACCTATCACATAATCTGTTTTAGAAAGAAAGGAATGAAACAAAACATTGGTAATGTTTTATGTATCGTGATCAATTGCAAGTTTTTCAAGTGGTAAGTAGGAAAAATGAAGGCATCCGGTTTTTACCAGACTGTAAGCTGCTAAGTTTGTGTTTTTCTTACTATACTTTAAAATTGTATGCACTTGATCTGTCTTGCACGCAGATTTGTTCCTGAATATTAAGCAAAAATTTAAATTTTAAATATCAAATGACACTTTAAAAACATATCTCAATTCTCATAACTGTTTTTTGAGGGTAATAGAAGCCCTCAACACACGCAGTGTGCTTATTAAATCAGGTAATGCTGAGAGGTGTTTATTTAGTCCAGAGGATAGTGTGTGTTCAGGAAATGCTACCATCCTATTAAAATTATTTTTCATTAAATCCTTATAAAATTAACAATCTAAAGGAAATTATATAGAAATATTAATGTTAGCTGAATTTGAGTTTATGGATAATTTTTTTCTACTTCTAAGTTACCATTACTTATTTCATAAATTTACTCCTTCATTTAGAAACCTTTCTATTGAATCTCTCCTATATGCTAGGCACTTTGATGAGCCCCAGTCATGAAAATAAAAATAAGGCCAACATGAGCCTTTCCTGGTAAAACTTAGTCTACATTTTTAAAAGACTCATCGTAAATACTTTAAAGACATTTCAGTAATTGTTCTCTAACGTTTTCTAACTACCAGCTTCTAATAGAAGTGTTTATATTTACAAACTGCTATAAGCATAGGGAGACACACAACTACATTATTCTTTTGGATCTGAATTATTACAAGTAACTCTTCGGAGAGGCTGTCTGTGTACCTTGTCTTTGTATAGATATGACTGCATGACTCACTCAAGCTCAGGTAGGCTGTAGATGGCATTTGGGATCATTTAAAGAAAGAGCACACATACGGAGCTGATTTGTCCACTGGTTGGGATTTCTGAAAAGAAGATGTGATAAATATCTCTGCAGGCATTCCCTAAATGGAGAGCAACTGCTTTTCTTATCTTTTGATGTTGATTAGAGGTAGTTAGTAGTTTCCATATTTCATGTTATAAGAATAAATTGATGTTTTTTCTACTACCTTATTGAAAGGCTACTATTGTGAAATTATATCATTTCCGGGTTTAAACACATTAAATCTGTTTTCCTCTGTGTATTTATGTGTGTTAACAGAAACATGTGGTTCTTCCTTGGAAAGGTATCCTAGGATACAAGAGGCCATCCACATGGCCTCTGCTGGGATGGAGCACAGTTTCTTTCTCTGTGCTGGGTCAGGCACATTTCACTGGCATTTTCAATATTCTTTACTTGAGAAGAAGATATATTTGCCTCACAAAACCAGTTGTGTGATTAAAATGGCACCCTGATCTTCACCTGATTAAAATATTCAGCTCATTGTATGCAATGACATGAAAAACCTAAAGGACTTGAGATAATTCATATAGATTCACATGACAATTGTACACTCGGCTCTCATCCATTGTTTCCCCAAAAGCCTTCAAATTTCTTTAATTTGATAATAATATAATTTTAAGGAAGTTTTTTTTTTTTCATTTAAAGTGCTGTGCTTATTTATTTATTTATTAGCTCATGCAATTTTGTGTGTGAATTGGTCAAAAAGTAGAACCCTAGGAAACCAGAGAGGATGTGGGAGCTGCACAAAAACCATGGCATCCCTATTTCTGTGTATCAGGGATGAGATTTCTACTGCACACCCAACTTGCAAGTTACACTTTTCAACAAAAGAACTCAAGACAAATACAGAACTCAAAAATGCATAATTCAGACCCAGCACAGATCTACAGTACTCCTCAAATTCCAAGAAGATTCAGTCTCAGAGTAATAAGTACCAGTTTAAATTTTACAGGACACATGGAGAATACAGACCGCGTTTGTAGTACTCTCATTTAAAACTTAGAATTTAGGGGAAGCTTTGAAGGAATCACATAGGTAAGGAATTAGCGCTTACTAAATATAATGATGAGGGGCTTCTACATTAGGAAAAGCATCCCAGTGCAGAACAGGATGGGATGAGAATAGTAAGAGATGCTTCAGAGCATCTGCTTAGTCTAGACAACCCAAGAAGAGAAACCTGAGCGGGACTTGAAAGAGTTCTCATCAACATAGTTGCCAAAGGATTTTTAATAGTGTTTCAGTGAGAGGAATTGTCCTTTATAGCTGTTTTCTGTATATATGTTCATTAATTAAAGCACTACTGCTAGTAGCTTCACTCTTGCTGACCACCTATTTGCCAGTTACCAGGCTAAACACTTATTTTAACATCATGTGGTGGATTGTCATACTCTCTTATTATATACATTTCATCGAGGGCCAGAGAAATGTAAAAAAAAAAAAAAAACATGCCCAAAGTCACACAGCTCTTAATTGTGAGACCTTGAATTGAAACCTTGGTCTTCCTGCCTCCTTTCCATGTTACCATACTTTTTATCACACTGATACCCCAACTTATTTTATATCAGTACTTGAAAATTAGTTTTTTTGTTGTTAATTGTTTCAATTGAACAATTCAATTATGTGTTGTTATAAATAAATGTCGGGCTTAGATATTTATCACCAGTGACTTGGGTTTATACAGTTACATAATCTATTTTGGACTTTAAAACATTTTTGAATTATCAGGATTCCATATTCAAATGGAGTTCCTTCTGGGAAAGGTGGCATTAAAAGGCAGAATTTGGTTGAACAAGTCAATTTCTTCTGTATTTGTGATGGTAAAAGCTAAGCTGCTATGACAAAGAGACCGTCACTTAAAGAAGATAGAAAGTTATTTTTCTCCTATTGTAGTTCAACCAATTTATTCTGACAGAGTAGCTTGGCTTTGTTATGTTATTCAGAGACCCAGCATATTTCCATGTTGCTGCTCTGCTATCCTTTAGGGCTTTATTGTAGCTGACCACCATTATGTCCCTGTTTTAGCTTATGAGGAAATGAGAAAAAAGGAATGGTGGAGTACATAACTGAGGTTTTATGGCCAAGCTTTGGAAGTAGAACACACTGTTTTTACTCACTTCCATTGATAAGAACCTAGTCACATGACTAAACCTAAAAGCAAAGGAGGCCTGGAAATATAGTTTCTAGCTGTGCAGCCCAATGCCTAGGGCAAGAGTAGAGAACTGATTTTGAGGGAAAGCTTGTCTGTTGCACACTGGAGGGAGTAGTATTCTAAAAAGACAGGATTGGTTAAACAAATGGATTTCCAAGCAAAATACTGTGAAAAGGACAAAGACTGTACATGAAGTGGATATGCCCAGAGGAGATAATGCATGTGCTGTGGTTTGAATGTGTTCCCCCAAAAGCATATGTTGGAAACTGAATCCCCAATGCAGCTGTGTTAAGTGGTGGGGCCTAATGAGAGGTGATTAGGGCATGAGGGCTCTGATGCCTCAGGAATGGATCAATGCTGTTATCATGAGAGTGGGCTCATATTCGTGGAATGGATTCCTTATAAAATAACAAATTTGGGCCCCTTTTCTCTCTCTATCTCTCTTGCTCTCTCTTTGGCCTTCCACTTTCTGCTATAAGATGATACAGCAAGAAAGCCCTTGCCAGATGCTGACCCTGATCTTGGACTTGCCAGCCTCCAGAGCCAGGAGCCAATTAATTTCTGTTCATTATAAATTACCCAATCTCAGGAATTTTGTTACAGCAGCTGAAATGGACAAAGACATCATGTCACTTCACAGTATGGTCAGGGCTTGGCTCTTCCTGCCTGTCAGACTCTTTTTGTCATATTTACACCTTAAGTGCAACTTAAATGTAATATTTTCTGTATTGCCTGAGGAATATTCAAGAAAGAGGGAGTTAAGAGTAGAACCTCTGTGAGCTAATAACTTATTCATACAGTTTACAAATATTTTACATGTATTTCATTTTATTTTAGCCTCCCAAACTAGGTTACTCTGATGAGGCTCATTATACAATGCTTTGTACTTGAAATTCAGACAATGACTTGAAGGAACAGGGGTTTAACTTCAAATCAAAAGCCACTGTACCTTTCATTACCCTCATTTTGGGGTCTTAAAGCCAAAAGAGAGCATTTAGTTGATTTTTTATTTTCAGGTTGCCAAGAATAAAGATTCTTTGAATCTTAAATACAAAGCAAGCAGAACTTGCATGGCTTGTAGAAAATTATTTCCTAACTAAAAATAAGACTTCCTGGCAGGAGCTATTTGCTGTATCAGAGCTTTAGGGCTTCTCATTGGCAAAACCTTGTCCCCAGTGGTTTGTCTATCTTCATTGTACTCTAAACAAACTCTTTCTTCATTAAGTGGATGGCTCTGTAGGTAATGGAAGGATAGGCTGGCTGCTACTCATGGAAAGGGTTTTTTAATAATGGAAAAAAATAAACTGTCTTGATGCTCAAGTTCTTGAGCTCAAATTAGCAAAGCAGGTGGACAGATCATATTTTTTTCTATAGCATAACTCCAGGAGGATTCTGAGCTGTCTTTGTTAGTTGTCCTAGTTTCTTTTGACTGATATTCAACAAAGAAATCTTCATCTTATAACTTTATTGCTGTTTCTTCTAAAGAGTCTTTTTACGATGGGGAAAGAACAGGGCTGTTGTGTTTGGCCACATGGATTGTATGGGGTACAATTGCAGAACGACTTGGGAATGTGAAGGCAACAAGTGACCCTTACCATTTCTTGTTTATACTAGGGTAAAGGGATATGGGACTTGAAATTATGCTCCTTTTTTTGTTATAAGTTTTCTCATACATGCATGTAATCTGTCCTATCTATGCAAAGGGGAAAAAAATCACCAGGAATTGGATTGCTATTGCGACAGAGTCTTCTAGCTAGAATCTACAAGAGTGCCCCTTTCTGTATGAGTGCCCCTTTCTCTACAATGATCAAAGCGTCCACTGTTCATTATCAGTCTGGTGGGATATAAAGACTCGAATTCTTTTAATTTGTGTTTTCCTGATTTCTGGTAAAGCCAAACATCTTTATTCATGTTAATTTGACATTTGCATATTCCCCCCACCCTCTGCCACCCTGAGAATTATCTTTTCAGAACCCTTGCCTATTTTTACATTTTGCCCTTTGCCTTTTCTCCTAATGATTTGAAGAAGCACTTTTCATGTTATGGACCTTAAACATTTCCTATTATGTATTTTGATAATTTTTTTAAATAAGAGGGTAAAAATTATTCTCTTGTATTGTTTCTCCTAATTTTGTTTATTCCATTAAAGTTTGCATCTTCAATCCTTCTGGAATTTACATGTTATTCTGTGGTAGGTATTTCAAAAAAATGTTTTAAAAAATTTTATGTGTTACAAACATTCCAATTATACTCTTTTAGTCATTTTTAAATGGTAGGTATTTATCTTTCCTCTCCTGTAGCTGTTTCTTCCAGCAATACTTACTGAGTAGTTCATAGCTGAGGAGAACTGGCACTGCAGTAGTTGTCCTTACAAGTTGTGTGTTTTCCAAGAAAGGGTGTTTTTCTATGAAAGAGGGAGACTATAAACCAGATATGGTGGGAAGCAGAAAATTGGTCTATTATTTTGAAAGATGCAAATATCAGCTCTTGAATTTGCCGGGAAATGTTTATTTTAGTTGAGCAATGTTAACAGTAGAGGTAGGCAAGGAAAGCATGCTTTGCAGAGTGAAGACATGTCTTTATTATATAATGTGTGAGCCGGGGAAAGCATTATTTTATAGAGCAGGGAGTAGCAAAGATAACAGAATGACTGCATTTGGTTGGCCATATGCTTTATATTCTGTTTTGAATTAAGATCGCTATATATAGAGATATTTTATCTGTACCTTCTAAACTCCTGTTCATAATCTTGCTGAGAGTTATATATGTTATCTGTAAGAAGCATTTTCTCCCTATGATGCTGATAAAAAATAACAATGCAGGTGCAAGGAGACAGCCAGCATTTCTGGTAATATTCTTGAGATAGACTATGCTATGAAGTGGTAAAAGCATTGTGTTAAAATTTCCATTGTAAAATAACACATTTTATAAGTGTGCCTTTTAAAGAGAGCCTTTCCCCAATCAGAACAAAATGCTAATATATCCTTTGCATTTATCTTGTAAAATTACATTCTAGATTTCTTGATCCTAATTACATACTTTGGATGATTTTTCTGCTTCCAGTGACATTTGTTAAAGGTGTATTTTCTTAAACTTTGTGTTTAAAAAAGGACATTCTGGTCCTCTTTTTGGAAGATGACCTGTTGTGAAGGAGGGAATCAGAAATAATTAAGACAATATCAGAAGGGTTGCAGTAAGAAAAGTAAATACTGAGTCATAAAACCCAGGAAAACTGTGTCCAGGTTTTCTTGGTCATTTAGTGGCTCCATTCATTTGCAGAGCTCCAGAAATCAAAGGGACCACTTTTGGTTAGGGGCATTATTTCATAATCTTTATTTTTTACTTGTTAGTCACATGTGCAGCTAATGCTATAAATGCATGTTCCCCATTTAGCAGTTTCACCAGCCTCATTCAAATTCCAAAGCAGAAAATTGGTAGGAGTCTTCCGTAAGCCTTGCTACTCAGTGTGGTCCTCACACCAGAAGCATCAGCATCTCTTGGGAGCTGGCTAGGAATGCCCAACCCAGAAGTATTGAGTCAGAATCTGCATTTCTTACAAGATTAATGTTTGAGAAACACTTTTCTGTAGCACTAATGGAACAAATATAATTTGGCTTTTAATTTCTATCATCTTTAGTTCGTCTGATAAGTACACTAGACATTTCTTTGAACAGAAAACAAACAAGCAATATAAACCCCAAAAAAACCAGTTTGGCCACAGTATGATGAAACAGAAAAATCTGTACAGTAACTGGGTAATAGACATTTCTACAATGCAATTGCTACTTCAGGGCTTTGGAGTCTGACAGATGTGGGCTGGGATCTTGGGGTTGTCATTTACCGTTTTTTGTTTTTTGTTTTTTGTTTTTTTTTAACCAGCGAGTTACTGAACTTTTCTCTTCCTCAGCTGCAGTGAAGTGTTCTGCCTCTGAGTTCCATCGTCTTTTGAGTCCACCATGCTTTCCACTCCATTAAGCAGATAGGCAACATAGGTCATAGGTGTACAGAACTGTATTCAGTCCTGCTATTCTTTTCAGCAATGTGCATTTTATTTTATATGTACTACCTTTCTAAGGACAGACACATGAACCAGACACATAAGTCACATAAATGAGCAAGAGGTAAGGGAAAATAAGGGGAGACCTGTGTAAAAGCACTGTGAGGTTATTTTAATAGTTTAAATAGCATTAATAAATCTCTAACTAATTACATTAATAAGTCTCCAGCTAATTTGCTCTAAAAATGAATCAATGATCCTGGCTGTCTGCCATATCACTGTCTATACTTTGAATCTGCCTTCTTGGCTATAACAACATGGAAATACTTCTCGTGAAAATATAATGCTCTCACTCATTGACAACTTATAAATATGTACATTATTATAAACTGTGTTCATAAAATACATCTTAAAGAGGGAAGTTCAGTTTCTCTCTGAAATATCATCTGATTGAGATGTGAGATATATAAATGGCTTTTAATGGAAAGAAACAGTGTCAAGCATGCTGATGAAATGTGTATCTTCTACAGTTTAGAGTAACAGTCCGGAAAACAAATATCGCTGCAATAAAAGAGCATGTTGAAAGGATATACAAGACAGGACAGAAGATGGAAACATTCTTTATATTCTACACATTTTAAATCATCTCTGGAAAAGTAGTTGCAACCTGTTTTATTTTGAATTGTGGCATTTGTTAATCCTTGGATTAACCTTTATCTCATCTCTTAAAGCCATCACTTTGTATATTCTTGTTAAATCCTTTCTTTAATATATTTTAGAATATTTTGACTGAGTGCAGCCTTTACAATACAAATTTCTTATGTTCCAATTATTTCATTTAGTAAGCATGCAATTCAATTAAGACACAAATTCAATGATAATAAAGAAAACGTTGCCCATGAAGCACATCCCAGGTACATAAATGGTAACTAACTAGATTTAGGGGAGTATAAATAGCTGCATAATTGAAACTTAAGTAGATCTTAAAAACATGACTATTTAGGTAATATGTGTCCTTAATACCAGTTTAGAGTGAATGCCAAGACAGATTTCCTCAATAGATGTGGTCCAAAAATCTGCATATGTATATAGTTGTAAGTCAAATCACTTCTTTATTGAAATCAACACCTCACTTTTAAAAGATGTTTTAGATTTGTCATTTTAAACTCATAATTATTATTTGTTAATTTACAGAAGATTGAGTGTTCAGGGGTCAGTTCTACACTTACATATTTTTCCTTGAAAGGCTGAAGACAGTTTTTTAGAAATGTATTTAATTTATGGCTTAGATGACTTAAAAATTCTGGTAATATCAAAAAATTTTTAGCTTGATTTGAACCAGGTTTGTAATTCTTTTTTTTTTTTTTTCTGAAGTGTAAAAAACCCCAAGCAGTTTAGAAATCTGGTGCAAATACTCCTTCTGCTGAAACAGGGTTTGCACCAAAGTAACAGATGTTCAATTGTGAGCTGTGACATTCACCACTCCTCAAGGGGCTGGGCATGCGCCCCTCGCAGGGATGAGGGACAGCCTCTATTCCCAGGGATTTATTCTCTTCCAGAGCCTCTCCGGGGCTTTTGCTGGGGCTGGAGAAAGACATACCCGGCTCAATCCCCTACTCTGTGCAGAGGGCCTCCTGCTGCTCGGATGCAGGGAACCCACCTCACGTTTTTCAGATGTTCTCAGAGAAAGAATGCCCCACTCTGCAGACATGTGAGTCTCTAGGGTTTTTGAATGTCGGCAAATGTGTGTGGGAAGGTCTCAGGTGAGTGGGAGTGTTGAGATAACGCTCTATCAGAAAGTCTTCCTTGTGGTGGACAACACTAAGCTGAGCAAACAACAGAGAAGATGGGAGTCCTTCAGCCTGCGGTGTTCCTGGCAGCCTCCTCTAGGCCTGGCTTGCCAGCAATACCTGTGAGGCGTGATCACACAGGAGAATGGCATTCTTGGGACCTAGTGCGGCCCCCTCTGTGGTCCTTTGCAGTCCTGCGCAACCAACTCTCAGCACTCCAGCGCCTTTCCAGTCCCCTCCTGCTGGGAGGCCCTCTGAGAGCTCAGCACTCTCCAGCCTGGCTTCTCTGGGCCTTTCTCACTTCGGCATGAGTGAAGGGAATCACCCTGCACCTGCTCTAGGCTGATGATGCAAATGAGGGTTCCGCATCCTATGTCCATGTGGACTTACTAGACACCCACTTTACTAAGAGGCTGCAAGAAAACACGCTTACTTGTTAGCTTTCTTTGCTCAGTGTGAATTGTTTGACCCCAGGCACATTTCTAACTCCTATTCCAGAGGTCCTTTAGAGGGTGGACAATGCACAGTCCTGGGGGAGGGAAACCAGGCACTAGCCCGAGATCAGGCTCTTCTTTCCACAGCCTGGAAAACTCCACTCACTTGTACTGTTTGGCTTCCCGGGACAGTGCACCTCGTTCTATTTGTGCCACCAGTCGTTTGCTCTTCAAATAGGTTCAGGCTTCCTGTTTGCGTCCGGTGAGAGTTCTCAGTCTGTCAAAGGGTCAGCAGGCATTGATGGGCTATTTACTGCAAGCAAAAGTCTTCCTGAGTCTGTTGAAGGATTTTCCTTCTGCAAAGGCCTGTAATTTTAGGCCATTCTTAATCATTTTTTCCTGTTCTCATCCCTGATCTGCTGATCCTGTTACCAGAAAGGGGTCCTGATCCAGACCCCAAGAGAGGGTTCTTAGATCTTGTGCAACGAATAATTCGGGCAAGTCCACAAAGTAAAGTGAAAGAAGTTTATTAGAAAGTTAAGAGATGAAAGAATAGACAGAGCAGGGCATTCCCCAAAGCAAGAGGAGGGACGCACTCACCTTAGGTTTGAAGCTTGTTTACGTATAAGACAACAGAGCAAAAAGTCATGGGGAAGGTGTGCTCTACTACAAAGGTTCCTGACAAAGGATTGCCAAGCTTTGTGTAACTATTATCTTCCACAAGAATTTATGTTACTATCTTTAAAGCAAAACTAATTCTTAAACTATGAATGCTTTTACTGTTAAGATATTGGGACATCAGGACTTTTGCTGGGTCTGTTACAAGTCCTGGGTCTATTGGGTAAATATTACGAATCTGTTCCCTGAATTGTAAACATCCTGTGCCTAAAAATGCCTCACCTGGGAATGCAGCCCAGCAGGTCTCAGCCTCATTTTACCCAGCACCTATTCAAGATAGAGTCACTCTGGTTTCAGTGCCTCTGACAATCCCAAAGTTTTAAAGTCAGGGATCTTGCATCAAAATATCCAGTTGCCTTGAAGAGACACATTTTTCTCTAGAAAATATGTTTTACAAGCTAAGAAATAAGGGATTAAAAAATAAACAAATTTTCTTCCCTGATCCTGATCCTTTTTGACCATAAATTTGCAACATTTGTATGGTATATCTTTATATATCCCTAGGAAGCCCTTCTCAAATGTTAAGGTGCGCACGAATCAGCTAAGGATTTTGTTACATGAGATGTAGGTGGTGCCTGGGGTTTTCTACCTCAAACAAGTTCCCAGGTGACCAGGGCACTTATGGCTCACAGACCAAACTTTGAGCAGCAAAGAACAAAGCAAAAAATTTTCAGTGAATGATTGTATTTGGTTATATTGACAGCTAAGTGGATATTAGATCTCTGAATTATTCATAACTTTAATTGATTCATTTGTAAAACTTTAATGACACACTGGAATTTTAATATTATCCTACATGATTAATGGATCATATTGTTTGGCATGATTAAACATTACAGAAAAATATAAATAGATCCCAAAATATAGCTTCCAAAGGAATAAATGCTGCCAAATGATTTTGTGTTTTTTGTTTCAGAAATTCACTGGGCATATATGCAGTAGACTTTGTGAGTAAACCAAATTTATAAATCAGATAATTTTCAAATGATACATTGGTTTGGCCAGACAAAATAATCTTGTTCTGTGGGAGCTCTCAGTATGACAGATACTGTATTCTATGTGGAAACCTGAGATATAGCTGCACATGAAGCAGAGTTCATGTTCCTCTGATAATAACAAGACTTTACTTCTCCTACCCAAACAGTGCTTTAAAGTATCACTCATCCATACAGTCTTTTCTACACATGGCTTCTCCATACACAGAAAGTAAATGGAATTCCAGGTTCCAATGTCATAACTCATACACATCGCTGGGGAGATGACAAACGTGTATGTTTCATAAGCTCAGATGTAATTTATGACTAATATGCATTCAATGTGTCTGACATATATATGTATATATATTAATGAAGTATGTACAGAACTTGAGAGAATAATTCTGAACACTGTGAAGATAGTAATGTAATCTCTCAACATTTCAGAAAAAAATGTTGAAAATTGCCTATTATTTAAAAAATTATTTTATTTTATTTTTAATTATAGTAAAATGCACATAACATAAAATGTGCCATCTTAACCATTTTTAAGTGTATATTTCCATGGTACTAAGTACCTTCACATTTAAGTGTATATTTCCATGGTATTAAGTACCTTCACATTTAAGTGTATGTTTTCATGGTATTAAGTATCTTCACATTTAAGTGTATGCTTCCATGGTACTAGGTACCTTCACATTTAAGTGTATGTTTCCATGGTACTAAGTACCTTCACATTTAGGTGTATATTTCCATGGTATTAAGTACCTTCACATTTAAGTGTATATTTCCATGGTATTAAGTACCTTCACATTTAAGTGTATATTTCCATGGTATTAAGTACCTTCACATTTAAGCGTATATTTCCATGGTATTAAGTACCTTCACATTTAAGTGTATGTTTCTGTGGTATGAAGTACCTTCACATTGATGGTGGTGATGTGTACAACCATCACCACCTTCCATCTCTAGAGCTCTTTCCATCTTGCAAAACCCAAACTCTGCCTGTTAAACCACTCCACATTCTCCACTTTCCCCAGTCCCTGGCAACCACCTTTCTACTTTCTGTCTCTGATTTTGACTAATCTAGATACCTCATGTAAGGTGGACAGTTGTCTACCATATAGTAGTCAAATATGGAAGAGCATAGTTTATTTAACAGTTGAAGATAGATGTTTAAAAACTTGACGAGAAACCAATTAGAAGCACATTAAAAGTCAGCATGATGCAAATAGAGGCTTCAGTTACTCACTGACCTCATTGTTTTGTGTGTCAACAACAGTAAGCTTCCTGGAAAAGTGTCTGGGTTGTGTGTCGACAAGAGTAAGCTTCCTGGAACAGTGGCTGGGTTTTCTACTAATTTATATAGGCAGTATGATGTCATAGAAGATTCTCTTATCTGACTCCATCTTCAGCTATGGGGAGTCACGTGTTTCATCTACAGAATTAGGGAGTTGCACCAGAGATGATCTCCCAAGTTCACTCATTTGCTTAACAATTTAATTCAAGCTCTTCCTAGTAGCAGGCTCTGTTATAGGTGCTGGGGGTACAGCTGTGAACAAAACAGGTAAAAGTCCCTGCCCTGGTGGAACTTGCATTCCAGTGGGGGAAGCTAGACAAAAAAAAGCAAGTTAAATAAAAAAATGAGGCTGGATGCAGTGGCTCAGGCCTGGAATCCCAGCACTTTGGAAGGTCAAGGTGGGTGGATCGCCTGAGGTCAGGAGTTCGAAAACAGCCTGGCCAACATGGTGAAATCCATCTCTACTAAAAATACAAAAATTAGCCGGGTGTGGTGGGCGCCTATAATCCCAGCTACTTGGGAGGCTGAGGCATGAGAATCGCTTGAACCCAGGAGGCGGAGGTTGCAGTGAGCCGAGATCATGCTACTGCACTCTAGCCTGGGCAACAAGAGTGAGACTCTGTCTCAAAACAACAACAACAACAACAAAAATGGCATATTAGACGCTGAGGAATGCTTTGGTAGAAAAATGAGTCATAAGGGAATGGTGTGAGGTGGGACCAGAGGAGGCTGCACTGAGAAAGTGAGAGGGGCAAGACCTCAGGGGAAGAAGGGAGGGCTGCACGGATGTCTCAGGCAGAGCAGGCAGCACCGGAAAAGGTGGGGGACACTCCTTTTGGACCAGCATATAATTTGGTTAAAGCCTCTCCTGTTTCACCTAATATATAAGCACATTTCAAGATAAAACTACTACTTTATTGTCATCAAATATAAAAGTAATTTTTTATTCAGGGTTTTCTAATACTCATCTATAAAGGCATTTCTTTCCCACATGGCATGTGTTACAGGGTGTTTAACTTAAAGCAATTGTAAAAGAAAAGCCTGAAGAAATAAGTCTACAACGATTTACATCGTGTTTATTTTTGTGTCAAAATATATGTTAAAATATACATTAGCTATACTAAGGGAATCAAGAGAAGATCATAATTGCTCTTATGACTTGGGATTTAGAATTCTTACATTTTCACCTAAAATCAACTTGTTAATTATTCATAATTTTATGTTTTATTTCTATATGTCAAAATAAAAGAGAAGGGTTCAGACTGATATTTGCAAATGCTTCTCTGAAAATAAAACATTGTAGATGTGGTAGTTTTATTAGCAATAAATAAAAAACCTAACAGAATATAATTGTCACTGAATGTTTGCCTAGAGTTATTTCTTATTTAAATTTCTTGTGATAGCTTGATAGGATATATAGCATTGCAACTTACTGTTTAGGTAAAGTTGTTGTTGATGTGGATGTGAAAGTTATTTTTAGTTTTATTCTTTTCTTCAGCTTGTAGCTCCATATGACTGTGATTTTTTTTCTACTTTTAATCACCTAATAGCTAAAATAAAAACATGTTAAACATTTAATGTTAACTGTAGTTAGGTTTGTTCAATGTATGTGTAATACATGACTTTGGATACTTAGGTGTAAATTATTGAGGGATTCATTTATTTAATTTCATGTTTATAGTAGTCTGCCTCTTTCTATTGATTAGCAAAACAAGTGGGAATAAGGATTAGAAAAAATAAAAATAAAATCCCTACATAAACCACAGCACACTCTAATATAGTTTGCACTTTAGTCTCAGGCTATTTTCTCTATCACAATCAGCAACAGCTAATAATAGTATCAGTTAATTGAGCATTTTTTATGTGTCAGAATTTTTGCATTCATTCTTTTGTTTAGCCCTTATAATGACCCTGTGAGTTGGGAATTACTGCCATACTGACTATCTTGCAGGTGGAGAAACAGAGTTTTAGAGAGCTTAGGTAATTTGCCAATGTGTTTCAGCCAGAAAGAGGTGGAGTCAGTTATCTGAATTCAGACTGTCCTCTTGATATCACTGGATTGATGAGATCTGACTTCTCTGTGCTCTTTCTCTAGCAGGTTCTCATGAGTAACGAGATAGCCATTGGACAGGTCACAGGAGGGAGGACATAACATATGCTATATTTGGCTGGTTTGTCAGTTACTGAATGCTGAAGAAGTAACATAATTCTAAAATAGCATAATTAGTATATTTCTGTTATAAATCTCAAGAATTGTGGCTTACAGTTCTTTAATTCTATCGATGAAGCTGTTTTACCCCACAGACCCTGCCTTCTGCTCTTGCTTTAAATGATTTTTCTCATTTCTAAACATTTCTAGCCTATTCTTGTAGCCAACTCACCTCCTGTCACTGCTGTTCACAAAGAATATTTTTCCAGATTCATAGGACACCAAAAGGTGAAGGAGATTACTTTTTAAAGACATAAACGGATCAAAATGCAAAGCAGAGTACTTATTTTATGTGACCTTGATAAGCTGTTGATTTGCAACCTGCTGTTCCGTGTAAACAGCTCTTTCACCATTAATTTAAAATTCAGGACTTAAAAAATGATCCATATATTTCACAACATATTAAATTTGTATCTGAGAGACAGAGAAACTGAGACAAATATTTTTAGTGGCAACTTGGCTCACCAGATTGACAGATATCAAAGTATGACATTATAGACAAAAAAGAAAAGGGAAATAATTCAGTGGAAATAATACATTTTGAATCAAGATACCCCACGTCAGATTCCATCTTCTCCACTTACTACCTCTGAGACCTTGAGTATGTCATTTTAACTCTTTAAATCGTTTCTTTACCAGGTGAATAGAGATAACTTCTCCCCCAATTAGTTTGAATGTTAATGATACCTATAAAATATGGCTTTATCCATCTATAATTATACATTCATTTAATAAAAGTTTCAGTAATATTATTGCATTTTTTTCCAATGCTCTTTACAGGTATTATGGCAAATTACAAATAAATGCTCAGAGGGTTTCCATCTACTCGATCTTATAACTGAGATGGATTAGGGTCTTTGAGGAATAAATGACACAAGTTCTTTCCAGAATGACTAGCACACTAATAGACATATTAGCAAAGTGCACACACACCTCCTTTTTCTGGACTGTTCTTTACCCTTTCCACCTGCTACCGCCTGCAAAGTCCCCTGGAGTCACATCCCTCATGAGGCCCACTCCCCAACACTGGAATTGGGCTAGGAAGGGGGAGCTGGTATAAATGAACCACTTTTTCCTTTGTACTCCCAGTATACCTTTTATGGAGCTCTAAATATAGGACCCTTTTATTTTACTTTGTAATTGCAGTGTTTGTTTATACCTTTCTATTCCCTGGTAGACAGGGAGCTCCTTAAGGACAAAGGTTATCTTCTTAACTTTGGTATCTGTCTTAGTCTGTTCTTTCAGGCAGCTATAAAGAAATATCATAAACTCAGTGGTTTATAAACAACAAGCATTTAATTCTCACAGTTCTAGAGACTGGGAAGTCCAAGATAAAAGCACTGGCAGATTCAGTGCTGTGTGATGAGGGCCCACTCCTCATAGACAGTGACTTCTAGCTGTGTTCTCACATGGTGCAAGGAACAAACAAGCTCCCTCGGACCTTCTTATAAGAGCACTAATTCCAATTATGAGGGCTCTGCCCTCTTGACCCAATCTCCTCCCCAAATTCCCACCTCCTAATACCATCACCTTGGGGGTGAGGATTGCAATACGTAAATTTTGGAGGAATGTAAACATTCAGACCACAGCAGTATATCAGTGACTAGTACAATGCCTGGAATAGAATCGTCATTTAATGAATTGAATAACAGAAGGCTGTTCAGTTTGAGGAAGCCTTCCACAGCATGCTCAAATAATTCACCCTAAGTTCACCTCTGATCTGTCCACTGTCACAATTCAGAGTTAATCTGGAAAATTTGGAATTAAAACTCCTTTAGTCTTCATTAAATCCTAAATCTCCAATTATAGCCATTGGTAAGTACACACTTAGCTGTTGGAAATGCAACACTTATTTTATTAACCATGACCAAGGCCTGAGAAGCCTTGAGGTAGAATAAAGAAGGAGAATCCACAAGAGGAGGCTGAGGAGGGACTAGAGAGGGAAGAGGACAGCCAGGAGAGTGGTGTCTTCCAAGCCAAGAGAGCAGCCCATGTTGAGGTAGAGGCAGTTGTCTGCCATGAAAATCCTCATTAGTCACAACTTTAGGATCTTTTATACCTACCCTTACCAGTAGCAAGAAATAGTGGAAAGAATAATGGACAGTGCCCACAAAATATAAGTTCATTTCTCCTATTCATCACCATGTCTCTGCGCCACACATCATCTGTGAAACGGTGATAATAGTCGTTCTAAGCTGTAAGCTTGTTGTGGGGATGAAGTTGTAAAAGTCATGTGAGATTTTCTGCATGGAGTCCTGCATGTCTTAAGTACTAAGTAAACATTAGTTATTAATACTCTTGTTGGTTGCATGATTTAAATGAAATTAGGACAACAGAGCTTAATGTAATCATGTAAGATTTTGGAGTCTAGCAAACGTAGGGTATCCACAAAACTCACAAAGTCTGCTGTGAGTGAGAACTCCCAGGCAGCACTGGCTCCTTCTAGGTCTTCTACGTGTTAGGGCAAGGTTGGACTCTGACATCTTCCCTGGGGTGCATAACCATTCAAGATGCAGCCAAGAAAAACAGATATTCTGCTTCCTCAATACAGAAGGAAGTGAGAATATGAAATAAAGGAACATTAAAATAAAATGATGTTAGGAGGAGAGAAGACAACATTCAGTAGTCTTGAGAACTGTATGTTTAAATCAACCCAAAATATATTCGAGACTGTGCTTAAAATATACCTAACAATGGAAGAGGAGGTTTTATATTTTAATATTCAGCTTGCATAGGACAGAGGTGTGCTATGTTTAGAAGACAGTATAGCAGAACTGTTAAGAGCACACTTTTAGAATCACTGAAACAAAAATTCTGATACTAGCATTTATTTAGTGTGCAATAACAGGAGGATTCTTGACTTCCCTAAGCCTCTGCTTTCTTATCTGTAAAATGGGAATTATTATAGCCAACTCCTCGGGGTACTTTCAATATGAAACTAGATAATGTTAACAAAAAACTTAGCAAAGGGTTTGGTGCCTAAGAAAGGATCAGTGAGTACAGATAATGTTAGTATAATTGAATATGATAGATGAATGAATGGATAGGAGAACATTGTTTTCAATCTCAAGGAAAAGGATATTAAGTATTCATTAGGCAATTTTAGTTTCAAGCTTCTTTAATCATATGCTATTCAATTAATACCTCTGAGTAAGTTTAAGGGGCAGAGGGCACCTTCAGTGTTAGAGAGGAAGATAATGAGATTTTGATTGACTTTAGTGTTCTGTTTGTTTCGTTTTCACCATTTCCTAAATGGCACCCCCTACCACATAGGAATGTATCTTAATTTTTTAAAGCTACCGTTGAGAAACTAGAAACTACATTTTGTGTTGGTGGAGAAGAAAAACTGTCCAACATACCTGAGGATAAATATAGTGGGATAAAGTTAACATCGTTCATTTTGGATGAAAACAAATCTTTGAAACAGGGAAAACTGCCATGAGGAAGAAATCAAAAGAGCATGTTTCCGTTTTGCCATTTCACAGTTAGCAAACATGAAAGAAAATGTTGGTCAACATAAACGTTCAATAAGAAAACTTGGCTGTTATTCAATGAGGAATGAAGAGTATCATATGCAGAGTTTCCCTTGGTAAACATATTTAAAATAAATAAATCTGGAAGTGTCTGAGAGTCAAAAATGTGGTGCATGCAATATATGATGTAAAACAAAGGCGGGTGGTTTACGTAGCTCAGCAGACAAGACGCCAGATGGTATGTATGCTTGATTGAAAGTACCCACCTGTTATTCTGCGAACACAATGGGAGGAACAGAATCCTACATTTCCTCATCCCCTTTACTGAGGACTCTCCTTCTTTCATACTTAGTATTTTTATATTACCTGTATCTATTATTCTACGTGGCAAGAAGTCCTTTTGGGAAGGCAGAGTATAAATAATGTAGTTTTATTAATAGATAAGTATTAGTAAAACTTTGCATTAGAAGATGTATGACTGACGTTGCATAGAGTTGTGTGATGTAGAGTAATATTCATGGTGTACACATCATAATTATGTTTGCGAAACATGAATACCTACTACAGGTCTTTGTGATAGACATCAGGGTGGGGATGCATAGGGGACAAAAATGTACACAATTTTGTGTCTGCTCTCAGAGAGATTACATAGTAGGAGAGGAAGACCCAGTATTAAAAAATAGAATAAAGGCAAGTGCCCCAAATCTTTGTCATTAATTTTGACTGGAAGAGAGGCTTAGGAAAGATGAGACATTTAAGCATTGCATGGAGGAAAAAAGAAGTAGATCTCCCTTGGCAGGTGGATAGGCTAGGACATTCCAAACTGAGAAAAAGCAAGAAAAAAATTCCATGAAGCAAGAGAGTATGTAACAGCCCTAAAGGAGTAGCCTATAGGATTCCCTAGTTGGATGGAATGGGAGGCAGAAAGAGATAGGGCTTGAGTGTTATAATAATAATATAGGCTTTATTTTGAGAAAAATAAGAATCCATTAAATATTAAACTGGGAAGAAAAATGGCCAGGACTAGACAGGCAGTCATGTTTGAAAATAAGCTCCAGGAATTTGATAGAATATAGGAAAAGTGGCTCTTAAATGTATATTGGGGGAGGAAATGGAGTTAAATATGATCTTAATGTTCCCGGCTAGGATGTCAAGTTTAAAAATTGGTACCATTAACCATTTTCTGTAGAAAATACAGAAAGAAGAGAGGTTTGAAAAGGGGGTAGAGGAAGGAAGGTAGAATGTGTGGTTAAACTGATAAATTGAATTCTGGTGGCTGTTCATGAGAAAATGTGCTGACAGTGTTAGAAATAAAGATTTGGCTTAAGTGGGCTGCAGACATAGATTTGAGAACCATCATAATCAAAGTGGTAATTGTAAGAGAGTAGATGATGTTCCCTAAAGAGATCAGGTACAATGAGAACTAAAAGGCCAAAAACTGGAAGAATAAGCAGATTTCAGAGATGAAGACAGAACTTACAAAAGGAGACTGAATAATATTCAGAAAAATAAGAGGAAAGCCAGGAGGAAGCATTGTTGCTGAAGTATTGAAGCTGAAATGTTGAAGAACATCTCAAAAATATTACATTCCAAAATATTATCTATTGTGAAAAATTGAATAGAATAAGAAAATAAGAATATTGAAATAGGCATTATACAGACAGCAGTAAGAATAGTTTTAGGAGATAAATGGGATAACTTTAAAATTAGCATAGCTAGCTATTATTTATGGAGCTCTTTCTTTGTTCCTGGTCTATTAGCTAGAATCCTCACAACACTCTAGTGAGATAGGTTTCAGCATTAGTTCATTTTTCAGTGGAGGAAACTGAGGCATGGAAAAGTCAGATGGCTACCTTAGGATCATAGAGCCAATAAATGACCAAGTTCTGATTCAAACCCAGGCCATCTGGCTGAAGAGCCCACCTTTGTAACCACCACATATAGCATCTTAGGAAGTGTGCTGTAAGGGACGGGCCAGCTGGCAGACTTCCTGGTGCACTATCATTTGGAGGAAATTGCAACACGCGTGAACCAAAGTATAATTAACCCAATGTCAATTCAATGTCAATGTCGATGTCAACTGAAGTTGCCAAGAACTTTAAGTGGACAGGTAAAAACTCTTCCAAGGATGCTTTCACAAATTGAAACAATGAATAAATATGCGGCCACGACCTCAGCTCAGGGACTATCTCAATGACAGTTTCTGCAAGTGGTCAGTTACAATATGTACATCCTGTAACTGAAAAGATGCATGGCAGAATCTTGTTTTCAAGGAAAATATAATTTACTTCATTACCTAAATGTTAATTGCTTTAATATGTCTCCAAGAAGTAGTCTGGTTTGTAATATTGCAATAGAAAACCAAAAAGAAGATATATTTTGCAGAGCTGAGAGTCAAAACAGTTTTTATAAACATTTTTGAATCAGCCTTCTAATCTGTAATTTTCTTCTGCCTTTAATGTATACTCAGGGACCTAATATTATCAGTTAGAGGTGACTGGAAATGAGCAAAATCAAGGACAATTCTAAATCAGTTAACAGCATAGGTTTAGTTCATGAAATAAATCCCTTATTGAACTGATGGAGAGACATACAATTTGCATTCATAAAAATTGTCTTCTCTAGTGCAGCATAAAATAAAGGAAGATAAAATAATGGTTTGAAAGGGCTTGAAATAATTAGCCTGTCCGGAGGGCTAGCCTGGTCTAGCCCTGAATGAGCGGGTAGTTAAAAGTGGAGGTATAGTTACTCTGTCTAGCAATGTCACCTTGAAGAGGTGGATGTTGAAGTACTGGAGATTTAGGGGAAAGTCAGGGTTGAAGAAAGATTTTTTTGGGGTTCAAGGCCTTGTCCATGGGCTAAGGGGAAAGGCCAGTGAAGAGAGGAGGGAGAGAGAGGGATTGAAAGAGGAGCTGCAAAGAAGGAAGCAGGTTTCAGAGCTCTGAAGGCCTGGGGGACAAAACTCACAGGAGGAGGAGCTCTCGTGGAGGAGGAGAGCTTTCTAAATCAAGAGGTAAGACAGGGCTGAGACGTGGGGAAGCATGTGCTGTTTTGGGGAGAGGCTGCGACTGTGACCCTCAGAAGGGCTCCTCTTCAGGGAATTCTGCTGGGAATTGGGGGCTTGGCATAGGGAAGATATTTAGAACATTTCTGTGAAGGAAGGGAAGCAGAGAGTAAAATGTTTATGGCTCAGCATTGAGGACGAGGTTGCAGTTCAGTGCACCAACTTAGATTACAGTGTGTTAAACATTTCCTCCTCGAGGCATCTTTTAAGACAGCCATGATTATTGTTCATCAAGGTATTTGCTCAAAGGGATAAAACTAAAGCTAATGTTTGAGTAATTATATAATGTCTTATATTTGATGGAAATACATTATGTAGTATAGTTTCTTTAGGCTCAGAGACATGAGGATACTTAGCAGCATATTGAATAGTTTAAAATCTATTTGGTATACATGACACAAGTTACCATCTAGAAATACTGTCTTCAGCAATCCTTGGTTCTTTTTAAAATTATTTTTTTTGTCAATTTCAGTTGGATAGGACCCTGAATGTTGCCCTCTTTTTGTCCTAGGACAACTTGTGGTAATGATAAATGGGATCTATTAATTCAGCATAGCGACATTCGAATCTATAACATGATGGTGCACCAAAAAGTTGACACCCCTATAACCCTGAGCACACGGTTTTACACAGTACAATGAAATATCTTCTTTCTTAGGAAAAGATCACTTCTCCACCACAGATCTGATACTGAAATGACATTTTTATTACTAATTTTTACACTAAAAATTCCTTTAATCTGGTGTTTCTTTGCAAGCCCTGCAAAGACCCTGCCGATGTAATACGGGGGAGAGCTACTTTCATCCAAGGGCTGTTGGAATGCATAGTAATGTGAGAGAGCCTTTTGGAGATATGTTTTCTTTATTTAATTTTTACTATTAATAATGATAGGAAAAAGTTATATGATGAAAATAATCTTTCTACTTTTTCACAACCAAATATCTTTATTAGTTACAATATGTTTATACGTGTTTATGTATGAAAAGAGAAGCCAAATGATAGAAAAATAATGCCATTTCAGAGGCTGTAGAGACGTATCTCTCACCATCCTGATTAATCTGTAACTCAATTCAAGTTCTTATTACCATTATGTTATTCTGTCATTTATATCAGAATGAAAACTAAAAAAGATTAATATAATAATATTCTAAATTAGGATGTTTTGTTTTGAGACAGCGTCTTGCTCTGTCATCCAGGCTGGAGTGCAGTGGCATGACAATAGCTCACTGCAGCCTCAAACTCCTGGGCTCTAGGGCAGAACATTTTATAAGTTATGCTGGTAAACTGTGGTAGCAACGTTTGGGATAGATATTTACAGAGATTGAAACAGATAGGATAAATGTGAATTATGACAGTAGATAGAAAATATAGGCAAAGACCCTGTTGATTTTTAAGTGTTTCAAAAGTGGAGTAAAGTCCTTCTGAAAGCCATAGACCAAAAGTCCTTCTGAAAGCCGTAGGCCATCGTAAATAACTGTCACCATGCAGAGGAAAAAAGCAGAATAAAACTATCATATCAAATCTAAATAAGAGGGAGCCTAACAAAATTCTAGTCCTTCTTAAATAATATTTAAACCACAAAGCTGACAAGAGTACTTGCAGTGATCCCAGGGGCAGCACTGAAAATGGAATTAATTGGGAGGATTTACAAATAAATAATTTTGGTGCCTTTTGGATCTCCAGTAGCCAGGACAGTTTTCACTCTTGAACTGACAAGCTCCCAGTTTCTGTGCATTGCCCTCTTCCCCAAACCAGATACCTGTCTCTATGTCTAGCTAGTCACTGATGTTGCTTCAGAGTCACCAGCCATATTTTTTAGTAAAGTGGTCTTACATACACCCTTGCCCCCACTCATACTAAATTTTGGTAAAAGTGTGAACTTGTGACTTTAGCATTTTTCTGGGGTGATTTTTCTCTAGGTAATTTGAAACCTATATTTGGAACTGTAGAAAATGAGGTTTTAAACAAAGTGAAAGCTAGCATATTCCAGGATAGTTTAACTGACCCAGATAGCATCCCGATAGATGATGAAAGACTTCTATTGAGAGCTTATTTCTACATAGTCTCTTAAAATATGATTTCATTATATTTCCTCCATTTTCTCCTAAGTAGGGTCTTGGGCTGCGTTAATGGAGGCCTTGACCTGGATTTTGGTATGTAATCAGCACTTCGGGCTGGACAGATTCCCTTAGAGGACTATGTTCATTTCTGATGCTGTATTTCGAGAAGGACATTGATTAGAGGAGTGTGTGTTCATGAAGAATGAGCAGGATAACCACAAAGACTACTCAAGGAGAATGGGATGCTTACCCTGGGGAAGAAACATCCTGAGTGAGACAGGATTGCTGACCTGTATCTTAAAAGAGTATCCTCTAGAAGTAGTAGAACAAGCTATTCTGCATTTTTCTTAACAGTTACAACCAGTGGGAAGGAGGTACAAGGAAGATTATTTCAGCTCAAAAGAGAATTCTTTAACAGCTAGGGATGCCCTTCTCTGTAATAACTAGGACTGCCTTAGGAGCTTATGACTACTGGAGGTATTTAAGCTGGCGATGGCAAACCATTGGTCAAGGTTTCTTAATTTGATATAAGGCTGCAGTGCATGTCTTTAATAATGCCTTCAACTTTCAAAATTACATACGTTGTCAAACAAATAATGGTTGACCAGATGTCTGCCAAACACTGTGCTAGTGCAAGGCTGAATATAAAATGAACCCTGCCAGAAGATCTAGCAATCAAATTAGGGGAAATGGCATGTATAAGACTAAGTATAATACACATAAGTGTAAGTGCTATAATAACAGTGTAAACAAAGTCCTCGAAAAACCCTAGGAATAGCAGTGGATGAATTCAGCAAATACTTACTACATACTTACGATGCTATAGACAGGCATTTTGCTATATTCTGTGTTCAGAGTGAGACTGAGCTTCATAGTCTCTGAAGACTGTATGGGGTAAGGAGGATTTGGAGGTGTATAATAAGTTTCATAATAGTACCAGTTTTTGAGAATCAAAAAGTATTGTTGCTAAAGATAAACAATTTCTGACTCCTAATCATTTTCTAATCTGTGATAGAATTTCTAGTGTCTACAGAATTAAGTGGTTTCAGACAATCAGTGGACACTTATTTATTAGATGCCAAGTTTGTTTTAGTTAGTATTGGAAATGTAAATACAAAAGACAAGAATTTTACCTTCAAGGAACTTGTAGTCTAGTTAGGAAATTAAGCAATGACATAAAATAATTAATAATTTAAAAATTTGACAAATGTTTATTGCACTGTAATTCTACATTTGCAATTGAACTTCAACATGACTTTCATCTCACCTCTTTGTAAATTATCTGTTAGTTCAAAGAGCTTGTGATCACATTTTCACTTAAAATCTGTGTGTGTGTGTGTGTGTGTGTTTGTGTGTTTGTGTGATGTCATTCATATCAACCCAGCCCTCAAACATATATTCTGAAAGGCTGAAATGGCTGTGCATGTTTCTATTATATGCGGTCTCCTTTTAAAAGAAATTTCTCCCTCTCAAGTACTCAGCTCCTTAAGGACAGGATTCTAGCTTGTTTTTCGGATCCCTTTCTGTGGAGCAGAGATAGAAAATGGGTTTAGATTTATCATCTTATCAAATTAGTTTCTTCTTTCACTCAGTTTTCTTAAAAGACCTAAATTTTCTAAAATTTAACCTTCCGTCCTTTGGTATTGGTGGGTTTGTGTTCATTAGATAACTGTGGCTTCAAATTTATTTCATTAAATTTCCATCTGAAAAAAAATCACTTAATCCCCAAATTTAGTTCTCTTTTGATAAGAGTTGTCTCCATAATGCAGTTTGCCTAAAATCACATAGATATGTTTGTAAATATTCTGTTATTTAATTATTTGCATTGCTAGAGTACCTAGAGTTAGTTGAACATTGAAAAGCAAGCAAGGGCTCTTGGGAAACATTCTTTCACAGAATCTGTTGTATGTCCGCTCTCCTTCTAACATGAAGAATGTTAATGCTACCATAACCTATTTACAGAGTACTCTTAAACTGTCATTCACTTTTATACCTGTTATCTCAATACCCCTGTGTAGTGCATTTCCTTATTTTACAGACAGGAAGAGGAATGTCAAGGAGATTAAGTGATTTGTCCAAGATTATACCGCTAAAGAGAGGCTGAGCTGAGACCAACAGGCCTGTCTCATGAGCATGAGTAAGAGCCAGCCGGGCTGATGTTAACTTGTATAATCTTATGCTCTGGAAGGTGTGCGTGCCACGAATCCAATAAGGAGCACATTAGTAAATGCAACTTGCAGACATCATGTGAAGTGACTCTTGATGCCAAGAGAAGGTACAGCAACCTAGAAAATGTGCTTTTGAAAAATGTATATAATGCCTTGAAAAACTCTGTTATTTTAAAGCAAGAACGTGATCAAATATTTTACTTTTGTGCATTAGACAGGGAAGACTAACTAAGGAGAATAATGGCAGTATTTCAACCGTCTGCAGTGTTTTGAATTGTATGTTGGCGAGTACAATAAGTAAAAATATATCTAATGTCTTGAAACTTCAAGATATGTAGCTGTCCTTCTTAAATTTCTGTGTTTTAAAAGGAATGTCTACATAAAATACACATTTTGGATTTTATGTGTAGATCTAGAGTTTATCATGTTGATGACTAGAAGTGAGACTTATTTAGAAATTTTTTCTTTGGAATCTATCTTCTTAGTGAATTGCTTATATGACATTTTCATTTCCATTCTTAAATGAAAAATATAATCACATATTTTTGTTAAGAGAATTACTAAAATAAGATTAAAAATTAGATGCCTCTTCTCAAGTAAAAGCACTTTTCTCTTACAGGGTTGGGACGTATGAGCAGAAAAGTTTAGAATTCAAAAAGACTAAATACAGAAGACATTTTAGAAATTCAATTTTCATCCAACTTTTAGCTTTTATGGAAGGGAAAATGGAAATCCAGAAATCTAAGGTCACTTACTGGAATATTATTATTCATATTAATAATTATCATATGAAAACTACATTATATGGAATTATTACATCACTTACTATTACATCACTTACACTTATGTTGTATTATACTTAGTCTTATACAAATGTAGTCTTCCAATGATAATTATTAGTATAAATGCTACTGTTAACAAGATTAAATTCAACCATAACCGCACTATAAAATACAAGTAATGTCCCTGGGTTAGGTTTCACAAATACATATTTCTTGAGAAGCTCTGAACATGTCTCAGGCTTAACTAAAAGAAAATCTTTTGCCTTTCAATTGTCATTATTGGCTTCACTTTGATCATTTAATAGAATTCAGAACTGTGAATTGTGAATTGGGGCTTGAGATATATAAACTGAGTATATTTTAGTATCAATTTCAACAGCTGAACCCCACCAAAATGGTAATCCAGCCTTCCAATTTCAGGAGGAAGTTAAAAAGTAAACATTGTAAATTTCTGCCTGAAGCATATTACTTTTTCTTTCATGGTTGGAAGTATCATATATCCAAATTCCAAACCAATTTCCACAAGCTCAGAAGGTTCAATTCTACAACTAACTTTAGCAAGATATGAAATGGAAGAATTTCACTCAGCAGTAGAAATCTAGGGAGCAGGGGTTGATGTCAAGTCCTGGGTGAAGAAGTCCTTCTTCTGTCTCTGGGGTAACCATTGCATGGAGGTAGCAGCCCCAGGAGGTAGGGCAAGAAAATGCACCTCCATGTAAGCAGGCAATGGGAGACTCCAGAGATGCTGGGAGTGGACGCAACACCCAAAGGCCCACACAGGAAACAGAAAATGTCTTTTATCCAACCAGTGTAGCTGCTTTGAAGCAAGAGAAAATGTCAAAAGAAAAAGAGGACAATTTGAGTTAGCACAACAGGGTGACTAGAGTCAACAGTAATTTATTGTAGATTTCAAAATAACTAAGAGTATAATTGGAATATTTGTAACACAAAGAAATGATAAAAGCTTGAGGTGTTGGATACCCCATTTTCCCTGATGTGATATGTGATTATTATGCATTGTATGCCGGTATCCAAATACATCATGTACTGCATAAATATATACACCTACTATGTACCCATAAAAATTAAAATTAAAAATAAAAAGGACAATTTGAATATTATGCAGACATGAAAATTGATGAGTTAAAAATGAATTTGCTCTTAAGAGAGCAATTTATAATCTTAGGTTTATAAAATGAAAAGAGTGTACAGGTTTATATTACTACATATTCATATAAATGCATATATATGAGTGTATCGTTTTATGAGTAAGCATAAAAATGAGGATAAAAACACCCCAAGGTGGTGACATTAAGTGGATGTGCCATAGATGCAGGCGAAAAGAAAAAGATTAAAAAGGGTGAGAGTTATGGCACCCTAGCTTAATTTGGTGGCCCTTTAACATAGAAATAAATATGATGGGATTCAATGATGGGAACCCCATCATTGACCACCAACCTGAATGATGGGATTTTTCCTCTAATATTTGATATTTTCTTCCTTCTAAGTTTTCTTGCAACCACCCAGAAGATTCCGAGTTCTCCACAATTCAACTAGGAATTCTACCTATTTCTGTTACAGTTTCCAAACAAAAAACTGCTCTCTCCCCTCAAATTCTAATTTCCCATGGCCAGCTGTGCTCTCCCACGTGCTGCAGGTCCAGCGTGGGCCTGGTAGACCCTTTTCTTGTGGAGTCAAGGTCTATTCTGATGTGGTCAAAGCTCTAGCTCTCAGTAATATTTGCTGAACAAATCAGATGGAAGGAAACTTCTGCTTTGTGGTCAGGGCTTTTTATTCAAGCAGAGCTCTGGCATTGAGGAGAAAATACGGATTTGATGAAAGATCTTCTTTCAAGCTGAGATTGATTTCCTCTTGGAATCAATACTGCATTTGCAGAGTTGGGCAAAGCAAAATTGATGAAGGTCCCAAGGCAGATTGTGCTAGTAAAAAATGGAGCACACGAATACAAGAGAGAGTCCTCTCTTGAAACGGGCAGAATTTGGCTTCTGAGGGGAATTTTCTAAACAATTTAAAATACTAATTTGTAAATATATGTGCATATTTTTTTTACTGTGCAATATGGGCTTGATCTGCACAGCCATGATGGAGTTGGGCTGGTCCTGAACCCAGCCACCAGTGTTCCGGGCTTTCTCAGCTTACTCTGGTTGGCACAGTTCTGCAGCAGAGTGCTCCCCTCATCAAGGCAGCACTTCAGCTGGGGCCATCTCAGCTGTAGCGCTTCACCGGTGGACCTCACATTTGCTGCGTTGGTTGCATGTTGCTCTGCCTGCGGAGTTGTGTGAAACAGGGGTGACTTCTGACATCCTTATTAATTACTTTTCTTTTTCTGAGTCAACATCTTCTTTCTCTGATTCTCATGTTTGCCACTATTCCGGGAAATTAAATTCCAATTTAATTACACAGAGTGGGCTTTTATTTGATCCCCATTAATAATTATGAAATGTAATGTCTTGAGCATTGAAATGCCTATTCATCTCATTTGTGGCAAATGATCTTTTAAAATATAAAAATGATTTTTTAGCTAATAGTAAATTGAGGTATTTTCTGCACAGTTGTTGTAACACTGAGATTGGGTCTGTTAAATTCTTGACTACTGTTTTCTTTAGAACAGAAATGTCTCTATGAGCGTTTTGATAGTGGCTTATTCTTCTCCATGGAAGAAGATAGCAATAAAACTGTGTGTGCATGTAGTTTATTTTTTTACTCCCAGAGTATCTTAGAATTGCATTGCTTTAAAGTCTTCTTTAGAGAATATCAAGTTTTCTTTTCTGGGAATTAGTGGTTAGCTCATAAAGTTTTAAATTGCCATTGTATTAAGAATGTTCACTACTGGGTATGTATGTAAAGGAAATGAAAACAATATGTCAAAAAGATACCTGCACTCCTGTGTTTATTGTAGCCCTATTCACAAATAGCCAAGATATAGAACCAACCTGTGTCCATCAGTGGATGAATGGAAAGAGAAAATGTACATCTACACAGTGGAGTATTTTTCAGTCATAAGAAAGAATGAAATCCTGTCATTCGTGGCAACATGAATGAACCTTGGAGGACATTATGTTAAGTGAAATCAGCCAGGTTTAGGAAAGCAAATACAATATGACCTCATTCATATGTGGAATCTAAGAAGTTGTTCTCATTGACTTAGAAAATAGAATTGTGATTGCTAGAGGCTAGGGAGGGTCAGGGGAGGAAGAGGATGGTGAAAAATTGGTCAATGGGTACTAAGCTATGGTTAGATAGGAGGAATAAGTTCTGGTGGTCTATTGCATAGTTGGATGACTAGTTAACAATGATATGTTGTATGTTTGAAAATAGCTATCGGAAAGGTTTTAGAATGTTCTGATCACAAACAATAAGTGTTTAAGGATATGCTAATCACCCTAATTCAATCATTATACAATTTACACATGTATCAAAACATCATGTTGTACCCCACATATATGTAAAATTATGATGTGCCAATCTTAAAAAAAGCAATGTTTATAATTCAATTTTGCTTTTACTATTGTTAAAATGTTTTATCTCCATTACTTAGAATACCGCGTGATGTGATCATAGAGCCTTCCATGTAACATTCTCTAGTGCCCTTGATTCTTTACCTATGTTACCTCAATCCTGCTGTGAATAAATGATTGTCCCCACTTTGAGGAAATGGAGTTTGGGGAGAGTTGAGCGACTTGGTTAAGATCATCTGGCTAGTAGATGGTGAAGCCAGGCATTCTATCTGGTAGAATGATGTGGCTTTCCCAAACCTCATCCTGTGTTATCTCAGAGCTACTCAGAGGTATAGAATGAGGCAAATAGATTTGGGCTCTGGATTGAGAGGCAGGCATAGCACCTGCAAATTCTATTCACATCCCAGCGATGCGAATCCCCTTTCTTCTTTTACCATGCTTTCATAGGGTTTTTTGTTTTTCTTTCTACCACTGCCTAACTGTATGCACCCTTTAGTCTCTTGCCTCTTCTGTAAATACTGACCTTCTCAGTCTGCACATCTTCTCCTGTGGATCCATTTCACATTTCTGGATCTAGCTGCACCTCTGTCTCTGACTTTTCTTTCTCTCACTCCATCTGCTTTGGCCACTTGAAAATTACAAAGTCAACCGCTACTCATCAGTGAATGAGAAGAGTGCTTTAAGAAGAGGAAACGTGTGCCTAAAATAATGTACATAGCGTCGTCCCTATTCCCTTTTTCACTCAAAAATAAAAGAAGAGTTTCAGATGATTCAAAAACTCACAGTCTACTTTTGAAAAGCATATTATCTCAGGAAGGATACAAAATGTTCTAATCAGAATTATATAAATAGCCTAAACATACACACACAGTAGTGTGGATGGTAAATATGGTTGTGGGCTGTGGGGAAGGGGCTCAGATCTGACATAAAGGTAGGTTGGTTTAACCTGGCTGTTAGGACCAAATATCACTTAATTAGAAAGGCTTGATGCAGGCATAGGAACTAGAGATAATTTTTATTTGGGAACATAGGCTGTCTAGGAGAGTTCTTTTTACCTTTTCTGAGTTCTGAGCCAATTTGCCTGAAACATATGTCAGATTTATACTTTATTTTTAAGAGGTACAGAGAAAAAAATAAAGGAGTAAAAAGCAGTGCCAGCTTCTGCTTAAAAGATTATTTTTAAAAAGCTGGAATCAAATCAGTGAACTTCAAGTACATGTGTTATGTTATCAGTTATTCTAACTCAAAACCCATGATATGCTGATGTATCCAGTGCTGGAGCATGCTGACCTTGGAGGTTCTCTCACTTCTCTGTGCTCCCTCTGCCTCAGCTCTGTGCAGCTGGACCAGAAGAGTGGGAGCAATTAACCTGTCAGTGTCTCCCATTTTTAGTACCTTATAATTTGCATATGAACCAAAAGAAGAGGTAAATTGTGAAATTTTAAACTTAATTTTCCTAGAAGAGTGAATAGTGATATGTTTCTCCTTCACAGCATGTGGGTGGTGACATTCAGTTCCCACCAAAAAAGAATCTGTTTCCCACTCCTTTCTTCATAGGTGAGTTGTTCTTTCAGGTTTTATGGGAACTCTTCAGGCTGATGAGTAAATGGCCTTTCCATACCAAATATGAGCAACTTAGGCAAGATAGAACGTCTAGAACAAGATTTCTCAACCTTGACATCACTGACATTTTGGGCTGGATAATTTTTTATCTGCGGGGCTGTCCTATGCATTATCAGATGCTTAGCTGCATCTCTGACCCCTACCCACATGATGCCAGTGGCAGCCCCCAAGTTGTGACAATGAAAAATGTCTCCAGCAGTAGCCAAATATCTCTTCCGGTTGAGATCCCCTGATCTAGAAATATAAATTATACATAATGAACTTAACAACACAGTGAGAGGAGATCATTCCAGATGGTTGCCTAGCTTCTGTAGGGAGTGGTGAGTGTTGAAACTAAATGGCATTCCAGGGATTATGACTTAAAGGATGAATTTAACACACTTAATGAGTATTTTTGTTGTGTTTATTGTGTGATGACCAAGTTGCTCAAATAGTTTCATAAAAGGCTGTGGATCCTTCTTGGAGCCACCCAATGATGTATCCTGAGGAAGGAAAACCTATATACATTTGTATATATTTTTTTAAGCTTCTGAATCTTAAATGATGGTTTAGAGCCTCAAAGTAAGAATAGAAGGAGACAATAAAAATGACACTGCGTGATAGCTTCAAAATAAACAGAACTTTAAAAAATGACAACATTTCATCATTTGGTTGAAAGTAATTAATGGCAAAGGAAGGGAATTAATGAGCAAGTCCAGAGAGTGAAAGGATCTTCCTGAGCAACAGCGATGGACCAATATTGTTAATTTTGCAAGTGCAGCCAACTCAAGTATTACAAGTTATGGAGTGCAACTCAAGACAGTAAAGGAAAAGGTTAGGCTAAGGCCAAATAATGTGCTGCAGCGGAGGGACTCGATGCTTGCTTTTCAACTGGTCAGTCATTTCAGGAGAGGGGCCACCTTGTCTGTAAGACCTGACTCCTGAGTGATGATCTGAATTCTCACCCAGAGGCTTTCTCAGGCCAAAGGTATCATCAGTCTTCCTCATTCTTGAGGCTGGAGCATCTGAGTAATACCTATTAGTACCATAGACTGAGCTGTCTCCTAGTTAAAGGAGACAGGAAGACCTACAGGTTGTTTTTCATTAGTGCCATCTAAAGAGGCTGGTAACTGATGGCTGGGACATATAGGGAGGGTATATAGTGTTTTCTCACTTGGCTTGGCTGTTGGCAGGCAGAAGCAAACACTGTTGAGGCTGCTTGTTGGGGAAGGAGGATAAGGAATGATTCCATTTAAATTGTTGAGTCTATTTCTCCTCACTCATCAGTGCCATCTCCCTGATTTATTGCTTTTTTCGTTAACATTGACAACAACAATAATTATCTAAATGTATACAATATTTCAAGGTTTCCAAAGAACTTTCTCCTTTGGGCCTTGATTTATTGGCAGCTGCTCCAACAGATTCTTAACTTTAAAGTCGCCTGATGACTCCATTCCTGTACTCCTGAAAATCAGCTTCACATTTATTTCACCTACCATTTAGTGATACTTTGATCCTAATTCCAGCCCTGCCAATAGCTGGGAAATGCAAAGTGCTTTGAGAATCACAAGTGAAAGGAATGTTCTAGGAGGAATTATGTTATTTTTAAAGTTATGAGGTTCTAAACCCTTTCATTTATATTTTTTCCAGTGTAAATTACTGTATTAACATATAGTCCTCCTTGGTGGAAAGAAGTAAAGCTCTGTTAATATTTATTCTGTTTCTAAAAGGTAACGGCAGAATTCCCTGGGTTGTTCACTTGATTTGATGTATACTGATCCTGAAATTGCAAGGCAGACGGGGTAAATGTTGGCTGCAGGCGTGAATCTCCTGCTTAGCAGGCTGCTTTAGAGCTGTTTTCGAAGAAATCTCCATCTTTGTTATTTCTTTCAAGGTGTTGTATAATTTTAAAAGTGGCAGTTGCCACAGTATGTAAAAAAGGCTGACAACTGGCAGCATTCAGCTTACTTTTCTGTCCCTCTTGCAGAAAGCTAAGTGTTTTGCACTGTGGGGGGTGGGGAAGTGGAGTCACAGACTTTATTTGGATTTAGTTGCAACATGCAGCCTGGTGACAATAGACTCCTACGGAGCAAAGCTTTTTGTAAGCTATGCTTGGCAGTGCTGGTAGAAGCCCATCATAATTCAACTCATAATATGTGTTGAGATGGCTGTAATGTCAGGATATCTGTAAATTTTGAAGAGGTAGAGAGTTATTTGCCCTCCTCAATTGTCAGACTTGTAATTAGTCCTTGTTAATCTGATAATAATGTTAGAATCATAATTCCCTGTTTTCTTCATTCAATGCATATTTCCAAAGCTGTGCCCAGAGTATGTTATTTGTAGCTCTGAAGTTGTCAAGAGAAGGAGAAGGAGAAGAGAGATATGGTTCCTCACCTTCAGAAGCTTAAAGATGGAGGCAGAGAAAGGCAGATTCTGAAATGAACAGAATAGCAGGGGGACAGGGCTGCCCAGGGAGCACTGTGCCCTCAGAGCTCTCCTGTGGGAGGTGAAGGGTGGAGGTCAGGGGGATTCAGGTTCAGAGATGCTTTGAGATCCCTTTGGTAAGTTTCTGGGACTATTGCATGTTAGACTTTACTGTGTTCGATGAATTTGTGTGATGCTCAAGGTTGATACTCTCCTTCCATTTGCTTATAGCCTGGGAAACAGGTTGACCTACCTTAGTTCTTTAAAAAAACATGTCATATTAAACCAACAAACAAATGAAAAGTTTTGAAGGAGGCCTGAGACGGCAGAGAAGGAAGTCAGTGGGAACTAGTATGGAATAAGATGCACAAAGATCACCTATTTGGGCAGACCAGTTGTGGAACTGGTTGGGGAATTGGAATCAGGGTCATCTGTTTATTCCCTAACGTCCTCTAATGAGAGAAAACCTGGAAACGAAGGAGCCCTAAGTGCTCTTTCGGAAAACAACTGAGTAACTGTGAAAGGGAAATTTAAGCAAACTCAGGGAGCTTGACTTAATGGAATGGACATTTAGGATTGATACGAGAAAAATTGAGCAAAATTATATGCATGTCAAATTGAACCAAGAAGCTTTAGTAACAAAAGGCAGTCTCAGAATTGAAGTCCTATGTATGAAAAGCGATCTAGAGTGCTTGCCCAGCTCCTCTGCTCTGTTTGGCAAATTATTCTGGTTATGAATAAAGCTGTTTGTAACTTTGCTGATCTTGAACTCTTTTTGAGTTAGGGTTTAAAAGAGCAACCAAATTTCATTGAAAATATATTGAACAAAATTAAAATGTGAAGTAGGTTTGAGAGCCAGCCCTTTCTCTGGGCCCACCAGCTTCCTGGCACACAAGGGTCCAGTGTGTGTTTGTTGTAGCCAAGTAGCAAAAGATGTACTAAGCAGGGAAAAATTGTCTGTTGGCTTTTTCCCCCCTTAACTCTAACTTCAAAAAGTTTTGGAAGTAATTGAACCAAAGATCTGATTAATTTTGAGCTAAAATGAAAGATGCAAAAATAATCTTTGAAAGTAGTAAAGTGATCATATGAACACATCAATTCTGACTAAGATGAGGGGAGTAAGCAAATTTACAACAGAGCAAGGCATTCTTTAAATGCTGTTGTTTAAAATGTTCTTTAAAATGTTTTCTTAGATAAGAGTGGGGTAAATCACACACATATTATTATTAATATGTATTTTTTTGGAATGAAAATAGATATAGGGATTTAAGAGACTGACCAGAGTGTGTTGTTAATTAACTCTTCCTTCCTGTAAAGTTATTTTGGCCAATCTGTCTCTTGTTCTTGGTAAAATAATGAGTGATTTTTATGTTGTTCCCTTTTGCATTATAACTATAATATTTTCTTTTTTACTAAGATGGGGTCTTTAAGCAGAGAGATAGAAAGATAAAAAATGAGAATAAAGGGAGGAGGGCAGTCAGAGAAATAAACAAAGGTGGTCATAGTTGTTGCAAAAAAGAGAGAACCCAGGGGTCTTTCGTCCCAAGAGGTTGTTCACCGCCTAAGACAAGAGTTACCTCATGACAATAAAAACAATACTGCATTCGGCTTACGCTACAATTGAGACTATGATTATTTTGACTCCATACCATGCACTATTTTGCCCTTCTGGAGTTTGGTGAGTTGGATTTTTCTCTACCTTGAAACCCCCTCATTTTCCAATATTCTCTGTCCTACGTGGTTTTAATGTGATCAGTTTTTGTTCCTTTACTGTGCTGGGTAGGGTTCTTAAAATGCTTTCTTGACATTTAATTAAACATGTTTCTGTTGGTAGTCCTAAGGTTCTGGATAGGCAATAGTTTCAGGGCCATGGGAAACACACCATTTATAACAATAAGTAGCTAAGAGTTGGGAGGGACTTTAAAAACAGGTACTCTGTCAGCTGTTTTGCTTTTGCACTACCCACCCCCAAAATAATTTTGGAAATCTATCTGTCCCCTTGCACATTTTTAAATGAAGCCTAAAATTTATATCACAAATTTAAATACTACAGTCCCAAATTATGTAGTTTTTAATGTAAATGTTTCCATTTTAGAACAAAAATGGTACATCTCTCTTTTAAGAATATATGATTATATCTGGAAACTACCGTGATTTGTTCACTACTGCTATTCATTTAAAATACATAAATAATCTCTTCTTTAACATATGGAAATTTTTCTATCCTTTCCTTTCCTCCATGAACTGTTATTTCCATTTAACTTTCTTCACAGAACTTAAAGTAATATATCTATACTTTAAAGGCTTTTATTGATCACTCTTTCATACCTCTCTATAATGAAAATATTTATATAAATTAAAAATTTTTTTTTCTGAATTAGATTTTCATTAGTATCATTGATCAAAATAATTTTAGATTTAGGTAACCAATAAAAATAACTATATTTGTTTTAAAATGCATCTGTTAATGAAACAGATGGGCTTTAAATATTTTAATTAGTTTATTCATCTGGGGTGACATTACTTATTACTAGAATGAGAAAAGGCTCAATATTAATTGTATTTTAATTTTTTATTTTTATAGTTTTAAGTGCTGAGAACAATTGTTTTTATAAATGAATTGATGAGAAAAAGATATATTTGTCTTTCCTCTCTTCCCAGTTTTTAATTAAAAATTTGTTTATTCTCTCTTTTGTTTAATAGGTGCTTGCCTTTCATTGGCTAGGAACCCTTAATCTATTGTAGATGTTAAAAGTTTGAATCAAGATTGCTCTAGCTTGAAATTGCAATTGGTGGTGCTTGCTACAATTTAAAATCCCCTTTGTAGGGATACTATGGTACTCTTCCTAGCTCCCTGCTTCAAGTCAGAAGCATGATTCCCAGATGCTGAGAAAATGGACAACTGATAGCTTATAGCTGCCTCTCACTGGAGAATTGCTCTCATGCTCTCAGCCAAAGGGACCTGCCTGGCCCTAGATTAACATGCTGGTGTACAGCCCTGTCTAGCTGGTGCAGGGGTACAAATGCCTGGCTTCAACTGGAACAAATCTTCTTTCTTTTTTAAAAGTACATTAATTTATTGTATAGTGCGGAAAATGCAAAATTCATGAAGAACATACTCAGCTTCAGACACCAACAGTTTTTGACTGTTTCTGTTTATATTTATTCTGATACTAACTTGCAAAATTCTAAATAATATGCCTAGGATGTCTCCTTCTGGATTCATGATTTCACAAAAGTGGAGGATTTGGTTCATTACAAATACCCCAAGGTTTGGGCTTTGATTGAAACTGTCACCCAGATAAGGAACCTCATACCCAACTGGAAACAAAGCTGAAGGGTCAGCTCAGCTCTAGAGCTCCTTGTAGAATTGGCCTAAGGCTTCTGTTGGAACCATTGAGCTTTCCCCTCCACCCAGTCCTGCCTTCCTCGCGTCCTCGCAAGTGTATTCTTGGGAGTACCTCTCATAGCTGTTTTCATCTCTGAGTCTGTTCCCAAGAAACTCATTGTAAATTCTCCATTCAAGAAATTTCACTTTTGGAGTGTGATTCTGCTGGAGGGAGTGAAAAGAATCATTTAAATTTGGGTAGAAATAATACAACGAGCCTATTTCATATATTGTGGTTATTTTTGCTAGTGTCTTTTTATATTGTTTGTGTTACGAAATATCTATATTCAACAGGGGGACAGCTGTTGAAAATATGACCCACCCTTGATAAATACTCTCTTTGGATTTTTACTAATGAGTCAATAATATTTTGGTTATGTCTTGGATGATCTCCTTTCATTCCCAAGTGTGAGGTAGGATAAACTCAACTGCAATATACTCACATTTTAAAATGTAATAATCCTCACATTTAAAATACCTCAACATAAACTATGTTGTAGTTAAAGATGTGGTTTTTAACAGGGAATATGTACACAAGCACACATATTCCTTAGTAGCATGGAGCCAAGGGAAAAGCAAACTACAGTTCATGAATAATGCAGAATTTTTCTGTTTATGCAATTTCTATCTGTTGTGTGCATGGTATTTATGATATTCACAAGATAAACTGATAGGAGTGTGTGATCTGCTAATATGTATATTTTAAAAGCTTTAATTACTGTTTTTATGGAAGCATGATGCTGTGTACTTTGACTCCAGGGAGATGAAAATTAGAAAATAAAATAGCAACACAACCAACACAAATGCTCCTGAACAACAAGCCTTTTATTTTTAAATGAGTGATACTTGATGTGTGTCTTAGCACACTCCAGGACCTCAAAGGGCTTGTCAGCATTGCTTTCTGATTACAGATTAAATGAAAAAAGAGAACAGATTTGAGTGGAGCGATTCTGCCTTTCCCCTTGCGAATCTCTCACCGTCACTGCTTTTTGCTGGCTATGTGTTGCCTTAGTTGAATGAAGAGAGGTGACTTATGTTTTTCAAATGCTATATTAACCTTGGAAATGATCTTGGATAACTTATCTTGGAAATTAAAGTTTTAATGAAGTGAGAGTCCCTAGAGAAAATTACAGAAAAACACATTTTTTTCCTCTGTAAATCAAAGGCACAATCCCACTAAACATTTTTGTGAACTCTGTAGATTTATGAGCTGATGTGATTTAGTGGAATGTAGTGTAGATGGAGGAACTGGCTTCTTCTATCATTGGGTAAGAAAAATCACTGGTTCACTGTGCAGCTATGAACAGATCATTTAACCTTTTTGAACTATTGTAATTAGAAAAATGCAATGTTTGGGCTAGGTGATGTCAAACATTCAGCACAGACATTTTGGAAAATCCTATATGCACTTTATTTTCACCTTCAAAACATTCATTTTAGGCCATTATGTTTGAAAGACCTTCTAGGTCTATAAACACTGTCTTTTTTTTTTTTTTTTTTTTTTAATGAAAACTGACCCTTTTTTCTCAAGGACAGATGTTGCAAAACGTGTTAAAATGTCATTGTTATTTTTTTTTCAAGACCAGCATTTTTCAAATGCTTTTCAGATACTTTGACTCTCCCCCTCATTTGTTTTTTGAAAAAATTTACTAAGTTGTTTTGCTTGTTTATAAATATGGCTTTCTTTGATGACCATTTTTTGTCAATTTCCCTGAGTTTAGAAACTTTGAGGTGTAAAATGGCTTCTCATGGGTCCTTGCATTAACTGAATTGAGAAAATATTAAATCTAAGGTTTGGAGGGGAGTTTTTTTCTTTTTTTCTTTCTTTTATTTATTTATTTATTTTTTCGAGATGGAGTCTCACTGTATCTCCCAGGCTGGAGTGCAGTGGCATGATCTCGGCTCACTGCAACCTCTGCCTCCTGGGTTCAAGCGATTTTCCTGCCTGAGCCTCTGGAGTAGTTGGTATTACAGGCATGTGCCACCATGCCTGGCTAATTTTTGTATTTTTAGTAGAGATGGGGTTTCACCATGTTGGCCAGACTGGTCTCAAACTCTTGGCCTCACGATCTGCCTACCTCAGCCTCCCAAAGTGTTGGGATTACAGGTATGAGCCATTGTACCCGACCAGGAGGGGAAAACTTGTTTCTGACCTTTTTATCCAATACAGGCTTTTACGAATTATTGACATTTAGGTAGTCAGTGGTGTGATTTAAGATGAGATAGTGCCCCAAATATTTGGCTTTATACCTGATAAAATGATGCCCTAATTTTCACCTGATTAGAATATTTAGCTTGTTGTGTGCAATGGCATGAAAAGCCTAAAGGATTCAAGATAATTCAAATTCCTATTGATTCACGTGATATTTTCACACTCAGTTCTTTCATCTGTTGTTTCTGCAAACACCTTCAAAACACTTCAATTTGATAATAATATATATATTCTTTGAGACAGGGACTCACTCTGTTGCCCAGGCTGGAGTGCAGTGGTGCCATCTGGGCTCACTGTAACCTCCACCTCCTGGATTCAAGTGATCCTCCCACCTCAACTTACTGAGTAGCTGGGAGTACAGGCGCACATCACCATGCCTGGCTAATTTTGTATTTTTTGGTGGAGACAGGTTTTCATCATGTTGGCTAGGCTGGTCTTGAACTCCTGACCTCCAGTGATCTGCCCGCCTCAGCCTCCCAAAGTGCTGGGATTACAGGCGTGAGCCACTGCGCCGGGCCTGATATTAATATAATTTTAAGAAAGATTCTTTTTTTCATTTAAAGTGCTGTGGCTTATTTATTTATTTATTAGCTCACAAAATTTTCATCTGAATTGGTCAGAGTAGGACCCTAGGAAACCGGAGAGGATGTGGGAGCTTCACAGAATTCACTGCATCTGTATTCCTATGCATCGAGGAATGAGATTTTTACCGTACACCCAACTTGCTCTGAAAAGGTCCTCTGAAAAAACAAATAGCATGTAGCCCGTGTGTGTGTGTGTGTGTGTGTTTGAAGGTTGACTAGTGTGAATTAGTTAAATGCTTTGTTTCCATTCCAACCCCTAATGAATTTACCTGTAATCCTAGTAGCTGGAATCTAATGCTTTTTTTTTTTTTTTTTTTTTTTTTTTTTTTTTTTTTTTTTTTTTTTTTTACCACAGGGAGCTTCTTGAGCTACCTTCTCGTGGAAGCCAAGTCCCAGTGACTGGTCCACGTCACCCCAACTGGATAGTCTAGTGTGTGATGCTCCTCATGGCTTCCACTAGGAGTGTGTGAGTTGCTGCTTGCCTGACCCACTTTCCACTTCCCATTTTGCATAGGGGCTCCTACTTTTTTGTTTGTAGACACACTGAATTATGAGGGAAGTTTAAACAGTTTATTTATGGAGGTTTTTTTTTTTTGTCTCTCAACCTTTCTCGGGGGAGAGATGGCAAAATGCTTTCATGTTTCTTTCCCTTTCTGAAGGCAGTTTATACCCCTCCAGTCTAGCATCTCCCATTTGGAGAACTCTTTCCCTTTGGAGAATATATACCAGGCTATCAATTTCTTCCTGTGGTTTATTAATTCCTCCCCCTCTGACCCTTGAAGGCAAATTGAGGTCAGGGACCATATGTTATACTTTGCATCTCCCATAGCACAATATCTATGACATGTGTAATGTCTAATGCCCACACACAATACCTACAGTACTTTAGTTAAATGCTTTGTTTCCATTCCAACCAAGTCCAATTATTATATATTGACTATAATAATAGCAATAATTACCATTGGGTTTTTTTTGAGTGTGTGCGCCTTGTTTTATGTTAAGCATTCCATGTGCATCATCTCATTTAGACTTTATATCAGTTTTGTAAGGTCAATATTAGAAATATTCTCCATTTTATAAATGGAAAAACCAAAGCTCATAGAAGTTAAATAATTCCCAGGTTAACACATGTGCATTCACATGCACACACACACATACACACCTAATGCCATGTACCAAAGCCCTTCTTCTCTCAGTTTCTGCTGGCTCTGTAAGCAAGGGAGAAGAAAGCTATTCTCAGAATAAGCAGTAGAGAAGAAAGCTGTCTCAAGATGGGGCCAAGTGGAGGTGTGCAGAGAAGGAAAATACATATACTCTGATTGCCAGTTTTCCCCTGAAGTACAAAATCAACCTAACTTGTACCAAGACATTTTATCTCTTTTTGTAGAATGCCCCCACATTGTCTACTTTATCTCCTTGTGTTGCCATGGCTTTAATCTTATACCTTGTGATATAATCATCTTGGCCATTTGTCCTTTTCCTGCCTTAAGTTTTATCATAAAGATCCTTGCACCAATCCTAGCACTTTGGGAGGCCGAGGTGGGAGCATCACTTGGTCAGGAGTTCGAGACTAGCGTGGCCAACATGGTGAAACCCCATCTCTACTAATAATATAAAAATTAGCCAGGCGTGGTGGTGCATGCCTGTAATCCCAGCTACTCGGGAGGCTGAGGCAGGAGAATTGCTTGAACCTGGGAGGTGGAGTTTGCAGTGAGCCACGACCGCACCACTGCACCCCAGCCTGGGTGACAGAGGAAGACTCTGTCTCAAAAAATAAAATAAAATAAAATAAAATAAAAGATGCTTGCCCCAAATTAAATAAAAATGTTTGAACCTGCACCAACCATATATATGGGCCATGCCCAACTCACTCTGCCCTGCTGTCTCTGCTTTCCTGGCCACTAAACTGAGGTTTGGCACAGAGAGGTGTGGTTACAGTGGGTGGGAGATGAGGTTGTCCAGTTTATCCAGCCCAAATCGTAGCTTAGATATCTGAGATGGGAGGAGTATGAGTGTGTGTGTGTGTTTGTTTCTTCCTGGGAAAATTGAACTAAGTGGACTCAGGAGAAGCAGTTTTTGAGCAACCATCACATATGGTGGAGGCTCAGACAAGCTTGGCTGAAGTGGGCCAGACAGCAATGTGCGAAACACAAACACTACCTACCTCCTAAGTTTATCTGGGTCCTGTAAAACCTGCCCGAATCTGAAGCTGAGTCAAATCACAATTTTGGATATTGTTGCCATGAATTCAGTTTCCACTGTGGTAACTGAAAGTTTTAATTGGAGCAGAAACTCAAAATCCATGTTGTTCTGCAAGACTGGAGACCTTGGCCATCTATAGTACCTGGTCATGTAGTCTTTCCCACTGAGCATAAACCAGTTGTTCTGTCAGAAGCCACTTATCTAATTAAGTGAACAGTGCACAGAAGGTAACAATTAGGCTTTAATTAGCAGTTGTTTCCAATCATACAGTCCAACTTTAATGGGGGATGTGGTGCATGGTCTCATCACATTAAATTGTATTTGTCCTAATGCAAATTGGTGTCAAAACCTGTGTTAATTGGAAGAAAAAAATGAAGATTGTAACTTTATTCCATAATAAAAAATTAGACTTCATGAAGTACACTTAAAAGCAAAGTGGAACAATGTTTAAAATTCACTGTTTCAATAAAATTTTATTTTTCCTTAATAAAAGTTTTCCAGATATGAATATTCTAGATTTTAAAAATAATAAAACATAATTAAATTTCACTAATATCCTCTTATTGGTCTCATTTTGTATTAAAATCAAGAAATTATGTAATTTACTTTCAAAGAGGTCATAGATGCATTGTACAAAATTATAACTAAAGGATCCTAGGGAAAGGGCTCTGTGCATGCTTGTTCTTGGGCCACCCAGTGCCTCTCCCCAGAGGCAATAGTTCTATAGTTGCGCTAATATCTTTCTAGGGTTATTCAGGATTTTATTCTTTCTTATAAAAATTATAACAAAAGTCTTCACATACATCACGTAGTTCAAGAGATTTATGACTATGTATTTACAAAGCAGATTCTCTTTTGTCTTTTGAGGGGCTGACATTTAATTAGTTGTTGATATGCACTTGGGAGATGCAAACTAATTTATTACAGTATTTACATAAAACATAATTAAGAAGACAAATATACTGCTATCAAAACAAAGGAAAACACATGCTGTAATAAAACATCGAACTGGAGTAGAATTTGCCCTGTGCTTTAAATGATGGTGGCTGTGGCTCTTCATAATGCTGCTGGAATAGGGTTTCCTGTCTTCCATGCCTGTCTCTGCCTTGGAGGGACTTTGGTAAATCCTGATCTGGTTATTAGTTATCTACATTAAGACTGAAGGTTTGGACAGCACTGCCTCCTGAGCACCAGTATCGAGGCCTGTGGGCTCCTTTGCCCATTCTCCATTTCTTTGAGAGTTTTGGACGGGGCATTAAAAGCACAGCAGCACTGCAGTATTCTAAGTCTGAGCCCTTTTCTTGCTGGTGGTCAGAATAATGCCATGGAACTCAGAAAAGGACATTTTACCAAATTGTCTACTACGTAAGGATAGCACTTCTCTGCAAATGCTTTTGAAGTTCTGGAATAAAAAGTGAAAAACAATAACTCTAAGCACACTAGGTCAGACCTTTTCTAAGATGAGAAGGCTCTCATTATGAGGCTTCAAAAGGTAGCAACAGCCATACTGCTAAGATGAGAAAGTTTAATTCTGTGAAACAACTGCAAAGGACTTTTTCCCCCAATGCAGCAGGATATCATCTGGCGTAAACTGAATGTTTTCTGTGTAATATGAACAGACTAGTGGTGATTCAAAATGTTCTGTAATTCCTCCTTCTGCCCTGGCCATCACCCTCACTTATCACCTTCTCTCTCTGTAGTATCATAAACTTGCTTCCTGCTCATGGGTCTCCTTTTTGTGTGGGGGAATGAGAACTAGTGTTACCAACTTCCATACCACTTCTTCTCATCAATGACCGCATCCTTATAGGCCCTTGGCACTAACTGTTTCCCGACCATGATAATCTTTCTTGGGGCCCTGGCTTATGGGAGTATATTAGTCCATTCTTGTTTTGCTATAAAGAAACACTGGAGACTGGGTAACTTATAAAGAAAAGAGGTTTAACTGGCTCATGGTTTCGCAGGCTGTATAGGAAGCATGGCAGCATCTGCTTCTGGGGAGGCCTCAGGGAACTTACAGTCGCGGTGAAGGCGAAGGGGGAGGCAGCACTTCACATGGCAGGAGCAGGAGGAAAAGAGATTGGGGGAGGTGCCACACACTTTTAAACAACCAGATCTCATGGGAGCTCACTCACTACACAGTACCAAGGGAAGATGGTGCTAAACCATTCATGATCCCATCACCTCCCACCAGGCCCCACATCCAACACTGGGGATTATAATCCAACGGGAGATTTGGGAAGGGACACAGATCCAAACCACATCAGGGAGGTACATTGTCTTTCTGGTCGTACTGTCCGTCCCCCAGTAACAGAAATAGGGAAACATTATTCTTTAGTTTTCAATCCCTGCCTCTCTCCAGAGGAAATTTGTCCCTCAGCATTCTCTTCAGCTTCAGGATCACAACAGTGCCAGATTAATATTCTTTCCAAACATTTCCCTCTGCTATCTTCTTCACCTTGTCTTATACATCATGCTCAGTAGCTCATCATTCAGTTTCTGGACCATCTAAGGTTTTGCATCCTCTAACATCTTGGTAAAGAATCAAATGCATGTGTTCAAAAGAGATTTCATTATCTGCCCTGGAGACGATTTTCAGTGAAACAACAGAAGAATTAAATTTGTGAATCACACCTCAGAGAATTTTTTCAGCCAATCCCTATTCTTAGGGAATTTATAATCATTTTGGAGGGTTTTGAAAAATGATGGTAGCTGCTTTCCTTTGTACACTAAGGGCATTTCTCTTTCTCTTTTCCTGTGAACTCTACATGTTCACGGATAGATTTTACAAATCCCTTGGCACCTTTGTTATTCTCTCGCAGCTCTCTCCATGTTGTCTTTACTTGTCATGTTGGAGAATCCTAAAGTAGAGATGGATTCAAAGGAAACTAAGTAATATGAACTAGCTTGAGGAGATCGCCCACTAGATCTTAAATTTTAGCATTCTCATTTCAAACTGTTCCTGAGGAGACTTTTGATAAAGAAGACATTAGTCTTTTTTTTTTTTTTTTTTTTTTTTTTTTTTTTTGAGAGACGGAGTCTCGCTCTGTCGCCCAAGCTGGAGTGCAGTGGCGCGATCTCAGCTCAAGCAAGCTCCGCCTCCCGGGTTCACGCCATTCTCCTGCCTCAGCCTCCCCAGTAGCTGGGACTACAGGCGCCCCCCACCACGCCTGGCTAATTTTTTGTGTTTTTAGTAGAGACGGGGTTTCACCATGTTAGCCAAGATGGTCTCGATCTCCCGACCTCATGATCCGCCCGCCTTGTCCTCCCAATGTGCTGGGATTACAGGCATGAGCTACCGCCTCAATGCTGTTGTTTATATCTGCCCACATCTTCAAGTTGTCAGGGTGTTTTTTCATTGCAATGACACCCTCCAAATGAAGTCGACACTCCACCTACTTGGTGCTGCCCACAAATAGTAAGTAGAGTCTCTGACTGTCATTAGTAAAAATGAAGTCCGATTTATTAAGGAAAAAGCTGACAGAACAGCCTGGTTGAAAAAAAAAAAAAACAATCAAATGGGAATGAGAAGACCTGCATTTCCCAATGGCTAGTTGGCTGGCCACTTTCTTGCCTTGACGTTTTTCTAACATATAATATGGGAATCATGATTTCTCCCTAGAGGTCTTGGGAATATTCTTACTCAAGTATTTGGGGAGCATTTTTTATGGTGTATAGCACTGTGCTAGAATCTGAGAAAGAGAAAGATATAAATGAAAAGAATTGCTGTCCTTTAGGAATAAAAAATGTAGTTGAGGAAGCAAAATATACATACATAATAAATCAGTTTAGCAACAGTAATGATTGTTTACCTCTTTAGAGCATTTTATAGTTTTCAAAGTTATTATATGTGGGTATACAAAATTATATATATATAAATGCACATATATTCATGCATAAATATAACAAGGATTAAATGAAATTCTACATATGTGAAAGTATATGCATATAAATATATACATATATTTGTGTGTGTGCATATATGTGTGTGTGTGTTCACAATTTCATTTAATCCCTATTAGCAACTCTATGCGGCAGATAGTAATGACTCCCCATCACAGATGACAACACTGAGGCCACATGATATTAAGTAAAATTGCAAGTGAAACAGGATTTTAACACCTGTCTCTGGATGCTAAGCCCTGTGATCTTTCTATTGCAGCATACATTATTTTCTTAATCCAGGACAAGGGTGCATCCCCAAAGTGTAATGTGCCTAGTAAGTGCTGTGGAAAGCTTGCTTGGAGGAAGTGGGTTTGAGGTGCAGAAGAAGATGGGGTCTCAGATAGGGAGAGAAACACGCTCTAAAGTCTGGCATGTGGCACACTGAGAAAGAAGAAAATTGTGAATGCGAAGGATGTGTGAGTTTGGATTTTTCTGAAGGATTGGATTACATGAGTGAATATATTGCAGTGCGTGAGATTAGAGTGTAGACTGGCTGTGGAGTGGGTTACAGCATGGGATCAGAGAGGTGGGTTAGAGGTCTTTTGTACTCTCCAAACAGAAAATGCCTAAGGGAAAATATGAAAAAGAAGAGGCTGGATAGACGGACCCTTTGGAAAGACTTTGTAATGAATTCATCTAGTCTAGTGTCAAAGATTGGGTTTCTGGCTCCATGACTAACTAGGTTTGCTACCTAATCAAGTTGTTTATCTTCATCAAGTCACAAAAGTACCTGGCTCATTGGGTTGTTCTGAAGACAAATAATCCATAGAAAGCCACTTTAACTCACCAACTCACCACCTAGCATTTAGAAATCATTCATTAAATGTTAGCTAGTTATCCTAGTATTAGAGGTAAAGTGGTAGAAGGAAAGATATAAAAAGATAATCTATTGTATGAACATGTTTTAATTCCTCAGAAGAAAGACGAACTCTCTATTAAACCAAGGCTTTACACTGTTTTAACTAAAAAGCAACCAATACCAGCTTTCTCTGTGGACAAGATTTATTTTAGTTTAAATGGACAGTTTCCACTATGAAGCAATATTAGTGACTCACAGCAAAGATAATAAAACTAAGAACCACCTACACATCTTTACAAACTTTAAACTATTTGTAGTAGTGAAATAATAGTGTTTCAGGTTCTGATTTATATCAGCTTAAGCCAGTTCTTTGTATATTTCAAGACCTGCATCATCATTGTGACATTTAGACATAAGGATATTGGGGGTTTCACTGAGGCAGTCGTAGTTTTAGAGTTTGACAAAGAGTGAGGAGTAAGCACTTTCCATTTGTTCCAGGAACTTAAACATTTAATCCCTTTGGAACTACTGAGGATGTCCATAAGCCATGTCAGAGATACCACATGAGGAAGGCATTGAATAAAATACCTCCCCTCATCCCACAGGGTTGGTATTTTAATGAATCTTTAAAGCATTTGACTAATCAAATAACTTTGGCAGATTTCCTCTCAATATTTAAATGACAGTCAATTCCAAGTGCAATATTTACAAAGTCCAAAAGGATACAGAGTTTATCAGGTGGAACAGAAATTTTCTCTGGTCTTTAGAAGGAGGACTGACATTACCACGCCCTGTCTCCTTACTCAGAGGGACGCTCCGTTCAATTTTCCCATAAATTGCCTGGCTGCATTTTCCAATTCAGTCTCCTACGCCTTCCTAAAGGCAATTTTAAGACTAGGTGGCTGCCAATATAATATAATTTCGGTGGAAACAGAAAGGCCCACCTGCCTGAAATCTTCACTCAGTGGCTAGGTCATCCTCTCTAGAGGGCTACAATTAAAATTAATGTGTTATATTTGGCACTGGTGTGCATTCATTTGTCTGAGAATTCTACAGTCAGAAGACACTTTGCATACCACTGTGGTCTAACTTCGTTTTCCAGTTGGGACAACTGGACCATCAGCTCCAGGAGATTGTGTTTTATTCCTCTGATTCTTGCCTAGCACTGTGCTGTGGCTTCCGATGGTGCCTAAAAAAGCATCCCTGTTTGAGGCTGCCACTGCAACATCTACCTCCAAGAGGTGAGGTACAGAAACAGCACATTGCAAGGGGGTTCCAGAGTCATAAGATGACAACTCTGCGCCAGGGCGGGTAGGGGAAGGATAAAGCTGGGAGAGGAGGAAAGAGTCGGTGCCCAGTTAGAAGAGGACCATGGCTAGAGAGTGAAAAAAGAAAAGTGTTGCTTCGCCATGATTTCTGAGGCTATTTCTACTCAGACAGCATGTTTCACAATATTGGTTGCCCTCTATTTAGAGGTTTCTCATTGATTAATGCCATCTCAAATCAGGAGTGGGCTACTGTGTACCGTGAGGCTTTTCTGTGTTTTGATTCTGAGACCCTGAAATAATTTTGTAATGATCTAAAACTATTTTGGATGGGCTGTTGGGAGACTGTTTCAAAACACTTTTATCATAATATATTTTGTTTATATAGCATATGTATATCTATACGTGTGTTATGCTACGTATGTATATATAATTACATATAAAAGATATCAATATGTATCTATATATGTGTAAATATATTGATATTTGTATTTATGGCTTTATTATGTATAAATATATAATTATTTATGCATAAATATATTTATTTTAAAGGAATTGAGAGATTTATTTTATATGATAGGGGCATCTAAAACCGCCAAATTCTAAAGATGCAAGAGAGCTCAACCAGTTCATCTTCCTCCTTTTTTAGGTAAAGAAACTGAGAGAGTCAGGAAAGTTGAGTGACTTGGCCAAGGTCTCAGGAAAAGCAAGAGCCCCACCTAGAGCTCAATTTGTACTTTCCAGGCCAGGATACCTTCCAGTGTACCCCTGGGTCTAGGGCAGTAGTACTTGGTGCTGGTAAAGGGGTTAGGCTCTGGGTCTTGAAATTGTTTCCTACTCATGATTCTGAAATGCACTACCTCATACTTTGACTTGATATCCACTTTAGAAGGGCCAAAAGGAGAATGTGAAGAAGTCATTGGCTTGGAGAGAGTACGATAAAACCTCAATAGGAAAACTAAATGTGGTTGATTTGTACATTCATCAAATGTAAATGAATACCTGTTCTTACAATGGAATGTCTATAACTGTGTCCTGAGAACCCATCCTAGCAGATACTACTCACAGAAATAGGTCTTTCCTTTCTATTTTCTCTCCTTATCATTGAGACCACTAGAGTCCATCTTGCTTTAAGTTTACATTGTAAGAGCAGAAAAAAAAAAACCAAAAAAACAAAATCTGGACTCAGGTGTGGACTCTTCAAAGATAAACCACTGGTAACAGTCATTCTAGTCTCCACCAGTGATTTATCTCTGAAAAGGGCCTGACAAAGGGGGATGGATGGAAAGGGGGTAGATGTTGATCAAACGGTACAAAGTTTCTGGTAGACAGGAATAGTAACCTTTAGTGATCTTTCACACAAAATGGTGATTATAATAAATACGATTGCATTACATATTTCAAAATTGCTAAAAGGGTAGATTTGACATGTTTTTGCCACAAAAAATTATATGTGAGGTGATGAATTTGTTAATTAGTCTGATTTAATCATTCAACATTGTGAACATATATCAAAACATCACCTTGTATGCTATAAATAAATACAATTATTATTGGTCAATGAAAAATAAAATAAAAATTTTAAAAAGATAAACCACTACCTTTTTCTTTACCAGAGGCTGTTTATCAGATGTCCTTCAGTACTAGGCAAACTGAGAACCCCACTGTTTGGATAACATTGCTGCAGCAGGAAGGATTTTTTTTTCTTTCCTGAGGCTTTTTTGCTTGAATCCAAATTTCTTTACAATTGACTCATTCATTTCTCCTACCCCTGCCTACTTCTGTCAGCTCTTCTGGGAAAAATAGCAAATGAATTTAACATTTTCACCCAGTGGCTGGAGGCCACAAGACTAGGGCACTTAATATGATACGGTTAGCTTTGTTTCAAATTAAAATTGGAACCAGTAATGTCTTAATTCTCTTGTCTAGACGATTGTCACGGCTGTAAATTATCATCATAATAGCTATTGTATGGTTTCTAATGACTTTACCAAAACATTATTTGCCAATCCTATAAACTTTTTGAACATGCTGTTTAGTTTATCCTGATGAATCTATTAAGAGGTGACACATACATCCTGCTTCCTCTCTCCAAAGAGACATTTGTGGATTCAATTCCTTGCTTGTTGCTAATGCCACTTTGTAATCTCAATACTGATCTAATTCTGTTTTCTGTCTGTCTACAACAAATTTAATCAGAAAAATCATTATCCAAATGTAATGTTCTGTGTTAGTATAATTACTGATAAAGTAAGCTTTACATCTGCCATTTTGCCACATGTGGGTTTTTTTTACTGTTGTTTTGATTTGAGTTTTTTTTTTTTTTTTTTGAGACTGGGTCTCACTGCGTCACCCAGGCTTGTATGCAGTGGTGTGATCTTGGCTCACTGCAACCTCTGCTTCCTGGGCTTAAGTGATCCACCAGCCTCAGCCTCCAATTGGCCACCATGCTCAACTAATTTTTGTATTTTTTGTACAGATGGGGTTTCACCATGTTGTCCAGGCACATGTGTTCTATATGTCTTTTTTTGTTTGTTTGTTTCTCTCTTTTTCCATTATTTTCTTCTTTTATGCTAAATAGATGTTTTCTAGTATAACATTTTAATTCCATTAATATTAATATTTCTTTAATTGTATTTTTACATTCTTTTCTTAATGGTTGCTCTGAGGATTATAACTAGTATCTTAACAATTTAGTTTGGATCAATACCAATTTAATGTCAGTGGTATATAAAATTTTGCTGCTACATAGCTCTACTTTTCCCCCTTTCTTTGTGCTCTTATATAAGAATAAATATTTACAGATTATAAGTCCATCAGCACCATTTTATAGTTGTTGATTTGTATAGTTACCTTTTAAATAAACAGGGAAAAAATTACAAACCAAGGGTATATTCATACTATTTTTTATGCTTATTTATATTGTTACGTCTACTGGTGCTGTTAATATTTCTTCATGTGGATTCTATTTATTGTCTATTGTCCTTTATTTTCAGACTGAACAACTCCGTTTAGCATTTCTTATAGAGTAGATTTATAAGTGACAAATTATTTCCATTTGTTTATATGGCAATGTCTTCACTTTTTTTTTCATTTTTGAAGAATAGTTCTGAAAATTATAGAATTCTTATTTGACAGTATTTTTCTTTCAGTACTTGGAGTATGTCATCCCGTTGCCTTCTGGAAACCATAGTTTCTGATAAGAAATCAATTGTTCCTCTTATCAAGGACCCCTGTATGTGATGAGCCACTTCTCTATTACTGTGTTCAAGATTCTCTCTTTATCTTTTACTGTTGACAACAATTCGATTATGATATGTCTGGGCATGGATAATTTTAGTTGATCTTACATACATTCTGAGTTTCTTTTAATATGTATAGTTTAATGATTTTCAAATGAAATTTTGAAAATTTGGTTACTGTTTCCTCAAATATTTTTTCTACTTTTTCTCTTTTACTTCTTCTTCTAAAGTTTTCATTATGTGGATGTTGGTACACTTGATAGCATCACAGGGACATTGGAGACTTTGTTCATTTTTCTTCATTATTTTTTCTTTATATTCCACAGACTAGATAGTCTCAATTGACCTGTCTTCAAGTTCACTGATTATTTATTCTGCCAAGTAAAATTTCCAATTAAGTCTCCCTAGCAGGGGAACAACACACAATGGGGCCTGTCAGGGGGGCAGTGGGAGGGAGAGTATCAGGATAAATAGCTAATGCATGTGGGGCTTAATACCTAGGTGACGGGTTGATATGTGCAGCAGACCACCATGGCACACATTTACCTGTGTAACAAACCTGCACGTCCTGTACATGTATCCCAGAAATTAAAATTAAATTAAAAAAAGAGAAAAATAAAGCATTTACAATACATTTTAATGTGTATTTAATATGTATTTTAATATGTTTTAAGCTCTCAATAAAAGTTGGCTAATTTTGTAACATAGAAAAAGTCTCCCTAGCAAATTTTTTATTTCAGTTATTGTATCTTAGAGCTCTAGAATTTCGATTTTTTAAATAATTTATATGTTAAGTTGATGTTATCTATTTGCTGATATATCATTCTCATGTTTTTCTTTAAATGTGTATTCATGGTTTACTTTTGGTCTTTGAAAATAATTGTAATGGCTTTAAATTATAATTTAAAGTTATTTCAAATTTTTGACTAGGAATTCTAATTCATGGACTTTTTCAGGGACAAAAATTATAATAAAAAAATTCATGACTGATTTTATCCCCTTGTTTTGGGGCCATATTCCCCTGTTTGTTTACATGTATCATGATTTTTTTGAAACTGAATATTTTAGATAATATGATGTAGCAACTCTGGAAACCAGATCCCATTCTTCACAGTTTGCTATTGTTCCTGTTTGTTATTGTTGTTCTTTGTTTCATGACTTTCCTGTAAGAACTCTATAGTTTCTCATGTGTAGTAACTGGTTAACATAATTGTCAGCTAATGACTAGACATGCATTTCCTTAGTATCTTGAACGAGCAACTCTCCCAGTCTTTCCTGAATAGTTCCATGTGTGTTAGGTGCATGCCTTCAATTTACTGGTAGGCAGTTGAAAACTCTGTTACCATTAATGTCCTGCTTGCTCAGATACTCAAGGTCAGCAAAAGTTAAAAAATTAGGACCTTTTCAGGTGTCTCAACTTCCTGCACATGTGTGTTGCCTTCTAGATTCTCAGAAACATGTTGGAGCTTTTCAAAGTCCTTATTGTGTTCTCAAAATGTCTATGTTGTAATTACAGTTAGATGAGATCATGTGACTGGATCCCTCATGATGAGATGAGTGCCCCCAAAAGAAGACACCAGAGAGCTTGCTTCTCATTCCACACGCATGCTCCAAAGAAAGGCCATGGCAGAGCACAGAGAGAAGGAGAGCTCCCACCAGAACCTGGCAAAGTGTGCTGCTGGCATGCTTGTCTCATAATTCTGCCCTCCAGGACTGTGAGAAAATAAGTTTCTGTTGCTTAAACCACCTAGTCTATGGTAATTTATTATGGAAGCCCAAGAAGACTCACACTAATTTTGGTACCAGGAAGTGGGGTGCTGATGCAACAAATACCTAAACATGCGTAAGTGGCTTTAGAAGTGGGCAATGGATAGGGGATGGAAAAGTTTTGAGGTGTATGCTAGAAAAAGCCAAAATTGCAGTGAAGTATTTAAGGCAGTTGGAGTGAGGGCGCAGAAAGAAAAGAGAATAGCTAAGGGGAATTATCTATCTTTCTAGAGATATAATAATATAATAAATAATCGTGAAGAGAATGTTGATATCAATATGGATGTTAAAGGCCATTCTGTTGAGTTCCCAGATGAAAATGAGGAAAAACATTACTGGAAAATGGAAGAAAGGTGATCCTTTTATAAAGTGACATAGCACTTGGATTAACCATGTTCTAGTGTTTTGTGAAATTGATATTTTTGACAAACAAACTTAGATAATATTTAGATAAGACTTTGGATTTTGCAAGTGATAAAATTAGATAATTAGCTAAGGAGATACCTAATCAAATTGTTGAAGGAGTGGCTTGGTTCCTCCTGTTTATGGTAAAATGTGAAAGGAGAGAGAGAAGTTGAAGAAGAAATTGTTAAGCATAAAGGAACCAGAGTTGAAGATTTGGAAAGTTTTCAGCCTATCTCTATTGCAAATAAATAAAAAAGCCTGTGGTGAAGACAACAGGAAGGGTGTGGTTGAACAATTATTTGATAAAGAGATCGTGGTAATGACTCATGGACTGAATCAGCCATCTCAGAAGAGGCCAGGAATAGAGATCAATTATACAAGCAAAAACACTGTCAATTTGAACTAAGGGGTCAGAAACAAATGAGATGAAATAAAGGCTGCCAGACTTTTAGATCTTGCAAGACCAGACCAGAGAGCTATTTGGCTCTAACTTTGTGCTTTTCAAGAAAATGAAGTAGTGACCCCAAAGGCAATTCAGAGATCATCAGGTCAGTGTCCTTTGTGGCAAAGGGTGGGACCATTGCCTCAGTTTCAATAGGCCATATGGCCTCTGACTAAAGCCTGGGGGTGGGGCCTTGGAGACAGGGCTGTGTAAAAGCCTGGAGGCAGGATCCACTATCCCTGTAGGTCTAGAATAAATGGCATTAAATGAAAAAGAGATATCTTGAGACTTAAGAGCTAATGGAATTTGCCTTGGTTGGTTTTAGACATTCTTGTGGCCTGTCTCTCCTTCCTTCTTTCTTAATTTTTCCTTTTGGAATGGGAATGGCTATCTCATGCCTATTCCACTATCTGTTGTAATTTGGAAGCACATAACTTGTATGGTTTTACAGGTTTACAGCTGGAGAATAATTTTGATTTTGGGGATAAGGCTTACTTATATTTGATTTAGATACTATTTAAATGAGACTTTGTACTTTAGAATTGATGCTGGAATCTGTTAAGACTTTTGAGGCTTTTGGGATAAAATTAATGTATTTTGCATGTGAGAAGGACATCTTGGGGGTCTAGGGCAGAATGTATGAACTGAATATATGTGTGCCACTCAAAGTTATATGTTAATATGATGATATTCAGAGATGAGGCTTTCGGGTGGATAAATAAGGTTAGATGAGATCATGTGAATGGGAACTCATGATGGGATTAGTGCCCTTAAAAGAAGAGATACCAGAGATGTTGCTCTGTCTCTGCATGTTAACCAAAGGAGCTCACAGTGAGAAAGAAGCCTGAAAAAGAGGCTTTACAAAAACTTCACCATGCTGGACCATTCTAGCCTCCAGGACTGTGAGAAAATAAATTTATGTTGTTCAAATGATCAGTCTCTGGTATTTTGTTGTGGCAGCCCAAGCACACAGACCCTATGGACAATTCATTCACCACATTTTCCATGTAAGGTTTTGGTCAGCTTCTTGTTTGCCCAAATTTTATAGATGCCTCAGGTAGCTGATATTAAGCAATTACCATGGATGGTTTTTGACCGATGTCCTGGGGAAAGGTTGTTTACAAGGAGTTATCTCTGAGTCCGGTCAAGTAAAGACAAGCCCTACTAGTAGAGGTTTCCAGGAAACTACCAGCCAGATCAAATAATAACAACTGGTAAGGGCACTTTTGAGGAGCTTCAAAACTGTTTTTCCCTCTCCTTTGGTTGGTAGGCTGCTGTTTTTTTTATGGCTATGCTTGTCACTGCTATCATATTTACCAAGCTGTTGGTTTTCAAAGCTATTGTGGAGCTGAGAAGAGAGGATGGGAGTAGGGCAAGTTAAAACACCAGAAAGGTCACTGTTCTCATTGAGATTCAGCTGTTTTTTCTTTAATAAAGAATCTTTGAATTTCTCTGTTGGTTAGTTGACAGAGTTCTTAAAATGTTGATTTAGTGTTTTCATTGCCATTGTGGAGGAGCAGATATTTGGAAGCCTTTCACTGCAGCATTCTTGCAATGTCCCCACACCCCAACTCAATTAATTTTTGTTGAGTATATTAATTTAATTGACTTTTCGTTGTCTTCCTAACATTGGTTTTATCCTTATCTATTAATGTAAGGTGGGATTTGGAGCTGATCTCACACCCAGATCCAAGGATGACCCCTAATTGTTCAAAGCCAACATTCTCACTCTGAACACTATTGAAATTTTGGGTCCAATACTTCTGTGTTGTAGGGGGCTGTTCTGGGCATTGTAGGATCCTTAACAATATCCCTGGACTCTACCAACTAGAGGCCAGTAACACTGTTGCAGTTGTGACAATCAAAAATTTTCCAGACATTACCAGATGTCCCCTGCTGGACAAAATTGCCTCAGACTGAGAATCACTGTTCTAACCACATTAATATAGTTTCATTATTATAAACACAAAAATTGATTCAGGTAAACAAAACTTATGTCCTAAAGCGTATGTCAATCCCCTGATCACAGTTATTAGTTCAGGAATGGAAATGTAACCAATTCAAGCCAGGGAGGTATGAGGGAAGGTTGCTGGAAACAACTAGAGGAAGTTTCTTTTTTTCTGTTTTTTGTTTGGGTTGTGTGAGGATGTGAAATCCATTGGATGACCAGCCTTAAAAGGAATCTAAAAATGACACATAACATGTGATATGTTTTGGATGTGTGTCCCCTCAACATCTCGTTGAAATGTGACCTCCAAAGTTGGAGGTGTCTAGTGGGAGGTGTTTGAGTCATAGGAGCAGATTCCTCATGAATGGCTTGGTACCATCTTTTTGGTGTTGAGTGAGTTCTCACTCTATTAGTTCACTCAAGAGCTGGTTGTTTAAAAGAGCCTGGCACCTCCTCCCTGCTCTCTTGCTCCCTCTTGCCATGTGATCTGTGGGCTCCTCCTATGCCTTCAACCATGATTGTAAGCTTCCTGAGGCCTCACCAGAAGCCAAGCAGATGCTGGTGCCATGCTTGCATAACCTGCAGAACCATGAGCCAAATAAAACTCTTGGTTATACATTACCCAGTCTCAGGTATTCCACTATAGTAATGCAAAGTGTGGTAATACAATGTGTCTGGCACTGAGTAGATATTAAGGGTCATTGTTATAGCACTGATTGGGCTTATGGCATGACCTTTACTCTTCCTATGAGACCTATTTTATTCAAACTCTTTGAACTTAAAGGTGCTCCTAAATGTTGTAAGGGATTCTACCTCCATAATACCTCTTTCAAGTTTAGTTCTTCTTTTTCATATCAACACTCTAATTCCCATTTTACTTCTTAATTCTTAATTGGTTAAGTGGAATTCTTTTCATAAAATGCTCTGATTTTTCCTCTCTCCACCTTATCCTGCCATCCTTAGTTATTTTCCTAAAGTGCACCTCTGATTTTATCACTGCTCTGTTCAAAATGTTTCAATGATTTCTTTACTATCTACCAATTAAACCCTATATCTCAGCCTGTTTTTCAATTTGACTAAAACCAACTTTTCAAACCTATCAACCTCTACTTTTCTTCTATGATCTAGTCTTTTAACCAAATGAGCATTCTCACAGTTTCCAGAGTAAGGTCCTATGTTTCTTGTCTCTGTTCTCTCTCTCTCTCTATCTCTCTCTCCCTCCTTTCTCTCTTTCTCTTTTTCTTTCTTTCTTTCTTTTCTTCTTTCATTCTTTCTCTTTCTTTCTTTCTTTTCTTCTTTCATTCTTTCTCTTTCTTTCTTTCTTTCTTTCTTTCTTTCTTTCTTTCTTTCTTTCTTTCTTTCTTTCTTTCTCTCCTTTCTTTTTTTTCTCACTCTGTCACTCAGGCTGGAGTGCAGTGGTGCAGTCTCAGCTCACTGCAACCTCTGCCTCCCAGGTTCAAGCGATTGTCCTGCCTCAGCCTCCCCAGTATCTGGGATTACAGCCATGTGCCACCATGCCCAGGTAATTTTTGTATTTTTGGTTGAGAAGGGGGTTTCACCATGTTGGCCAGGCTGGTCTCGAACTTCTGGCCTCAAGTGATCCACCTGCCTCAGCCTCCCAAAGTGCTGGGATTCCAGGAGTGTAGCCACTGCACCTGACCTCTGTTCATTTTCTTATGCTATTTCTGGCACCAATATATTAAAAGTAGTAATTATAATAAAAATACATAGCCTTTACTTAGCACTAGCCCTCTGCCAGATACTGTGCTTTATCTCATTTAATTCTCAAAACAAAAACAAGAAGAAAGAATGTGTTAGGTACTTCTATTTAGCCTGCTGGCACATAAGAGGAAATTACAGCTTGGAGAGGTTAAATAATATCCCAAGGTCACACAGATAATTGAAATAACCTGAAACTCAAACTCAGATCTTTCCACTTGTTCATATTTTTGTTCTTAGTCACAATGCTATATTGCTTTCACCTTACTTGTCTTTGTTGTCTCTCTCTGTCATTATCTGTTGAAATTGTTTTTTTCCCAGTCTAAATTTTTATGTTATTCATAACATGTGTTCTAGTCTTTTAACCCAGAAACATTTTTTTTGGCCTCTAATATCTCACTGACCCCAACAGAACACCTGGTACTTCATGATAGATAGCCAATATATGTTTTAAATAAAGGAGATGGATATTTAAGTTGGAGCCTAGGTATCTGGTTCTTGCATTTCACAATTGCTGTAAAGAGAAAAATAAAAATTGTTCAGTATTTTCCAGAAAATAAGCACTCTATAAATATTTGTTAAATTTAATGAATTGCTGAATTCAATAAATCAGCTTCTTAGGTGTCTACTTATCTTTCAACTGTCCTTATGCAGACCATAACTATATATGTAATAGCAAAATGTCAAATCATTTACCCATTATATGTGGAATACCCATTACTTTCTGTGTGGATTGTGCAGGTGAGCAGACCTGGGGGTCTATTTGTTCTGTAATTGATAGCGGAAAAGGGCCTAGTCTTAAATGTTTCCAGGGGAATTCAGAATTTCCAGCCACACAACCAACTGTAACTATGGCTTTTCTTCCACAGAGGTGCTGTTTTGTGGGCTTTCAGACTGAAAACAAATCTGTTTCATGGTATGTCTGTTTTGTCTGTCCTCAAATGTGCGTGGTACTTAAGAACAGCAAGGACAGGGCACGAAGGTGGAAAAGAGAGGAGAAGCAGCAGCAATGAGGAGAAGATGAAGGGCAATGATGGGGACTAGATTAAATTAAATGCCAGAGCTCCCAACCCTTAGAGGCTGTTGCGGATGCTGTTGCACTGAGTTAGCAACATAAATCAATAAGTCAGATCCGGCTGAACTCTGGTGCCCCACAAGTTCTATTCAAATCAGGAATTCTAGGATTCTGTTTTATAAAAAACTTTTTAAAATGTTTGGACATAGGTCATGTTATCAATAGCAGAGTTTCTCAAACAAGAGTATATGAACATTTTCCCTGTGCCTGTGTGTTATCCAAGAAAATAATCAATTTTGTAATTATACTTTGATTATAGCCCTAAAAAAGTAATCTATGCATGTCTGGGTTATCTGGGCCTCCTAATGCAGTTTAATCATGCAATTTTTGTAGCACACTTTTGATGAATTAATAATCTGATTAGACGGAGGCAGTGCTATTTATTTATCTTGAGTTAATGGGAAAAGGCTAGATTTGTCCTCCATATGTAACCGAGGCGTTGCTTGTGTGTCCCCCATATGTACTCTACCTAAATAACTCAGGCATGTGCCTATTTGTGCTCCATATGTGCACCACATGTATAACTCAGGTGTGTGTCTGTATGTTTTCCATGGATTATGTATGTAACTCTGATGTGTGTCTGTGTTTCCTGTGTGTGCTGTGTATGTAACTTATGTGTGAGCCTGTATGTGCACTACATGTATAACTCCGGTGTGTGCCTGCATTGCTTGCATATGTGCACTATTTATGTAACTCAAGTGTGTGTACATGTTTTATATGTGCACTGCATGTATAACTCAGATGTACGTGTGCATGTGTTTCCTGTGTGCACTAAACATGTAACTCAGGCATCGCTCTTATGTTCCCCCTATGTGCACTAAATATATAACTTAAACATGTATCATACCACTGATTTTACAAAAGTTGGAATAGACAAAAATGTTGAGAAAATTATATGTATAGACATGTCAAACTTTACGTGTGCATGTATACTATCATATTCACATTGAGAATTATAACTTACTTTCAGTGAAATAATGTGTTTATTCACATCAATGTTATTGATTTTTACACTACTTTAAAGATTTTTATTGCTTTTAATGTATAAATTAATTTTTAGTTTTGTAGTTGTTGTAAAAGGACCATGAGGATAGGGCAGGCAGATTATACCTAGTGGCATATATTAATATTGTTGTAAAAATAAGTTGTCAACATTGGCAGTCAGTGAGATCTTTTTCCTTTAAAAGAGATCTTTACTAAGTTTGAAAACAAAAAGAAAACTATACCATTTGATTTCGAAGTACATATAAGTTCTAATCTGTTGACCCCAATAAGCCATCTTAAGAGAAAATATTTCTGTTACCTAGGGAAATGCTGCGCTTATAAGTGGCAATATTCCATTTATTATTAGAGTAGCTGCTTTCTGTTTTGTAAACTATCAGCTTTAGTTATTGAATCATATATATATATTTTTTTAACCTGGAAAAAAATCACATCATGTTAATGCTGGTAAATTTTTGAGCTGCACTCAAGGAAATGTGCCCAGGCAATGAACTTTGTCCAGACTGGGTCACCAGATCTATTAAATATACTTTTATTATTATTATTTTCATTTGGATAAATACAGCATGTTAATAGCATGAAGAGGCCCTATCAAAGACTTTTTCCTTCTTTTGGTATGAAAGGGTTAAACAGTGACTTCACAACGTCGCAGTCACTTCCACATGTATTATCTCATATCATCGCAGTAATGCTGTGAAGATGATGTCATCTCAGCTCCACACATGACAGATTTGTGAGCCAAGGGACTGAGTGAATTGTGCCAATCATAAATCTGGTGGATCCATCTCCAAATACAGGTGTTCCAACTTCAAGCTTTGGGCTCCTTTCACTATATCATGTGGCTTCTCTAAATTAAATTTAAACTAATTTCCTGATAGATAAATTTATCTAGAGAAGGTGTAATATTAACTCATATGGAGATCTTTAAGAGATACATTTCTCATCCTGTATCTGATATAGTTTATTATTGTGAGTATAGAATATGCATATATTTCTGCTGACTGCCAGAAAAGATTTAGATAAAACACGAGAATATAAAACAGGTCCTTTAACATGGATTAAAATGTGAAAGTCAAGTAATAGAGGAAGAAAATAAGGCTCCGTCTTCAAGAATTTATGCCACCATCTCTTAATTTCTCTTTCCACTGTGTTGTGGCCTTTCCAAAATCAATACAGTATAAATAAAAATATCGTTTTCCTGTTACCTTTCTTCTCATGAACATAAGGCCTCAGAACTATGAAAGAAAATGGATGAGAACAATTCCTTTTTATCTTTTGTTTTTTTCTTATTATGATGATTATGTTAGCTTTATGTTCTTTCTGAGCTTAAAGATGAGGCATGTGCTTTGTAGAGAATTTGGAAAAATATGAAGAATCAGGAAATGTGTTCATTATTCCAGCAATAGTAATTTCTTAGTGTATTTTTAAAAATAAATTTTTAATTTACCTGAGAACATATGCTTTCTTTACTTGACATTTTTAATGTTATTAAATTTCCCTATATTATTAAAAAGCTTTTATGTTTAATGGCCACAAAATATTCTACCATATTGATATATTCTGTCTTATTTAAGCATGTACCTAATATTGAATACTTGAGTGATGTCCAATTTCTCACTGTTATTATAAATGATGCACGTCTGTGCATAACTTTTGTGGGCATTTTGGCATATGGTAGTTTCTAAGAAGAATTAATAGGCCAAAAGAGATGAATATTCTAAATTATTTTGATGAACATTACCAAATTTCTTTCTGAACTCTCATACCAACCCATACCCCTATCCACAACATCAGAGTGCGTGTATTTCACTGTGCCCTCATCTACACGGATGTTCTTGTTAATTTCTTTCATTTGATAGGCAAATGCTGCATCACATTGATTTAATTCGCATTATTTAAAAAACTGAACTATTACTGCTCGTATTTACTAGTCATTTCTATTCTTCTTTTGAAAATTGTCCAACTAATCTTCTTAACTCTCCACTATCATTCATCACCACTTTACTTCAGGAAAATAGAATCACAAAAATTAAAGACATTTACAGCTGCAATCAGCATGATCAATCTCTCACTATACATGTGAGTCTAGATAGATTCAGGGACTGGACCACGAGCCCATCCCTGGGATGCTGAGTGACTGAGTAATATGTGTCTCTAAGCCTTCTGCCTGTCTTTATTGTCTCCTCCTCCTTCTTTTTACTGCCCTCCCCCACCTTTCTTCCATGCACCCTTCCTTGTGATGATGTTCTCTCCTCAGTGTCAACGTTTTGACATCTTTGTAGTATCCTGGGATTAGTAGGCTTGCCTGTGAATCTAGAAACGGAAGTCAGTACTGGCCTTTATTCCAGGTTGTCTGATGTCCCATCCCCACCTTCTCTTACCCACAGCTGTGTGTCTACGAGTACAGCAGGGGCTCCATTACCAAGTCCCCTGAGTGACTGGAACTCAGTGATTTCACAAGACTCCTGCAGAATGTGCAAAGAAGGCTAAGTGTTCTATTTGTTGTATTTCTTGATATTTACTTAACCTCCTAGAAGGACATTCATGGTTAAAATGTACCCAGCACCCTGTATGATGAGCCAACTGGGTGAGCATCTGTGTGGTTCCTGGTCAGTCCTCACAGCAACACTGCAAAGGATATGCGATGGTTCTTATTTTACATCTGAGCCCTAGGGAACTGTGTCCCACATCTTAGACTATTTTCCCACCATTACATAGCTAATAAGGAGAGAGGGCTTGAATCTAGGTCTGTCCGATTCCCAAGTCTGGCATGGCCTCTCTGCTATATTTCTTTGCCAATCTGGCAGTGGGTAGGGAAATCTCAGCTTGTGCCTTTTCTATGCTAATGTGACCCACAGACTGACTCACATGGGGTGGGAGCAAAGGTTAAGTGCACCTTCCATTCTGACAGCAAATGACTGAGTTCATTGAGGAACAGGGGCAAGTCTGGGGTTCTTATTCCCAGCGTATGGTAGACACTTGACAACTATTTGTTATTACTGAATGAAAGATGCTTTTCATTAAGCTACATGTTTCTCTCATGTAAAAGTAGGGTTAACTAGTCTATATGGCAGGGACGATCTGGCAGTACTTATCCTGCTTTATAATGACTTTGTCTTTCTTTAGCAATTGATTTATGCTCTCTTAACTTTCCATTCTTCAAAATGAGGCTACCAAACTGCAAGTGTTGTGATTAAGATGAATATGTTTTGAACTCGTAGAAAACATGATTAATTTAACTTTACTGAAAATATAATAGAAATTTTGAATTCTAAAAAAATCCTTAGGGGAATAAATTCTGAACATATTATAGGTGAGTCTTTTTTTTATAGGCAAATATTTATTTTTCTATTTTTTATTTTTAATTTTGCACATTCCTATCAAATATGTTTTTTATATAGCGCTCCATAGTGACAGTGCTATGAAGCTACCTGCCTGCAGCCAGGCAATGTCCTGTCCATCTCTCTGGGATGAGTGGGCTTGCTTGTATTCCAGAAATTTAAGTCAGCACTCCCCTTTGTTCCAGGTTATCTAATATCTCATTCTGACCCCATACTTAACATGCACTTGCTGTCCCAACTACACTATACTATGGTGGCACATCACAAGCTTCACAAATCAAGTTTTTAGATGCAGGAGTACAGTCATAGGAAGAATGGATATGTTTCTTTTAATTCTTTTTGAGAAGTACAACTATACAAATCTTTATAATCCATCTACTTCTGTAATCTGAACTTCAATAAACCATTGGGCAAGAAATGTAGTATTTCTAAATGGAAGAGCCACATTAAGTATTTTCCTTTTAACAAACTTGAAATTTGCTAACACTCAAAACCAGAGGTCAACAAATTTTGTAAAGAACCAAATAGTAAATATTTTAGACTTTATGGGCCAAGATGCAAAATCAAATACATTATGTAGGTACTTACCTTACAAGAGAGAAAACAAATTTTCACAAAGTTCAACAAAATTAAAGTAAAAAATAATATTAATAATAATAAGGAACAGTTTTTGTAATACAAATCTATTGTATTAGTTTTCTGTTGCAGCCATAACGTATTATCAGAAACTTGGTAGCTTACACACAAAATATTGATGATATTATGGTACAGTTCCAGAGGTCAAAAGTCCAACACAGTTCTCACTGGGCTAAAATCAAGGCGTCGGCAGGGCTCTGCCCCTCCAGAGGCTCTGAGGTAGAGTCTGCTGTCTTGCCTTGCCAGTTGTCAGAGGTTACCTGCATTCTTTGGCATATGGCTCTTTCCTTCATATTCAATACCAGGAATCATATTCATATTCAAGGCCGGGAATGTAGCGTCTCTGTAAACCTGCTTCTATTGCCACATTTCTCTCTCTACTGCAGCCTGGAAAGTCTCTCTAGTTTTAAGGATCCATGTGATTACACTGGGCCCACCTGGATAACTCAGGATAAATTTCACAATGCAGGGTCCAGGAGTTAGTTTTCTAGGGCTGCCATAACAAAGTACCACAAAATGGGTGGCTGAAAACAACGGCAATTATTTAAAAACGTTTTCACAGTTCTGGAGTCTAAAAATCAGAAATCAAGGTTTCAGCAGGGCCGCGCTCCCTGTGAGGTTCTGAGTAGGATCCTTCCTTTTCTTGTTCTTTCTTCCACAGATGCAGTTGGCAGAATAATGGTCTCCAAAGACGTCCATGCCGTAATCCCCAGAACCTGTGAATACATTACCTGACATGGTAAAAGGGATTTGGCAGATGTGATTAAGGTTATGCACTACTATGGATCCAGCGTAATATGTACAACCTAGCAACAGAGTTTCATATAGCACAGATGCAAATATAATTTAGAATCTGTATAATATAAAGAAGCTGACCAACCATAAAGACTTTTTTGAAAAGGGATGGAAGAGCTATGCCCATCAATCCTTAGCATTTTCTGATTTGCAGCTGCATTGCCTCAATCTCTGCTTCCATCAGCACAACGCCTCCTCTCCTCCTGTGCCTCTGTCTCTTCTCCTCTTCTTATAAGGCATCAGTTATATTGGATTAGGGCTTACCTTGATGACCTCATCTTAACTTGATAACATCTACAAAACCCCTTTTTCCAAATAAAGGCACATTCATGGGTATCAGGGATTAGGACTTCAATATATCTTTGTAGGGGACATGGTCCAACCCATAATAGTCCATAACCTTAATCACATCTGCCTTTTACCTTTTACCATGTCATGGAATTCCTTTTACCATGTCAGGTAACATAATCATGGGCTCTGGGGATTCGGGCATGGACGTCTTCGGAGATCGTTATTCTGCCTACTGCATTTAATAATAAGAACACTGAAAATCTTTTAAACTTTTTTAAAAAATAACATTCTGTTTAATTGAGATTCAAAATTAGCTTTCTTTATCATCAAACTGATTGCAAATCTGGAGAAATTATTCTCAATGATGGGTCGAAGAACAACAGGTAGAGAGCTAGATTTGGCCTGCAGGCTGTAGCTGGCTGACTCTTCCTCTAAGCAAAATCTTACTGAGGCCAAAACCTATTAGAGTGTTACCAGAAATACCATTTACTATAATATAAACATGATTTTTAAAATATATTAGAAATTAATCCCAGTTGGGCTGGAATACACACGTAGGAGTGAACCACATGATAAAACAGATCTTTTTGGGTAATGTGAACAAGGTTTGCCAGATTTAGGACTCATGATCTATATCCTTGATTTATTTCAAAGAAATGCTAGTATCCAACTACCTGTGTATATTTCTCCAGGGTAATATGTACAGCCTAGCCACAGAGTTTCATATAGCATATACATTCTTCCCAGGCAATTACTAATAACAGAATAATATTACTAGGCTTCTCGCTTAGGAAAACACCAGTTAATTGGTAAAAGCATATTTTTAAAATCCAAAATAGCTTCTCTTGGCCGGGTGAGGTGGCTCACGCCTGTAATCCAGGCACTTTGGGAGGCTAAGCAGGAGGATCACTGGAGGTCAGGAGTTCAAAACCAGCCTGGCCAACATGGTGAAACCCCATCTCTACTAAAAATACAAAACTTAGCTGGGCATGGTGGCAGGTGCCTGTAATCCCAGCTACTCGGGAGGCTGAGGGAGGAGAATCGCTTGAACCCAGGAGGCAAAGGTTGCAGTGAGCTGAGATTGTGCCACTGTAATCCAGCCTGGGTGACAGAGTGAGACTCTGTCTCAAAAAAAAGTAAAAAGTAATGAAAATAGCTTCTCTTACTTGGTATTACAAATTTCAATATTTGAGCAGAATTATAGCATGGAAATGACAGTAAATAGTCCTAATGATTAACATTCATACTGTCAACAGAATAGCATCAGCAATTTTATATGATGTGTCTTTCAAATAAGGAAATTATATCTGTGACATTTAACTGGCCAGTCTATATAGTCTTGCCTTAGAAGTCAATGTTAACCTTTCTCTCCATTGACTTCCACAGAAACTCCCTGTTTGCCAGAAATGCATTAGATTTTTTTTTGCATTAGCAGTAAAACATGAAGTTAGTAGGGCTAGTTGGGATGGTTAAGTGGTTTGGTAGAGATGAGGAGTAATCATATTTATAGGTATGATTGAATTTCTCTGGCAAATATATTTTAGAATTCATATAATATAAAGAAGCTGACCAACCATAAAGATTTTTTGAAAAGGGATGGAAGAGCTAGGGTCCACGTAATCCTATTCACAAGGCTTTCTTGATGGAAGAATTATATACTTCAAATTTTAGTTATATATTTGGAGTTTTAAAGATTTATTATTAAGTCTTCACTTGTGAGCTTTAGCATAGAATAGTGATAAAGAATGTGGTCTTTGGAACCAACATACAGGTGTTTAAATTTGGGATCTGCTACTTCACAACAGATCACTTAACCACTGTAAGTCTCAATTTACTTCCCTGAAATGTGTATAAAAGTAGTACCTAAGTATAAAGTGTTTTGGAGAGTGCCTGGTGCATAATAAGCATTATATAAGTGTTATTCATCTGTTTGTTTATTATGAGTATTGGTGATGGTGGTGGTGTTAAAAGGTACCCTGTGTTCCTGCACGTATCTGTTAAGGAATGTGCAGGCCTAGGGCTCACAGAAGATTGTGTGGTCCCCAAACCATTAAGCAAGTGATTAAGTAGCTGAGAGACTCCAGTTTACAGTGGAAAAACTTGAACCAGGAGTGAACGAAGTGACTGAAGAGGGGTTCAGGTCTGGGACCATTTCTGGGATGAAGCATGTGAGGTGGTGGTAGAGGCAGAGACAGGGCCATGCTCTGCTGACACTGGGATAGCCATGATTCTTGGGAAAAACTGGGTGATTTTTCATGGTACTCACCTATTTCTTTACCACTTGCTGCAGGAAGCCCAAGAAAAAGTGGAGACTTCCTGTTACGACTCGCTTCTCTGCTGTTTGGTCTGTGGCTATGCTACTGCCATGGGCTGCATGACTGAATCCCGTTCTGCAGACGACACTTGACATTACTTTTAGTTTTCATTCCTTCATTTCTCTTTTTACTTTTTTAATGTCCTTATTCCCTGATTTCCTCAGTATCTCTTCCTCATCACTGCTTACTGTTTGTACAATATCAGGTTCCCCAATGGATGTATATAGCTCCATGATTACAAAAGTGAATAGATAAAATATTTGCATTTGAGTTTAAAGTACAGTGGTAAGTACAATTTAAAATTTAAAATTTTTGGTATATATATACACACACACATATATATATCTCACAACTTTTGTGAGATGTATTTATACACAACACACACACATACGATAGATTACTACTCAGCCACAAAAAAGAATGAAATCATGGCTTTTGCAGCAACATGGATGGAACTGGAGACCATCATCTTAAGTGAAATAACTCCGAAACAAATAGTAAAATACCACACGTTCTTGCTTAGAAGTGGGAGCTAAATAACGTGTACACGTGGACATAGAATATAGAATAATAGGCATTAGAAACTTGGAAGGGTGGGAGGGGGATGACAGACAAAAAATTACTTAATGGGTACAGTGTCCACTATTTGGGCGATGGTTACATTAAAAGTCCAGACTTCACCCTTATGCATTATATCCATGAAATAAAACTATACTTTTACCCCTTGTATTAATGCAAATAAAAAATAAAATAATTAATGGTGAATATTCAAGAGTTATATTAGAGATCTAGGTGATTTGAGTGAAACTGGTGACCTAAGTCAGCAAAGTCAGTTTTTAGTAGCCATTGGGGTCACATTTTCCAGGACGTGAAAATTACGATTCACTTTGGAAAGTTTTGGTTTTGCAACCTCCTGAGCCATAATGGTGTTTCTGTAATTCCCACTGTTGTCAGTGGCTTAGGTCTCCTTCTCTTCCCCAACCTTCATTGTATTTTCTCTTCAAGCTGCTGAAGTGGGGCAGGGCACTGGGATATGAGGGAGCTGGTCGAAGAGACGTTAGTGCTATGTTTGTGCTGGAGGTGAGGGTGTGATGCTGGAGGATTTCTGTTTGGGATGTTGCTGTGAGTTGCTGCGGTGCTGTGGTCAGGGGAGGTTTGGGGCATGAACTGAGAGAGACATGTGCTATGTGCTGAATGATGAATTGATATCATGGCTTGTGATATTTTCATATATACTTATTGAAGATATAATTCAGGATTTGCATATTTTCTCTAACAACACATTTAAAAGAGTATAGTGATACCAACTTTCATGTAAAAATCATAAAATGAAGATTACTTTTTGAGATGGAGGTTTTTTTTTTCCTTTATAATTTCTTCCATGTCACACTTGCCTTAAATAGCTCTTGGTAATAGACTTCCCTTTGGATGAATACAGGATTTCCATGAGCCATAAGGTTCCTGAGAAATCACTCAAGCAGACTTTAAGAGTTTTGCATTATTTTTCTGGGAATAACTTGCTGACAAAACATTATAGGATAGATTTGGCACCCAGACATCAGCAGATGCAAAATTGGAAATAGGCAATGCAGAAAAGGAATGGTATTTCTGAAAAGTAACAGACACTGTGGCACATATTAATTGAAAAAGCTGATGATTTTCCTTGGAAAGAAAGAAAGAAGCACTGAGTGTTTTTCTATAAGTAAAATGAGGAGTTTACAATCTAAAGAAGTGAGAGGCACACCAGCACACAGTTTAAAGGACACTAGGGCTGAAAACATCTGAAGTCACTGTCTTTGAATTTAGCTTGGTTCCTAGCAGACACTGTGTAGCTTCCAGAGGGATCTGGCTTACCCAGACTCAAACTCTGGCTATCTTTTCTCCACTCTGAATGAATGAGAGAAAAATCAGTTTTCTAGAAAATTCATATCTTCCAAATTAATAGTTGTTTAGTTACTGAATGCTAAGCTCTATGAAGACGTATTTCACATGGGATCAGGCTGTAAGCATCAATGAACGTGTGTTGTATTTGAGTGAAGTAGATCCAAGCACTTGAGCATGCTTCACTGTGCAGTCGTTCTTTCACTATCTGAACCATTGTTTGGTTGATTGATGTTTTTATGAAGTAGTAAAGGACTTAGCTACAGCTGACTCCTGTTTTTTAAAACTGACATAGCATATGGTAAGCACTGATCTAATAATGAGGGACAACTAGTATACTACAGGTTTGTGCAAGTATTTTTTAAACAACTTGATTAAAGTGTAATTGACATACAAAAAAACCACACGTTTAATGTTTACAATTTAATGAATTTGGCCAAATGCATTTACGCATGAAACCATCACCATGATCAAGGTAATAGACATGTCCCTCACCTCTAAAATTTCCTTGTGCCTCTTTGTTTTTTCTTTGTGTTTTTCTATTATGGTAGGAACACTTAGCATGATATCTATCCTTTTAGCAAATTTTTAATTGTGCAATACATTATTGTTAACCACAGATACCCCAGATCTCATGAACTTACTCATTTTGTGGAACTGAAATTTTATTACTATTATTATTTGTTATTTTATTACAGATTAAGTGGGTATATGTGTAGGTTTATTGCATGGATGTATTGTGTAATGGTGAGGTTTGTGCTTCTAGCGAACCTACCACTCAAATAGTGAACATTGTAACCAATAGGCAATTTTTCACCCTACAACCCTCTTCTACTCTCCTCAGCTTTGGAGTTACCAGTGTCAATTATTTCCGTCTTTCTATTCATGTGTACCCATTGTTTAGCTCTCACTTATAAGTGAGGACATACGGTATTTGGTTTTCTGTTTCTGAGTTATTTCACTTGGGATAATAGCCTCCAGTTCCATCCATGTTGCTACAAAAGACATGATTTCATTCTTCTTTGTGGCTGCATAGTATTTTATGATGTATAAATACCACATTTTCTTTACCCAATAGACCAGTGGTAAACATTTAGGTTGACTTCATGGCTTTGCTATTGTGAACAGTGCAGCGATAAACATATGAGTGCACATGTCTTTTTGATATAACAATTTCTTTTCCTTTGGGTAGATATCCAGTAGTGGGATTGCTGGATGAAGTGGTAGTTCTGTTTTTAGTTCTTGGAGAAATCTCTATACTGTTTTCCGTGGGGGTTGTACTAATTTACATTCCCACCGACAATGTATAAGCATTTCCTTTTCTCCACATCCTCGCCAACATCTATTATTTTTTGACCTTTTAATAATAGCCATTCTGACTGGTGTGAGGTGGTATCTCATTGTGGTTTTAATTTGCATTTCTCTGATGATTAGTGATATTAAACATTTTTTTCATGTTTGTTGGACACTTGTATGTTTTCTTTTGAGAAGGGTCTTTCATATTCTTTGTCAACTCTTTAATGAGGTTATTTGGGCTTTTTTCTCTTTTATCTGTTTGAGTTCCTTACATATTATAGATCTTATTTCTTTGTTGGATGCATAGTTTGCAAACATTTTCTCCCATTCTGCAGGCTGTCTGTTTATTCTGTTGTGCTGTGCAGGTGCCCTTTCATTTAATGAAACTCCATTTGTCGATTTTTGTTTTTGTTAACATTTGCTTTTGAGGATATAGTCCTAAATTCTTTGCTGGGCCAAGAGTTTTTCCTAGGTTTCATTCCAGGAGTTTTTATAGGTCTTAACATTTAAACCTTTAATCTGTTTTGAGTTAATTTTTGTATATGGTGAGATAGGAGTCCAGTTTTGTTCTTCTATGTATAGCTAGCTAGTTTTCCCAGCACCATTTATTTAATAGGGTGTCTTTCTCCGTTGTTTATTTTGTCAACTTTTCCAAAGATCAGTTGGCTGTAGGTAGGTGGCTTTGTTTCTAGGTTCTCTATTCTGATCCACTGATCTATGTGTCTATTTTGTACCAGTACCATGCTGTTTTGGTTACTATAGCCTTGTAGTATAACTTAAAGTCACATAATGTGATGCTCCAGTTTTGTTCTTTTTGCTTAGGATTGCTTTAGCTATTCAAGGCTGTTTTTTGGTTCTACAGGAATTTTAGAATTGTTTTTCTATTTCTATGACATTGGTAATTTGATAAAAATCGTGTTGAATCTGCAGATTGCTTTGGGCAGTATGGACATTTTAACAATATTGATTCTTCCTGTCTATGAGCTTGGAATGTTTCTCCACTTATTCGTGCCAGTTACAATTTCTTTTTTTTTTAATTTCAACTTTTATTTTAGATACTGGCAGTACATGCACAGATTTATTACATGAGAATATTGTGTGATGCTGAGGTCTGAAGTACAGATCCTGCCACCCTGGTAGTGAGCATAATACTTGATAGGTAGTTTTTTAATCCACTCCCCCTCCCCTCACCCTCTAGTAGTCCACAGTGTGTTTTGTTCCCCTATTTATGTCCATGTGTGCTCAATGCTTAGCTCCCACTTGTAAGTAAGAACATGTGGTGTTTGCTTTTCTGTTCCTGTGTTAATTTGCTTAGAATTATGATCTCCATTATCCACGATTTCTTTCATCAGTGCTTTGTAGTTCTCCTTGTAGAGATTTTATATCTCCTTGGTTAAATGTATTCCTGGATATTTTATTTTTGTGTGTGGCTATTGTAAATGGAATTGAGTTTTTGATTTGGTTCTCAGTTTGAGTGTTGTTGATATATAGAAATGTAACTGGCTGGGCACGGTGGCTCATTCCTGTAATCCCAGCACTTTGGGAGGCTGAGGTGGGTGGGTCATCTGAGGTCAGGAGTTCCAGACCAGCCTGGCCAGCAAGTGAAACCTTGTCTGTACTAAAAATACAAAAATAAAAAAAAAAAGAAAGAAAGAAAAGAAAAAACTAGCTGGGCATGTTGGCATGCTCCTGTAATCCCAGCTACTCGGGAGACTGAGGTAGGAGAATTGCTTGAACCTGGGAGACAGAGGTTGCAGTGAGCCGAGATCGCGCCACTGCATTCCAGCCTGGGCAACAGAGTGAGACTCCATTTCAAAAAAAAAAAAAAAAAGAAATGCTGATCTTTTGCATGTTTTGTTTCGTATCCTGAAACTATATTGAAGTTGTTTATCAAGTTTAGGAGTCTTTTGGAGGAATCTTTAGAGTTTCCTAGGTATAAGATCATGTCATCAGCATATAGAGATAATTTGACATTCTCCTCCTTTCCAATTTGGATGCCTTTTATTCTTTCTCTTGCCTGATTGCTCTGGCTAGGACTTTCAGTACTATACTGAATAGCATTGGTGAGAGTGAGCATCCTTTTCTTCTTCCAGGTGTAACTAAAACTTCATACCCATTGAACAACTTCCCATACCCCCCTACCCCTACCCTCAGCTTTTGATAATCACCATTCTAGTCTCTGCTTCTATCAGTTTGACTATTTTAGATAACTCATCAAAGTGAAATCATGCTGTATTTGTCCTTTGATTGGTTTATTTCACTTAGCATAATGTCTTCCAACCTAACTATGCCCTAACAAATGACAGAATTTCATTCTTTCATAAAGCTGAAAAATATTCCATTGTATGTATATGTCACATTTTCTTTATTCACCCGTTGATGGACATTTGGGTTGTTTCCACATCTTGGCTGTTGAGAATCATGCTGCAGTGAACATGAGAGTGCAGATATCTCTTCAAGATACTGATTTCAGTACCTCTGGATTAATACTCAATAGTGGGACTGCTCAATCCCATGGCAGTTCTATTTTTGATTTTTTGAGGAAGCTCTGTGCTGTTTTCGACAGTGGCTGCACCATTTTACATTCCTACTAACAGTGTATAAGAGTTCCAATTTCTCCGTGTCCTCACCAATGCTTTTTATCTTTTTTTTATGACAGTCATCTTAACAGGTGCATGGTGATATCTCCTCATTACTTTTGATTTGCATGAATAGTAAAACCATTGAGCACCTTTTCATGTGTCTGTTGGCTATCTGTATGTCTTCAGAGAGATATCTATTCCAGTCCTTTGCCCATTTTTAAGTCAGTTTATTATTTTTTATTTTTGCTATGGAATTGTAGAAGTTGTTAATATATTTTGGATATTAGCCTCTTATCAGCTATATGGTTTGCAAATATTCCAGTTTCATATGTTACCTTTTCATTCTGTTAGTTTATAAGCTGATATGCCCATTTGGCCATCCTGATACTTCACAGCCAGCCAAACAGACTGTTTGGTTTCTGTGTCAAACTGTTATTAAACATATAGAATCTCACTTAATTTGGTAGCTGGCTTAACAAGAGTCCAAGAAACTTGTCCATTGACACTTCAGTATCATGTGGTAGGTTAACCAGGTGTGCACCTGGGGCTCCCCACCTCTCTAATTCTGTCCCATATTAGCAAGATGATCTCCAGCTCCAGGTGAAAAATACAAGAAGTATTGATGGAGAAAATATTTTTCTTGTGTGAGCAGACAAGGGCCTTTAAGGCTAATGCTCTTCATTGTGGGCTCAAAACATTTGAACGAGGTATGAAGAGAGTGCTGAGTGAGAATGGTGGCATCACAGAGCTCATGCTGATCACAGTCACATTCTTAAGAGATGAGGTAATTCAAGGGGAGAGTACAGTCTCCCCAAAAGACTAAGTGCAGTCATATTAGGAGGTTTCTGAACACTTTTTCTAGAATGATTCTGATTCAGATTCAGGTATGAGTGGAGTGTAAATGTATGTCACTACATTACTGACTAGACTAAGTTACTCTAAATTCTCCTTCTTTTCTGCAGCAAAATGCCCCAAGTCTATGTTAAGTCCTGCCTTTTTGGTCTTGTCCCCAACCTTTCCTTCTGCCCCCACAACTTTCTAAGGGTTTGTCATCATTGGCATGCTAATAAAATTGTCGAAGGAAGGTAATTCCAAACTGGACTGGGGAAAGGCTGGCTTATTTGTGTGGAATAGAGTTGTTTTAAATCACTGGTAAGAATTGATTTAATGTTTACTTTCTTCTCCCTGAGATTTGATATCAGTATTTTATGGTATGTCCTAGAAACATACAGGTTTAAGTTTAAAAGGTGAAGAGGGCCAGGTGTAGGGGGTCATATCTGTAATCCCAGCACTTTGGGAGGTCGAGGGAGGAGGATCACGTGAGCTCAGGAGTTCAAGACCAGCCTAAGCAACATAGTGAGACTCCGTCCCTACTAAATAAATAAATAAATAAATAAATAAATAAATAAATACATGGTAAGTGCATATCTTTTTTTGCAAAATTTCTTTTGAAATGTCTTTAAAAATATACAGAACAGCAAAAAAAAAAAAACCTAGAATATTTAAAGATTTTGTGTTTTTATTTACTGAAGAATAACTGGAAGGTGGGCAATGTCCAACTCATGAGTGTATCTTGGTATCTTGTAGTGTTTCTTAAGAGGATAACAGCTCTCATAAAAATACTGGCATTAAAAATGTTTTACTGACTGACAACATAAATCTTTACCATTTTTCAATTAAAGAACAAATAATTATTTTCAGAAAAAAAGAATGCACTGTCATTTGATAAACAACTTGTTGCTTGCAATGATTTTACTTATTTTTCACACAAAGAATAATTTTTCCAGAAGATTTAAGTGAGAAAGACATTAAGTCTTGTTGTTTTATTTTCTTCTATTTATTCATTTGCTAAAAAAGAAAGATAGGCTTTTTGTCTCTTCCTGAAGGATTTCCCAAATAAGAAAAAAATTAACCCAAAGGGAGAGACTTCCTTTTATACCTAGATGAAGAATCTAATCTTAAAAGCTACATTATCATTTGTCATTTCTAATGATGGTAAGCATGTAAGCATCAGGATTTTTTGAAGACATTATTATGAAATCTATTTCCTGAATGCTTCCTCATGCAATCATTTGTTGACCAACTCATTACTGTTCTTGGGAAGTTGTAAGTGTCTTTCTCACAGCTGACAGTGGACTCCTTGTTTAGGACTGACATAGAAACAGCACATGATAAACACTGGTCTAAAAATGCGGGATCGATCAATACGTTAAATCTTTGTGCAAGTATTTTTTAACATGGTTGTGTCTATATTGCCTCAAATATTATATGTTTATATCTCCAGTTTTTGACTTTTTTTACAGGACGGTTTAAATTGATATTATCCTATAGTTTCATTTTTGCTAAAATAACTTTAACAAAGTCAATCACTTCTTTAAATTCCTGTTTTCATTTTTAAGCTTTCATTGTTAAAGATTTTAAAGCAATGCTTTACATTGTTTTTTGTAACTCACTATGCTTTGTGAGATATTGACATGAACCATTTTGCACCAGAAGTGGTTGAAAATGTAGATGAAAATAACCCAGAAGTTAGAACTGAAAAATATATTATTAGATGCAGGTATAAATTCACTATTAAGAACATAGAAGAAAAACAGTCCCTACCTTCTGCCATGAAAAGGGTTTACCTTTGGTTTCCATGGTTTGGAAGAATATAGTGCTGGGTAGCTGAAATGTCATTGGAGGTTTTTTGTTTTGTTTTTTCATGTTTTTCAATGTTGTTAAAACAAAACATTGCTGAGGGACATCTCGGCCCACCTATAGTTTTATGAGCACAAAAGCTGCCTTGTGTCCTTGGTCATTGTCGGCCTTTCACCAAACTGCAGCACTGAACTGATTGTAAAATGCGTGCTTCTGTGATGGGAGATGCACTTAGAAATGTCACGCTGTGCTTCTGTTGCATTCGTCTGTAAATGACTTTCTCTCTAAGTTAGACCAGGTCAGCCATCTGCTTGGGTGTAGGGCAGAAGTAATAGCCTTGCTATTAAAGAAGGAGAAGGACGAAGAGGAGGAAGAAGTGCAAGAAGAGGAAAAAGGAGGAGGAGGACAGGGAGAAGAAGAGGCAAAAAGGAGAGTTGATATTTCCTATAATAGGATTTTTGTGCCCTCATGGAGATTAATAGACTTGAAAGCTAGGATCTATTGAAACAGAAAACGATTAGTATCTAAATACCCTTACCTCCTCTTTTAACATACCAGGAGCCAGCCACATCTCAGAGTTTTCCTGTATGCCCCACGCTGGAAGACTGTAAGCCCCAAAGAAGGGATGGAAAGCCAGGCCTTACCTCCAACCCAGCCACTATGATAAGATGAATGAAGACAAGGACTTTGCCCCTTTCCTGTCTTCCTCACTGTTTCTGCCACAAACTCATAGGAGCATCTGTCATTTATAGTTATGGGTTTCAATTCCACAGCCACTAGCCAAATGTGGCTATTTAAATTGAAATTTAAATCAGTTAACATAAAACTGAAAAAAACTTCAGCCCTTCAGTCTCAGTAGCCACATTTCAAGTGCTCAATAGTTACATGTGCCCAGTGGCTGCTGGACTGGGTGGTGTAGCTATAGAACTTGCCCATCATTGCCAAGCCTACTGGTCAGCAACTTCCACGTGGAGACTGAATTCCTGAAAGAACTTTCAATAATTGGAATAAAGGTTATCCAATTAAATTGCTTTTGAGTGGAGGTTTTAAGCAGATTTAGATCAGTTAACAGGAAACAAAAAAAACCCCACTTCTTTAACATGTGCGCATCTTCATACAGTCCTGTAAATTTGCAAATATGGTTCTGTAACTTTAAATAATTGAATTATTTGTTTTTCCTTGCAGAGTGGCTTTTGTTGTATTACTTTTCCTTTCTTGAATGTCTTAGGGAATTATAATAATGATTACCTCTCCTTTGATCACTTCTCATCTGGAGTTTCTTATTTCTTTTACACATGGTTCAGAAACACACAAAACTTTGTCTGAGGTTCTAGTCTGGGTCCTGTCCTCAGGGGCATGAAAGAAATTGGCTGCCTGACCAAGTACAGGTGTCTAGGGAACCACGGGGGATAACCAGGTGTTAGGTGGAAGGGGTGAGTGGGGAATTGGAAACCGCGTGGAAATCGAGAGCTTTTGGATTGAAGATATTAGGAAAATGTGGGGAAGCACAAGTAAGGCCAAAGGGCTCCACAGGTGAGGCTGTGAAAAGCCGAGCCTATAAATGAGAGCAGCCTTGCTGACTTAAAAGTGTAGGCCCTTTAGTGTAATCTAGTTGCCTAAAGCTTACGAATCTTACAAAGCTTCATATATCCTAAGGTAGGATCTGGGATCAATGACAGAATCAGTGCTCTAGTCTCAGAGGATGGAAGAGTAAACTGTGAGTGTTCTTTTTTTTTCTTCTCTGTCTCCCTGTTCTGGATATAATTTAGCATCTAACTGTGCTCTAATTCTCCATGTTATTTTCTCCATGATATTATCGTAATATCTTAAACTCAGGAATCAGTATTTTACAATGCTCCCTATCCTGCTTGCCACAAGGCAGATCTTCAGTGTGTGTTTGTTGACTAAAACAGTTCGAGGAGGAATTCCACCTCTGAAGAACATTATCATGGCCTGAGAAAAATAAATATGTGGTAGTACATTCCTGCCCAAATCAGTTTTATGTCAGATTTCCCCAGCAATAAAATATTAGCGTATTTTCAAGAAGTGACATTTGTGCCTATGGTTTATTATAAGAAGTTCAAAATAAGGAATCCAGTGATTATTCTGCTACATGCATTGGATTTATACAAGGCTATTTCTTAAAGCATTTTTCAGTTCCTACAGAGTGTTAACACCACATTAATCAAAGGGTAGCCCTGCTCTAAAACCCATTGTTTAGGGTCAGTGGAGTCTTTGTATTAATGTAGTACCAAGAAAAGAATTAGGCTAGGTGCAGTGGCTCATGCCTGTAATCTCAGCACTCTGGGAGGCCGAGGTGGGCAGATCACCTGAGGTCAGGAGTTCAAGACCAGCTTGGGCAACATGGAGAAACCCCATCTCTACAAAAAACTACAAAAATTAGCCAGGGATGGTGGTGTGTGCCTATTGTCCCAGCCATGTGGGAGTGCAATTTGATTAGGCGCTGAGGATCTGACGTCTTTGCCTGCCCTCCCCATCATACGCACCTTTTTCTTCATTCTTCAGGAAATGTTTACACTGTCAAAGCACGTGGTTTCTATTAATGCCATAATCAGCAGCACTATGCAAACTATGCAAACATAAATTTTCATGTTTAATGAAAAGTAGTGAAGGTTTAAGGAATGGCTGTCAGTGATTTGTTTCACCCATGGTCTGTGTGAGAAAAACAAAAATATGTGGTTTTAGGTTTTTGAAGCTATAATTTCACTAAAGGAGAGTCAGCGACTACATAAAAAGCCATGACATAGAGGGCGAGAAAGTTAAATTAGAGATGTGTGTGTGTATGTTTGTGTGTGCGTATACCTGGCTCTTTATTTGTTTTTATTGATCCATCACCTAAAGGTTACATTATATTTTTCTCTTATGAATTGACTCCCCCTTAAATATGTTTAGCATCTTTCAAACGATATTTCTTAAAAAAAAAAAAAAAGAGCTAGCATGCCAGTTTCTAATATCTTAATGAGGATTCTCTAATGGATTTTTCAAATCTCAAGGCTTTCAGAAACTAAAAAATCCCACTTGTATACTGTTCTTGACTCAACAGGTTCAGTGTTATTACTTACTTTTCAGACTTCCTATTTGCCAACTATTCAGGTAGCAAAACAGTGAAAATTAATCTAGGTGGAATGATTCACATAGAGACACAGAAATTAGAACTCCTATACTTCCTATACCCAGTGGGTTTTTTTTAAGTAAACTATTAAAAGTATTGCTTGGATTTTCATTAAATTAAAAGGAAATAGTCTGAGTAAGCAAGCCAGAAAATCCAGGCAGAGGTGGCTTCTTTCCAGTGACTATGAGCAAATCTTATGCTTTAATTAAAATAAAATTCTGGTCTGGAACTTGGTACCATGTTGTCTCAATAGACGCAACCTGAGGTAACAATTTCCTTTTTTTTTTTTTTTTTTTTTTGAGATGGAGTGCAATGGTGCAATCTCGGCTCACTGCAACCTCTGCCTTCAGGGTTCACACGATTCTCCTGCCTCAGACTCCTGAGTAGATGGGATTATAGGGGCATGCCACCATGTCCAGCAAATTTTTGTATTTTTACAAAAATTTTTTAGTTTGTGAAAGCCTTGTATTTTTAGTAGAGATTGGGTTTCACCATGTTGGCCAGGCTGGTCTCGAACTCCTGACCTCAGGTGATCCACCTGCCTCGGCCTCCCAAAGTGCTGGGATTACAGGTGAACCACTGCACCCTGCCAATTCGCTTTGTCTTTATTAGCCTCTTCGTGCCCAGCTTCTGTTTTATCTCTGTTTGCAATACCTCTTCCCCAAACAGCCAATTCTTGATATTCATGGTAGTTATGTTCTATAAAGTCACTGAAAACAGTGAATTAGCAAATACTGAACCTCTGTTTCAAGAGGAAATACACGGCTAGGTTCTTGTGAATCTCCGGTCACAACATTTTCCTCAGCCCCTCAACACAGAACCTTGTTTAATATGTGTTTCTATTGGAAGACGCCTTATTTTAGTACCTATTGTTGATTCATTAGCATTGAACTCATGACCAGCGACATTGTAACTCATGTCTGAATGAAACATATCAAACCCACGTATTTTCCCTGTAAGGGACAGCACGGCTCTGTTGCACTTAGAAATGGCAGAAAGCGCTTAAACACTATGCTTGGAGGCCGTTTTAAACAGCAACATCACCAACTCCAAAAACTCAAAAAATATGGCACTAAATGAACTCAAAAAGGACACTTGTGCACGGTATGAGAGCTGAAACAAGAAGGCAGAGCGTTGCCATGTTGGACTTCAGCTGGGAATGCACGCATCTGCTAGACGACTGGCATTTTCCTCTATGCTGCACTTGTCTGTTAATGACGGAGAAAGTCCCGCAAGTATTGATTTTGGGGTTATAATATAAATTGTAAAATAAATCTATTTAATAGATTACTTTACGAAATTTATAAATTTCGTAAAGTAATAAAACTAAATATAAAATAAAATAAAGTGAATGGCAAATTTGCAAATACAAACTTCACAAATTATGAGAATAGACTGTATTCTTTCTTTTTTCTTTTCTTTTTTTTTTTAAATGTTGTATGCTTTTACTTACATACCTAGAGTAGTCAAATCTAGAGAGACAGAAAGTGGAATGGTGGTTGCCAGGAGCTTGGGGAGGGGAGAATAGGGAGTGTTCAATGGATGCAGAGTTTCTGGTTGGGAAGATGAAAACATTCTGGAGATGGACGATGGTGATGGCTGGACAACAAAGTGAATGTACTTATTCCCACAGAACTGTGCATTTAAGAATGGTTAAAATGAAAAATTTTACCTGTAATCACATTTTTTTTTTAAAGGAAAAGAAAACCATACTTATAAGTATCCTCATTCCTCCTGTTTCCCTTTCCTCCAGCCTCTGGCAACCAGGAATCTACTTTCTTTTATTATTATTATTATTATTATTATACTTTAAGTTTTAGGGTACATGTGCACAACGTGTAGGTTACATACGTATACATGTGCCATGTTGGTGTGCTGCACCCATTAACTCGTCATTTAGCATTAGGTATATCTCCTAATGCTATCCCTCCCCCCTCCCCCCACCCACAACAGGCCCCAGTATGTGATGTTCCCCTTCCTGTGTCCACGTGTTCTCATTGTTCAATTCCCACCTATGAGTGAGAATTCGTGGTGTTTGGTTTTTTGTCCTTGCGATAGTTTGCTGAGAATGATGGTTTCCAGCTTCATCCATGTCCCTGCAAAGGACATGAACTCATCATTTTTTATGGCTGCATAGTATTCCATGGTGTATATGTGCCACATTTTCTTAACCCAGTCTATAATTGTTGGACATTTGGGTTGGTTCCACGTCTTTGCTATTGTGAATAGTGCTGCAATAAACATACGTGTGCATGTGCCTTTATAGCAGCATGATTTATAATCCTTTGGGTATATACCCAGTAATGGGATGGCTGGGTCAAATGGTATTTCTAGTTCTAGATCCCTGAGGAATCGCCACACTGACTTCCACAATGGTTGAACTAGTTTACAGTCCCACCAACAGTGTAAAAGTGTTCCTATTTCTCCACATCCTCTCCAGCACCTGTTTTTTCCTGACTTTTTAATGATTGCCATTCTAACTGGTGTGAGATGGTATCTCATTGTGGTTTTAATTTGCATTTCTCTGATGGCCAGTGATGAGCATTTTTTCCTTCCTTTCTATTCTTCCCATCACCATTTTGATCTAGGTCACTCATTGGTTGCTGAAAAATCCCCTCACTATTCTCCTCTCCAGCCATGTCTCATTAATTCTCCCTTCTTGCTAATACTAATCTTTTCAATTACTTTCATATTGTCACTATGCATCTTAACTTTTGAACTTTTAAGTAAAAGAAAATATCCCAACATTCAAAAACTCTCTGGTTCTTTATATTTTCTTATTTTATATCTTTTCCTAGACCAGCACTGTCCAATAGAACTTTCTGCAATGATGAGATGCTCTCTGTCTGCACTGAGCTAGCTGTACACAGCTGGTGAACACTTGAACCGTGACTAGTCAAACTGAGGAACCAGCTAATCTATTGGACAGCACAGACATTAACTACCGATTAAGAATAGTTAGCTCATTCTGTCCCAAAGATTATGTAGGAATTTCTCCTTTCTTGCCTTTGTCTCTATGACTTTACCCTCTTCTTGTTCCCCATCCTGGTCTTAATTGCCTGCCTGTTTCATTTTTCTCTATTCTCATTCCACCCTGTGGGAAACCATCCATGATCCATCCCATTCAGGCAGAAGAAATTTCTGTGCTTTCTGAATTCCCAAAGATATTGTTTGTTTAATGTCATCTCTTCCTGGCATGGTCGCAAGGTCTCTAAGGGAGAAAAAAGCTGGTCATCAGTAAACACAGTGTCTAATATTCAAGTAGAGGCCTAATAAATATGTATTCATTGATTGTCAGCAGTGCTTTTCACCACAAGAAAACAGGAAAAATAAAATGCACACTGCTTTGGAGATTTTAGAAGTCAGGCTTGGCTAGGAACAGAAAGATCCCCAAATCTCAGCAACATACAAAGAGAAAGATTTATTTCTTGCTCGTGTCCTGTGGTCCTATGGCATTGTGACTTGGCTACAGCTCTGTTATTCCAGGACCTTGGCTGATTTATCAGCCTCTGAAAACTTCTACCTGTAAGTGACATTACACTGGACAAAGCAATATGCCTGGTCACTGCTGAGGTCAACAGGGAGAAAGGACATGGTCTTCCTGCATGAAGGACATGAGGACATTTGGTAAAACGTGATAATCTACAACGGGAATCAGATTTTTAAGTTAGGTTTTCACTATTTCTTTTTCATGTCTGGAATGGCTTCATTAACCCATCTTTCCATGCTTCACTTTGTTCCAGACTTTAAGTGGCCTCCAGAATGTTTTCTGGGGGGGGCAAGTCTGATTATTTCTTTACCTTGAACTAAAGCCTTCAGAGACTTCCCATTCTGTGTATGAAATGCCTAAACTCCTAAACATGGTCCCTGCGAATCTTCCCAATCCAGGCTCCCTTGGTCACTTCCCCACCCTACACCCTATACTTTTGTGTTCCTCAATTGCCTTTGCAGCCAGCCAGATCACCTCCTCGAATACTGGTCCCTGATAACCATCCACCCAGATCAAAGTGACCTCTGAGAACCCCCCAGAGATTTCAATCCTAGTTGGTGCTTCTCTAAGACACGGTACACAACTCTTGTTATAGAGCATTTCTTAAGTTCATCGTATTCATGGGTTTACACGGCCTTCCTTCCACTTGCTCTAAACTTCCTCGATGGCAGAGCCTCAACACTGCTTTCCTCACCTTTATAACCCTGGAGCTTAGTATGGTGCCTGTCACAGCTGGTGCTTAATAAATCCTTCCTCTATGGAAGAGAAGTAGGAAAACCCCTCTTCCGGTAGACCATATTACACAAGGCATGGCATGTGGTTTCTAATACCTCTGTGCTAGAGGATAATTTACAAAATAAAGGCACAAGGGCTATGATAGCCCTAAACTATACAGTAAGCATTTATTTGTCACCACAGGTATAATTCATCTATGACAGGTTATTAATGGAATTGGACAGAAAATGTTTACAAGTATTTACATTATTGAGAGTCTGGCTATGTTTGGAAGCACTGGAGCTTTTTAAAACAGAAAATCAAATATATTGTATCTTTGAGGAAACGTATGAATCCCTCTATATGAAATATGTGGATGTATTTTTACAGCATGCTTGTTTAGAGGCATTTTCCAATCAGATAGGTTTCTCCAAGAATTAGAACCATCATTCATTTTCTCCCTTAGTGTCGGTGCTACTAACCTACATACAAATGAGGGGGACGCTGCTAACCACTGCCAGTGACCAGAGAAAGAGCTACCAGACTTCTAGTATCCTCCCAAAAAGGCTTCACTGCACATACAATAGAAAAAACCTGGCAGCTCATTTCAACACAAGGCTGGGGTACATTTTCCACAGCATTCAACTCACTGGAGAGGCCCAGAGAAACAGCTATGGCTTCTTGTGTAGCTTACTGTCTCTATTATTCCATTTATAAACCAAATTTCACTCTCAACACATAATGAAGTCTTTTGTTACATTGAAGCATTCCATAAACTGTGTTATATTTTTAAGATCAGGACGTCTGCCTAGTAATGCATATGATAGTAGTAATATTATAAACTTGATACTTTAGGCCCTTTTGGTTCAAACCTTTGTGATACTTTTAATGATGCAAAGTGCCTATTTGTAAGCCTGGATATTAGTCTCTATCTTTTTGCATCTCATATAAAAGAATTGATTTTTTAAATGTGATGTTCATTTATATTAATTGCTTTGGAAATTTGCTCTGTGGGCTTCATAATACCAAAGACCAGAATAGCTCATGGCCGCTTTTGCCAAAAATCTGTTTTTCTAAAAGCTTTCTCTTCAATTGCTTTTCAGTAAATGTATTCCTGTGATCCATTCTTATAATTTATTACCAAATGCCTAAAATAGCAGGCTTTGTTCAGCCTTTGACCGAGAGATTCTGAGTTTGCTGAGACTTCAGTTGCCATTGAGAGAGCATCATTTGGAAGCATAGTGCCAACCGCCTCCCAGTTAGCTGCAAGTTTCAGAAACTTGTTCTAGTCCCTCCTCTTAGCATCTTTTAAAAAACAGGAGATAACTCCTAAAAAAGCTTGTTAACTGACAAAATGTCTCCCAAGTGTCAGATTTTTGTTGTTCCATTTATATTCTAAGTTATAGAGTAATATTAACACATCAGAAAGGCTCATGGAGGTGTTTCTTGAAACCCTACTGCTTACCTTTAGGATAAAAAAAAGAAAACAGTTATAATTTTCCTTGATAAAGAGATTAAATTTAGGTCCATATAGTGAGCAATGTCATTCACTCATTCTCCAGGTTTTTTTTTTTTTTTAATTATCTTCTAGGCGCACTATATTGGGAACGCAATGATGAATTAAGCAGTTCCTGCCCACATAGAGCTTAGTCTTATTGAGGAATTCTTAAACACATTTCTATTCTTCTTCTTCTTCTTCTTCTTCTTCTTCTTCTTCTTCTTCTTCTTCTTCTTCTTCTTCTTCTTCTTCTTCTTCTTCTTCTTCTTCTTCTTCTTCTTCTTCTTCTTCTTCTTCTTCTTCTTCTTCTTCTTCTTCTTCTTCTTCTTCTTCTTTCTTTCTTCACAGAAAGTTGGTTGCATAGAGAATATTGATATTTTACAACTAAGATAAGAGTTTTCCTTCATTTGCAAAGGCAAGCTTACACTGACTGACGATTGCTGTCATTTGCTCTCTGGAAAGAAATATTTTCTGTTTTCTCATCTCTTTAGCCAGCAGACACTAGGGATACAGTGGTGACAAGACAGCCACAGTTACTCCAGTGGCAACTGGAACGGCAGGATTATTTTTCCCTTGAGAATGATAATAATTCATTGTTTAGAGGGAGGAAAATCTTCCACAGAACATGGACCTGAAATTCTGACAACCGCTCTTCCTTTTTTCCTCTCTTTCTTTCTCCTTAATTTATTTTTTGTTGTACTTATGCATTCATCTCTTCAAGATGTTTACTTAGTACCTGATACATTGTAGATATTTTCACATTAATGATCCATGTAAATTTTATGAGAAACAGTTTTCCTTTACATTCTGCCTTCCTCCATTGTTTCTTTCTCTCTCTTAGGAATACTTTGTTTATTTTCCTCTCTATTTTTTCCATATTGATTTGAACTATCAATATGACTTTTAATATCCTCTAAGCAGAAATGCACGCATGACTTGAAGTGGCTTTGAAGACTAACTGAAGTGCTGAGGTTCAGTTGTGAGTTCTTCCGTTGAGTTGTAATTCAACACTACATTTTGAGCTGAAACTGAATGGAAAAGTTGGATGAGGAGCTTCATTCATTGTTTTACCACTTTATAAGCACTGTTTTTTTTTGCCACCAAAAATAGATGTGGCCAACCGTGAGCATTCAGTCTTCTTCTCCAAGCCCTACTATCTCTGGAATTCTCCTTTATCCTATTCTAGGGACTTTTGGTTTGCTGATCTTGAGGATATTCTAGCATTTTTTGTGAAAGGGCAGTCCCTCTGTTTTCTGTGGAACATGTTTTTATCTTCCCAAAGCCGACTGAGTGGTGTTCCAAGAGAAGCTATTGTCAGGCATACGATATCTGCCAAGAGGGGGAAATTATATCTTGTTTTTTAGTTGGACATCAGATAAGGCTAAGATTTGCTCATGTGTTCCTAAGTTTCTCTGAGACGAAGGGTCGGGGCAGAGAGCCGGGTGTGTGAGAAGATCAGGCTTAGAGAAGACACAGTAGTGGACGTAGCAGCCCTTTCCTGCCACAGGTGGTTTGATGAGGCTGCTGTTTCTGGGGGGTGGACTGGATGATGTAGAACATAGCTGGGCTTGAGCCATCCTACTATGACAGTATCTAGGGGGTTGTCCCTGGGGGAAGAGACCAGCATCCAGAAACAGTTGGATGGGCCACAGGAGGCAGAATCTGAGGAAGCGTGGAGGATGCTAGGGAGGCACCAGGGTCTTCCACATCATGTGCTGTCTTTGATTACCTTCAAGGAACAACAAGGAAAGAACCAAAAACGTACCCTTATTTCCTTCCCTTCTTAGAGCCCCCCATATTGGAGCCTAGGAGAGTGAGATGGAGGAAGGTGTGCCAGGGCAGAGCATTCCGTGCAGAGAGGAGACAGCCTTGAATAAGAGATGAGACTGAAGCTGTAAATGGACCTATACTAAGTTTTCACAATGAAATATTCTACCCAGCAGGAAAAAAGGATTTGACATAGCATATTTAGGAGTGCTGATTGGAAAAAATAAAACTATTTTTCAGTGGCATACCTCACTGAGATGAGATACTTAAATACACTGGTTACAAATGCTAATTTTCTTAGTATCTGACCCAGATAACTTTAAATTGTAAGATTTCTTACAGAGAAAATTTGAAAGAGGAAATAAAGCATCACTAGAAATTCAGCCAATACTAACTGTATGTTGTAATTTGGCACTTAATCAAATGCATGTTAAATTCTACTGTGGGTCAGGTACCATGCAGGATGCTTGGCATACAAAAATAAATAAGATAGGATCTCATAAGGCAATAAGCACACAATTATGCTACAGTTTGATAGGTGGGACAACAGAAGAGTGCACGATGAGCTCTGCCTCCGACTTTCTTGTTGAGATGTCTTCGAAAAGCCACACTGGAGGTGTGGTTTTCTGAAAGCCCATTTAATAACAGTGGAGAAGAGTTGGCATTTTCCTTTGGGAACTATGTAAGCTACAATTAATGAGGAATTCTATCATCTGTCTTCCACTTTTGTACTCTGTACTGATGCCGTGTTTGCTATCCCATCTCCCCATTTGGAGAAAACCGATTCATCTTTGAGGCCCAACTAAAATGTCAATGCTATGAAGCTTTGCTGGGTGGCAGCAGGTTAAATTAATGCCTTCCTTTTTCCTTTATAATCATTTGTTCATATCACTAATGATTACATTTGCCATATTCTATTACAGCTAGTTTTTCATATGTTCATGTAAAAACAGAAGGTGAACCCCTTGAATTTTCTTTTCTTTTCTTTTTTTTTTTTTTTTTTGAGACAGAGTCTGGCTCTCTTACCCATGCTGGAGTGCAATGGCATGATCTTGGCTCTCTGCAACCTCCATCCCCTGGGTTCAAGTGATTCTCCTGCCTCGGCCTCCCGAGTAGCTGGGATTACAGGTGCATGCCACCATAACCAGGCTAATTTTTGTATTTTTAGTAGAGACGGTGTTTCACCATGTTGGTCAGGCTGGTCTCGAACTCCTGACCTCAAGTGGTCCACCTGCCTCGGCCTCCCAAAGTGCTGAGATTACAGGCATGAGCCACTGCACCTGGCCGAATGTTGTTAATAGTGGCAAATAATAGTACAATTGTGATTCCTGTTATATAATTTATAGTAGTTTCCTGGTCTATTCCCTCTGATTTCACAGTGCAAAAATTATAAACCAGTTTGTAGATCTCCAGATCTAATTTTAGAATTTTCAAAATGAAGCCATTGGATCAGTTCAAAGATTTTTTTTTTTATTATACTTTAAGTTTTAGGGTACATGTGCACAATGTGCAGGTCTGTTACGTATGTATACATGTGCCACGTTGGTGTGCTGCACCCATTAACTCATCATTTAACATTAGGTATATCTCCTAATGTATCCCCCCCCCGCTACCCCCACCCCACAACAGGCCCCAGTGTGTGATGTTCCCCTTCCTGTGTCCATGTGTTCTCATTGTTCAATTCCCACCTATGAGTGAGAACATATGGTGTTTGGTTTTTTGTCCTTGTGATAGTTTGCTGAGAATGATGGTTTCCAGCTTCATCCATGTCCCTGCAAAGGACGTGAACTCATCATTTTTTATGGCTGCATAGTATTCCATGGTGTACATGTGCCACATTTTCTTAATCCAGTCTATGATTGTTGGACATTTGGGTTGGTTCCAAGTCTTTGCTATTGTGAATAGTGCCGCAATAAACATACGTGTGCATGTGTCTTTACAGCAGCATGATTTATAATCCTTTGGGTATATACCCAGTAAGGGATTGCTGGGTCAAATGGCATTTCTAGTTCTAGATCCCTGAGGAATCGCCACACTGACTTCCACAATGGTTGAACTAGTTTACAGTCCCACCAACAGTGTAAAAGTATTCCTATTTCTCCACATCCTCTCCAGCACCTGCTTTTTCCTGACTTTTTAATGATTGCCATTCTAACTGGTGTGAGATGGTATCTCATTATGGTTTTGATTTGCATTTTTCTGATGGCCAGTGATGATGAGCATTTTTTCATGTGTCTTTTGGCTGCATAAATGTCTTCTTTGGAGAAGTGTCTGTTCATATCTTCTCCCACTTTTTGATGGGGTTGTTTGTTCTTTTCTTGTAAATTTGTTTGAGTTCTTTGTAGATTCTGGATATTAGCCCTTTGTCAGATGAGTAGATTGCAAAAACTTTCTCCCTTTCTGTAGGTTGCCTATTCACTCTGAACAGAAGCTCTTTAGTTTAATTTTTTTGCTGTGCAGAAGCTCTTTAGTTTAATTAGATCCCATTTGTCAATTTTGGCTTTTGTTGCCATTGCTTTTGGTGTTTTAGACATGAAGTCCTTGCCCATGCCTATGTCCTGAATGGTATTGCCTAGGTTTTCTTCTAGGGTTTTTATGGTTTTAGATCTAACATTTAAGTCTTTAATACATCTTGAATTAATTTTTGTATAAGGTGTAAGGAAGAGATCCAGTTTCAGCTTTCTACATATGGCTAGCCAGTTTTCCCAGCACCATTTATTAAATAGGGAATTCTCTCCCCATTTCTTGTTTTTGTCAGGTTTGTCAAAGATCAGATAGTTGTAAATATGTGGCATTATTTCTGAGGCCTCTGTTCTGTTCCATTGGTCTATATCTCTGTTTTGGTACCAGTACCATGCTGCTTTGGTTACTGTAGCGTTGTAGTATAGTTTGAAGTCAGGTAGCATGATGCCTCCAGCTTTGTTCTTTTGGCTTAGGATTGACTTGGAAATGTGGGCTCTTTTTTGGTTCCATATGAACTTTAAAGTAGTTTTTTCCAATTCTGTGAAGAAAGTCATTGGTAGCTTGATGGGGATGGCATTGAATCTGTAAATGACCTTGGGCAGTATGGCCATTTTCGTCATATTGATTCTTCCTACCCATGAGCATGGAATGTTCTTCCATTTGTTTGTGTCATCTTTTATTTCATTCAGCAGTGGTTTGTAGTTCTCCTTGAAGAGGTCCTTCACATCCCTTGTAAGTTGGATTCCTAAGTATTTTATTCTCTTTGAAGCAGTTGTGAATGGGAGTTCACTCATGATTTGGCTATTTTTCTGTTATTGGTGTATAAGAATGCTTGTGATTTTTGCACATTGATTTTGTATCCTGAGACTTTGCTGAAGTTGCTTATCAGCTTAAGGAGATTTTGGGCTGAGACAATGGGGTTTTCTAGATATACAATCATGTCGTCTGCAAACAGGGACAATTTGACTTCCTCTTTTCCTAATTGAATACCATTTATTTCCTTCTCCTGCCTAATTGCCCTGGCCAGAACTTCCAACACTATGTTGAATAGGAGTGGTGAGAGAGGGCCTCCCTGTCTTGTGCCAGTTTTCAAAGGGAATGCTTCCAGTTTTTGTTCATTCAGTATGATATTGGCTGTGGGTTTGTCATAAATAGCTCTTATGATTTTGAGATATGTCCCATCAATACCTAATTTATTGAGAGTTTTTAGCATGAAGGGCTGTTGAATTTTGTCAAAGGCTTTTTCTGCATCTGTTGAGATAATCATGTGGTTTTTGTCATTGGTTCTGTTTATATGCTGGATTACATTTATTGATTTTTGTGTGTTGAACCAGCCTTGCATCCCAGGGATGAAGCCCACTTGATCATGGTGGATAAGCTTTTTGATGTGCTGCTGGATTCGGTTTGCCAGTATTTTATTGAGGATTTTTGCATTGATGTTCATCAGGGATATTGGTCTAAAATTCTCTTTTTTTTGTTGTGTCTCTGCCCGGCTTTGGTATCAGGATGATGCTGGCCTCATAAAATGAGTTAGGGAGGATTCCCTCTTTTTCTGTTGATTGGAATAGTTTCAGAAAGAATGGTACCAGCTCCTCCTTGTACCTCTGGTAGAATTCAGCTGTGAATCCATCTGGTCCTGGACTCTTTTTGATTGGTAAGCTATTAATTATTACCTCAATTTCAGAGCCTATTATTGGTCTATTCAGAGATTCAACTTCTTCCTGGTTTAGTCTTGGGAGAGTGTATGTGTCGAGGAATGTATCCATTTCTTCTAGATTTTCTAGTTTATTTGTGTAGAGGTGTTTATAGTATTCTCTGATGGTAGTTTGTATTTCTGTGGGATCGGTGGTGATATCCCCTTTATCATTTTTTATTGCATCTATTTGATTCTTCTCTCTTTTCTTCATTAGTCTTACTAGTGGTCTATCAATTTTGTTGATCTTTTAAAAAAACCAGCTCCTGGATTCATTGATTTTTTGAAGGGTTTTTCTGTCTCTATCTCCTTCAGTTCTGCTCTGATCTTAGTTATTTCTTGCCTTCTGCTAGCTTTTGAATGTGTTTGCTCTTGCTTTTCTAGTTCTTTTAATTGTGATGTTAGGGTGTCAATTTTAGATCTTTCCTGCTTTCTCTTGTGGGCATTTAGTGCTATAAATTTCCCTCTACACACTCCTTTGAATGTGTCCCAGAGATTCTGGTATGTTGTGTCTTTGTTCTCATTGGTTTCAAAGAACATCTTTATTTCTGCCTTCATTTCGTTATGTACCCAGTAGTCATTCAGAGCAGGTTGTTCAGTTTCCATGTAATTGAGTGGTTCTGAGTGAGTTTCTTAATCCTGAGTTCTAGTTTGATTGCACTGTGGTCTGAGAGACAGTTTGTTATAATTTCTATCCTTTGACATTTGCTGAGGAGTGCTTTACTTCCACCTATGTGGTCAATTTTGGAATAGGTGTAGTGTGGTGCTGAAAAGAATGTATATTCTGTTGATTTGGGATGGAGAGTACTGTAGTTGTCTATTAGGTCTGCTTGGTGCAGAGCTGAGTTCAATTCCTGGATATCCTTGTTAACTTTCTGTCTCATTGATCTGTCTAATGTTGACAGTGGGGTGTTAAAGTCTCCCATTATTATTGTGTGGGAGTCTAAGTCTCTTTATAGGTCTCTAAGGACTGGCTTTATGAATCTGTATGCTCCTGTATTTGGTGCATATATATTTAGGATAGTTAGCTCTTCTTGTTGAATTGATCCTTTTACCATTATGTAATGGCCTTCTTTGTCTCTTTTGATCTTTGTTGGTTTAAAGTCTGTTTTATCAGAGACTAGGATTGCAACCCCTGCCTTTTTTTTTTCCATTTGCTTGGTAGATCTTTCTCCATCCCTTTATTTTGAGCCTATGCGTGTCTGCATGTGAGATGGATTTCCTGAATACAGTACACTGATGGGTCTTGACTCTTTATCCAATTTGCCAGTCTGTGTCTTTTAATTGGAGCATTTAGCCCATTTACGTTTAAGGTTAATATTGTTATGTGTGAATTTGATCCTGTCATTATGATGTTAGCTGGTTATTTTGCTCGTTAGTTGATGCAGTTTCTTCCTAGCCTCGATGATCTTTACAATTTGGCATGTTTTTGCAGTGGCTGGTACCGGTTGTTCCTTTCCATGTTTAGTACTTCCTTCAGGAGCTCTTTTAGGGCAGGCCTGGTGGTGACAAAATCTCTCAGCATTTACTTGTCTGTAAAGTATTTTATTTCTCCTTCACTTATGAAGCTTAGTTTGGCTGGATATGAAATTCTGGGTTGAAAATTCTTTTCTTTAAGAATGTTGAATATTGGCCCCCACTCTCTTCTGGCTTGTAGGGTTTCTGCCGAGAGATCCGCTGTTAGTCTGATGGGCTTCCCTTTGTGGGTAACCCAACTTTTCTCTCTGGCTGCTTTTAACATTTTTTCCTTCATTTCAACTTTGGTGAATCTGACAATTATGTGTCTTGGAGTTGCTCTTCTCGGGGAGTATCTTTGTGGCATTCTCTGTATTTCCTGAATTTGAATGTTGGCCTGCCTTGCTAGATTGGGAGTTCAAAGATTTAACTATATTTACATTGTTGTTATTCTCGTGGATACCATATAGAATACGAGCTAAACTCAGAGATACTGAAGTTGGATAACCCAGAGACAAAGTCTGCCTTTGACTCTTAACCTCTTTAAATATTGATTTCCTTGAAGCTACAATAGAGAGAAGAACAATGCCTATCTCAAAGGATTTTGTGAGAATTAGATAAGACCACCTTTATAAATTGCTTAATATACTGCCCAGGTGTAGTAAGAGGTTATTAAATATTATTTTCATTGCATCTGTGATTACTTGTGATTCGTCCTTCTCTCTCATTCTCTGAGATTAGATGGATTTCCAACTAGAGAGAATAGAAATACATTGCTAACTCTGAGAGTAGAATGGTGGTTACCAGAGGCTGGGAAGGCAAGGAGGGAGGGAGAACTGAAGAAGAAAAATAATATAATGCACTTGCTACTACTGAACTGTACATTTAAAAATGATAAATAGGGTAAATTGTATACATTTTTTACCTCAATAAAAATAAAATAAACAAAATTCTCAAAATGGTAATTGTTTACTTACATTTCATGTACTGTATCTCATTTGATCCATATAAAACTGTAAAATAAATAGGCTTCACTGAGATGATGCCCATCCTATTGCATATGGAAAATAAATCTCAGAGGGGAGCAATTTGCTCAAGGGCGTGCAAGAAGCAAATACCAGATTTGCTGATATAAGCCAGACTTCATGAGCCAAGAATCAAGTTCTTTCTATTTCTATACATGCTGTTATTCTCTAGATCAATTGCCATCATCTTTATTTCAGAGAAAAATATGTATGCGTATCAGGGGCATCTACATATAAAAATTCTAGTTCTTTTTCTTTCTCTCTCAACAGAACAACAGAGCAGCAGCTAATCTTGGCAGTTAGTTCTGTTGTCTATGATGTTCTTTCTCCTCCAGCCTCCCTTGAAATATAAAAATGTCAGGTATGTCTACAAAAGCTCTGTCCTATTTGAGATAATTTTGAATTCGGTTAATCGCTTCACTCTATAGGCGAATTCAGGTTAATGCACCTGGAAAGGAGGAGAGCAGCAGCCTTGCAGCTCCCAGCAGCTCCACCCAAGCTGTGCACAGCCTGATGCTAGCAAGGACCTGGGCCTGCCACGGTGTAGGAGGGAGAATGAAGTCACATAGAAAGTCAAAAAGTGGTTTCCCAAGCAGCCAAAAACAGACCTCTTAAACGGCCCCCTCACATCTTTTAAAATTAAATGTTCAGCAGAACTTGAAACATTAGTTCATTAACATGTCAATACATCTTCCACATCACTGCACAAAGGTAAGCTCTAAGAATAAAATGCAGTGTTTAGATATATTTTTTAACATGTAAAAATTATAGGTAAAGCGGAACATGGCATAACTCCAAAAAGATCTTTCTGTTTGGGCATTGTGGTTTCAGTTACTTATGGATCCCAGATCTGAGCTCTAGCAAATTCCCTGACACCAGTATTGTGGGATGAATTGCGTCCCCCTAAAATTCATAGGTTGAAGTCCTCACTCCCTATACTCCAAAATGCAACTGTATTCGGAGATAGGTATTAAGTCAAAATTAGGTCACCAGCGTAGGCTTTAATCCAATCTGACTTGTATCCTTATGAGAAGAGATCATGACACAGACACACACAGAGGGAAGACCATGTGAAGACCCAGGGAGAAAATGGTGTCTACAAACCAAGGAGGGAAGCTTCAGAAGACCTCAACCTTGATCTTGGACTCTAACTTCTCATTTGTGAGAAAGTAATTTCTGCTCTTTAAGCAACCCAATCTGTGGTACTTTGTTATGGGAACCCTAGCAAACTAACATGACCAGTGAAGCCTTTGCTTTGATGTTTAGGAGCTTTACCAAGTCTTAAATTTCTAATGAAATCATGATGAGAGGTTGTCATCAGTAGCAAAAAATTAGCCTTGATAAAGAAAACCACCATTTTCACTTTCAGGTATAGAAAACCAGTATTTGTGTTCCTGAGTGTGGGGTGTGATGAAATACCATAAATATCCGTGCTTCGTATTGGGTAGAATGAAAAGCCACCACTTGGCAGTCAGGGGCTTGAACACCCTGTGAGCCTTGTGAACATCAACTTCCTGGAAATCTCCTCAGCAGTAAAATGGGCTAATAATGCATTGTAATCTTGTTGTGGGGAATAATTGAGCTAACATTTATGAAATACTAGGTTATTACAAGCTATAGAGTTACATAAATATAAATATTATGTAAGTATTATCTACTAATGTGAGTCATTATTTTACATGGACTGTTTACTTGAAGGTAAAAATGGAGGTCGGGTATGGTGGCTCATGCCTGTAATCCTAGTACGTTGGGAGGCTGAGGTGGATCACCTGAGCTCAGCAGTTCGAGACCAGCCTTGCCCACATGGTGAAATCCCGTCTCTACTAAAAACACACAAAAAATTAGCCGGGCATGGTGGCAGGTGCCTGTAATCCCAGCTACTCTGGAGGCTAAGGCAGGACAATCACTTGAACCCAGGAGGAGGAGGTTGCATTGAGCCAAGATCCCACCATTGCACTCCAGCTGGACAACAAGAGTGAAACTCTGTCTCAAAAAACAAACAAACAAAAAGGAACTGAAGGTATCTCATCCTCAGCATACGATTTGACATTAGTATAGATGTTAAGTACTCTCGTTTTGGGAGTAGGGGGCTTTTAAAATAAGGCGTAAGAAGATGATGGAAGCCTACCAGGATAGGTGAGAAAAAACAGGCATCACTTACTTTGGGTACTTTGGGTCTTACTTGGGGTACGCTGGATACCCCCAGCATCACATAATCAACATGGCACACAGCTGCTACTTCCATTAGGATTTAGCAATTTCTCCATGGCATATACCTCATTATGGTATAAAAGAATAAAAGAACTTAAAATAAGTTAGCCCCCTGCTGACCTGTCTCTTGGCTTTGTACTATAATAAAACCTCAAACACAATGAAGTTTTCCAATAGCATTTCTTCCTCTGCTCCACCAGATAGCTGGGGAAAAATTAAAAGTAACCTAAGTTCATTGAAAACTGTTAAAATGCAAAAGTGCTTTAAAAAAGCGTAATCTTCATAACCCCATTATCTACTGCTAGTGTATCCATTTTCTTTGCATTCCCAACACATACTTTTCTTTGCTAAACTCCCTACTTCAGTTGGGCCAGTTTCTCAGCCTCAGCTCTGCTGATATTTGGGGCTAGATGATTAATTGTAGGGGCTGTCCTATGCTTTGCAAGGTGATTGGCAGCACCCAGATCTCTATCTACAACATACCAGTAGACCTCCTAGACCCTTAGCTGACAACCAAAAATGTCTCCAGATTGCCAAATATTCCCTGGCAGGCAAAATCACCTGCATTTGAGAACCACTGGTCTACACCAAGAGAAAGATGTTTTGAGGAATTCCAGGCAAGAGTGTGAGAATGAGATGAGCAGGCTGATGCTCAAATGAGAAAAACCTCTGCCTTCACCCTTTGGTCCTTATCTTCCTTATCTTTTTACTCCTTGGCTTGTCATGTTTAAAGGAGGCAAATAGAATCGGGAATCATAGGACAAATAACGACCACAAAGCATGGAGTGAGAGGTGTGACTTGGAATAACGTAAGTGAGAATGGTGGGCACATGAAGAACCCATTGCAAAAGTGGCCATGCCTTAGAGAAATAATGTAACAATTTACATTTATGTTGTTAGTCTTTTATATTAAACTCTTATATCAGCTCTGTCAGGTTGATATTATCATCCCCACTCTATGTCACAATGTTTACTTCTGTTATTTAAGAAAAAAAAAAAACCTAAAAACACAAATACACAGAAACCACTCTAGAGAATGTAGACATTTAGGGCTTCATAGATTTTAGATCGTCCAGCCACATCTCTGCCTTTACTGATAATCTCTGAGGTCGAGATTCAAAGATGCTAAGGGACTTGACTGCAGTCATGGAGCTGGTGGAACTGAGACCAGAAAAATTTCTCAGTTCCCTGATCAATGCTCTTTCCACTGTCTTACTCCGCTTCAACTGGGGTAGCATTTTCCCCTCAACTCACATTCTAAGACATGCCCTAAAGATCCTGGTTCCTATACATGGTTCTAATACATATATATAAATATATAATGATTTTTGTCTTCGAATTTGTTGACAAGCTTCTCTTGAATAAAAACTGTGCTGTCATAGCTAAGTAGAGGCTTTAGAACAGGGGCCTGTGATTGTCTATTCTCCCTAGTAAAGGAAAGAAGAGATGGTTTAAAGGAACAATCATGTCCAAGTAGGGCTCCCTGTATTACCCAATTCGTTAACTCCCCTTACAAGGCTTCCGGAGCTCTGCCCTGGGCTGCTCTTGCTGCCTGATGTCCCTCGACTTCGTCGCCCTGTCTGGGCTCTGTGCCTTTGTCCCTATTACTCCCCCCAACTTCAGCTTCCCCTCCCCACCAATCAGTCAAGTGGAAAGTCTCCTTTCAAACAAATGTCACATCTAATCTCCTTTATGAGCATTTTCCACCTACCTGACTCTTCCATGAGGTTGCACTTTGAGTCTTTGTATTAATGTTTTCCAAGGTGTACTCTGTGTATATCAGGTCGGAGATGGGCTCTAAGATGTCGTGTGTCCTTGCATGAGTGTGATGTCAGGGTCTTCAGTCTCTGTCTCTCTCTCACAGTACTGTGTGTAGTTGTATAATAAAGGCTTTAAGAAGTGCTATGGTACAGAAGCCTGTTGACTTATTTTATCTTATCCTTCCTTAAACTTACTTAACCTTTCTTTTTTTAAGTAACACCTGTTTGCAGTCAAAGAACCTAGTGTTTCTTAGAATTCGCCATAAGAGAGGCCATTTTATATCAATGAGTGTTCCAAACATTTATTTATAATTATTTTAATAAATATAAAAAGCAATTATAGTTATTTTAAAATAATGATATTATTTTAATTATTCATATTACTTTAATTAATGACATGCTGCCTTAGATATTTCTGTTTTGACCCATGCAGGTAAAGCACTTAGCATATAGCTTAACACATAGTAAGTACTAGATAAATGTGGGCTATTACTAATAAAAAGTTGCAGTTTTCTATGTCTCCCTGACAAATGTATGCATATCCTAATATGTATAAAAGTGTGTTTGTGTGTATACATGTGCGGCACTGCAGCACACATTGTATATTCCAGGTACGCGCTGGTCAGTGATCACAAAGAGGCTCACCATCTATCTCCCAATTTAGAATCCAGTCCAGATAACCAATGAGTGTGGATTTTTTTCAAATAATGGAATGTATTAAATTAAATTAATTAATTATTTTTTTGAGACTGAGTCTCGCCCTGTTGCCCAGGCTGGAGTGCAGTGGTGCGATCTCGGCTCACTGCAACGTCCACCTCCTGGGTTCAAGCTCCTGAGTAGCTGGGACTACAGTTGCATGCCGCCATGCATGGCTAATTTTTTGTATTTTGGTAGAGACGGGGTTTCACCCTGTTGCCCAGGCTGGTCGCGAGCTACTGAGCTCAGGCAATCTGCCTGGCTAGACCTCCCAAAGTGCTGGCATTACAGGTGTGAGCCACTGCGCCTGGCCATCGAATGTATTTTATACAGAGTAAATTGAACCTCAGGAAACTTTGGCTTAAAACTCTATTCCTAACACAAACTTGATCCCTCACTCTATATGATGTGATGATTTTTTCATTTTTTAAAAGGGCAATATTGAACCAAATTATAAGACAATTAAAATATATAGTAAGAAAGTATCATTTTAAAAAATCAGGCTCAAAAATTCTTGTATATAATCAATACAACAATTAAAGTGATTTTATAATTATTTCTGCAAAAAATAATTCTGAGTGCTCAATCAGTTTCTTAGTTTGGAGTTTCAAAATGACTTTTTTTCCCCCCAAGTTACATTGAATTTAAATATAAGATAAGATTTTAGAGAGTAACTGCACAGAAGATAAATGAGCTTCTCATGTAGGATGAAACTTTCATTTTCGATGCAGGGACCGTTGACACATTATCTCTTATAGCCTTGGAGGCTCTATGCTTGGCAAAACATTTTAATTCAGATTTATTAAAAAAAGATTTTGCTAAAAAATTACATACCTTCCAGGTATGGGAAATTGCTACATTTTGGACATTTGCCAAATTTTGAAGAGTAATTATTACTTATGTGTGTGTGCATAAGAAGTTCTCTAAATGCATGGCCTGGCATACAGAATAAACTAAAACCTGCACAGTTTTTCCCTATTGAGATTAAACAAAAGAACCATTTTTGGCATGCAAAACCTTCCTATGAGACAAACTTGAGATCACTGACAGGAAGGTAAATTAACTCAAGTTCAGCTTTTTTAGTCCTTTCAGCCCCTTTTCTACCACTCCCCTTTTAGTGAAGCAGGCAGACCATCCACCTCCTCCCCAAGGACTCTGGGCTTCTGTGCTGAAATATTTGCATTTCAAAGGTCTAAATAGGTAGTACCAGAAAGTGGCATTTTGATGACATTTTTGACATGTACAAGAGAGATGGCTTTTAAAAGTTGTCCTTTTAGTAATCTTTTGTATCTCTGCACTGTCACAATATTTAACACATGACAATGAAATATGTTTGTCTGCCTTCCTTGTGTCACATAAGCTCTTGGAAAGTAGGCATGCTTTATTCATCTGTGCATTGCATTCTCCACCAGTGTCAGGCATATGGAAATGCTGAATAAATGGCCTGCACTATGAACACATACACCTGCATATTCAGAAGGCCTGGACTGCCTTCGTAACAAGCCCATGAATCTTACCTGGTCAAATTCAGGACAGAATCAATTTGGACAAAGAGTTCAGAAAACCAGAATTTGAATCCTATCAATTGCTTCCAGGCTCCCTGGGTCAGTCACTTCAGTCTGATTCTCACTTTCCCCATCTGCTAGCAAAGGGTCTTGACTAGACACAAGTAAGGTTCTTTCTATAAATATTTTCAATAAATATTTTTCCAAGGGTGGCCTAAAATAATTCAACAAAATACTTTATAACCACTAAATTGTACCATAATATATTCTGTGGGGCTACTAGTGGATGCTATTTATTTATTAAAAGAGCTTCCATCAATGAGCATCACTGATAACTCTTTTGATGTCATAATATAGGCTGCCAGCCACTGGCAGAAGCTAAAATGGAACCAAGGATTGATCACTAAGTTTCTATCAGCACTTCAGACTTTATTCTTTTCCCTCATGGGCCCTGTTATTTTATGTGATGTCTTCCCTGTGTTTCATACAATTCGTTCTCATTAGTGGTCTTCATGAATGTGTCTGATTACCAGGGCTGGTTGGAAAAAATGTATATTTTTATCGTTTGAAACTCATGCTTTTTCTTGGTTTAATTAAACACAGGCAGTTTTTTGGAGGATTTTTATATTATCTAAGTATCATGATGTAGTTGAAAGAGTGGTGGCCTAGATGTTAAGAGATTCAGAATTGAGTTCTGTTGCTGACACTAAATACCTGTACTAGTGTAAATTTCTTTATCTCATTGGGCTTCCATTTTCCCACTTACAAAGACCATGGAAAAGAGTGTCTTCTAGCTACGGTATTTATTACTCTGTAATATTGTTATAAAGGCAGCTTCAAAAGTATTGGTTGAACGAATTAGGAAAGTAATGACATATTGCTGTATTTAAGTTCTCTTGCACATGTCAAACATAAAAAGGGGCCACTTTTATTTCTGTAAACCCATGAGCTAATGACATTGTCATGCTATACTAATGCTTACCTTAAAATGAATGTGACTTTGTTGCTCATCCCACAAAATAATTTGTCAGCCACCAAAATCAACACTGACCTTCATCAGCTAGTGACTTCTTCAAGGTCCTACCAAGAGCCACTAGCATCAATCTAAGGTAACATGTACTGCGTGTAAATTACATGTTACACTGAGAAGGGTAAAATAGAACAAAACTTTTTTTCCCCAACTGACACTGATAGTCATTGTGAAGTGACTTTGTACAAGCAACCAGGAAGAGTTTTATGAATCACAAGAACAAGGCTTGCAGAATATAAAAGTTCCTGGGTAATTGTCCTCAGTAATTTGCTTTGCTTATCAGAGTGCTAATAGGTTGGATCTGCTCTTCTCTGATATACTCACTGTTTTCTCCTAATGCACAATCTTTGGAGCTTAAGTAGAATGCTATTGAAAAATAAATAGGAATGATTTTGCAAGGATGTAGTCTGGTTTGTTTCTTTCATAGTAAATGGATTTCATATCTCTTGCACTCAAATAAAATAATGTTTATATACTTCTCTAAATACTCTCTCTCCCTGTAGGAGGATTTCTGTGCTAAATGCATAAAGATAACCAATGCACTGGTTAATTTTATTAATCTACTGATATTTCCTAAGGTGGTTTGGGGGCCTAACATAGCTGTTGGGGAAAAGGCATATATATCACTTTTGCTATTGCTATGCAGCATAACAACTACAGTGATTTTGCAATATAAAGACTATCATTAACAGGTGTAACTGGTACACTGAAGGAAAGTGCATATTTAAAATAGGCATGGATTATATGATTTAACATAAGTCAGTACGAGAAACCAGAAAACCCAGCTAAAATGTTCTTAAATATAAATTAAAAGCCTGGAGGAAGGGAAATTCTAGTGTTGGTTAATTCAGCAGCATAATGACATTCATCTAGGTTCTGTTTTTTCCATCTTACCACTCTGCCACCATGGGTATGTTGGCTTCAGCCCTATGGGTGCAAGACAGCTTTAGCAGATCCAGACGTCACCCAACAATGCCCAAAACACCCTCCTTTTCTAGTAGAACTTATATAGTTCATTGGCTAGAATTGAGTCTCATGCCGATTTCTAAATCAATCATTGCCAAAAAAACCCAATTGCCATGATTGTCATAACTTAATTAGAAATCACATAGAAGTGCTAAGGAGGGCTCAACCTCCTCCAAATGGAGGATTCATATGCCTACCCACAATACTTTGAACAACATCGAGGTTCTGTTAAAATTGAAGAAAGAAAATAATAACTGTTGGCAACCCAAATCACCCATCACATTAGTCAGATAGCATAACAAAATCCAGGGATGTTTATTTAGGGATTTATTTTTCAAATATTACGGAAGAATTACCTGGTAGTCTTTATATATTCATTTTGCTTAAAAATAAATATATAAGTGGGCAGATAAATAGAAACGTATTCATTTTTAAAATGATTTACCTTTTCTGATTTAGATCATAGTTTTAGAATCTGTTGCATTTGTGTTTATGTGATGTTCTTTTAGATGAAAATTATTTGAAATACATGTACTTTTGATGACTTAAGCTTTGTGTTGCATGGCATCAAGCTCCTGTCAGTCTTCTCTTGGACTCTGGGATCAATGCAATTCAAGAATATTGCAAGGAAAACTGTTCAATTACCATTCACAATTATTTGAATGATTCATGATTTTTCCAATTCTCTACAACTCAGATGTACTACATAAATAAGCTAGGAGAATGACAGAAGGACTATAATTATTTCAAAGTTTTGTGTAAATATGGACTCTATTCTCTTTTATTTATATATAACTATCATATATAACACACTTATATTAAATCAATAATTTACTTTATAAATAGCTATCATATACTATAATACATTTAATATAAATTTGATGTAAATGTATATATGATAGCTATTTATAAAGTAAATCATTGATTTTACTGTAATCATTTTTATGTACTTCCATTTATTTCTTTTGGATAAGCAGTTCAGTGTAAAAATCCTGATCTAATCAAAAGTTTTTGAAGGAAAATCATGGAGAAGATGGAAGCAGTAGAACTGTTCAGAGATTAGGTTGTAACATATGCTTGGTGTGGATTTTTAAAAATTTTTTAATCTTACTATGCATGGCGGGCCAGATACAGTAGCTCATGCCATAGATATATATTAGCCAGGTACAGTGGTGTGCACTTGTATTTCCAGCTACTCAGTAGGCTGAGGTGGGAGGACCACTGGAGCCCAGGAGGTTAAGGCTATAGTGAGCTATAATTGCACCACTGCATTCCAGCCGGGGCAACAGAGAGAAACCCTGTCTCTAAAATAAGTAAAATAATATGCGTGCTGTGTCATATTTTGGCTTTAAAATTTGAGGGCATTTCTCATGATAATCTGGACCACTTCTACTTTGTAGGAAACTGTATAATAATATTGGTAACTTAGAGGACCTAAGTGATTCTATGGAATCTGTAAACTCAAATGCTCAAGGTGTGACAGCCAAGAGAGAGGAGGTACAAACATCCCCCAGGCTCTGGAAGATCCACTCCACCAAAAGGAAGCAACGGTTTTAATTTGTGTATTTCTTTATATATGTATTTTAGATAGAGGTCTGAAACATAGTGTCTTCGGGGTTAAATTAATTTTGAAGTCAATTTGACTCTATCAAGTCAGTAGAAACATGGGTTAAAGCTTGAATAACTGATTCTCAAATCCAGAAATTACTGGGCAGATATAAACTTCCTTTGATTTCTACTCAATAGGTCAATTTCTTAGACTATTAATGCACAAGACGAAAAACAAGTGTGTATTTTTTTCCCCTCAGGGAGAATGAATTGGCAATATTTTAGTAGAGGGTCATAATTAGTTTCAAAATGTTCACCATACCCCTCAGTTTTACTCTTGAAGGCTTTGTTGGTGTTAATTAGGAAGTTTTATATGTACTAATACATATTTGCATTTAATATATTACATAAGCACATAGCATGCATAAACACACACACATTTTTTTTTAAATCTGAGTAGAAGGGTTAATAGTTATTTTGCCACCTGGAAGCAGTTTGTGGCCCACCTAACCCCCCATACTTGTGAAAACCATTAATAATCAAGAAATTCTAGAGGACAAAGCATTTGAAAGTATTTTGTAGAGGAAACTCTACCCTCTGGCTCAGATTGAGACGTGCTGTTTCTTAAAAAGGATTCTTATTGCTACATGCATGACCATCACTGGGAGGATAAGTGGGTATCTGTGTCATAATTGCCATTTTCTGTGGATTCAGCCATGTATGGGGATAAACCATGGTGGAATCTCAAGTTGGCATCAGGAGGAAAATGACAAAACCTGAAGCAGGAAAGGAAACAGGATTGGACTAGAGCAAAATGTTTATAGAAGGTGCAGAAGGTGTGTAGATTTTAGTAGAGCATTTTTTAAAAAGAGAATAAAAGCGTATGTTGTTTTTAAAGGAAACATTGGAAGGGACTAAGCTGAGTGATTGAATGAACATCTATTAACTCCTTGTTTATAACATTCAAAATTTGTGTTTTAGAGAAATTTTAATAAAGTGAAGACAAGCTACATTTTGATACATTCTTGATGCTACTGTGAATTAGTGATGGGAAACATCAAGGTGTGAAAGGTATGGAAGCTACCAACTCATCACTTTTATCCAATTTGCGACAGCATTTTCACTTTCCTCATCATGCCATTCACCTTGCTACCCTTTCTACCTTAGAGGCATCTCAGCAAGCTTTGAACTTTGTTTTGGCTTTATTTCCAATACAATCATTGGCTCTCACAAGGCCCTTTTCCAGCAAAATAATAATAACCCTGAAAACAAATCAAGGAAGTTATCAAAACCTAGTCATAGTTATTAGTACTTGTCAGACATCCAGGGTGACAAGATTAGGGACTGTTTGCTTATTCTGGAGAAGTTGGGTTTTTTCCTTTTCCATTTTTTTTTTTAAGGAGTAAAACAGCTGTTGCAGATGGAGGTATTCTGCGAGCATGACTCAAGCACAGTATTGTGTGAAAATGCAACCAAATCATATCCTATTTTTACCACAGTGCTACATTTGTTAAGAAAAGATGCAATATATATCTAATATTTGCAAGATTTGGGATCAGTTTTGTGAACTGTATTGTGCTTGATGATTTAGGAGAAAATCACTCCAAAGATTGTAAGTGTGGTGTAGACAAATATGAATACTTTTGCTAATTTGTGGCATTTTGCCATGTTGCTGTAGCAGTATTTTTATGTGCTAGTCTATTTCTTGGTAGCCATTTAATTTTTATTATTTGTGTCTAAAATCTTATGAACCATTGATATTTCTTATTTCCCTCATGCATGTGTACTTTATTTTTGAGAGAAAGAGGGAAGAGAACAAAATGGTACACGGTGAAGTATGAGTATGTTTTGATTTTTCTTCTCAGATTTAAAGAAAACATGCATATCTACATATCTTAACTCAGTCACCGTTCCAAAATATGGAATTTTGTCATTTTCAAAACCTTTTCCCAGAAAACAGCCTTATTTGTGCCCTCTAGTGGTAGATGCATAAATTTATGCAGTAAGTCAGAGAAAGCTGCCTCTTTTTTTCTTTCGGTACATTATGATTCAGCATCCAAATAACTAAATAGTGTTAACTCATACCTATACTTAAAGAAAAATCCTATGTAATTGAGCTTAATATGTTTTCCAAATGCATCACAATTATGTATTGGAGAAATAACCCTAGCAGTTATCTAGCTAGAGAAACTTCTGAAATTACAATAGTATAACTCCTCATGATTTTCAGGTTCCTTTTGTCCAGCAAAATGCTGTTATTCTTTGAGAAAAAGTAAGTACATTTTCCACAAATGCATTTTCTCGTCTTGAAATCTGTTTTAAAAACTCTTCTAAATTGCTGCATTCGTTCATAAACTGTTTCTTGTTTTTGTACTGATAAGTATCACTAGAAAGCTACATGAAAGAGAAAACTGTCTTGTTTAACGTAGCAGTAACTGACCCTCATAGAAAAGGCCCAGATAGAAATGGCTCTTGAACTCATGGCTCCACTGAACATCTACTGGGTGTACAACCAGTTCTGTTTCGTGTCTCTGAAACAGTCACTGCCTTCATTCAACACGTCCATTTTCCTGGGTGACCAAAGTTGATTGGGCCAGGAATAGACTCCCTGTCCAAACCAAGCCAACTAGAATCCTCCCCTGGGATTTCTGAAACTAGTGCTGATAAAGAGAGTAGGTCTATTTCTAGTAGAGGAAGCCCTACAATATATTTTCTGAAAAACTATTGGTAGCCATGTTTACTGTCAAATGTTGGTGGTGAGTTAAGAATGGGAAAGAAAATTTTGGTGGCATTAATGCCTCTGGTTTCTGTTGTGAGGATGCAGCTGTCTGCTCTTCCTATAACCCCACTTTTCTTTTTTTGGTCATTTAATTCATCCTTGGATTTGGTAACACAATACATTCTTAGTATGCTTAGGTTAATTTGGGTTTGAGTTTAGTTTCTATCACTTTTTGCCGAAGTAATACGACAATACAACAAGGCATGTTGTCAGTTTCTATTCTTGAATTTTCTCATAACCCAGTTTATAGATTGAGTACTGGGGGCAGAGTTTCTGCTAAAGGGTCAGGGAGTCTCCTCAAAAAATTGTGACCTCTTTCATATTCATCTTGAGGTTTTATTAAGTTCAGGTTCTGCTACTTTATCCCTATTTAGAGGTATCAGCTGTCTTTCTTTAAATACCTTGGATTTTCCTATTTTCTCACTCCCCTTATCAGCATAGGTAATGATAAATCACATGCACACTGGACTTCCTTCATAGCAGTCTGTTACCTTTTACAGGTAGTTTTCAGCCTTTTATCTCTAAAATAATGGAATGATACACTTTGTTTCTTTTTGAAGTAAAAGTTGGGGAGAAAAATATGAAAATCCCTGGGTGGCTTAGGCACACATTTCTTTTGCATCTGAAATGATCCAACATCAAACATTGTGCCTAGTACACAGAAAGCACTGAGTCTGTTTTGGTTAAATATAATAGCAAAATTAGTTAACATTATTGAGTATCTGCTATATACCAGATACTGTATTGGGTAGTCATTTTATTTATGTCTAGTACAAGTTTTAACTTTTACAACTTTTTTGAACAACTTTTCAAAGACCCCATTATTATCCCCATTATAAATGAGCACAGATGGAGGGCTTGCCCAAGGCCACACAACTAATAAGATTCTCCAAATCTTACTACTCTGTCACCATTTTCCACCAAAGCACCAAACACGGATGACTTACTGCTGTAAGGGGGGGGGGGGGTCTTGAAGAGTTTGACCTAAAGCTGCCACCATAAACTTGATGTTACACGAAGGCTTGTACGTAATGACATTTATGTGATATTTTCAATCCACTGTGTTTCATGCAAAACAATTACATGACAATGAAAATATCTGGTATATCAGGCACCCCTGGAAGGCATGCCGTTCCTGCCCTGGCTTGGTTTGTAGCAGGCTGGCAGGGGAGGGGTTGAGTGGGTGAATTTGTTCCCATAGCTCTCCAGCCTGCAGCATCAAGCTGCTGAAAGCTGCTGAAAGCTTCTTGGGATAGAAACATCTTGGTCTTTCCTCGTTTCTTCACATAACTGACTACTCTTTGATTTTCTCACTCCTCTGCCCAGTGCCCTCTGATTCTAGGAATTAAGAGCCTATTCTAAGTCCCTCTCCTTCCATCCTTAACTAGCATTATCTCTTCCATGCCATCCCCCCCTCCACAGCAGTCATCCGTGGAGCATTGCTCATAGGACATATGAGGCGATGAATGGGGACACATTCTTTGGATTAATAATAATATTATCATTAGCTAATCTCTTTTGCTAAGCATTTTACATATTTTATCATTAATCATTATACTAATCCTGCAAGATATATGTTATTTTCCATTTCTCTATTTTTTTTTTCTTTCTTGAGATAGGGTCTCACTCTACCACCCAGGCTGGAGTGCAGTAGCATGATTTTGCCTCACTGTAACCTCTGCCTCCTGGGTTCGAGTGATTTTTGTGCCTCAGCCTCCCGATTAACTGGGATTACAGGCACGTGCTACCACGCCTGGCTAGTGGTATTTTCTATTTCATAGATGAGAAAACTGAGACTCAGATGAGTTATGAGCTTTCAAACTCTTCCGAGCTCCAATGTGGAAGACCCAAGATTCACACTCAGATCTGTTGATCACAGGGATTATACTATCTTGACAAGGGCAACCATCTCTGCCTTCAAAAAAGACCACAGGGATGTTGGAATACATTGTTTACATGGAACTTGTAGCAAGACCATCAAAGGGAATTTTACATATTAGGCAATACAAACCACTTTTGCTTTAAAATGTGCATAGTGATAAATAAAAAGTACACAGTACTCAGAAAACTCATAGCTTTTACATTTGATCATAGATCCCAAAGCAATTATAAAGTAAGAACTGAAACACTAAAACACGGTTTTACTGTATGAAAACAATACCAGTTGTGATCAGTTATGTAAGCTGCTAACAATTTGTGAACAACTCCCATGTTGCACAATAACTTTGCTTCACTTAATGGCACATTTATTGCTAGAAATGAGCACCCTTTAATTTGCCCAGCTCCTTCTGTTCAGGAGGAAGTACCTGGTGTCCTCTCCTCTGTCCTGTTCAGGACACTGAGGGCCTCCTCGGTGGCTGAGGCATTGGATGGACTGACACCTCACCACACTGCCTCTCCCTGTGGGCCACTCCTGTGTTGCCACTCTGGCCTTGGATGGCAGGATCCAGCTCTGCACTGTTTTCCATGTTTCCCAGGCAACTTGTTCTGGACTGTCATAGAAATTGTACTATTGTGTTATTGTCTTAGGGCCATAAGTTAGATCACATCCTTCAAGTGGGTAAGGCTTTGTCTGAAAAGAATGATGGTCTCATTGCCAATCAATGAAAAGGATGAGCCTGTTCAGGACACTGAGGGCCTCCTCGGTGGCTGAGGCATTGGATGGACTGACACCTCACCACACTGCCTCTCCCTGTGGGCCACTCCTGTGTTGCCACTCTGGCCTTGGATGGCAGGATCCAGCTCTGCACTGTTTTCCATGTTTCCCAGGCAACTTGTTCTGGACTGTCATAGAAATTGTACTATTGTGTTATTGTCTTAGGGCCATAAGTTAGATCACATCCTTCAAGTGGGTAAGGCTTTGTCTGAAAAGAATGATGGTCTCATTGCCAATCAATGAAAAGGATGAGTCCCGAGATAAAACATGGTGACACAGGAGGTGGGCCTCAGGCCAGGGCGATGGAGGAGAAAAGTACTCAGCCTAGGACTGGGATTTCAGCTGGGACGGTCCACTTTCCCTCACAAGGACTTCTCAGAACTTCAGTGTCTGAGGCCACCTGAAATCCCAGTCCTAGGCTGAGCGCTTTTCTCCTCCATCACCCTGGACTGAGGCCCACCTCCTGTGTCACCATGTTTTATCTCAAGGCTCATCCTTTTCATTGATTGGCAATGAGACCATCATTCTTTTCAGACAAAGCCTTACCCACTTGAAGGATGTGATCTAACTTATGGCCCTAAAAGACAATAACACAATAGTACAAGATCTATAAATTTCACAAGGTTTGTGTTATCAGACTTGAAGGGTACTGATGTGTCATGACTACAATTCATTCAAACAAAGACATTTTGAGAGTAAAATGAGGAGTTATTAATTATTATGCCTGGAAAGTAAACAAGAACTAGGATGTATGTTTCACCTACAAATTCAAGGTGTTGACAGTCCAGAACAAGTTCCTTGGGTTGCACCAAGCTTAAGTCCATTTCTTTGTAGGGATTCCTCATCTAAGTTTAAAAATTACCAGAGTCCAGACTTATTTGGGACACATCAGGCATATGACCAAACAACTTGGTTGCATATATTTTATTATGGAATAATCTACAGCCTGGACAACTATGTGTAGTTTCGAGATACTTTTGCTCAAGTAATTTTATTTGCTTGTCCGGAGTATATCTCTATGAGATAAGTTTGCAGTTAGTTGTGCAAAGTCAATAAACACTATTTAGTCATAAATTTTGGCTTTTAATCCTTGTCAGTTATCTTGTTTTGGTTGCCAAGAGGGATAGATGTCTGAAATGAGGTTGCTTCAGCATGAATATATTGTGATCACTGGAAAAACAAAAGTTGGGATTTTTATAGAGTGCCCAATAGACAGTGCTGAAGGAATGGCTGGTGTGGCTGTTTAAGAGCATAATGAAGCAACCACACCACATTAGTAGCCAAACTTTAGCATAGTTTAAAAGTGACCTCATTGCTGTTTCTAAAATATAAAGAGCAGTATGGCCTAGTTTCAGGCTCTTATCACTGTCACAAAGTTCGTAAATATTGTTCGACTAAGTAATCTAATGTCCCAGGTTTTCTCCCCGTCTTGATAAAAACTCCATGACTGGTCCATTAGCCAAGTATGGGAGAGAGGCAGGGCATAGCTCTGGATCATTGTTTTCTTTTTATCTGGCATACATCAAATACATATGAGCTAGTTAAGATAAACATGGAGAAGAATATGCCACTTTTATTTTGCTAACTGAACACAGTACATTTCCATATTCAGATCAGTCATACTTACTTTGGATTATTTCATGGTTCAAACCTATGGACTAACTTTATCAGTCTCAGGTTTTTTTTTTTTTTTTCCCATAGAATTTATTTAATCTGTGGGCTGCTTTACAGCTAGGCTTGCTGCCTATGTTGATCCTAGAAGAACTAACTCTTCCAAGAGGATCATTGTGGTTGCTATAGTGCCTTTTGCAATTAAAGCCATTTGAATCAGGGAGCCCATTTTCTAAGCAATGCTGTGGGTGTGTTGGAGCTGATTATTTTCTGTTGATTTGTTGTTGTTGTTATGGGAGGCATGAGCTCAAATGTGTAATAAGACTACCTGAGTCCAGTCGGTGGCTCTGCCACTTAACGTGTGATCTTGGACATGCCCTCTAAACTTTCCATGCCTCAGTTTCCTCATCTCTAAAACACAGGTAATAATTATGATGATAACACTTACTTCACAGGATTGCTGTAAGGGTTCCAAGATTTAAAACACATATAATTGGTAAACTAGTACTTGGCATCTAATAAGTTCACGATAAATATCAACTATCAGTGTTTGCATTCTAGATATGAATAATATTTTTATTGTTAAGGTGTAAAATGACATAGAATGGAGCATTAAATTTTAAAATCCTATCATTATCATTAAGCTAAAGAGTTCTGGGTCACAATATGATATATTACTGCTGAAGATCTTACTTCTTTTAGGGAATATAGCTCTCCAAGCAAATGCATCAAGATATGTAAATTAAGTAAAAAGATTTAGAGCAAAATTCTTATTTAAAATTTAACGGGGGCCGGGCGTGGTGGCTCATGTCTATAATCCCAACACTTTGGGAGGCCAAGGTGAGTAGATCACTTGAGGTCAGGATTTAGAGAGCATCCTGGCCAACATGGCGAAACCCTATCTCTACTCAAAATACAAAAATTAGCCGGGCGTGGTGATGCATGCTTGTAGTCCCAGCTACTCGGGAGGCTGAGGTAGGAGAATCACTTGAATCTGGGAGGCAGAGGTTGCAGTAAGCTGAGGTGGTGCCACTGCACTCCAGCCTGAGCAATAGAGCGAGACTCCGTCCCAAAAACAAACAATATTTCATTGCAATTGCACTTCAAATCCCACATGTAGAGAAATTCTGTTTACAGGCAGTTTTCCAAATATTATAAACTCCATTACAGAGCTGTTAACCAAAGTCCTAGTATCTTATCATTTTTAACTCTGTACTATTTGTAATAAAAACAACCAATTAAAAAAATTTTAATGAGAATTCCAAGTTTAACTCAGATAAAGCTTTTTTGTAATTGCATTCCTGTAAATGTGCTATTTGTTCGTATGGCTTGTAGAAACTAAATGCTGCTGAGCTTTCTCATGGTGCAAGCAGACTTTGTTCCACGTAATTGACTTGATACCAGATGTTAGCTGGGGCACATGGAGGGCTTTGAAGAGGAGACAATGCTGTGTTCATGAAAAAATTGTCACATTTTTTCCTAGTGTGTAGACCATTTCTGTGACTTTTATCCTGTCTTTTTCTTTGTTTGTTTGTTTGAGATAGGGTCTTGCTCTGTCACCCAGGCTGGAGTGCGATGGTGCGATCATAGCTTACTATAGCCTTGAAGTCGTGGGTTTAAGTCATCTTCTTGCCTCCGCCTTCCAAGTAACTAGTATTATTGGTGCACACCACCACGCGGATTTGTGTGTGTGTGTGTGTGTGTGTGTGTGTGTGTGTGTGTGTGTGGACACGGGGTCTCCCTATGTTACCCAGACTGGTCTTGAACTCCTAGACTCAAGCAATCCCTCTACTTCGGCCTCCCAGATTGCTGGGATTATAGGCATGAGCCACTGAACCTGGCTGATTTTTAGTTCAAAGAAATTTGGCCCGAGGCTACATTGAAAAAGTTTGGTTTAAGAATCTAGAAGGGACCAGGAAACATTTGTATCAACAGAGATTTTTGTTGTTTAATTAAAAAATCCTTAATTTAAGCTACTTTGTAAAATGATAACGAACAAATACTCAATTTTGAATTCCTCCATCTCAGATGCCATATCAGTCACTATAAGGAACACGCTGGTCATTATATTGTTGAGTTTCAGCATGGGGCCCCAGGCAATTAGTCCAACTTGTCACTTGAGAGGAAAGCTCTTTGTCAGTTTACACAGTGACCTTGTTCTCACAATTTCTACACCAAAATGATTCATATTAACTCTATTGTGTGCAAAGGCACAAATGCTAAGACAGGCTACATAATATTTGATGCCCATCATTACTTTCATTACTGATTCCCGTGGAGGTATAACATACATGCTTGCCTGTATGGGGCTGCCAATCATAGCACTGATTTTCCATTCAGGACAATTGATTATCTCAAGGTGGGCAGAAAAGTACCTGTATCATTCTCTTGAGCATATTGGGGACAAGCACACAGGTCTGGTCAAGCAACACTGCTTAGGGATTTTTTTTCCTAAGCAATGGGAAGAATAAGGAGCCATGAAAGACGGGACTGAAATAACCTAGAGCCTGACTGAACACACTTCTCTCTCACAGGCTTTTTTCCTACCATGTCCTTCATTAGAATGCATGACACCTGCACTTTTCTGAAGAGATTTTAGTCTTCTTACAGGCAGGGACTATAACTTATTTGTCTGTTCAATACTCAGTGTCTAGCCCAGTGCCTTGTTCAAGACATACATATAACATATGTGTTTTAATGTAATAAACACTACATAAAAATAAAGATGACAAAATGAAGTGTTTGTTTATTGCTTTTGTTTGTTGGTGTGTTCAGATATTTGCTTAATTTGTGTGTTTTGTAGAAAGAGATCAAGAAAAGTGAAGCGTGTCAGTTTTCCTAGAAGAAACAGCAGGGAAGAAACAATGTTAATAGTCCATTCCCCATGCACACTGACCAGACTTTTGGTGCTCATGACATGAGTATTAACCTCCACATGCAGCAACGAGGGAATTCTAAACAAGGTAGCCCATGCTTAACTCTGTTGTATGACAAATAAAAGCTAAAACATGCTTTTGGAAAGCACAAATGAAGCTAGTAACTAATTAATCCACCTCGTGTAAGCCAATTGTCGGTTAACAATTGATCTAAAATGTTGGGACTGTTTTAAAAAGATTTGCAACTTAGTAAATCATGATTGATATATTAGAATGAATATTTTTCCTTGGGAAATTTTACCTTCTGAATTTCCATTTCTATATAAGTCTCTTACTTTACATATTATGCTCTATAGAAATCTTTACCATATATTTAGTCTTCTATGATACATATACACACTTCTATAATATATATACATACTTAAATGCACACATGTTATAGAGAACTGATTTAACACAATCCAAATTATTGTTCATTTTAATAAGACATTCGTAAGTCTGATTTTCTTTTATTCCTTAAAATGTAAACAGCCATTCATATACACCTTTTATGTACACACTTGTTTAATTAGGAGAAGCTATTCCAACCTGATCAGATTATTCTAAATTGTATATAATAACTATGATCAAAAAGCTATTTGGAATAGTTTGATTAAAATCAGTGCAGACCTAGAATTATAATGGTAAACATAATTATTTCACAATAGCTATTCCATTAAATGTCATACTGCTGTGCTGGTGGGAAATCGCTGATGAAAATAAATGTGTTGAAGATAGAAAATAATGGTCAACAATCCATTTCAATATAATTGTAGGAGATGGAATAGAAAGGCTTTCAGTTTTGATGGTTTTGATAGCAGATGTTCTAAAGCTCCCTGGTGGCTATGTTTTCAGAGATAAATGCAAGTGCTCAAATGGAAATGCATTCAGGTTCAACAGAACACCTGAAAATCTTTTTAACAACTCCGCTCACTGTTTCATTGCTCACTTTTGGATTTAATTAAAGGATAAGTAATGTTATCTTTAGTCAAAAGTAAACCCACTTAAGGGCCGGGTGCAGGGGCTCACAGCTGTAATCCCAGAACTTTGGGAGGCTGAGGCGGGTGGATTGCTTGAGGTCAGGAGTTCGAGGCCAGCCTGGCCAACATGGTGAAACCTTGTCTCTACTAAAAATGCAAAAAATTAGCCAAGTGATGTGGTGATGCACACCTATAGTCCCAGCTACTTGAGAGGCTGCAGCAGAAGAATTACCTGTGGCAGAATTGCTTGAACCCAGGAGGCAGAGGTTGCAGTGAGCTGAGATCATGCCACTGCACTCAGGCCTGGGCACTCTGTCTCAAAAAAAAAAAAAAAGAAAGAAAGAAAGAAAAGTATGCCTTTTAAGAGACGAGACAGAAAACTGCCTATGACTTTCACATGACATTGCTAGATTCTGTATGTCCACATCTGTCTGTCATTAGCTGCTTTAGTTTGGACCTCAGATTGAGTTAATTATGTCTTAAAATGTACCAATATGTAATGTTTTATGTGTATATGTCTTAAATTTACAAAAGTAGTACTGTGGTAGAAAATATTTTGTATTTTCTTTCTTCTTTTAATGTTATGTGTGTAAGATCTCCCCGTGTTGTCTCTCTCTGCCGCACACTATTCTGCAGTGTGTTTCCAGTATATTTCACAATTCCTCTCCCCTGATGGACCCTGGGGTGGTCGCCAACTCCCCATTCCCACATAGGAGACCATGGAAAACATTCCCATTTGTGTCTGCTGATGGATGTTGTGAGAATATCTCTGGGATATTCAGGAGAGAGTGTATTGTGTCTTAAGGCAAAAAAAACCAAAACAAAACAAAACAAAAAAAACTTATTTTCCCAAGTCCTTCCAATCTGATCCAGAATGGCTGCACAACTTTACAAGGACGTAAGAGTACTTAATTCCTCCTATCTTTAGTCACAGTTGGTAATATTGACTTTCCTATTTCTGCTATTTCGATGAATCTCACGTTATTTGATCATTTCTTACTGTTGTAATTTGTGTTTCCGTGATTACCAGTGAGTTTGAACATTAGGTTCTGCCTTAAATCCTAAGAAAATTACGAAACAAGATGTGGGATGCAGTCAAATAAAGCCTAGAACATCTTAGAAGATTAAAAAGAAAACATAAACAAATTAGGTAGCAATCTCCGTGGCATTAAATACTATAGGATTTTGGAGTGTTTTATATTAATCTGAGTTGTAGTATTTGACCAAAGCTTCATATAGAAAATAGTATTCCAATTTATTCTATTGAAATGGCTTAGAGAAAAGGCACAATTTCAGGCCAGATAACATGAGTGACACCATGGAGATGAGAATGAGTTGCGCATACGGCTGAGACAGCAGACCAGGCTGGGGAGGGGAGAGGATCATGGAGGAGGCACCATGAGCTCATCTTAAGCAGGAAGGAAGCCACATCACAGAGACAATTAAAAGCTTTCATTTGCACTAATTTTAAATAAACAATGAGAGCTGCTGTGGTTTCTTTATAAAAAGCATCAGTTGAAATAGAAATTTAACTTGCTCTACCTCTTTGGTTTGCAAAGACAGCTGGTCACATGATGGATTTCATTATTGGCACAGGAGATATTTCACAAGTAGCAAGTACGCCAGCAATATATCCCAATTTTTCAGCTGCTCACTTTCAGAGGTTTAGCCTTCATTGCCTGCTGCTTTAGGCAGAAACATAAGGGAGAGGCAAAGGAGGGAATTCATGTCTATGAGGGGACACCAGAAACACATCAATTGGAGAATTTTGCTTTTAATTTCAATTAGTTTTGAGTCACACTCTTTAGGTGTGTTGACTGTCCACAATGCAAGAATGCACCTAGTTTTGCTATGCATTTATTCACTTGGTGGAATTTCCATTTAAGCAAAAAGTGGGGGCAAATGTATTTAATGGCTCTTGGGCAACATTTACACTATGAACAGCCCTTCAGAGTAAAATCTGAGCATTTGATCTGTTATTATAGCCTTCGGGTATAGTGGATTTCAGTCCTGGGCTGAGGGAGGCCTGTCCTTCCCTCACAGAAGCTTAAATATACCATGCCCTCAGCTGTTTGTTCACTTCAACAACCTAGATTAAGACAGGTGGATGTGATGTTTGAAAGTGTCATCCTAGGGCATTTGGCTTTCCCTTGTACGCTCTCTTTTTACTTTATTTTTCTTGTTTTTTATTTTCTACCTGTGATAGGTAGAACCGTCATTGCCAAAATGTGTCCACAGGCTAATTCCAGAAACCTATAAATATGTTCAGTTATCTGACAAAGGGGGTATTAATTTGCATATTGAATTTATTTGCCAGACTGCTGGCTTGAAACTAGGGAAATGAGCCTGCATTATCCAGGTGGACCCAATGTAATCACAAAGGTCTTTAAAATTGGAGAAGGGAGGCAGAAGAGGAGCTTAGAGGGATGTGATACGTGAAAGGTTCAACCCATCATTTCGGGCAAAGATGGAGGAGGGGCCACCAGCCAAAGAATGCAGGCAACCTCTAGACGCAGGAAAAAGCAGGTAGACCCAGCTTCCCTGGAGCCACCAGAAAGAACACAGCCCTGCCTTGACTATTGATCAGTGAGACCCATTTTGGACTCATTTACCTCCACTTTGCCAGTCCTTTTGTCAGACATGGGCATATTTGTTCAGCTTCTTCCCCGGGCTGGAGTTCCTGAATGGCTAACCATTTTTGTGAGATAGTAAGTGTTAATGTTAATGACAATAGTAATAATATTAGCCAACAACTACTGAGTTCCTAGTATGGACTACTATTCAAGGTTCTACTTTCTCTAAAACCTTAAATATGAGATACTAGAACTGTAAGATAATAAATTTATGTAGTTTTAAGCTGCTACATTTGTGGTGATTTGTTACAGGAGCAACAGGAAACTAATGTAACACTCTATTGCTGATTTTGGCCCAAGGAAAGCACATTTTATTACCCAATAGAATAGATCTGCAATGGAGAACTTTAATTTACCAGGTTGGCTCTTAATTCTTTTTTTTTATTATTATACTTTTAGGGTACATGTGTACAATGTGCAGGTTTGTTACATATGTATACATGTGCCATGTTGGTGTGCTGCACCCATTAACTCATCATTTACATTAGGTATATCTCCTAATGCTATCCCTCCCCCCTACCCCCATCCCACAATAGGCCCCGGTGTGTGATGTTCCCCTTCCTGTGTGCATTATCAGTAAGAATTTTTTGAAACTTGTGCTTGGCTTGTTTCTTCCCAAAGAGAACTAGTGTGTACACATTGTAAGGAATTGAGGAAGGGAAATACTCATGTAATATACATTTCTTTATTCGTGTCAAATAGAGACAGAAATCTCTTCCAATAGTAACAGAGTTTTAATATCAATATTTTTCCAAGTTTTGCTAAAGGAGAGAATTGATGCCAGGTTCAACGCTCGTCCACTCTGTGGAATTCTTCTAAACATGTAAAACTGTATCACATCAAATTTATTAATGAACTGCTCTGCTTCAAAGTTTAGTCAATGTCCTCAGTAATCAGTTCAACATGGAGTGAAAAAAAATCCTTAAAGGGAAGTTTTAATTTCTTTCTTTCTTTCTTTCTTTTTTTTGAGATGGAGTCTCACTCTGTCACTCAGGCTGGAGTGCAGTGGTGTGCTTTCAGCTCACTACAGCTTCTGCTTCCCGAGTTCAAGTGATTCTCCTGCCTCAGCCTCCTGAGTATCTGGGACCAGAAGTGCACTCCACTACACCCGGCTAAGTTTTGTATTTTTTAATTAATTTATTTATTTTGAGACACAGTTTGACTCTTGTTGCCCAGGCTAGAGTGCAACTTCTGCAACTTCCACCTCCCTGGTTCAAGCGATTCTCCTGCCTCAGCCTCCCAACTATCTGAGATTACAGGCGCCTGCCACAATGCCAGGCTAATTTTTGTATTTTTGGTAGAGACAGGGTTTCACCGTGTTAGTCAGGCTGGTCTCGAACTCCTGACCTCAAGTGATCCGCCTGCCTTAGCCTCCCAAAGTGCTGGGATTACATGCATGAGTCACCTTGCCCAGCCTAATTTTTAAATTTTAAGAGAACTCAGTATTACTGAAAAGCCTGCCTATGTCAAAGAGAATGCCATTAACCTTTTCCAACATAAATCACTTCTCTTCAGAAGACAGCACTTTTTCACATACGTTTGCCAGTGACCTAGAATGAGCTTCATGCTTCATTTCCCTTTGTCTGTTTTCAGTGACTCTAGAGTGATAACATGTGTTCATGGGGAAGTGAGGGTGGAGTTTTTCAGAATTAGCACTCACATTGGGGTGAGTCATGTGGTTAAAAGCCCAGTAAGTTTGATTTGCTAGAACAAGTTTAAACTTCCTTTCAATAGAATGTGGGTTCAGAGCCAAATGGGAATTACAGAATCAACTTCAGCTTTCTGTTAACAGTAACACCGCGGGGACCTCCTACCTCTACTTGGCCAATCCACTTGTCAGCCACAGGCATATTTGTCCACCTTCTTACTGGGGCTGGAGTTCCTGAATGGCTAACCTTTCCTGGGAGATAGTGTTAATGATAAAAGTAATGATATTAGCCGACAGCTACTGAGCTCCTAGTATGGGCTACTATTTGAAGGATCCACCCTCTCAACAGCCTTATGGATTAAATGCTTCTATCATCATCTTTTTTATAGATGAGAAAGCCGAGGCACAGAGAAGTTAAGCAACGTGTCCAAGGTTCCCTTGTTAGTAAGGGGTGTAGTCAGGATTGGATATCCGGGATGTGGAGTGAAGACCGCATTATGACACTGAACCCACTGCCTCTCTGTGAGAGCTGGGGCAGGCAGTGTTCAGAAAGGTGTTCTCTTTCCTGGAAGGGGCAGGTGCTTCCCCACCGCTGCGAGATGGGGATGGAGGGATCAGTGGGAGCAGAGCAAGTGTAGGTGAGCCCTGCTCACTTGTGCTGTCATTTACAGCTAGAGACAGCTGATAGCTGCCAGCTGAGACTCCATAGCTAACATGATGCAAAAGAATCATTGTTAAAAAATATGTAGCACTTCTAACAATCTCATTGTGAACACCACTCGTGTTAATTTATTTTAGTCACTTCATTCAAGTCATTGGCATTGCTCAGTGGTGAGGAATTTCTCCCATTTTGCCTTTCCTAGAAGGAATCTAGGATCAACCAACATTTTATGAATTTAACACTTGTAACAAAAAGAATAGAACATTAAGACATAAAAATTTTAAATAATAAAATCATAAGCATTCATGATTCTCTGAGTTAGGGTTTCTTATGGTTTTAAGTGTGAGTAAAAGTTATACAAATCCTCTTTGCATCTGATTTTCTTCCTTATGATAGATAACTCTTACAGAATAAGAAGAGTTAACATCATGGGCTTTGACTTTGGGTGCACTGAGAGTTGAAGCCTTGCGTTACAACTTAGTGGTTGTGTACACTTTTCCAAGTTCATTGGTTTTTCTGATATCTACTTTATACCTCATACAGAAAGAGGAAGTGATAATAACACTTAGCTCATAGATTTATTGTGAAGTTAAGATAATGTGTGTAAAACATTTGGTGTGATGCTTAGTACAAATGCATTATTCCATAAATACTTCAGGTTTATTATAATTGTAATAATCTTGGTCTCCAGTTTTTTCTCTCTTTTTACTTATGAGACAAATGGACTTCAGTTTAAGAGTAAATATGAATGTGTAGCTATACAATGATCACAATATTATCTTTTACATATATGTATATATATATAATATGAGTGAGGCAGGCATCCTGGTGCAATGGAAGAGCTGGGCAAGTCATTAAGAAGTGAGTTCTAGTGTAACTCTGCAGTTCTAGTGACCCTGCAGTTACTTACTCAGCTTGTTACCTCAAAGCAAATTGTTCTAGCCATTGTGGCCCTGATTCTACCTGTAAAATGACAACAGTTAAATCTTCTTTAGGTATTTTATACAGACAGAATTACCTGCCAATCCCGTCTACCACCAGATGGGACAAATGGCTTGATTTTTGTTAGTCCCAGTTTTCTTCTTGGTAGAATGTGGCTAATGATGGTAATTACTGCACAGAATCATTGAGAAAAATTAGATGAGATGCTGGCATACAGGAAATGATCCATAAGAGTTAGGTACTTTTATTAAAAGATTACTGTTGGTATTTAACTATTAAATTGTGATATAAAATTGAAGTATGGTTGCAAATATGTTTTAAAACAATTTTACAGTTTCTCAAAAAAATATGAAATTACCATACTGACCAATAATTCCACTCCGAGGTATATACCCAAAGGAACTGAAAGGAGGGACGAAAACAGATACTTGTTCTCCAGTGTTGATTGCAGCATTATTCACAGTAGCCAAATGGTGGACAGAAACTAAATGTCCATCAACAGATGAATGAATAAACAAAATGTGGTATCTACATACAATAGAATATTTGAGAAATGACGTTCTGATGCATGAGTGAAGTTCTACAACATGAATGAACCTTGAAAACATTATGCTCAGTGAAATAAACCAGACACAATAGGACACATATTGTATGATTCCACATGCGTGAAGTTCCTAGAATAGGGAAATTCATAGAGACCTAAAGTAGATTAGAGATGATCAGTAGCAAAGGAGAGGGAGGAAATGGGAGTTCTTGCTTAATGGGTGCGGTAGTTTCTGTTTGGGATGATGAATAAAGTTTTGGAAAAAGTAGTGGTGATGGTTGTACAATGTTCTGAATATAATTAATGCCACTGAACTGTATACTTTATAATGGTTGGGATGAAGGGAGAGAAAAGATCCAAGGCCTCTTTAGCTTAGATAAGCAAGTGAATGATGCTGGTAACCATGGACACAGGGAATTGAGAGAGAAGAGCTGGTTTGGGTGAGAAGTAAATAATCCAATCTCCATGCAAGCTTTCCCCTGAAATTTGAGAATTTTAAAATTGTATAGCTTTAGAGTTCTTAAGATATGACAGAGCTTTTATTTAAAGTTAAAATTTCATCGACTATATCCACAGCATCAGTTGCCAAAAGGAAAGTTAGACAATGAATATTTGTTGAAATAATGGTTGTGTGTTTTACACCATGACACACTATGCAAAATATATTTTAAAAAGAAACAGTTCAAATCAATTGAATGCTATACTAGAAAATAAAACAGAAAAAGTCAATAATTTTTCAAGTGCTTACTTCTTTGTCAAAAAGGCTGAATGTAAAATGGCTTTTCTGCCCTGCTATCCAGGTGTCTTCCTGAGAGAGAATATTTCATCCCATATCCCCAGAAGAATAGGTAGTATCCAGTGGTTGATGGAGACACACATACAGCAATAGTTATCATGAACCAGCATTTTCTTTCTATGTTAATTCATGGGCCAGTTTTTATACAACAGTAGGTGAAGCGTTGTGTCTATTACTCTTTGAGAATTGGCTCTATGATTCTAAATGATGATGCATAGCAGAATGTTAACAATGGTTATCTGCAAGTTGAGATATTTTGAGTGACTCTTACGGTTTTCTATGTTTTCTTTTTTCTATGAATATGTATTTTTAAATAATATAAATGCATGTGTAATAAGAAAATTCAATAAAAGCTTTCTTACTTGTCAAAACCAAAAATATAATTGACTAACAAATTGGAGAACTAGCTTGATAACCTTAGCAAAATAAATTTTCAATAGAAATGCAATATGGGAAAAGTTGATCAAGTGTACATATTAAACAATAATATCTGTGAGTTTAGCTTACCAAAAGATGAAGCAATCCACAGTTTAAAGTTTTTCAAAAGAGATAAACAAAAAACAATAACAGTGTGTTGTGAAACCATATGGTTATTCTACTTTGAATTATTGGAATTCCATGTAGTTTGCTGAACTTCAGAAACTTAACCTGGAGAAATTGAGGTATGTTCTGAATACTAGAGTAGTGAAATAGTATTTCTAAGAATAAAAGGTAAAGGAATTATTTTTCAATATAGAGAGAAGGAAGGTAAAGATAAGAATTTTATATACCATCATAAGCTTTTGTTCCTAAAATGAATGCAGAAGAATGTTTGCTATGAATATATATAAATAACAGGAAGATGAAACAAGAGTAAATAGGCTCAAGAACAAGCCAGAGATGCTAGAGAAAGACAAAAGGAAAACATTGGAAGCCTCAGATCATTAAAAGCAAGAAATGTGCTGGCCCTCCTGCTCCTGGATGAGGAGATAAAAATCCATCTGGCCCATCAGAGGACTTGAACTCATGCCTGTACAGTACATTTCCAGAACTGTATCCATACTGGTGCATTCTAAGGGTAAAAGACATTTGATGACTTTCCTTTTGTTTAAATCTTTAATTTTAGTGAATACCAAAACCTTCCAGTACTACAGAAAATTGGCCTTGTCTCTTCTAATTTTTAATAGCTGCATATTCCATTGTCTTGTACTTTTGCTGTAACAGAACCCCACTATGGCTACAACTCAACATTTTCCTCTTAAGAGTATAATCATCTCTATTTTGGTGGTCAAAATTACTGCTTATTTTTAAAACTCCATATAGCTTTCTATTCCATAAATTATGCTTTCCTATACTACCTTTTGTCCCAGATCCACACCGCACAGTCCACAGTAATTTTTCCTCTTTTCTCTTAATAACCCAGTTAATACTTTCAAGTGGGACAGCTTTTTAATTTTTAGTGACTATTAATTAATACTTCTTTCTATTCTTTCCCCTCTTTATAGCACTACCTTGTTCTCAGAATTTACCTGAGCATGAACATTTCTCATTCTTGCTTTTTGCCTTCAAATTATTTTCATGTCACTTTCTCTTTCTCATTGCTGTTCTGTTGTTACTCTGGATGTTGGAGAGTAAGGCTGGAGAAAATCTTTTATTCACATGTAAATCTGCATCTAATTCTAAATATACTTTGCATTCTGGAGAAGTGCTGAATGATCTTAAGCATGGCAGTATTTCCATTAACTACGATCATTTATGTGTCTGTTTCTAGGCTCAAAACACTTCTAATGTCAAACATTTAATTCACGTAAATGACTATTGTTTCACACTTATTCTATGGAGTGCCTAACCACTAGCTCTTTAAATTAAACCTAACATGAGTCTGAACATGCAAAACACTTAATATCCGGATGGGGGTCAAGAATCACTTATTTTAAAGCTACTAGTGATATCCGCTATCTCTAATAGAAAAACTTTGAAGATGTAGAGCAATATGAAAGTTGCAAAGTAATGGGAAAATGGTAGGGCCATTATCTAAGGACAGCTTCATAGTGTTTGAATTTGGAAAACTGTATAACATTTTGATCACCTGGGTTCAAAAAAATTTGTTTAGTACTATTTCTTTTTTGTCCACCCCTTGATATTCTGGGTGTTAGTGTCTTGCAAGAAAAATCAATTTTTACTTAATCTGCCTGTTACCTAAATTTCTATAGCAGCAGCATTATATGCATTTCAATTAATTGCTTGAATGCTTTTATCTAATATCTTAAGCAAAACTTCATTTTCTAACTTAATTATTGATTAACCTTGCATTCTTCTTTCTACCATCTTTGTAATTTTACTTAGCAAAGTGCTTAAAAGAAAATGTAGCTTCTTCTCAGTCTAGTAGGAAACATTGTTGGCTGCATATGACCTAGAAAATTCTGTTCCAGGCTTGATTTGATAACCTCCAAGTTCTTTAATCTTTCTGTGATTTGGTTTTGGTATACCAACTGATAGCTACTTCACATGGAGGTGTCTTCTTAATCAGCTCATTCTTACCATCCGTCTGTCTTTCTAGGTATCTCACTACCTGTCTATAAATTCTTTGTAATGCTGCCCATCTTAAAATCAAATCTCAATTAATCTGATTGCTCGATGTGTCTGGTCAAGTGAATTTTACAGGTAACTTGGCAGCATTTGGTAGGTAAAGGGCAGGCTAAGGCAACTTGAGATCAAACACTTGCCACCTCTGCGACTTGGAGCAATTTTTTTACACTTTCTCTTCAGCATCTGTAAAATGGAGAGAGTATAAATACCCATCTTACAGAGTTATCTGGGGGATCAAATGCTTTAATAAATATGAAGTATTTAAAATAAATATTGGAATATTTACATCCTCAATAAGTATTTGCTATCATTTATTTTTGAAATATTTATATCAAAAATCTTTCTAAGACCAAACTGTTCATTTTCCTGCTAGAGAAAATGCCATGTAGGGCATGTAACTAAATAGTTCTATTAAAATCAAAATGCTTATAAAAAGTTGCATTTTGATTTTCAGAAGTGTAAAATGCTGCCAAAGAGTCATTTGGCAGTCATATAACAACTGAAAGATACTCACTGGCTTTAACAACAAGATGAAGACTGGTTATTTTGGGGAGAGCGCTCTATATGATGAGCTACTCCCGCTGTCATAATATCTATGCAAGGGGAAATGATATTTGTGGGCACATATGGGCTAGGGGCTTGTTAGCAGGAAGCTGTGAGATGAAAGGTCAAGATATCTGCTGAAAGTCAGAGGTGGAGTGGAGGGATGAGATGTGATTAGGATTTCGAGATAATCCAGTTTGACGAGCCTTTGGATAATAAAAGAGAATTTCAGCTAGGATCAGAAGTCCTGTTACTAATATGTGGGCTGAGTATAAAAATACCAGCCTCATATACTACAGGGAAATTAGCAAATTCCTGAATGAATAGAAATCTTCAGTGTGTTGGATGGCATTTTTCTTGGGTGAGTTTGTGAATAAATTAAGTTGCTTTTTAATCTGTTGCTTTTAATTGCAAATACATCCCAGGAGAACAAAACTCATGACTCTAGTATATCCCATGAATTTGTGTAATCACAAACAATATTTCAATCATTGATGGTTTCTTATTTTGTCTTTGTCAATTTACGTTTGATTTCATTCCATTGAAACCTAACTTTTAAATGCCAGAATAAGGTTTCTTCAGCAGAAAGCCGTTTTCTTAGGCTACTCCAAAAAAGCTAAACTGTTCTTTTTGCTTATGTTAGACATCTTGGATTTTATGTTTAATTGCCTTTAAGCCAGATGAGACAAACCTTTGATTAGGAGCCTGATGAATTTACACTCCATTAACTTTGTTCAGAACACACTCGATATAGCAGAAGCTGTTCCCTGACATTCCCGTCCTCAATTTCAAAGACACGCTTTCAAGTCTTACGGAAGCATTTGGGTATGTACAACATATATACTTTAGACTATTTTTACAGCAAAATACAAGGGTGTATAAATTAATATAAGTAAACATTTCCACTTGGATCAAGTCTATAACACATAGTTATTGGCAACAAAATATGATTACAAATAAAAACTTAATTAAATAATTTTCATGGGACATAAGGTTCCCAGGGTTAAACTTTTTCTTCTGCATTTAGTTTTACTATGCTTATTAGTAGTAAATGATGAATCAAATAGATTTTTTTATTCAAAATATTTAGTAATTGTTAACTATAAAAACTAATTTTCTAAGGTACACATCTCTTCTGGAGATGGATGGGATAAAAAATGGTGAAGAGTATGGTCCCTTGGGCAAAGGAGATTTTGCCAACACAAATATTTTGAACTTCCCTTTGATAAGATTTTCCACCTGTAGGCAATGCCCCACAGTAAGATTCCTGACCACTGAGAAGTATGGCTTTCCTTTGTGAAGTGAGAAGCCCATTTGTGGAAGGAAGTTGTGGGCAAGCAGATTCCAAACAGGCATGCAACCCCCACAGCAGGTGCTGGCTCAAGCAGGTCAGTTGTGGAAAAATAGGGACTAACGATTTGGAATCTGATCCTGAAATCATTCTGGCCTGAGTACCTTGGAAAGTGTGTATGCTCGGAAGTACTCAGTCCCTAATTTAAAGATCACTTTTCGGCCGGGCGCGGTGGCTCATGCCTGTAATCCCAGCACTTTGGGAGGCCGAGGCAGGCGGATCACCTGAGATCAGGAGTTTGAGAGCAGCCTGGCCAACACGGTGAAACCCCGTCTCTACTAAAAATACAAAAATTAGCTGGGTGTGGTGGCAGGCGCCTATAATCCCAGCTACTTGGGAGGCTGAGGCAGGAGAATCGCTTGAGCCTGGAAGGTGGTGGTTGCAGTGAGCTGAGATCGTGTCACTGCACTCCAGCCTGGGCGGCAAAAGGAGACTCTGTCTCGAAAAAAAAAAAAAAAAAATCACTTTTCTATGGTAGATGAGCCGCAAGGCTATGCTGTGTTGTACTGTCAAATCTCTTACAGGTTGTGGACCATTTTTTTGGAAAGCTGCATTTCACCAGGGTTCTGGATGACGTCTTTGTGAGGGGAAGGGGAGGCAGAGCAGCTGGGGACACACATCTGTGCTGCTTCCAAAATTACTTTCTCTTCTAGTGAAAACACTGGTAGTGGCCTAGGCCTATCTACTTATGTCCTGTGTCCCTGGGTCCCAGCTTTTGAATCCCTGAAACAAAGGTCTCTCTGATAGCTCTCCTCATTTAACACTACTCATGACGCTGACATGAATAAATCCTAAGCATGACCTCATGGCTTAGCGGTACTTTTGGGACTCTCATCAGTATAGCTTTCCACTTTCTTTGCTTTTTTCCCTAGGTCTTTTCATTGAGTTGTTTACGGCTTTGTTTAGTGTTGCTGCTTCCCATATTAGGCCCATATCTTCCCCTATGGTTCACATTTGTCTGCCTTTGCAGTTTTCCATGACACCTCTCTTTTTGATGAATGTCTTCCTGGTGGGATTTTGTTTGGCCGTCCAAAAAGGCCTGTATAGTGAGTTGAAGAAAGAGCTCCCCAGGAGTCTTGACTCAAGGGGCTCAACGAGGCATCAAGAGCTCTGAGGAGGTGTCTGTAGGGCCAGGAGATGCCAGAATCTAGTGAGGTTGGGTGGCAGGATGGTGGGGCATGATGGGTGAGGGCAATGTTCAACACTGGCTGTAGATCAGTATCACATGGGAGTTTATTAAGAGTACTGATGCCCAAGCCCCATCCTGGCTCATCTGAATCTCTCTGGGTGGATCCTGCTCTCTGTACTTTTTCTGATTTTTGTGATAAAAGTGTTCAAACATACGGAAACATTTAAAAACTGGAACAATAAACATCCTTATTCACTATCCAGCTTCAATGATTGTTAACAGTTTGTTATATTTGGTGTGCATGCACAAATGCAGGGGAACACACGTGTGTGCACATACATACATATATAACATACTTTTATGTGTGCGTGAATATAGAATATATATATGCACACAGACATACATATATATTATTTATTTCCATCTAAACCATTTGAAGGGAAGCTGCAGACATCATTTTACCTCACCTCTAAGAATAAGGACTTCCACTGACATAGTCACATACCATTATTCTCCTTAGAATATTAAAAAATACTTTCTTAGCCTCGTTTAGTATTCTGTTCATATTCAGATTTCCTGTTTTGTCATCCCTAGTAATTTTCTTATCCAGGATCCAATCAAGGTTATTGCATTGCATTGGTTATTGTGTGTCATTAGTCTCTCCCAATCTAGAACAATCTCCCTAGTTACCCTCTCCCCACGATATAGTCTGTTTGGAAGACTCAGCCAGTTGTCTTGTAGAGTACCTGTGTTCAGGATAGATCTGAGTGATTTTTCAAAGTATTGGCTAGTTTGTTTCTCTGTGTTATTTTCTCTGGAATAAGGAAGGTAAGCGTAAATGCTTGATGAGATTCAGCTTACTCATTTTGGCAAGGATACCTCATAGATGATGCTGTAGACTTCATATTGCAACACACTAGAGGCCCATGAGGTCACTATTATTGATACTCAAGTTGATGTTAGACAGATCCCCCTGTTATAAAGATCCTAGCATCCAGTGATGATGTTTGGCTGAATCAACAGTTTTACTGAATTCATTAGGGGTTGTAGGAGTCTATCATTCTTCTAAATTTATTAGCTGGGAATGAACTACTCTTACTCCAGCAACGTAAAGGTAAAGGCATAATCATTGTCATTTGACCACCATTTTTTTCAGAGTAAGAATTGTATAACAATTATATCTAGTAAATTTAATTTAATTTTTTGGTGTAAGTGTGAATTCATATACTTATTTATGCTTTGTAAACAAATATGAAATATCTTCAGATTTATTTTTTAAGTGACATAAAATTGTATGTATTTAATATGCACATGATATTTTGAAGTATATATACATATATGATAGAATACTATTCAATCATAAAAAGAAGGAAATATAGTGAATTTTTTTTCCAAACTTGCAAAGTGGGAGTCCCCATAAGTTCATTCATGAGTTATTCTGAAAACCTACTGTTAATGTCTGATCAGTTATTTGGTTTCTGGCACAATATGTCTCAGGCTCATCTTGAAATTGTTCTAACATAGATGGACCACCATTTATCTAAGCAACGCAAGATCCTTTGAGTATAAAATAGTCTGTAGTAACCAATATTTGGGTGATAGAGGCTTTTATTGTCACTGGGGTATTATTTTCTTGGTCCGTTGTCAAAGTTTAAAAAAATTATTTTTAAATCAAAATTTAATATTTAATATTATAGGGTTTTCTTAAATTATTTTTCTCTCTCTTTTTAACATTAACAAGCTTGGTTCCTAATAACAATATATTTATTTATCCCATACGTATATAACTACAATGATGTCAAAATTATTTATCGTATACAATATATTTATTTATCCTATACAATGAATATAATAATTTCAAAATTAATATTTCAACATTAGTACTAACAAAACTACTGTCAAAATTTCACATTAGATTTTCCTTTGTCTTGAGTATATACACAGAGTTCTGTGTTAAAAAGCCACTTGAAATAATTATGTTCTCTTGTGATTGGGTACCAATTTGGCATACAGTTATATTCATTTATTGTAGTTTTTTATTTAAAATAGGTAAAATATCTACATGGCTCAAAATTGAAATTAAATAAAAAGGTTCACACAAAAAATTATTTCTTTCCCTAGCCTCTCTGCCCATTTTTCTTTCTACTTAGTAACCATTTGTGTCAGCTTCTGATTTATACTGCCACTGTTTCTTTTTGAAAAAATAAACAAATACACATACGTAAACTTACACATATTTTTCTTATTTTTCCCTGTCCTTACCAAATGTTGCACACCATATATATCATTCTACACAGTATTTTTTCTTTTAAAACGACTTATCCTTGGGATCATTCCAACACCGCTCTCTTTGTTCATCCTCTTCTCTGGCTGCATAGTGGATGGGTGTGCCACTGTTTATTCTACCAGTACCCTCGGGATGAACCCTTGAGTTGTTTCCTGGCTTCTCCTATTATAAACAATGCCTCCTTGTGCCTTATAGTATTTTGTACTTCTAGAGATATGTCTTCAGGGTAAATTTCTACCTTGATTACCAGTATTTTTCAAAGCTCTCCAAGTGATTCCTCTACGAAGCCGAGTTGAGGCTTCCTGGAATAAACTTAGGATTGTGAATTGGCTCACTTAAAAGTCAGGTGCTTAGAACCACAAAGAAGTTTGTGTTTCAGGTATGACAGGCCCAGAACATGGAGCAAGTCAGGACAGGAGCAAGTCAGGACGGGAGCAGACTAGAGTTGGGCTATGTGAGGTGGGAGGATGAGGACAGATAAAGGGCAGAAGCCAAGTAAACAGACAAGACATTTGGAAAAGCCAAATACAGAGAGCTGAATAGTCCCTGCAAAGACTGGGCCAACCACCAGCACCAGAAAAAATATTATAGAAACCAAAAAGGCAAGCTAGGTAAGGAGAAAAGCAGACAAGAAGCTCGGAACAGCTGAAAAGGACCTGGGGATCGGAGGCAAAACGTAGGCTCAGGTGCTCAGAAAGTGAGTGACCCCTACCTGGCTGGCATGAGGTTCCCAAGGACAGGGGAGTGGGAGCCTGTCTGCAGGTGGAGTGAGGGGTAGACTGCATTCTGCAGCGAAGGCCATGACCCCAAGTGGGCTGATCATTCAGTGTTGGTGCTGGGAGGTAAGGTAGGGCCGTGTGGACCTAAGAGGAGCTTAACTGGGCTTTTCTTTTCCTACTGTAATAAAATACTTGTATGTATAACATAATATTTACCATTTTAACCACTCTTACCTTTAAAATTCAGTGGCATTAGTTACATTTGGAATATTTGGCAACCATCTCCACTATGTGTTTCTAAAACTTTTTTATCATCTCAAACAAACTCTGTATCCATTAAGCAATAATTCTCCATTCCCTCATGCCCCTGTTCCTGGCGCCCTCTGATATACTTTAGGTCTTTATTAATTTGCCCATTCTGGCACTTCACATAAATCAAATCATACAAGATTTGTCCTTTCTTGCCTGGCTTATTTTACTTAATATAATATTTTCAAGACCCATCTATGTTGTGACATAACATCAGAAATTTATTTTTTCTTTGTGGAAGAATAACATTCTATTGTATATGTTATACATATGATTATAAAATATAATTTATTGTATATAGAATATACTCCTATACGTGCATATATACACATGCACACACACACTATACTACGCACACACACACCCCTAGGAGTAAAATTACTGATCATATGGCAATTCCATGTTTCATATTTTGAGGAACTCTCAAACTGTTTTCCATAATGACTACATCACTTCACATTCCTACCAGCAATGCACAAGGATTATAATTTATCCACATCCACAGCAGCACTTGCTATTTTTCCTTTTTTAAATTATTATAATAGCCATCCTAGTGATATGAAGTGGTGGATTGTGTTTTATTCTGTTTGTTTGTTTGTTTGTTTATTTGAGATGGAATTTCGCTCTTGTTGCCCAGGCTGGAGTCTAGTGGCTTGATCTCGGCTCACCGCAACTTCTGCCTCCTGGGTTCAAGCAATTCTCCTGCCTCAGCCTCCTTGGTAGCTGGAATTACAGGCATGCGTCACCAAGCCCGGCTAATTTTGTATTTTTAGTAGAGATGGGGTTTCTCCATGTTGGTCAGCTGGTCTTGAACTCCCGGCCTCAGGTGATCCACCTGCCTTGGCTTCCCAAAGTGCTGAGATTACAGGCATGAGCCGCCACACCCTGCTGTTTTTTTCTACTTTATTTTTGGTTCATTTGTTACATGGGTAAATCGTGTGTCGCTGAGGATTGGTGTACAAGTGATCTTGTCACCAAGGTATTGAGCAAAATACTCGATAGGTAGCCTTCCAACCCATGCTCCCTGACCCTCTCCACTCAAGCAGTTCTCAGTGTCTGCTGTTTCTATCTTTGTGTCCATGTGGATTCAATGTTTAGCTCCTGTCCGGAATCCATAGGAAACTTAAAGAAATCAGCAGGCAAAAAACAACCCCGTTAACAAATGGGCAAAGGACATGAACAGACACTTATTAAAAGAAGCCCTACATGTGGTCAGCAATGACATGAAGAAATGCTCATCATCACTAATCATCAGAGAAATACAAATTAAAATGACAATGAGATACCATTTCACACCAGTCAGAATGGCTACCATTAAAATGACCATTAAAATAATAATTGCTCATTTTTGAGCAGTGGTCTTGTGTCTGATGATTGTGATAAGACTGCAGTGGTATGGATATGATAAAGCCTTCCTGTTGTAAGCACAGAGAGGGTGGGGACAAGCGGGGAAGGGAAGGAGAACCATGGGGACAGCTGTGCTTCTGTGTTACCTCTGTGACAAAACCTGTTCCCCCAGGGTAACCTCTAACAAGAAGGCTTCTATTGATCCCATTCATGCATAAGCAACTGTGCTGTCATCACCATGAGAATCAAGGAAGAAGCAGCCCTCTAAATCATTTACCTGGTGGGCAGGGGTTCTCCACTCTCATTTCTCAAATATTATCCTTTACCATTGGTCCCATCTGTCCAATTCAGCCTTTTAAAAGGCTATACAATGAAATGTTTATTTTATTTTACTGTAAGAGCATGTAATATGCTCTTAACTAATTTGTGAGTGTTCAATATATAATTATTGACTATAGGTACAATGTTGTACCCCCAATCTCTGGAGCTATTCATCTTGACTGAAACTTTATGCCTCTTGATTAGTAACTTCTCCTCTCCCCCTTCCCTCAGCCCCTGGTAACCATCATTCCACTCCCTGATTCTATGAATTTGACTGTTTTAGATATCTCAGATGAGTGGAGTTGTGCAGTGTTTGTATTTCCATGACTGAGTTATATTGCTTACCATAATGTTCTCAAGGCTCATCCATGTTGTCACATATCAGAGGATTTTCTTAAAGCCGAATGGTATTCCATTGTATATGTGCACCACACTTTATCCATTCCTCTGTTGATTTATGTTTATGACAACATAAATGTTGATGGACATTTATGTTGTTTCTACATCTTGGCTACTGTGAATAATGTTGCAATGAACATAACAATGCAGATATCTCTTCCAGATTCTTATTTCAATTATCTTGGAATTGACACCAAAAGCTCAAGTAACAAAAACAAAAATAAACCGTGGGACTACATCAAACTCAAAAGCTTCTGCACAGGAAAGGACACAGTCAACTGAGTGAAAAGGCATCATACGGTATGGGAGAAAATATTTGCTAATCATGTATCTGATAAAGGGTTGATCTCTAAAATATATAAGAAATTCCTACAACTCAATAGTACCCAAAAATGAATAACCCACTTAGAAAACAGGCAAAGAACTCGATATTTCTTCAGAAAGACATACAGTAATCAATAGGTATATGTAAAATGCCCAATGTCACTAATCATCCAAGAAATGCAAACAAGACACTCTTTTAGTTTCATTTTCCTCCTTGGACTAGATTATTTGCACCACTCTCCTTCCCTTGTAGTTTGATCTAATGACCAATCCAATCTTGTGATATTTTCTTTTGCCTCTTGATGGTTGAAGGATTGGATCTTGTTAGGACTGGACTAGGTTCCTGTCTCACCTTGAGGTAAAATCAGCCGTCTCCACAGTGAGGTGAGCCCCAACATGGTGGCCTTGATGCCTTTTCTTGAATTTCTGTTTCTTGGAGTGTGGTAGCCTAAGTAGTAATGATTTTCCCCATAATTTTATTCCTTTTACTACTTGTGAAATTGGAAGATATATAAACTAAAATAGTTTTCTTCAGTGTAAACACATCTTAATTTTAACATCAGCATCTTCTGTTTATGACTCTGAGGGTAAAGGGGTGGAAGGGTCATGTCCCAACCCTTTGACCAGTGGTTCTCAAATGTAGCTACACAGCAGCACCGTCCATTAGGCTGTAACAAATACTGTAAAGAGATTTGGAACTGGTGGGTCTGGGGATAGTCCTTGATGTGTGCATTTTGAAAAAGCTCCAAAAGTAATTCTAACTCAAAGTTTTAGGTGGAGTCAATGTAGAATATAGATATATTGACAACTGAATTATGTTATAATTAAGATACTTTCCATGTAGTTGTATTTTACAGTAAATAGTCCCCAGGGATCTTTGTGGTTTAAAGAAGGGTGTTGTATTCTGCTATGCCACCTTCTGGGATTGCTGCATGGTTTGATCGATGTCCTATCCCTGAAGGATGTACACACACCACAGAGGGACAGGTTAGGAAGCAGAGAAAAAGAAAGGGATGAAGAGAGAAGCCCTGGTCTAGGATCCTAATGAATACAGAATCCAAATCAATCAGGAAGGTGGTTCCTCTTGCAAACTGATTCTGATCTTTTAACTGTTATACCAGCAAATCCAATTCAGTTTATCTGTAGTACAGCTTTCAACAGAGAAGCATGCTTGTTAATAGAACTTAGATCTTAAAGTAAGTACATGGTGAAATATTTGTCTTTAGATCTGTTCATACTGCTAATTGAATTCACAGGTAAAAACCAAACTAATTGTACTCCATGAAGATCAACTTCTGATTTAAGTAGATGTCAGTAAAGTGTATAGCTAAATATCTGACCTTTTCTGTAGAAATATGACCTACTTTTTCAAGAGTACAAGAACTATGTCTTAGAGTGCATTATGTCCCCAATCTTTGGAATACTGAACCCAAACTTGGAAGACTTCAGTCTTGAGAGAGCCATGAGAAAATTGCTCAAGCTTGATGAAACTATATTCTCATCTGTAAGGAATGTTACATACCTACCCTGCAGAGTTATTATGAGGCTCAGAAATTAAAGTGTAGAGTGCAGAAACTATAAAGTGCTGCACATGTTTTAAAATCAAATAATTTGATAAATTAATTTATTGTCATTACTATTAAGGATTTCATTAAGATATCCCAGAACCATTAACTATTTAATCATATCATGCCCCAAGATAATTTGAGCTGTGGTTTTATTTATTTATTCCAAATGCCTGGAGCACAGAAGACTTTCGGTAAATGTTGATTCAATGAATGAATAAATGGTTAATTCAAAACATGGGTTTTGAAAGAGAGTAAATATACCTTTCAAATGATTTAAAAATCTTCAGGAAAAAAAATCAATACAAAACTTGCGGGTGGTGTGTGAGAATTCCATGCGTGAGAAGTGACTCGGATTTTAAACACTGAGCTGGTTGGACAGCTCTTTGGGCTGGGGGGTGGCAGGTGTGGAGAAGGCGGGGGACCTGAGCTTCTCACCCCTGCCCCACCTGCGTAGATTCATGTCTAGCTGCGGTAGCACGGTGCAGTCCTGACCAGCCTGAGCTTATGAGATGGACTACCTGGGCTCGAAGCCTGACCTATTCTATTCTCTGGGTCAGATTACCTCACCACCTCTGTGTCCTCATCTCTAAAAATAATACCTCGCTCAGAGTTTTGAGAGATTAAGTGAGATAATAAGTATGAAGTACTAGAATAATACTGGTGTTTAATAAACAAATGCTTAATAAATGCTAATAATAATTATTAATTGGGTTTAAAGTATGTTAGACTTTATTTGAGCTATGATGCTAGATATGTAGACTAACTTACCAAACTGAGGATAACATGAGAATTAAGTGGGGAAAATACAAATTAAATTTTAAAAAGTATAGGAACTATTTCTAAAGAAAATTTCAGTTCTTGCATGTCACAGGAGACAATAAACTACAAAGTTGGTAAGAATAAGGTCAGAGTATGACCATAAGCTCCTGAAGGACTGGATTTATTTTGTTTGTTTTTGTTTTGCTTTGGTTTTTTTTTTTTTTGTTTGATGGTTGGCCTACAAAATTCTTTGTACATGAGACTATCTTTTTTTTTTTTTCTTTTTTAGACAGAATCTTGCTCTGTTGCCCAGGCTAGAGTACAGTGGCACAGTCTTGGCTCACTGCAGCCTCCACCTCCTGGACTCAAGCAATCCTCCTGCCTCAGCCTCCCGAGTAGCTGGAACTCCAGGCTTGTGCCACTACACCCGGCTAATTTTTGTATTTTTTTGTAGAGACAGGATTTTGCCATGTTGCTCTGGCTGTTCTCGAACTCCTGTGCTCTAGCAATCTACCTGCCTTGGCCTCCCAAAGTGTTGGGATTACAGGCATGAGCCACCATGCCTAACCCATGAGACAATCTTGATATGTAGTAAACAGTCAACAATTGCTAGTATTGCAGCTATCCTTAACCACACATGAGAATATATTTTAAACTTAACTCTGCCCAAAGCACTAGGCTAAGTTTTGAGGCTGTCAAGAGATATAAAAGAGTTCTTGCTTTGGTGAGCTTAACTCTAGTAGAAGAGGTAGAAAGGGAAACTCAAACCCAGCATCCACCAATGGAAGGGGATATTCCGTTTCATGTATAGATGAGAGGTGGTGATGGCTGAGGGGTGTGGAGGAAGCAGTGGTGCCTGCAGGTGGAGGAGGCTGTGAAAGGCCTGACTGACAGTGAGGCATTATGGGGCAACCTGAAGCAGGGGTGGGCAGGACTTAGGTGGTAGAAGAGGCAGTCTTGGGCAGAGGGCTGTCTGTAAGAGGATTCTGTAAATGAAGGTCTCAGGAACAGATTCTTCAAGGCCGCCTCTGTCAGGATAAAGATTCTAACCATTTTCTTAAGGCTAATGGGAACCTTTGTCAGTTTATAGCAAGAGTAGCAGGTAATGGTATTTCCAGAAAAGTAAATTATTATTTTCAAGTGGGAAGAAATGAGGCAGGAGAGGCAAAAAAGGAAACAATTGCAGGGTAGAGAGGAACTGAGCCAGCGAATAAATGAAGAAGATGGAGGGGCGCTTGAAATTCTTTCCCTAGAAGGCTTGGTGACTGTGAGATCTAAGGGGCGAGGGGGCTGAAAGCTGAGGATCACGTAACAGGCGTGTATGACAGACATTGAGAAATCAATGAATGTCTAGAGTGAGGATTGGCACACTTGTTCTGTAAATGCTGGTTAGAAAATATCTGTGGCTCTGTGAAACATGTGGTTCTGTTGTTCTGTTGGAACTCTTCAATGCTGTGATCCCAGCCGCAAAGCAGCCACAGACAAATCCTGAAGGAATGGGTGAGGGTACACTCCAGTAAAACGTTCCTTACAAAAACAAGTTGCGGCCATAGTCAGCCTGTGGTCTGTGGTCTGCAGACCACTGGAGATCCTGCAAATGTATTCCTTTCTATAAATGTAGCTGTGCATCGTTTTTTGGTGATGGGATTTATTATCACTAGATCAAGCAGGTAATTGTGAGGAGAGTGTCACAAAGTGTGACAGAAGAGCAACCCCTGATGGCAAACACTGTGCACAGCTTTGGGGAAAAAAACACTGCTTTCTACCAGAAACATTCCATTAAATGTCATTTTTTATAACAAATCTCATCACATTAAAGCTCTAAAACAAGTCTTTTGAAGCTATTATAAATTTTAATATTAATAGGAAATATCTTTATCTTAGCAAGTAGACTTAAGAGAAAACCTCAATTTTATGATTACGGAATACAGAAAAACAACAGTTCAAGTTAGAACATTATGGATTCTGATCCACATCCATTGAATCGATTTATCTTTAATCTATTTGTCTCTTTCCAGTATCTATGTATCTTAATCTTTAATTAATAATGCAGTGTTTTGCAATCTCTAAAGAATACTTACCATCTGGCTGTGGTGGCTCATGCCTGTAATCTTAGCACTTTGGAAGGCCGAGGCAGGCAGATCACCTGAGGTCGGGAGTTCGAGACCAGCCTGGCCAACATGGTGAAAGCCCATCTCTACTAAAAATACAAAAATTACCTGGGCGTTGTGGCAGGTGCCTGTAGTCCCAGCTACTCAGGAGGCTGAGGCAGGAGAACCTCTTGAACCTGGGAGGCGATGTTGCAGTGAACCAAAATCGCGCCACTGCTCTCCAGCCTAGGTGACAGAGCAAGACTCAATCTCAAAAACAAACAAACAAACAAACAAAAAACTTATCAAGCATTCTTAAAGTTCCTGCTAAAAATTACAAAAAATAGTGATTATATTATTTTTTATTGACAAATTATAATTGTATATATTTATGGTATACAACATGGTGTTTTGATATATATACACATTATAGAATGGCAAAATCAAACTAATTACATGTGCATTAACTCACATAGTGTTTTGTGTGTGGTAAGAACACTTAAACTCTATTCTCTTGGCAATTTTCAAGTATACAAAACGTTGTTATTACTACAGTCATGCTTTACAATGGATATGTTGAACTTATTCCTCCTGTCTACCTGAAATGTCATATCCTTTGACCAAAACCTCCCCAGGACCACCCCCCAGCCAATCCCTGGTAATTACCAGTCTACTCTGCTTCCATGAGATTTTCCTGAAAATCTTATGATTTTAACTTTAATTATAATTGAGTTCGAATCAAAGCTATTTAGGGTCACACTCAGAAGCAAACTTCTGGGGACTGTGATATTTTTGAAAATGTGATGAAAGACCTCTCTAGAAATATGTTTGCACATGCATGCACACACATGTTACTTTACTTATATGTTTATGTGTACATGCATATATACAATTTCAAGGGATTCATGACCATCATGAAACCTAGCTGAAAGCCTCTGGTTTTTTCCTTGTTAGTGATCTAAAAGATAAGTCAGATTGAGAGGTCTTTGACATTATACGTATAAAAGATGAAGTAACATAAGGACAATATGTGTTAAGTTGAAACATCTTATTGTGTGACATGTTCTGAGTCTCATAAGTATTATTTAAAGCCAACGAGGGGCTTTTCTTTAAAATCCTTTTATCCTGTTTGTTATATGGTAAACCAGATAGGTTATAGTAAAATTAAATTAGCCCTTTAAGAATGGAAAAACTTCACATCTATGAACAAGGGCTGTTCAATTAAATGTGCAATTATCCATACCTATTTCTATACATGAACTTATATACACACCCTTGCATCTATGCATATCCACCTGTATATACACATAGGTTTAAATATACACCTAACCTTTGGGGAGATTAAGACATAAAACCTGTCTTCAGAGGCTAAGAATCTTTAGAAAGAGCTCACACAATATCTTAACATGTTTCACAGAGATCCAATCTAATTCTAGATTTGACTTTTTAAACACGTCTCCCCGTAGGAGACATTTCTAACCCTTTGCTTGTTTGACCGATATCTACTACTATGTAATTCTGTGTCTTTCAGGTATAGCGTTAGGAATACGAACATATGCAAGATCCAGTCTTCTGGGGAAAATCACTGAGAAGTAATAAGTAGGAAAATGTGGGTGGTTCATAAAGAGCAAAATTACACTTGCAACACAGGGTTAATGGCATGGAAAGAAAATTTTAAAAATTGTACTGATTTTCTCCAAAATTGATACAATAGATAAGATCAAAAATTAATCTAGAGCACAAAGATAATTTTGATCATTTTCAAAGATGAAAAAATAGCATAAACTATGTAATCATATTTACTAAACTCCTATTTAATGACTATTTCATAAGTTATTAAATATAATTCAATTTAATGCCATTATTTAGTCTAAATAATTTATAAATGTCCTGAAGAAATGCTGTAAAATATATTCACATAATTCATTAGAACCATGAGAATATTTTACATAGTATGAATTTCCAAATGAGATTAAATATCTTTGTGAAAACTACATAACGTACTATCTCTATTGCTAAGGAAGGCAAAAGTTCCCTCTGTATCCAGCACGCCTATGATAGAGTCAAGCCATATGACTTTCTGTTTTCTGAGTATGTCTTGCAGTTTCTGCTGCAAGTGTGCCTTTGCTCATGCGATTCCATCTGCCCAGAATGCCATCCTTTTCTTCTCTGACTTCTGAATCATGCCATCTTAAGAAATTTTCCAATGCCAGTTACTTCATTTTGACATCATTGCTGCTCCCTCTGCACCAGCTACATGCAAACACACATGACCAGTTACATCTCTCTTTATGCATTCCATCATGACTAGTGCTTGGAATAGTGTCTAAGGATTAGTAAGAGCTCAATAAATACTGGCATTTTTCTTGTTTTTATTCTCCTCCACTTCCTCAGGGGCCAGTCTCTTTTTTTTCACCTTTGAATATCTCACCATGCTCCTAATGTACATTGAGTTGAATCAAATTTTACTCACTATGAAAAGTACAACTGTCAAGATGCAATTGGGTTAATCGACTCAAAAGAGACTTGCCAGATTTCCAGCTGTCTTTCCTTAGAATTAAAGCCTGCTTCTTCAATATGTTTTTATTACTTCTGACCTGAGCTTTAAATACTGTGGCACTCATTTAAATTCCATAACAACCTGTCAACAGTACTTGGAACCAGATTTCTAAGGGGTCAGCAACTAAGACAGTTGCCAAATTTCTATACTGAACTCTGTTTAATTCGTTTTTTTAAAAAAATAGGTTTAGGAATACAAGGCAAACTGGTTTTTATAAAAGTTGTCTCTAAACCACATCTCATATAAAATATGGCTAGTAGTCATCAAACTGAAGTTCAAATAAGCCCAAACATCAAAGAAAATCAACAGGACATTAATGTGTGTTGTTCACATTCTGAAACAGTCCACACTCTAAATGGTTTTCTTGAAATGCTTCCGTGAGCTATCGGACTGTTGCCTCAGTCCAGGTGTGGACCACCTGATTAATTTTCCTCACTCACAAACCACATTTACTCTAATGGAATATTATTTAGTTTAAGTAAAGATGAAATGAGTATGCAGTTAACTTTTATTTATAAACTACAAGCCATAATGTATTTCCCCTATGTTCTCAGGAAAGCATGTAAGCATATTTTCTCTTAACCAGCCTTCTTAGAAATATGTGAAGATACTGTTTATAAACACAAACAGAAATATTTGCACACAAATGTCTACCTTGTGATCATGTCCTTTGGGGGTAAAGGCTTTTCAGTTCTTTTTCTTTTCTTTTCTTTCTTTCTCTCTCTCTCTTTCTTTCTTTTTCTCTCTCCCTCCCTCCCTCCCTCCCTCCCTCTTTTTCGACAGAGTTTCACTGTTGTCACCTAGGCTGGAGTGCAATGGTGCGATCTTGGCTCACTGCAACCTCCGCCTCCCTGGGTTCAAGCAATTCTCCTGCCTCAGCCTCCCAAATAACTGGGATTACAGGCATCCACCACCGTGCCTGGCTAATTTATTTTGTATTTTTAGTAGAGGCAGGGTTTCACCATGTTAGCCAGGCTGGTCTCGAACTCCTGACCTCAAGTGATTCACCCACCTCGGCCTCCCAAAATGCTGGGATTACAGGCGTGAGGCACTGCGCCTGGCCAAGGCTTTTCAGTTAGTAAGAGTGAATTACTGTTACATCTTTTATATTTAAAGCAAAGTACATGCAAATTAGTGTGGATACCTTAGTAGCAATCACTCAGCACTACATTGACTTACTGCACATAAAAATATTCAAACTAAATTTTATTTTATAAAATAAATATGTTTATCTGGGAATAATATTTTTTCTAGCTGAACCATCTTAGATCTCCTTTCTGTGGTCCAATGTAAAAATATGTTGATCTTTTTGAATGTAAATGCTATAGGTGGAAACCCTGTAATCAATGATATATTTATTACAGTCTGTAATCCACCACCATCTTTCATAAATATTTATTAAGTATGCAAAATATTGATTGCAATATGTTGAAATGTATGTTGGCAATTGATAATAATTAATAGATAATGCCATTGATAATTTAAAACAAACACATTATGCATTGAATCCAATATCTCCTGAGATTCTGATTACCTAACTCATTGGTTGAATGTGCTGAAATGCTCTGAAAATTGAGTTTACAAAATGACAGGCAGTTCCTATTTAATTTTTTCCGCTTAATAAGCTACTGGTTCTGAATCACTGACTATATTACAAGAACAGTGTGTCAGCTAAGCCCTATTGGAATAACAAAATAAATGAAACAGTTTTCATGTCCCACTTAGCTATATTTAACATTGTAATATTTCACGCTTTTAGAAATCTACTCTCCAATAATGCAGAAAACTCTCCATTGAAGGTAATGATTATCAGTGATAAAAATGCCCAGAGATGCCTCCGAATTTCCATGATTAGGGATTTATAAACATTTACATTCAAGCTAGATTTTTCCCCCATTTTTTCAAATATTGGAAGGCAAATGGAATAAAATAGGTCAGTGTTTCCTCATGAAAAAAATATAATTGTCACCGATAGAGGTCAACCATGGTCAATTAAATAATCAGGGAAAAATGCCTAATTATTTCTCTAGACCTACTTAATACTGGCAGCAGTTTTCTTCTTTTCTCTTAAAAAAATAAGGATTTTTGCCTGAAACAATGGAAAAATACTTTCAGTCACAATGTGAAACTCTAACCTCCATCAGCAGATCATAATACACTGCCTTCAGAACACAATCATTAGTTTACTGACATTAAGAAAAGAGCCAACTAGCCTCATTTTTCTGTTTTTTAGTAAATGTCCTCTCCATCACAATAGTGGGGCAAGTGTTTGGTTGGAGCAGAACCTCCTTACATTAGAAAATTGATATTTTCCTTTGCATAAGTCATATTTTGCTGTGTATCCTGGATTTGGTTTCTGGACACAGTCCTTGCTACAGCGTAATCTGGATTCTGGAAATGTGTTTTATTCTTAATTTAATCTCTAAATACCCCTATGTCTTTGTACATAGGGCACTACTGCAAGGATGGTGATTTCAGGGGCAAAGGAAAACCTTCATGCCAGTGGCTGCTGAAATTTTACCAGGTAGCTCCTCTTCTCCTAAGACTTTTTGTTTTGTTTTGTTTTTAGATAGGGTCTCGTTCTGTTGTCCAGGCTGGAGTGCAGTGGCAAGATCACAGCTCACTGCAGCCTTTACCTATAAGGCTCAAGTGATCCTCCTACCTTAGCCTCCAGAGTAGCTGGGACTACAGGCATGCACCACCATGCCTGGGTAATTTGTGTGTGTGTGTGTATTTTTTGTAGAGATGAGGTTTTGCCATGTTACCCAGGCTGGTCTCCAACTCCTGGGCTCCAGTGATCCACCTGTCTCAGCCTTCCAAGGTTTTGGGATTACAGGCAAGAGACACTGTGCCTTGTAGAATGCAAATACCTTTGGCAGTGAGAGTTCTTAAATCATTGATTATTTATAGCGGAAGATAAGTAAATAAATGCCACTAATTGTGTGACCTATGGCAAGTTATACTGTGGTTTTCTACCTCCAGTGTTCTTATGTACAAAATGAATTAATGATAGAATTTTGTGTTATGGTGGGTCATTGTTCTGAAGATATTGTCAGAAATGAATGGGCAAGGTGCTTAGCACAGTGCCTGGCAAGTCATGCATGTTTAATAGATGTTGGTTGCTATTACTGTTATTGTTATCAAAACTTCTTTGCAACTTCAGTACAAGTTGGTGAGTATAATGACAGTACTGGTGCTGATGGCTGGTTTAGGGGAAAGAACAGAACCAAAAGGATCCTTAGTCCTCGGGGTTACTGAAGATAAATGTACTACTTGACAGTTTTGACTTAGGTCACGCCTGCTCGATATCCTTTTTTAGGGAGTGCGTAAGTGAGGGAAGGGGCATTGCAGGGATGGCAAACAGCAAAAACACAGTGGGAAGTGAGAAGGTCCCTGAAGCAGGAAGTTGGAGAAATAAGACTGAGCCTCAGCCTCTGCAACTAACCTGGTGGATGACCATGGCCAATGTCCCCAGGTTTTGATAATGAAGAAGGACCCTCTGGCGCTTATCATCCTGGATTTCTTGATGGTCAGTGACTTCTGCATTACTCTATGGCAGAGAACGGGAGAAAGAGTCCAAAGCAGGGTGGGGCCAGGACCTAAAATAAAACCTGCTCAGGTAAAGGACCTCTAAAACAGTGCTACTCAGTGTGCAAATAGACTGCCTGGAGACCTTGTTAAAATGCACATTATTATTGAGGAGATCTTGTTGGGCTTTGATGCTTTGCATTTGTAGCAAGTTACATGTGATGTTGCTTCATTTTTGCTGGTTATTCCTGTAAACATCAATGGCTTGTTAATACGAGGAAAATAACATCTGGAAAAGAATAGGAATATAATTTTACTTATAACCTGAGGTGCACTGTACCATTAGACAAAAAAAATCAGGGGCTCAGTTCATAAAAAACAAAATCTTATTTATATCCTAGCAGAGTATCAGAGTACCATCGCCTTGGTTTCAGGAAAATAGTCAAAAAACTTGAGTGTATCTTAAGATAAGTTTTTTTCTTTCTATTCTGTAAGGTGTGTGATCTAAAATGACACAGTTATTTTCATTACCCACTGAGAAACTTGAGATTTCTTTGCTTCCAGAACTTTCTCTTTCTTCCTGGGCAGCTTTTACTTTTAGCCTGTGAGCCTGTGACTTACCATTGGTATTCATTCTCCTACTTGGTTGTTCTACAGAGTTTAATCAGGAACCTTTACTTATTCTTTCTGTCCTCACCTCTTGTTTTTCTCTCTCTCCCTCAGCAAATTTCATCAGGTTTTGAAGGATGGCAAGTTGTTAGACCTTCAATGTCATTTCTGAAAAAATGGACTTTTTGAAGAAATAATATTTTGCCAGGCAGATGTCACAGATTCTCTTGTAATTTAGATCTTTCCCTGGAATTCTTTCCTCCTGGCCGTGTACTAGAACGAGGATTTGCAGGCTTGGAAGCTGGCCCAAGAATCCCTGAGTATACTGCGGGGAGAAAGGTTGCTGTATTTGAGATTTTAAAGAGACAGAGTCCTTTACTTGAATGTAAGTTACTTTTGTGCTTTTGTGTTACTCTTTGACCATCAGTTACCCTATCTGCAAAATGGAATCATACCTGTTTTAGTTACACAGAAGGTTAGAAGGATACCATGAAAAATGCATATGAAAGTTTATGAATACATATTCAAACTATCAGTAGTGGTATTTGAGTTACATGGGAGATTCTGTCACCCACTGACTTGTCTGAATTATTGTGATATTCAGTGGCAGGGCAGGGCACCATGGAGTCTTGATGGATGTTCAGTGCTGATCAAGTCATTGGTAAAATAGTGGCCTTCTGCCCCTCAAGCTTTTCCCTGATGAGGAGGTTGGGCAAAAGCTCCTACTCCCCAACTCTGCTGGTTACAACAAATAAGCATCATGAGCTTTTCTACTTTCTGTATTAAGCTGGCAATACAATTCTCCAAAAACAGCACTTCCATTTTTCTGACTTACATTGCCATTGCTTGTTGGACTACCACAGGCAGTTTATTACCCATCAAGTCAAGAACCATCCAGAATGGTAAGGAACCCACTTCTAAACTCATGATTTCTTGGTGACTTTCGACAAGAAACTGCCTTTCATTGCCATTTCTTCTTACACCTTGTTCTTGCTACTACTGGGTTAGAGCTCTCTTAAAATGGTTTAGCTGAGAGCACTTGGAAAATGCCTGATACATATATGATCATTTGTGCAAAGTTAATCACTCATACCAACTGTATTGGATCAGTTTTCATTAGAGTTTGTCTTTTGTTCCTTGAAGGAATGCTGAGTAGGATAAGTATTAGGCAACTTCCTTCTCTTGCAGGGTGTAGTTCATAAAGGAAAACTAGGCTGGGTGTGGTGGCTCACGCCTGTAATCCCAGCACTTTGGGAGGCCGAGACAGGTGGATCACCTGAGGTCAGGAGTTCAAGACCAGCCCGGCCAACATAGTGAAACCCCATCTCTACTAAAAATGCAAAAATTAATGGTGTGGTGGCGTGCATCTGTAATTCCAGCTACTCAGGAAGCTGAGGCAGGGGAATCGCTTGAACCTGGGAGGTGGATGTTGCAGTGAGCCAAGATCATGCCACTGTACTCCAGCCTGGGCAATAAAGTGAGACTCCATCTCAAAGAAAAAAAAAAAGTTGGGGGGAACTGATAGAATGTTGAGCATTCATTAGTACTCCTAAGAGTATATGTTGTACACCTGACTCTTCTCTACAAGTTTTTAGACTCTTTGGAACTGCACTTTGCTTTGGGATGAATGCAAAGTGTATTTGAGATAAAGAATGGGTACACTTTATTGCCTTTTAAAAGTTGTACCATAATTATGTCCAGCAGACAATTAAAAAGGACATAAATGATAAATTTGGCTGACATCTCTTTTTGTGAGGTATACCCATGAATTATCTGCTTGCTCATCTTTACCTTTGGGTTTCTCTACATTCAAAGGAAATTCTCTGGTTACTATATCATATTCTGTTGAATTACAAAATAATTATAGGGGAAGGCCCAGGTATGTATGTAACTGTAAATAGTTAAATTTATGAAATATTTCATAATGTTCCCAAATAACAATTTTTCTGAATAAAAGGTCATTGCTAGAATATCTGGGACTTAGTCTGAGGAATATGAGGAGATAAGTAAAGGGTCATGAAAAAGCACAGGATATAGTAGAAAGAATGTGAACACTAAAGCTGTGTGATTTGGGGCAAGTCACTTTACCTTTTTTTTTTTTTTCCTGGGGTTGCGGGAGACGGAGTCTCGCTCTGTCACCCAGGCTGGAGTACAATGGTGTGATCTCAGCTCACTGCAACCTCCGCCTCCCGGGTTCCAGCAAATCTTCCGCCTCAGCCTCCCAAGTAACTGGGATTACAGGCACCCACCATCATGCCTGGCTAATTTTTGTATTTTTGTAAAGACAGAGTTTCACCATGTTGGCCAGGCTGATCTCAAACTCCTGACCTCAGGTGATCTGCCCGTCTCAGCCTCCCAAAGTGTTGGGATTACAGGCGTGAGCCACCGTGCCCAGCCTCACTTTACCTTTTTAAGCTTCAGGTTATTTATCTTTAAGATATGAATAATGTACTGTTCTTAACAAATTGTTGCAGAATGTAACAAATGAATGTGTGTAAGGTATCCAGTATAGTGGCTCCCATGCTGTGTATGCACAAATGAGCTTGCTCTCAACAGGAGGCTAAATCATTCTGCTTCCAAGAACCAACTTGTGTCTTGCCCAGTCTCAACAAAGTATCCCCAAGTAGCAAGCAGCTTGTTACTAGTGCTCAGACAGATAGTTCTGATCATTGGTCACTGATATCACTGTTACTACTGACAAGCCTTGTCTGTGCACCTGACATGCTGGCTGGACAAGCGGTCCGGAAGCACCTCCTTCTGTTCTGCAAAGCCAGGAATCTGCTGCTATTGCAGGTCAGCCTCAAGCAATTAACTCCTTGTCTGGTATTGCTAGGAGGGCGTGGCATTTTGCTGAAGGTTGGGAAGGAAATGGCTCTCTCCTTGTGGTATGCTCTTGTAGGGAGGGTTCCACAGCAGCATTGCTTGGAACCCAATCTGCAGATCTTGAAAGGCAGCTTTTTTGGTTTGCATATATAATTTTTCTTTGACTCTTGGAATATATATTCTGCTTTCATGGCTAGGTCTCGAGGGTTTCAAGGCATTTGTCATTTTCCACCTGAATATATCATTTGATTTGATTCTTAGACCCTGGAACTGCATCCAGGCATCATACCGTACTTTTGTCTCATGATGAATTGTCTTTCATGGAATAAGAAAAACCTAGCTTTTATCTTCTCCTAGCCTCATCCCAATTCATCAAGCATGTCTATAGTTGTCTAAGCCTCAATTTAAGACATGAGTCTAATTTTTGCTTTCTTCAGAAGACTCCTCCACACCTAAATAAATCCATAGCTGTGAATAAATATTCCAGGGAAAAGAATTACCCTGAATGTACCTGAATATCAAATATCCCATTGCTAGGGCCCTACTAAACCTAACTATATATCATAGTCATTATTATTTTATTAATATTACTGACAAATAATTATTAAGAATTTTATTAAATAAATACTAATATACACATGCATTTATTAACAAATAATTTAATAATAAATAGTGCATCTTATTAACAAATAAGAGATGTTTTTGAGGTATTTATAATGAATTGGAGAGAGCTTGGGCTTTGGAGCCAGGGCAAGTTGGGTTTAAATTCCTACTTGCTAGTTGCTTATTATATGACTTTGAGCCTTTTTTGAACTGAAAAAAAAAATGGGGCCAGCAGATGGTTATAAGAATTAGGTGATATAACTGCATAAACTTCCTTGTGCAGTGTCTGCTCAATAATGGATGCTTAATAAATTGGTCCTATTTTGTTTTTATCATTGACAATCTGGCTCTAAGAACCCTTGTGTGGTTAAGAGGCAGTTGGTTGAGGATTTTAGAAAGTGGGATGCAGAGAGACGTTTAAAGAACAGTGCTTAGCGGTGCAAGAGCACGCTGTTTCTCTGCACGTAAATACCCCATTTTGCAAGCACTCTGTTATTTCTGTCCTCTTTCCACTAATTTTGGCCCTTGTAAAATATGCATTGCTTGCCTTTTTCCATCCATTTATCTTCTCTCTGTGTCCATTCTTCTCCCTGAAAAACTATGACTTTTAGGCCCATATAAATATGGTGTATGGTCAATTGGAGAAGACCCTCAGCTGAGAAGGGATGGGGAGCAGGAGGAAACGGGAATGACCCTCCCCCTTGGCAAAGCTGTGAGGTGGCCCCCTCCAGAGCCCTGCCCCTCACTGTTATATCCTTTTCTTTTTCTAGAGGCTTCCTTCCTGCCTGCTTCACATATGGCAGTCTATAGTTTCCTTCCCACTTCTAGGAAAACTGAGAGAAAATAGTTTTCTGTCCTTTACATCTTAAGGTAGATTCAAGTCAATCTGTTTTCTCTTCTTGGGGTGTTTACATTTTGAAGTCTAAGTTTAATATAAAAGACTTTACCTCTAGTTAAAATCATTTTAGGCAACAGGCCCATTGGAGGTTACCTGGTTGCAGGGGAGCCTTTTCTGTCCTAAAAGCGCACTAGTCAATGTCCCCTGATAGGTCCTCTCCAAAATGAAGGAGTAGGGGCACACCCAAAGCACACAGACCTCAGGACTTAGTTCATCCCAGTTCTGACCTCCTCTAGTCTCAGCCATTTCTAATAACATTTTAACCTCTCCTGCTTTCTGAACAAATGCTTGCTTATTTCACAGCTCAGTATCTAAATGTAATCAAGGCAATTATCATGCACAACTTATTTGTATAAATATTTTAACAAAAGTTGCAAGAGTAAATTATTAATAGCTGTAAATAGAACATCTTCCTTAAACTGTCACACACTGCCTTAGCATAAAAACATAAAAAGTATATGAATAATAAAAAAGTTGATACTTATATTTTACTCACAAAAAAATGATAGATCCTTTGTAAGATACAAATCTTAAGAGATCGTCTAGGTATTACACCTGGGTATATCAGCTAAATCATCATTCTGATTATAAATATCTAGGGACACGACTTTCTAGAAATGGAGTGCTAAATAAAAAAGCAAACTACTGACAGATTGTCTGTTTTCTGCATAGATGCAGGGTGCTGGAGGTAGAAAGGAAACTCTTGTTGCTGATGGTGATATGCAGAACTGGCTGGTGGGGGTCTTGAGACAGTTTCATCAAATGTGCAGAATTAGGGCAGGTCCAATCACAGGTGTACAGGTAATGCTGGAGATGGGACTCAGTCTACACCTGAAGAGGGAAAGCCACACATGACTGTGATGAGGCCATTTGGGCTGCATGGTGAGCCCTAGTGCATTCCAGTGAGCAGCAGGTCTCCAGACTTGGGCTGAGGCTCAGCAGTTTTTCTCGGGTTGACTGCTGATGGTGACGAATGGGAGCAGGGCTCTTAGCTCATGGTTTTGACACCCATGTGCTCTCACAGATATCAGCAGGGAGCTTTACACACGTGGCAGTTGTTATTTTCTGATCGTCTCTGCTCTGTTTACACAGAGTGGCTTCAAACACTCCTCAGAGTATTGTCTGACAGATGTGCTCTGGGAAAAATACAATTTTCCTGTGTGTGAAGGGGGCGAGGTTGGCAATTTGAAAATGGAAAAATGACAAACTCGTTCAGTCATCTTATACCCACCAGAGGGTTTTTGTGTCCCCAGTTTGGCCCTCAGCTCCAAAGTTACTTTTGTGCGTCTGAGTGTTACTGCGTCAGTCTAAGATTTTGGACTCTTTAATCACTTGGACCATGAAGAATATGGCAAAGTGTCAGCCAAGTCTACTTGGGAGACAGAATTGCTGCCTGTTAAAAGGGAAGGTGATAAATATGTCTGATTTGTTACTGTGATCAAGTAGGCAAAATACTTCATTAAACCATAAATTTGTCTAAAAGCATATTGGAAAACTATTTGTCCCAGACAGCTTCACCAAGGGATAGTATATTTCTAACGCTGTCTCTGACCAAATGCTTTTATAAGTACTGCCCTTTCTGGAAATTTGGGAAAATGTTGAATTCTGGATCTTTCTGCTCTAAAAGCCTTAAGTCATTTTAGAATAGGAGGCACATGAATATATTTTGAAAGCAACATGCTAACCAATTAGAGTTTTAACATAGTCAAAATTGTGAAGTGATGAAAGTTTGTCTTAGGCATCTTGTGATAACCACCTAGGATTTTTTAGTTCTACCTGGGAGGGATTTTTTCAAGAATATAGGTTTTTGTTTTTGTGTTTTCTTATGACCCCACACTACAGTGCTTAAAAAAAAAAAAAAGTCCTCCAGTCATTTGCCTGAAGCAGACAGTTATTTCATTGCAAGTATGGGAATTTATATGAGTACAGACTATGTACAAATAGGCAATTACAGTGGCTGACAGTGGTCATAAATTAGTCTGGCTGAAAACATGTCTTGTGGATAATTTCTTCTTCTTATTTTTTAAATTTCCCATTGTTCAAGCAAGGTCCTAGCTTATATATGGCCCAGTTTCTTTTTCTTCCTGACTGCATAAGGAATCTGTTTCCTGGTTAGTTGTATTTTGTGCCTACTCTCCTCTCAGAAGGGATATCCCAGGCATGTTTAATGGCAGCTTGAAATCTGATAGCTGTGGGTTGAAATCCTGCCTCTGACAGTTGGAAACTGCACGTGCTTGAAAAATTCAAGTACCCTCTCTGAGTCTCTGGGAATCCTAAGATGTAAAACAGGGTAAATATAATCGCCTTTCTTGGTTGTTACAATAAGTAAATACAATCACATATAAAAACATGAAAATATCATCATAGCGCATATTAAGTTTTCAGTGAATGTTACTTGTTCTTATCAGTTTTCCTAAGTTTTCTTAACCATTATCCAAATTAGTGGTGTGTTTTTTTTTTAATTAAAGAGTAAAGTATTAATAAAGACCAGGACAACAGGCATAAGTCAGACTGTCCTTGGCATACCAGGACATTGGTCACCATTTTTCAAGGAGGACTAGTCCTCAATTCTAATGAGTAAATGAGATTAGAGCTTCACCACTAGTTAATTCTGCTCATCATCTGGACATCAGCATCATCAGCATTTATAATTTTGTTTCTTTTTAGTTCACTCTCCTCACTCTATAACTTATTGTTCATTCCTAATTGTACAGATATTTATTGAGTGACCTTTGCTAAAAGGTCATTATTTCTATTTTAACCTAATAACTTTTCTTTGATATACTGTATATATAAGGCAATGTATCCCAACTCTAATAACTTTGAATAAGATACAAAACAATGTCCTCTTTATGTCAAATAAAGAAATATATTATATATATATATATACACACACACACACACACACACACAAATTGTATTTAAATATGTACAGTTGATTGATGAACAACATGAAGGTTTGGGGTGCTGACCCACTCACAGTAGAAAATTCATATATAACTTTTGACTCTCCAAAACCTTAACTACTAACTGTTGATTGAGAAGGCTTACTGTTAATATCAACAGTTGATTAACTCATATTTTGTATATGTTTTGTATACTGTAGTCTTACTGTAAGGTAAGATAGAGAAAAGAAAATGCTATTAAGAAAATTATAAGAATAGAAAACATACTTGCTCTTCATTAAGTGGAAGTGGATCATCATAAAGGTCTTCATCCTGGTGTCTTCACATTGAGTAGGCTAAGGGGGAGGAGAATGAGGAGGGGCTGGTCTTGCTGTCTTATAGGTGACAGAGATGGAGAGGTGGAAGAAGTGGAAAAGAAGGCAGGAGAGGCAGGCACATTTAGTGCAACTTTATGAAAATACATTGTAATTTCTGTATAACTTTTTGCTTTTTCATTTCTCTAAAAATGTTTCTGTAAGTACCAATCCTTCTTTCACCATTTGCTTTGTTTTCATGGGCCTCCTGTCTCATAGAGGGGCCTATGTCGTAAAAGAAGTCAAAAGGAATCTCGGATAATTGGAACCCTTCTGCCAAACTGATGACTGTCTGGCACGGATTCAGAAGCAGTCGTCTCCATCAAGTCATCTTCTGTTAATTTCTCTACTCTGGCGGTCCATTAGCTCTTGAATTTTTCCAAGATCCATTTCAGAAACCCTTCATCCTGACTTTTTTTCCCCAATATCCACAATATTTTAAATAATTTCCTTGATAGATTCTGTCATAATTCCTGTGAAGTTATGCACAACATCTGGACACAGTTTCCTCCGGCAGGAATTTATGGTTTCTGGATCGATGGCTTTCAGGGCATTTTCTATAACAATGACGGTATCTCCAATGGTATGATCCTTCCAGGCTTTCATGATGTTTCTCTATTTGAGCTCTCTTCCATAGTGTTGATAACCCCTTCCATAAAGTACCATGCATAATGAGTCTGAAAAATCCTTAGGACCCCCTGACTTAAAGGCTGAATTAGGGACATTGTGTTTGGGGGTGAGTAGACTGCTTCAATGTGTTCATTGTTGAACTATGGGGTTCTAGGTGGCCGGAGCATTGTCCGGTATTAAAAGAACTTTAAAAAGGCAGTCCCTTATTGATGAGGTACTTCCTGACTTCAGGGACAAAGTCACTGATGGAATCAATCCAGAAAAAGGGTTCTCATTGTCCAGCTCTTCTTCTTGTACAGCCAAAAGACTGGCAGCTGCTGTTTACCTTTTCCCTTCAAGGCTTGGGAGTTAGCAGCTGTATAAAAAGGGCAGTCCTAATCATAAATCCAATTGCATTTGTGCAAAACAGTAGGGGTAACCTATCCCTTCCTTCCTTGTATCCTAGTGCTTGCTTATCTTCATTACTAAGAAATGTCCTTTGTGGATTCCCTGCCCCCTCCAGAATAGAGCACTTTTGTCTGCATTAAAAACCTGTTCAGGTAGATACCCATTTTTTCTCAGTGATTTTCTTAATGGTGTCTGGGAAATCATCTGCTGCTTCTTGTTTGGCAGATACAGCTTCTCTTGTTATCTTCATATTTTTAAAACAAATCTCTTCCTAAAATTATCAAACCATCCTTTGCTGGTATTAAGTTCTTCAGCTTTAGATCCTTCACCTTCCTTTATTAAGTTGTCATACCATGACTTTGCTTTTTCTTGAATCATATTAGAGTTTATAAATATGCCTTTCTTATAGCAATTCTGTATCTACATAAAAGCTGCATTTTCAATTCAAGATAAAAAGGTATTTTGCAAAAAGTCCAAGATGTTCATGCCTGCTGGCATAGCTGCAGCAGTGGCTTCATGAGTCTTCTCTCCTCTCCTCTCCTTCCTTTTTTAGCTTTAGATCCTTCACCTTCCTTTATTAAGTTGTCATACCATGACTTTGCTTTTTCTTGAATCATATTAGAGTTTATAGATATGCCTTTCTTATAGCAATTCTGTATCTACATAAAAGCTGCATTTTCAATTCAAGATAAAAAGGTATTTTGCAAAAAGTCCAAGATGTTCATGCCTGCTGGCATAGCTGCAGCAGTGGCTTCATGAGTCTTATCTCCTCTCCTCTCTCCTTCCTTTTTTTTTTTTTTTAAACAATGATCCTTACACAGGATTCATTTATCTTGAAATGAAACCACAGCTGCAGACCTCAATCTGTAATACATACCAAGCAATTTAACTGTTTCTTGTAATGTCATGACTTTTCTCTGCTTCTTAAGAGCATTTCCAGCATCACTAGTGGCAGTTTGTATGGGTCTCATATGTTATTCAAGGTTTATGCTATTGCATTAAAACATGTTTAAAAAAATACACCAGAAACATGAGAGATCACTTTTTATTGTGATATGTAATTTACCAGGGTTATGACCTGCTCATGCAGAGATGATTAGCATTACATGGCATTTTAAGTGGATACTTTTGACACTTGAGCTCACTACAATAGCAACAGGAGGTGGCTATGAAATTATAGTAGTATAGTATGTGCTACAGTTAATTTTGTGCAGTTATAATTTAATACTGCATCTTTATGTGTGTTTATAATTCTCTCAACTGCAGTGATGCCATGTTTGGTCAGTAAGTATATACATAAATTTTGATACAATTTACCTTTTTACAATAGATTTGTGTAAATTTTATGGTAGCAAATCATCAAATAGGCTTGTATTGACATATATTTTATGTATTCATGGCACACCTAAGAATTTTTTTTAATATATTTCTAAGCCACATGGTTTCTCTGCATGTTTTTGCAAATTTTCACAAATCTCCACAAATTTTTCTAATACATTTATTGAAAACATTCTACATAGAAATAGATGTGTACAGTTCAAACCGTGTTGTTCAAGGGTTGTCTGTATATATATGTGTCCACACCAACAGGTTTCCCGAATAAAAATACACATGTATATCAACCACGCATGTGTACTTTCTCCCCTAACTTCAGCTTAATCTTGAGGGCCCTCTAATCCTAACCTTATGCTTCATGCTGCCTTCTTCTTCATAAAACCTTTGCTGTATAACATTTTTATTGATTTTTAGAATCATTTTCTGTCTTTTTCCCTTTTCTTCTCAAACCTTAAAGGCCGCTCTGGTGTCTTGTGTTAGGGTGCTCCAGGGTAACTAGACTGATAATTGTGTTCACCCTGTGTATCTAATGTAGTTGTGCCTAGGCATTTATGTATTATAATATGATTATGCACAAATATTACTATTGTTATTACCTGTACTAGTTTTATTTCTTTCATGTTAAAATTAACATATATTGATTGTAAAATGTGTTTATAGGGGCTAAGAATTTCTTTTAGGATATTATCCTTTTCATAAAAACTATCTTCATTATAACTTAGACTTTGAGACTTTTGCCAAGTGGAAAGAAGCATGAGGAGATGCCCTTTCAGTGTGGAAGACCCATGGGATGACTTATCCTCAACTAAATTCATAAAGGAAATGGCCTCTTCTGCCTCTGCCTTATTTTATTCTGAACAGATATGACATTACTCTAAGACATGATGTGGGCACAGTTTTGGTCACCCGTAATTGGGATAAGTGCAATGGCACTTAGTGGGTAAGAGTGAGAGTTTTTAGACAAACAGCAATGCATAAGACTGTCCTGAACAATGAATATTTTCATATCTTGTATGGCATGGCTATATTTTACATAAAAACACAAAGTGTATTTTCCCCCATTTTAGTGTGTGCTAACTTTCCCAGGAATGGAACTGCACTACAAATCAGGGCAGATTGTAGTTTCTGTCTAGTACATCATCAAGAGATCAAGAGTTGTTCATCATTTTTGAACCTAGCAATGGCAATGCTGCTAGTGGCTTCCCAGCCACCAATGTGTCATCCCCACATCAGTCAGTACCAGTAGCTGTTGCATTTATTATGATTTTATGCATATATATAAACTTATCACCAGGCCTTATTTCAAATGTCCAATAAAATGTTCATCTCAGGAAAGAAATAATGTTGACAATATTCAGTAGAGGTAGTGGTCAGAGTCCACTCTGGAGGCAGAAATGATACCAGCTATTTGAACAGAGAAGATTTAATACAAACACTTCTTAATTAGTAAAAAGTTGTCAGCTGGTAACTTAAAGGGTAGAAAAAGAAACTCTAAGGTATTGTGGAAGTAGCAACTTCAGGAAGCAGCTGCTTCCCACCCCCAGAATTGTGGGGAAAAAAAGGAAAACAAAAAACTTCGAGGGAAGGTCTAGTGAAACTCAAACTCAGACCTGTAAGCAAGGCGTGGCTCGGCTGGTGCTAGTATCTCTGAGCTCAGAGGAAAGACTCATGAAGCTGGAATCCAGACCTCTGAGGAGGACCAATGGCCGGCTGGTATTTGAGGGAAGAAGGAGACAATTAACCTGGTTCTCCAAGTGTTGAACAAAATTGCAAACTGTATTCAGCTGCTGCCACAAGGAGGCTCTGCTGTTGGTGGGGGGTGACTGAAGCATCGTAGAGTGATGCTCACAAGATCCACAAGCAGCCAAGGAGCTCCCCTAGAGGGACACAGGAAGGGGCAAGTTTCTTCCACCTCATCCAGCTTTGAAGTCTCTGGTGCTCCTAGTGGCAGATCCTAACAGAGAGAATCTTGGCAAGCAGAATGTAGTTTGCAGGGTCTCAGCCCCAGCAGCATAAAGCAGAGCATAGAAGTGCAAGTTTAGAACCGAGAGACAAAGAGTAAATAACTGGCACATTTGGCTATTGTTTTACACTTCCTAAATCCAGAGTTACCCATTATAACCACATCATCTGGTATAATTGTACCTAAGCATTTGCATATTATACTATTAGTACTCTATTTGTATGTGTTAATCTCTTACTATTGTCTTTTATGTCACTATTAACATATTACATTGATTTAAGATTATTCTTAGAGGGAGTTAGCAATTTCATTTTGGAATAGCAAAAGAGACATTAACAAATATTTATTATAAAAATGAGTTTCAAATATGATAGAACTGAGAGCCACTAAGTTGATTCAGACAGTATAATATATACTTAGACTTTAGACTACTGGCTCCTAGCCGACTCAATGGCAATGCCATCTGATCTCAGCTTCAAGGCTTGTAAACACAAAGGATCTCATCGCTGTTAGATTCTGACTTCATTGAGGAAGGCATCTCGCCGTTGGCATACACTGATCTTTTTTTGGAATGGACAGGCATTAATGGAAATGTGAATCTCAGCAGTCATTCTGGCTGTCCTCAGCTTCGTAGCCCTACTTCTGAAAGCGAAAAAGGCACGCAGAGGACGTGGCCTACTTGACCACTGCCATCTGTGCCCTTTCAGTGGCACAACTCTGAGTGACCATTACAGTCAGAGCCTGGGCTTTTAGTGAAAATTAAACTTAAACACAATGGTTACCAGTGGTCGAGCTTCTACAGCAGTAAACTACTCTGATAAAGGTTGTAAACACAACATTTCCAGGTAGTAATATCATCTTCATTTTATAGATATGGCGATTGACTGCAGAGACCTGGAACTTACCTAAGACACAGCTAGTGAGAGAACTCACTCTGCCTCTTTTCTATAACCTAAAAGCCATTTCCACTCTGCCTTCGAATAGTAGCACAGGAGACAAAGTCATTAATTTTAGGAGATTATTTTTGCAAGTAGTACAATTATGTGACAAATTAATTGCCATCGATTACTTGAAAAATTCAATAAGCCTGTAATAGAAATGGCTGACACATATTATAGTCTCAGTAAATATACGTTGTATATATTCAATGAGTATGTGTCCACAACAAATTTTTGTTGCAATGATAATTTTCAAATTGGTCCATTTTGATTTTGACCTTTTTATCTAGGTAGTTTTTCTAAAAAGCCATTTTGCACATATAAAGCTAATCATCTAACACTAGAAGACAATTATTCAACAGGGTCTGTTGCCATTTAAGCTTCAGATATGGCAAATGGAATTTCACAACACAAGAATAACAAAGACAAGGCCTGACAATGACAGTTGTTCCCAGAGAGTTTCTAAGTATAAACCTTGGACACAAAATAAAGAGTACTTTCATAGCTACACAGTGCAGAAAAGAACTGCTTGTAAGAGAAAACTAATTAAAATGATCTGCAGAAATTATATGATTGATAAACCACTTGTCTCAGCCACTCAGGAAATCAGACATCAAAACCATGATTCTTTTCAATTTCTATGTCTTGTAAGTTTTGATGAAACAGAATTGTGCTCAAAAAGTCAATATCATGAGGCACATTTGATTCATAGCCCCCTTACGTACATTGTGTAATGGTTGACAGAACTTTCATAACTGAATGCTAAATAATGTAAACTTCCTTGAAAGTAAAACTTAGGAAAAATGTGGAACGTTTAGGCAGTAATATCAACTAAAAGTGCAATCTTATGCCAGCTGTTAAAATTAGCTAACTGCTAAAAATACTAGCATCAGTTTCCAAAACATGATTTTATCCAGGTATATTAGTGCTTCTTATAGTCACACTGCAGGGCATGAATGGAAGCCCATCTTACTGAAAAGATACTTGTTACATTGGAGCTTTGCTTCCCTCTGTTTGAAATATCAGATATTGGGTTGAATACCTGCCAGTGCCCTCTTCTGGATAGAATGTAATACATTTCTAGACATTTTCTACCCTTTTTACATAGGAGCTAAACAATTTCTCCTTGACCTCAGAGAATGGAAACAATTGGTAACAGAACACAGTCTGGCTGTGTTGTGATCATAAAATATACGCTAGACTCAAATGAATGCAAACAAATATTTAAAATAGATTACCTTGGTTCTTAGTTTTCCCTACACTCTGGAACATTCCAGTGGGAAATTAAGATTGTATTCTGAATTCTGTATCTATGATGGCAGAAAACTGGGTTTTAGAAGTATTTTCAACAGGTAAAGTTGAACCAGAAAGGATTTGACTTTCCTTTTACAGAAGCACAATCTTTGAAATCTTGACAGCTTGGCTCCAAATTCTGGTTAGGTGTTTTAGTTTCCTAAGCTACAATATGTGGATCAAGAATGTACCTACTTTATACGGTAACTTTCAGGATTAGATGAAGAACTTTATGTATAATGTACTCATCTTTGTATCTGACCTACGGCAAGCATTTTCTATAATATTTGCTATGATATGAGTTTGTATGACACAAACATGTGTCTCTTTTAATTTAATATAAAGTACCCAAATTTGAAAAATTATTAGATTAGATATATATGTCTAAATGTTAGATTATAGAATTTTAAATCTATATATTTTTCCAGTTTAATACATATTTGTATATTTCAATTGTATATGTCAAATACCTTATGGATTGACTTTGATTTCTCAGTTAGAAAATATTGCAGTGAAGTATCTTTTACCATAAAGCTTGAAAATGTGGTATTTTTGACCTAAATATTACTCCATATCTTGATGAATAAAATAACACTGCATTTGGTGTACTTAATTACATTAAATTTCTAAGTTATGCAAATGGTACATTGTAACATGAACTTTTAAAAAATACATGTTACATGTGATGTGTGCCACACTTTAAGATTCATTTTCATTAATATAAAATAAGTAATTCTCTCTGCTTAGCACAGTTACCATTTTTATTACTTTTCCCAACTTGGCAGTGATTGTTTTTAAAGTGGCCTTCATTAAACTACAGCATTTCTAAAGTGACAAAATTTCAGGAGCAACTTAGTCTCTGACTGATTGCAGGTTGACAGTTGAGTACCTATGTCTCAATTGTGTATCATAGAGAAACGAACCCGAACAGGAAACTAACCCACTTACTAAAAAGTATGATTTTGGCACTTAACCTTTCTGGTTGTAGTTCCTGTTACATAAGATAATAATTTCAAATTCATAAGATAGATATGAATATTAAATGACAGAACTGATGCAAAGTTAAGTAACCACCATAAGTCATTCTCAAAATTATTTTTACATACATATAGAGAAGTAGAAAAGCCATGAGCTTTACAATCAGGCAAACATCTGCATACATATCATCTTCTATACTTATTTCTGGAATTTTCATTTCCTAACTGTAAGATGGTTGTTGTATTAAATGAGTTGAAATGTAAAAAGTGTATTATCTGACACAGAGAAGGCACAGAGTTGGTAAAGCTAATTTAGACAACATCTAATACTATTTTTGCATGTCACCTGCTTTGTGCTAGGCTCTGTGTTAAGAATTACAGTCTGGGCTGGGCGCGGTGGCTCACGCCTGTAATCCCAGCACTTTGGGAGGCCGAGGTGGATAGATCACGAGGTCAGGAGATCGAGACCATCCTGGCTAACACAGTGAAATCCCGACTCTACTAAAAATACAAAAAAAAAAAAAAAAAAAAAAGCCAGGCATGGTGGCAGGTGCCTGTAGTCCCAGCTACTAGGGAGGCTGAGGCAGGAGAATGACGGGAACCAGAGAGGCAGAGCTTGCAATGAGCCGAGATCACGCCACTACACTCCAGCCTGGGTGACAGAGCAAGAATCTGTCTCAAAAAAAAAAAAAAAAAAAAAAGAAATTACAGTCTATTTTTTACTATTTCTGGGCAAGGTACACATGAGGAATCTTGCCCCAGGTCCCATTGCTAGGAAACCCTTAAATTGTAGCAGCTCTTCTCTTTTCTTCCTTCCCTGATGCTTCACTGACTTGACTTCAGTCTGCCTGCTACTTCAGGTTGCATAGATCTTCACACTTTAGGGATCATCAAAGTATATAATTTTGCGAATTACACAAAGACCTTTCCTAACCCCAGTCCCATCAACTTATATCAGTCCTGTGACCTATTTCCCAAACCAGCTAATCTAATGAACTACATTATGGCAGGATTATTTTTGGATCTCTGTGTTCCTCTGACAAATGACAAATTTACGTCCTAATGACTGGTTTCTTGACCTCAAATGCTACAAGCCAGGCTCATAGAGGAGCTTCCAGGTAATACAGAAAGATCAGCTGAGCAGTTTGTGGGGAATGCTGTGATTCCCAATTCACTCCACATCATCAGACTGCCTCCTGTGTCAATCGCCTTTACTCACTCTACGTAATCCTGGAAAGTTTTAAAAGCCTAATGCACAGTTCTATGTGTGCCAGCCCATCTTCAAAGAAGTTATGATTGTACATATTGAAATTCCATCACACATTAAGAAAAATGAACATCTTTCCCCTTCTAAATTGGGTAGATTATTTGGGCCTGAAATACAGAATATGAGGAAAGAAAAAACTAATTCTTTGTCTACTGTATAGCGGTTCTAGCATAGGTGATCTTCAGATTCTGAGATTAAAAACATCGGGTTTTTTGTTGTTTCATAAAAATTTTCTTGAGAAAATACCTTAAATTCTCATTTGGAAAATGAAAGGCTTTGATAAAATAAGGTCGGAAGCACTTCTTTTTTTTTGAGACGGAGTCTCTCTCTGTCGCCCAGGATGGAGTGCAGTGGCTCGATCTCGGCTCACTGCAAGCTCCGCCTCCCGGGTTCACGCCAGTCTCCTGCCTCAGCCTCCCGAGTAGCTGGGACTACATGCGCCCGCCACCACGCCCGGCTAATATTTTGTATTTTTAGTAGAGACGGGGTTTCACCGTCTCTATCCTGGTTAGCCAGGATGGTCTCTATCTCCTGACCTTGTGATCCACCCGCCTCGGCCTCCAAAAGTGCTGGGATTACAGGCATGACCGAAGCACTTCTTAACCCCAAGGGCATATATATGTATTTGGAGTTGAAATTAGCAAATTGCATTTAAAGTTGAGAGTAACTATAGACCAGGAAGTTAGGTTTGAAATAAGCATTGTTTTTAGCTTTTAATCAAGACTTGTCATTTAGCATAACTTGCTAGCTAGTGCCCTTCTGTTAATTAATCCCTACATGGGTTTTAAAAGCAGTAGCCTGCCCTTTTGCTTGCTCTATGGACCTTGGATAGTAAACACATGCTAAATAGCCATTTATTTTTAGCTACAATTTAATACAGCTAAGAAAATATCAGAGGCTTGGTTTTCAAGACAGCAACTTAAACAAACTTCCTGGAGTAGAACTTAAGATGCCTTATTCCTTTGTCTTCAGATTTTCCTCCATATATAAGGTAGAGTGATTTTTGCTTGAGGATTTTCAGTCCATCTTAAGGGACTGAGAAAATTTGGTTTTAGCACCTCTGACTTTCCAACAGCCAAAGAAGAAGTTAAGTGATTGGTTTCATTATGCAGGTAATTGGATATATGAGCTTTTTCTGCCACCTGTGTACCTGAGTACATTTATTCTCACCTTAATAAAAATAAGTTATTAACTCCCCAGGATAATACATTGTCAGAGAAATTAGTGAAATCAGTTTTATTGTTCTGGAAATCAAATTAGGAAATGGCCTATGTCTTCCATTGTTAAATATTGCCTTACTCACTGTTTATTCCACTGTTTATTCTCTTAATAATTAACCAGAAAATTGTTTGACATCACTCCCATTGTTTATAACAGGGACAATAAATTGATTTAGAAAAATAATATAAAAATTTAAATTGCTAAACTTAGACCAAGTTATTTCTCTAGCATTTACCAGTTGAGGGATTTGGGGTGAGGGAATCTTCATTTTAGGATTGTTTTCAGATTCAATGAACTTGGATTAAGTACAATGCCTGGCACATACCTGGAGCTGATTAATTTTGTAGCTCAGCTCTTCCTTCCTCCCCCTCCCCCACCAGCACATACACATAGGAGGTGGGGGAAAAAAGGAAAGAGAAAGAGAAAAACTTAGCTTTAGTCTAAATAGAAGTGAATTTTACTGATCAAAAAAGTATGTAGAGCGTGTATTGCACAAAGGGGGCAGAGGAAAGGTGGTAAATGCTAAGGCCAATTATACTCCTTGTTAATGTCCGTTGTTTAACTTTGCTCTGTTTCAAATTTGGTCAATGATATTTCCTAAGATAATTTCAGGGACAGTCAAATGATAACTGCTGGGAGTTGTGGGGGAACTTTTCACTTAAAGAATAAAGTCCAAAACTTGTGATAGTAGGAGGCATTGAAAATCAGTATTAATAAGGGTTTGGGGAGCCATTTCTGACAGTTTTGCTTTTTGTAGTAAGGAGTATCACAATTATTTCACTTAACAAAGCACTCCATCTACCACGTTTATGAGAAAATTCACACCTGGACAAGGAGGCTCTGCTCCATCAGTGCATTTCGCTTGTGCTGATCATGAGGGAATACAAGTTATCTGGAAATACATCTTTAAAGTCGTCCTGTTGCTGGGGTTTTTATTCTTTTCCTTCTGTGATTGCCTCAACAACTTGCTTCCTTTGACAATGTATAATTTGTATTAGTGTTATAATAGTATTTATTTCTCCATGCCAGAACCGACCTTAATTGTGTGCTCTGTCCTGAAATGATTAGCAGATAACGCTAATCATTTTAATGAGTAGTTCACACAAGGTTTCTCCCTGAATCTCTATTATAAAAGGAAAAGAAAGTATGGAATAAAAAATGTCTTGTTAGTAAGGAAGCTAAATGAAAGAAAGAATAGTAATTTATTCTGTTATTCATTGAATTTCTTTGAACAAATATTTACCAGTAACTAGTTTTTTGTGCTGGGGCATATGACTGTGACCCAAAATAGACCAAAACATCTTACCAAAATGGAGTTGATATTCTAGTAGGGCAAGAATAATTACAATAGAGTATGTTAAAAAATCATGAGTGCAAAAGAAAAATAAAGAAACAGAGTTAGAGGTTAGGAAATGTGTGGGAAGTTCCATTTTAAATAGGGCAAGCCTCAGTAGGAAGATAGGATTAAGTAAACATTTAGCAATTATGAGGGACTTCACCTTCTGAATATGAGAAAAGCACATTCCAGGATGAGAGGTGCCTTGAGCAAAGGCTTCAGATGAGATATAATTTATGAGAAAAAAAAAGGCCAGTTACAAGAGAGAAAAGTAGAGAATTAGGAGATGAACTCGGAGATTAAGAGAGACTAATCTTATAGGGCCTTCAAGGATATAGAGATTTTGGCTTTTACTTTAAGCAAAATGGGACACTATTTCTTCAGTTTCATAATTTTGAAGAAATAAATGACCAATTGCCTTAGATTTAATAATGAAAACTCCAAATTCTGCCAAAATATTTAAAGAAGTTTATTCTGAGTCAATGAGTGACTGTGACCTGTGGAAACAGTTTCAAGAGAGCACAAGAAAGTGTGCCCGCGGCAGTTGGCTTACAGTTTAGTTTTATACATTCTAGGGAGATTGCAAATGCAGGTAAAATCATAAATCGATACATGAAAGGTATACATTGGTTCAGCCTGAATAGGCAAAGCATGTTGAAGCACGGCCTTACAAGTTGTCAGTGGGTTTTAGAGCTTCTTTCGTTGGCAGTTGGTTGTCAGAGCTAAGCTTTGTCTAAAGACTTGAGACATCAGTAGAAAGGAATGTTTAAGGTAAGGGGGTCTACTATCTGTCATTTAATGCTATACCAGAGTCAGGTTGGAAAGTAAGCCAAGTTATATTGGGTTAATTTTAAAAAAAAACCCAACACTTAATGAGATACTATGGTTTGTAAGACATAATTCCCCAGCCCTCTTAGAAAGAAATCTGGGCAAGAAGAAAAAAAACGGTCAGAGTTCAATCCTCAGATTTTGAAAGGCTGCAGAGTTGACAATAGGCTGAAGGAAAACAAGGATGGAACAGAGAGACCATGAAGCTTTTGCAGCCATCCAGATAAAAGATGACGGAAGCTTGGACCAAGGTGATAGCAATGGTGGTCATGTAAGTAGCTCTAAAATATTTGAAGGTAGAGTAGACAAAATGTGCTGAGGAATTAGTTGTGAAGTGGAGAGATAGAAAGATATCAAGGAACACTCCAGGTTTCTTGGCTTTGTTAGACGGATGGTTGTGGAAGCTGGATGAAAGAACCAAAGCAAGTGATTGTGTAGAAAAATTGGTTCATTCAAATTATTAAATGAGTTACCAAAGTACTCTTTTTTTCTTTTTTTTGAGACGGAGTCTCACTCTGTCTCCCAGGCTGGAGTGCAGTGGCGGGATCTCGGCTCACTGCAAGCTCCGCCTCCCGGGTTCACGCCATTCTCCTGCCTCAGCCTCCCAAGTAGCTGGGACTACAGGCGCCCGCCACTACGCCCGGCTAATTTTTTTTTTGTATTTTTAGTAGAGACGGGGTTTCACCGTTTTAGCCGGGATGGTCTCGATCTCCTGACCTCGTGATCCGCCCGCCTCGGCCTCCCAAAGTGCTGGGATTACAGGCGTGAGCCACCGCGCCCGGCCCCAAAGTACTCTTTAGAGATGACCCATTAATTTGAGTTTGGAATATTATACTTTGTCAAGGCATGGGAATGTACGCGTCTATTTTCATGCCGAGTGTTGGCCCCATTTTCATGTTTTGTATCTTTCAGTTTTGCATTTTACAGGGTTCAGAACACATCATTTAAGTCACTTGTTTATCCATTTTTGTTGTGGTTGTTGATTTTCTGGTTGTGACTCTGGTTATTGAAATTAATGAGAACTAGTCTTTGGGAAGATGGATTAAAGTCATTTGGAGAATGCCAGTTCTATATTATGTTATCACTGCTTTCTCTTCTGTAATGAATACAAGCTAACAAGAGAAGACATGGCTTAGAGTTTTTTTTATAATGCTAAGGAATAGTTGTGTTAGAGAGCTTTGCAAATGCCAACTGAAGTACACTGTTTTTTTTTTTTTTTTCCTTAAGCCCCTTCTATGAGATAATAGAATTTCACAATAATTCACAGGTATCTGCATCAGGACCTCTTTAGAGTGCTGTTGACAAAATGTGGTAGTCTTTTTTTATTTTCCATTTTGAAATTGCATCATGAATTTCTTAGAGGTAATTTTAAATACAGCTCCTGTATAGTAATGTCAGAATGGGTAAATTCATAACATCCTGATATGGAATTTTTGGCTTCCCTGTTTGTTTTGACTGCTTAAATAATTATAGCTAATTTTAAATGTTTGTTACTTAAGAGATTTTAGTTGAAACAAAATATTGCTGTATTGGTATGATTCCATTTATAGAAACTAAATCTGAATCATAATTTTACACTTGGAAACTCATTCCGCTTTTGCTTTTACAATTTTTATAATTAATGTTCTCAATTAATATAGACGTCTGCATAACACTACCTAAAAGTTTTGGCGCATTTTACCAACTAGATATTATCCCTAGATATAAAGAGTTTGTAGTTCTACATGGAGGACAAAAACACATGTCATAGTAATGTAAATAAATTAAAATACATAAGATAATTATATAACTAATGACAATCTTAAACTCGTAAAATGTCAGAGGATGAGTATCTATTCCAATTGATAATAAGGCCACAATTTTTTTTTTAAAAAGAGCAGGGATGAAAATCTTTTCATTAAGTGAAAGATTCAGGAAATGATAGAGAATATCATTGGGGATATTTTGACCAAAGCCAGTGGGAAGGTCGATGAATGTTCAGTGGCCGTGAGCAAAACATCACAACCAGAGTAAAGGCAAAGGAAAATGTTAAATGTCCTGAACATTTATTGGTATCCTCCAACATGTCTTCCTTACTAGTTGATGCCTACACCCTGTAATCAGAGTGTTATTCCTTTACCTGAAGGTTTTGATACATTCTTAAACACCTCAGGCATCTACTCAGAGTTTCAAGGGATTTGTGCCCAAAGGCAAGATGATGCAATTCTCTCTTTTACTTGGTTTAAGGATTATGCTTTGGCTGAATGAATGGCCAAGAAGGGCAACAATTTCACTTTAGCCAAATAGAAGGAGAAGCCTTCCTCATTCTCAAGTACATTAATTCAGGTATCTTTTATGGTTTGTTTTTTTACATGACTTACTATTTTGCCTCCTGCTATTTCAACCTTCTCTTTAAAATGTTTCTAATTGTCCTTGAATGTGAGAAGAAGGTTTCAGGCCAAATACATTTATTAGAACATCCCAACATCCCTCATGCAAAGGAATGGGTCATTGCCCTTTTGCTGGAGGAAGTCCTCTGTGGTCTTGGTTGCCTAGTGGCTTCCCCTGGGTAGTCTAGTGATGCTTAGTCTCCATAGCTTTCTGCTGAGAGTCAAATGTTAGTTGGTCTTTAATTCAATGGCACAATATGACAAATCTAATAAAGGTACTTTTCACAAATGTGGGTAAATTAGATTATTCCCACAGAACATGATGAACTCTTCTGGAGCCCAGCTAATCCTCATTCTGCTGTCTACATTGACAATTAGTTCTGGAGGGAGAAAGAGAGGCTGTGTAGACAAAACACCAACATTTATCCTTTTAGGTTGTAATCACTTACAGCACTTTTGAAAATAGCTTGATTTTCCCACACATTTTACACATTTGGAAACTGGATGGTTGATTTTTGGAAGAAGATGGGTAGAGAATCAAGAGAGTGATTATTAAATATCCTCATCTTAAAAGGAGAAAATGGCTAGCAGGAGAGCCAGCAGTCAAAGGGTGAGAAAGCGTATTTGGAGGAATTGAGGATGGCCCCAGCAGACTCGTCTAAAAGGCTTGTCTAAGACTTCTCTAAGCAAACTGCAGCACCAAACCTGGGAATCATCCTTGACGTCGCCGGCACCCACCCTGGTTCTTTCAGCAAAATCTGTAGACATTTCATCAAAACATAACCAGAACATGACAACTGCTCACCACCTCCACTGCATAACTCCAGCCCAAGTCATCGTCGTCTTCTGGATGCAAAAGCTTGCTAACTGGTCTTTTTGCTTCTACCTTACCCTCCTACAATCTTTTCTTTAAGTAGAAACGAGGATGAGCCTGTTAATACTCAAGTCAAATGGTATCAGGCCTCTACACAGACACTCCAGTGGCTTCCCAAGTCAATGAAAAGAGGAGGCAAGTTTGTATGATCTTCTTCCCTCCCACCCCATCCTTGCCCGGTGCGTCATGAATGCATCTCCCAGCTTCTTCCTCTTGCTCACTCTGCTCCAGCTATTACAGTCTACTGGCCATGTCTCATACATGCCAGGCAAGGCACCACTTATTGATCCTGCTTGCAGACTACTTTTCTCCCAGATATCTGTGTTTCCTCTTTTATATTCTTTAGGTCTTTGCTCAAAGGTCGTCTTCATAATGAGGCTTTTTCCCTGGCACACTGTAACAATGCCTTCCCTCTTATCACCATCAGACTTAATATATGTTGACACATCTATCTATATGTATGTGTGTATATGTAGTCAGTGTGTACGTATAGTATTTGTGATGTACAGAGTCGGTTTCCTCCCTGAAGAACGAGCTCCATGGACACAGACTCTCTGTGTTTTGTTCACTGCTGTGCCCCAGTATCATGTATGGTACATGGCGCATAAAAGACACTTAATAAATATTTATTGAGTCTAGATATGGTAGCTCACACCTGTAATCCCAGAATTTTGGGAGATTGAGGCAGGAGGATCACTTGAAGTTCAGAGTTCAAGGATAGCCTGGGCAACAGAGTGAGATTCTATCTCTAAAGATAAATAAATAAATAATAAAAGTAAATAAATACATATTTATTGAATAGATCAATGAATAACTTATTTTTTAACTTTAATATGATTTCCTCTGGGAAAGAAAATGTGCAAACTCTCTTTTTCCATGATTTCCTGAAAGTTCAGAGTAAACTGTATTTCATTCTGTAGAAAAAGCATACATTTTAAACATGGATTTTTGAAGGGCATTAAGTTGGTGCTAAGGAAGAAAGAATTTAACAAAAACGAGAGCATGGTAAGACAGGAGCCAGTGGCAGAGATCCTGTGTGTCTCTGGGGAAGAGACTGATGGTGAAAATAGAACTGGCCACTAAAATTAACTACCTAAGGGCTCCCTGGGTGACCATCAGCAAAGACTTCAGCTCTGAGGAACAGGAGGACAGAGACAGCTCTGACTGCAACCTAAATCCAACACTGTCTGAAGAACCACCAAGTCTGTTGGGTTTTCTTCCTGACCATTTCTATATCCTCCACTGTTCTCACAGCTACTTCCCATTGTCCACAGGACTTCTTACCCAGATTCTAGCCACCACGTTTCTCAGAGTTCAACCTTGCCACTTTCTCTACACCATGAATGTAGAACTCTTTCTAAAAGGTGAATGTGATCATGTTATATTCTTCCTTAAAACTCTTTGCTAGCTTTCCTCATTTAATCTGAGAGAATGAAGTTCGAGTTCTTAATACACGTCGAGAGTTTCCAACGTCATGGCTCACCATTCCTCCAGCTTTTAACTCTCTATAGCTGTGCTACATTGTCTCCAACTGCTGGGTCTCTATGAACTTCCATCCCTCTGCAGCGTCAAATCCTACCCCTCTGTTCATCTTCCATAGTGCAGTTGGATGAGAAGCCTCCCCTGATACCTGCTTCATTGGGCTAGATGTCTTCGTAAGAGTCCTGTAGCATCCTGCATTACGATACAGATTGCACATATTCATAGTATTATAATCACACTTTTTAGTCTTTTACTTATCAGTCTTTCCTCTAGACTGTAAGTTTTTTATTTTTTGTGTGTATTGTTTGACTTGTTTTTAGTTGACAAATAAAACTGTATATTTTTATAGTGTACATCACGCTGTTTTGAAATATGTATACATTGTGGAATGGTTAAATCAAGCTAATTAATATCTGCATCACCTCGTGTACTTATATTTGTGGTGAGAACTTCTTAAAATATTTTGAAATTTTCAAGAATATAATACATAGTTATCAACTATAGTTACCATATTGGACAATAGATTTCTTGAATTTATTTTTTCTATTGAATTGAAATTTTGTGTCCTTTGACCAAAATCTTCTGAGCCCCCACCCCGTACCCCTGGAAACCACTATTATTATGCTCTCAACCTCTGTGGCTTTTATTTTTTAAGATTCCCCATAGGAATGAGGACATGCAGTATTTGTTTTTCTAAACCTCACTTATTTCACTTACTATAAATGTCTTCCAGGTTCATCCATGTTGTTGCAAACACAAGATTTCCTTCGTTTTTAAGGCTTAATAATACTCCATTGTATATATATACCACATTTAAAAAATCCATTCATTTGTTCATGGGTACTTAGGTAGATTTCATATTTTGGCTATTGTGAACAATGCTGCAGTAAACATGGAAGAGCAGAAATCTCTTTGACATAGTGATTTAATTTCCTTTGGATACAGACCCAGTAGTGGGATTGCTGGGTCATGTGATAGTTCTATTTTTAATTTTTTGAGGAACCTCCATATTGTCTTCCATAAAAGCTGTATTCATTTACATTCCTTCCAACACAGTGGAAGAGTTTTCTGTTTTCTACATCCTTGCCAACATTTGTTATCTTTCATCTTTTTGATCACCAAAATAACAGGTGTGTGGTGATATCTCATTGTGATTTTAGTTTGCATTTTCCTGATAATTAGTGATGCCGAACATTTTTCATATACCTGTTAGCCATGTGTATCTCCTTTTGAGAGATAACTATTCATATCCTTTACCTGTTTTTAAGAATTTCATTCTTTTGTTACTACTGAGGTATATGAGTTCCTTGTGTATCTTAGATATTAACCCCTTATCAAATGCATTTACATATATCTTCTCCCATTTCACAGACTGTCTCTTCACTCTGTTGATTGTTCCCTTACTGTGCAGAAGCTTTTTAGTTTGATATAATCCCATTTGTCTTCTTTTGTTTTTGTTGCCTGTGCTTTTGGCTTTATATCCAAAATGTTATTGCCCGGAGCAATGTCACAGAGCTTTTTTTCTATGTTTTCTTCTAGTGGTTTATAACTTGTGTCATACATTCAAATGTTTAAGATTTATTAGGTTAAGTCTTCCATTTTGAGCCAATTTTTGTATATGGCATGAGATAAGCATATAATTTTATCCTTCTGCATGTGGATATCCAGTTGTTCCAACACTATGTATGAAAATACTGTTCATTCCCCATTGTGTGTTATTGACATCTTTGTCCTCAATTGACTATAAATATGTGGTTTTATTTCTATGCTCTATATTCTGTTCCATTGATGTATGTGTCTGTTCTATTACTCTATGTGATAGTACTTTGCTGTTTTAATCACTATAGCTCTGTGGTATGCTTTGAAGTCAGGTAATGTGATGGCTCCAGCTTTGTTCCTTTTGCTCAATATTTCTTTGGTTATTCAGGGTTCTTTTGTGGTTCCATAAAAAAAACTTAAGATTTTTTTTGGATATTTCTGTGAAAAATGTCATTTTGATAGAGATTGCTTTGGAAAGTATGGACATTTTAACAATATTAATTTTTCCAATCCATGTTCATGGATTTATTTGTGTCTTCAATTTATTTGTGTCTTCCATTTATTTGTGTCTTCAATTTTTTTCATCAATGTTTTACAGTTTTTCAGTGTACAAATATTTAACCTCCTTGGTTAAATTTTTTCCCCAAAACAGTTGTGTGTTGCTTAACAATGGGGATATGTTCTGAGAAATGTGTCATTACACAATTTCATCTTTGTACAAACATCACAGAGAATACTTACAGAAGCCTAGATGGTATAGCCTACCATACACCTTCGCTATGTGGCATAGCCTATTGCTTCTAGGCCACAAACCTGTACAACATATGCCTGTACTGAATACTGTGGGCAATTGTAACACAGTGTTAAGTGATTGTGTATCTAAACATATCTAATCATAGAAAAGGTACATTAAAATATGGTATAAAAGATTAAAAAGTGATACACCTGCCTAGGGCACTTACCATGAACGGGGCTTGCAAGACTGGAAGTTGTTCTGGGTAAGTCAGTGAGTGGTGAGTGGATGTGAAGGCCTAGGACATACTACTGTAGACTTCATAATCACTGTACACATAGGTTGCACTATATTTATTAAAAATAAATATTTTTCTTTAATAACGAATTAACCTTATCTTACTATAACTTTTTTACTTCATAAAATTTTTGTTATTTTTAAATTTTTGACTCTTCTGTAATAACACTTAGCTTAGACCACAAACGCATTGCACAGCTCTATAAAAATATTTTTCCTTATATTCTTATTCTGTAAGGTTTTTTCTAGAATTTATTCATTTACTTTTTTTACTTTTTAAATGTTTTTGTTAAGAACTAAGATGGAAACATATTAGCCTAGGCATATACAGGGTCAGGATCTTCAATATCACTGTGTTCCACTTCCACATCTTGTCCCACTGGAAAGTTTTCGGGAGCAATCACACGCATGGAACTGTCATCTCCTATGATAACAATGCCTTCTTCTGGAAGACCTCCTGAAGGACTCCCCTGAGGCTGTTTTACAGTTAACTTGTCTATTATAGTTAGGAGTACACTCTAAAATAATGATAAAATGTATAGTAAATCCACAAGCCAGTTGGATAAATAGTAAATCCATAAGCCAAATAACAGTTGTTTTTATAATTATCAACTATTATGTGCTGTACATAATTGCATGTGTTACATATTTTAGATGACTGGCAGCACAGTAGGTTTTTTTACACCAGAATCACCACAAACACATGAGAAATGCATTGTGCTAAGATGATAGGAATTTTTCAGCTTGATTATAATCTTATAGGGCCACTGTCTTGTATGTTTTCTGTCATTAACCAAATTCATTGTGCAGCAGGTAATTGTATTTTAAGTTTTTTGTAGCTATTGTAAGCAGAATTGCTTTCTTGATTTCTTTTTCTGATAGTTCATAGTTAGCATATAGAAATTCTACTGATTTTTGAATGTTGATTTTGTACTTTGCAATTATACCAAATTATTAGTTCCAACAGTTTTCTGGTGAAGTCTTCAGAGTTTTTAATGTTTAAGAATGTATCATCTGCAAACAGGGCTGATTTAATTTTTTCATCTCTGTCTTGGATGCCTTTTATTTCTTTCCCTTGCCTAATTGCTCTGCCTAGGACTTCCAGTACTTTGTTGAATAGAACTGAGAAGAGTGGGCATCATTGTCTTGTTCCTGATCTCAGAAGAAAAGCTTTCAACTTTTCCCTGCTGAGGATAATGTTAGCTGTGAGCTTGCCATATACAGCCTTTTTTGTTTTGAGACATTCTCTCTATATCTAATTTATTAAGAATTGTTATCATAAGAGAATGTTGAATTTTTTCAAGTACTTTTTCAGCATCTGTTGAGATGATCATACGGTTTTTATCCTTCATTCCACTAATATGGTGGATCATGTTTTTATGTTGAACTATGTTCACATCCCTAGGATAAATTGCACTTAATCATGGTGAATAATCTTTTTAATGTGCTGTGGAATTTGGTTTGGTGATATTTTGTTGAGGATTTTTGCATCTGTGTTCATCAGGGATATTGGCCTGTAACTTTCTTTTCTTGTAGTGTCGTTTTCTAGCTTTTATATCAGGGTAATGTTGGCCTCATAAAATGTTTAGAAGTATTCCCTTTACTTCAATATTTTGTGAAGATGTAAACTAAATCTATCTTGTTTACAGTTGTGTTTCCAGTGTCTAACATGACACCTGCCACATTAGGAATTCAAAACTTGTTTAATGAATAGTTGTATTTTTCCAGGTGTCAATATCTGAGAGTCATGGTTCAGAAGAATGCTCGCCAGGTAGGGAGTTGGGTGAAAGAATACGATATTTTTCCCCCAGGAACAAATGTGTAAACCTGGAGCTCATAAAGAATAGCCCTGCTGGGCGTGGTGGCTCATGCCTATAATCCTAGCACTTTGGAGGCCAATGAAGGAGGATGATTTGAGTCCAGAAGTTTGAGACCAGCCTGGGCAACATAGTGAGACCCCATCTCTACAAAAAAAATTTTTTAAAATTGCCAGGTATGGTGGTGCACACTTGTAGTCCCACCTACTTGGAGGCTGAGGTGTTAGGAATGCTCAAGCCCAGGAGGTTGAAGCTGCAGTGAGCATGAATACACCACTGTACTCCACACCAGCCTGGGTGACACAGCAAGATCCTGTCTCAAAAAGACAAGATAGCTCTTCCTTCTTTTATGAAACTGTCTCAGACCTTGTTGGGAAGGGCAGAGAGAGAGGGAGCGAATGAGAATAATATGCCTGGTATTGAGAATGATACAACTATTATTTCCCTGTTGGAAAAAGCTGTCATCAAGATCTTTCCTTAGCTCCAGGGAATCCCCCATCTCCCTCAGATCAAGGCCTTGGTCTTTGTTTTTCCATTAATTTTTACACAGTTCAACTATAAATACAGAGTTTTAAACATGTTAATGCAAGTATAATCATAGGCCTTTGATATAAAAATTACATGACAGAGAGATCTTCCATTTGATTGTTATTGCTTTTTCCCAGTTAGCATGAAAGATTTAGTCAACTAATGAAAGGTTTAAGGAATGAATGAGTCACTGATTTTATATGTTTTGAAAAATTTCCTTGCAATGAAGTTGGCAATAATGTCTTTCTATATAGCTTCAAAAGGGGAAATATGTTTTATTGGATAAATTTAACTTTCTTGGCACAGGATCCCAATTATACATAAATGTTGGGCTTTATTAGCTGGCACCACTGGAACAGAACAAATCTTGTGATTATTATAATCCATCATCAAAGGTGCTCCTAAATTCCACAGGAAGCATATGGTGAAGGCTGTGGCCTGCTGCCTGCTGCATGTTGGAATAGGCGTGCATGGGGAGGGACAGACTCAGAAACCACTGCAACAATGTGCTGCCCATCATCTTTTATTACAATTTATTTAATTTTTGTTTATTTATTAATTTTTTTGAGATGGAGCTTTGCTCTGTCACCCAGACTGGAGTGCAGTGGCATGATCTCAGCTCATTGCAACCCCTGCCTCCTGGGTTCAAATGATTCTCCTGCCTCAGCCTGCTGAGTAGCTGGGTCTACAGGTATGTGCCACCACACCCGGCTAATTTTTGTGTATGTGTGTATTTTTATTAGAGATGGGGTTTCACCATGTTGGCCAGGCTGGTCTTGAACTGTTAACCTCAAGTGATCTGCCAGCCTCTGGCTAGGTGGAGGCAACAGATACGGTAAGAAGTAAGATATATTTTCAGCATTTGCATTTCAGTGCCTTTAGGTGGGGCATGAACTCTTCAGTTTGCCACAAATATCACCACTTTCTATTGCCATTCTTCGCCCAATTTACACATTTATATTACTAGCCCTCCTCCAGTAAGACATTTGATTTTGAGACCTCAATTTACAACTCTTATTTCTCTATTTCCTAACTTCTTTGTTTTTCTTTTTCTATCATTTGAGTGAGGCTTCAGGTAATTTTTACAAAAGCGTAAATGAATAATATGCTGCCAGTCCTTTCTTATGTAAAATAGTCTTTCTGTTTTCCTCACACATTAAAGCAACTTGGCTGTGGGAAGATTAATGAGTTGTAAAAGTTTTCCTTAAAATTCAGTGTATAACACTCCCTTATCCTGTATTACTTAGTTGACAGTGTTGGTAGAATTTTGGGAAGGGCTATCATTAAATTTGTTAAGAACTTGTAGGGCCCTGTATTAAATGATTTCTATTAGTTAAATATTTCTTTCTTTGGGCTATTAATTGCTACTTTTGTTCTTGATGATTCCTTATGAATCCCATAATTCTGAGAGTGATACTTTGCCCTCCATCCTTTATTTATTTATTTATGTATCCTTTTCTGCTTTATTGTTTACGAATCAATTTTTATTGATTTTAAATAACTTCTGGGAAAGATTCTAAAGATTGTTCTGTAAATCAATGACCCAATTTTCCCCAAGAGTTAATGCTACTTTTTGCTATCTCCAATGAGAATGGCAATTTTGTGTCCTGAAATTCCATCTTCTCTCCCCCTTCTATCTCTGCCTCTTATAATGCCTTTATACATTGCCTTTTCCTGCTTTGTGATTTTCTGTTCTTCTTTCACAAATACCGTATTTACTTGCATCCTTATGTAAGGCTTTATCACAGCAGTGAGCTCTGCCTCTCAATTTTCATGATTTCCCTCCTTATTTTGCGGTGGTATAAATAGAGTCCTTGCTATTTATATTTTCCATTTACTTTTTTATATGCTGGGGGTTGGAGGGGAACGGCTGTTCTAGCCCTGATAGTTTTGCCAATAGTAAGTCTGTTCGTGAGAGTGTAATTCCCACCACTCCCACAGCAGATTGCGTCTATTACAATTTTTCAGGACTAAAATTGGACTTCCTCCTATTCCGATTGCCCAGATCTCTATATAGTTACATCTTGAATGATGAAAAACAGAAACAACTGCCACTATATCATTACTCAGTAGGTATCTCCTATGGAGAAATGAAGAGTAGAGAAAGATAGGATGTGTCTGTATCTAGTTGTCTACCATCAATGGAAAAAGAAGTGATGCAGAAAAGAAGTAAACGGATCACTTTCTATTACATCCGGAAAAACTGCTCATACAAATGGACCCAAGAAAGACAGTGATAAATCTCAGTTTACTGTTGCTTTTGAAGGAAAGATTTTTGCTCTGTTATTTAATCTTAATGTGATGATTATAAAAAATACCAAGAGGGAGGAAAAGTAAAACAAATAGTAAACAGGGGGAGAACAGTATAAAGCAAATTGGAGGCAAATTGATGACTGTCATCAATCTAAAATTGAGTATCCTCCAGAAGATAGCTGAAGCATCAGATCATCAAGCGAAACTTCCCTGTGACACATTTTACTGTGATTTATATGTATAATGAAAAAATGGCTTCGGTAGTTTTTCCTTTGCTTATCCACAAAGACATGATGTTTAAATCTGCCCTGCAATCTGGATCTGGTTCTCTCTGCCTTGTCGTGCTGTTACTTTTCCACCCACGATGTGCACACACTTGCTTCTAAGGGTAGCAGATAACCCTTGTTTGGTTATTTGTTAAACATCTTTTTCTCCTTCTGTGATGTTTACCTATGATTTAGAGAGAAAGTACTTTGGCTGATTTTGTTGCTGGTGTAAACTATGACTTATTTCACTGCTAAAGTTATAGGATGGCAGCCTGTTCCCTCAGATGAGCTTAGAAAACCTTTCAGTGATGTTTTTATGTGTGTGTGTGTGTGTGTGTGTGTTTTGTTTTGTTTTGTTTTCTAGCAAACAAGATTGCAGTCCTTAGAGAACCAGTTACCAACTGGACTTAACCTTTGTTGTAGTTTCGGCTTCATGGCATTATTCATGAAAATAGGATATGAAAATAGGTCTTTGTACTACAGTCTACAGAGGAAAAATTTAAATCCTGTTTTAAAAAACATGCCTTATTTAACACAAATATACCACATTTGTCTTATTTTCCATGAAAACTCACTGGTTTAGTTCAATTCCTTTGTCAAAATATTGCTGTTAGAATTTAAATGTGTACATATACATATTTTCTTCATTCATCTGATGATGGACACTTAGGTTGCTTTCAAATCTTGGGTATTGTGAACAGTACTGCAATAATCATAGAAATGAAGGTATCTCTTTGATATACTGTTTTGCTTTCTTTTGGGTATATGCCTATCAGTGGGATTACTGGATCATATGGGATTTCTATTTTTAGTTTTTTGAGGAACCTCCAAACTGTTCTCTACAGTGGTTGTTGTAATTCACATTCCCACCAACAGTGTACAAGGGTACCCTTTTCTCCACATCTTTGGTGGCATTTGTTATTGTCTGTCTTTTGGATATTAGTCATTTTAACTAGAGTGAGATGATATCTCATTGTAGTTTTGATTTGCATTTCTCTGATCAATGAATGATATTGACCACCTTTACATATACCTGTTTGTCATTTGTATGTCTTATTTTGAGAAATGTCTATTCTGATATTTTGCCCATTTTGTAATCAGATTATTCAAATTTTTCTTATTGAGTTGTTTGAGCTCCTTATATCTTCTGGTTAATCCTTTGTAAGATGGATCATTTGCAAATATTTTCTCCTATTCTGTGGGTTGTCTCTTCACTTTGTTGATTGTTTCCATTACTGTGTAGAAGCATTTTAATTTGATGTGATCCTATTTGTTCATTTTTGTTCTGGTTACCTGTGCTTTTAAGGTATTGCTCAAGAAATCTTTGTGCAGGTGAATGTCCTGGAGAATTTCCCCAATGTTTTCTTTTAGTAGTTTCAGGGCCTGAGGTCAGGAGTTCCACCCGCCAGGTGATCCACCCACCTCAGCCTCCCAAAGTGCTGGGATTATAGGCGTGAGCCGTTGTGTCTGGAATTGGTGGGTTCTTGGTCTCACTGACTTCAAGAATGAAGCCGCAGACCCTCGCAGTGAGTGTTACAGCTCTTAAGGTGGCGCGTCTGGAGTTTGTTCCTTCTGATGTTCAGATGTGTTCGGAGTTTCTTCCTTCTGGTGGGTTCGTGGTCTCGCTGGCTCAGGAGTGAAGCTGCAGACCTTTGTGGTCAGTGTTACAGCTCTTAAGGCAGAGCATCTGGAGTTGTTCGTTCCTCCCGGTGGGCTTGTGGTCTCGCTGGGCTCAGGAGTGAAGCTGCAGATCTTCCTGGTGAGCGTTACAGCTCATAAAAGCAGCGTGGACCCAAAGAGTGAGCAGTAGCAAGATTTATTGCAAAGAGCGAAAGAACAAAGCTTTCACAGTGTGGAAGGGGACCCGAGCGGGTTGCCAATGCTGGCTCGGGCAGCCTCCTTTTATTCTCTTATCTGGCCCCACCCACATCCTGCTGATTGGTAGAGCCGAGTGGCCTTTTTTGACAGGGCGCTGATTGGTGCGTTTACAATCCCTGAGCTAGATACAAAGGTTCTCCATGTCCCCAACAGATTAGTTAGATACAGAGTTTTGACACACAGGTTCTCCAAGGCCCCACCAGAGCAGCTAGATACAGAGTGTCAATTGGCGCACTCACAAACCTTGAGCTAAACACAGGGTGCTGATTGGTGTGTTTACGAACCTTGAGCTAGATACAAAGTGCCGATTGGTGTATTTACAATCCCTGAGCTAGACATAAAGGTTCTCGGAGGCCCCACCAGAGCAGCTAGATACAGAGTGTCGATTGGTGCACTACAAACCTTGAGCTAAACACAGGGTGCTGATTGGTGTGTTTACAATCCCGAGCTAGACATAAAGACTCTCCACGTCCCCACCAGATCAGGAGCCCAGCTGGCTTCACCTAGTGGATCCTGCACTGGGGCTGCAGGTGGAGCTGCCTGCCAGCCCACGCCCTGTGCTCGCACTCCTCAGCCCTTGGGTGGTTGATGGGACTGGGCACCTTGGAGCAGGGGGGTGGTGCTCGTCGGGGAGGCTCGGGCCGCACAGGAGCCCATGGAGTGGGTGGGAGGCTCAGGCATGGCAGGCTGCAGGTCCCGAGCCCTGCCCCGCGGGAAGGCAGCTAAGGCCCGGCGAGAAATCGAGCACAGCGCCGGTGGGCTGGCACTGCTGGGGGACCCAGTACACCCTCTGCAGCCGCTGGCCCGGGTGCCAAGTCGCTCACTGCCCGGGGCTGGCAGGGCCGGCCGTCTGCTCCGAGTGCAGGCCCGCCAAGCCCATGCCCACCCGGAACTCCAGCTGGCCCGCAAGCACTGTACGCAGCCCTGGTTCCCGCTCGCGCCTCTCCCTCCACACCTACCTGCAAGCTGAGGAAGACGACTCTGGCCTTGGCCAGCCCAGAAAGGGGCTCCCACAGTGCAGCGGTGGGCTGAAGGGCTCCTCAAGTGCCGCCAAAGTGGGAGCCCAGGCAGAGGAGGCGCCGAGAGCGAGCGAGGGCTGTGAGGACTGCCAGCACGCTGTCACCTCTCACCATCGTGCCCAGCCTGGTTTGCTCTTGCTTTTCTTCTTTAAGATACTTCATTAGATTGTTTATGAGATTGTTTATTTCAGATGTTTTCTTATTGCTTGTTAATGTCATTTTCTTTTGGATTGAAGAACTACCTTTAGCATTTCTTATAGGACAGGTCTGAGATTGATGAAATCCCTCAGCTTTTGTTTGTCTGCAAAGTCTTTATTTTTCCTTCATGTTCAGAGGATATTTTCTCTAGATATACTATTCTAGGGTAACATTTTTTTCCTTCAGCACTTTAAACGTCATGCCACTCTCCTGTCCTGTAAGGTTTCCACTGAGAAGTCTGCTGCCAGACGTATTGGAGTGCTATTGTATGTTATGTGTTTATTTTTTTCTTTTGCTGCATTGGGATTCTTTCTTTGTCTTTGACCTTTGGGAGTTTGATTATTAAATGTGTTAAGGTAGTCTTATTTGGGTTAAATCTGTTTGGTATTCTATAACCTTCTTGTACTTGAGTATTGATAACTTTTTCTAGGTTTGAGATGTTCTCTGTAACTATCCTTTTAAATAAACTCTCCACCCTAATCTCTCTCTCTCTCTGTCTCTCCTCTTTAAGGCCAGTAAGTACTAGATTTGCCTTTTTGAGGTTTTTGTAGATCTAGTAGGCATGCTTTATTCCTTTGTATTCTTTGTTATTTTGTCTCCCCTGACTGTGCATTTTTAAATGGTCAATTTGATTTTCCTTGGGAAGCGTGCTCTTGGGAAGGTCACTGAAGTGCTCTATTTGACTGGCTTGTTTTCACACTAAGTGGATCTTTTTTTTTGTGCAATCACCCAATTAGGAGTTGAGAAAATGGGAAGCTCAATATATTTTTATTGAGCAAAGAAAGCATCTCATTACATCCTATTCATCACTATTATCAATGTTTCTAAATTATTTGCATAATATGAAATAATAAAAAAGTGTTATTTCCATGAGGCAGAATTTTGGTTTTGATTTGTCAAGCTGAGTGGTCACTGTAGCTGAGTGGTCATTTACAAGTGACTTAATTACTTTACCATGCAACTAAATACGCATAGTTATAAAATGAAATAATTGACAATTCCCAAATGGCCTTTTGATGATCCTATCAGTTGAAATAAATCCAAATATCACATATATGTTGCTTGTTTTGTGCGAACTACTGTTCATGAGGATGTGGGGGAAAATGTGACTTCATAAGCCCTGCTATGCTCCAGAAACATAGTTTTAAGAAGTGAGGTGGAGACAAGAGATTTGGTTGGTAAGCAGTAGGAGACATGGTGAGACGGTAATCTAAGGCCTGACTGTGGAAAGCTTTAAATACAATTTTTTACTTTCTGTAAGCCACGGAGAACTGTGCAGCTTTTGAGCAGGCACATTTCATGATTCAAGCATGGGTTGTGAGGATGGGGAGAAACTGGAGAGAGCAGCAGAGGCCTGGAGGTTCATGGACAGCCTAGGTACAAAGGGGGGAGCTCTTGTTTTAAGAGGAGACAGGGATTCTGCAGATGCAAGAGATATTTCAATTGAAGCACAACTAGGATTCAATAATAATTATCACTTAGTTAGAGAAAGACCGTCAGAACTCCTAAGAACAAGGAGAGAGTTGTATGTGAAGAGAAATACTTCCTTGTTAAAACTTTGGAAACACTGTTTGAATGTATCATTTGGAAATTCAGAAGGTTATTGGAGGGAATAAACATTGTGTTATTTATTTGGGTCCAGTAACATATGTAATGGGAGCTTTATAAACATGAATTTAAACAATAAGATACATTTGATGCTGAAAAATCCATGCTTGTCAATGTCCTTACTTTTAATTGTCTTTGGTGAAAAGTATTGTTATTGATAAGGTAATTTAACTGGTTCTTTTATTTTTGAGTGCCTAATTTGTATCCAGTTGAAAATTAAGAACCTGATGCAAATTAGATGTCAGGAAAGCAATAGCTTTTTAATGTGTTCTCTAATCATATGCTACAGTAACAATGATAAAGGACTTCACTTACATAGTAAGGCACTTATTAGATATTGAATTAAGATTCATTTTAAAAATAATATTACCACTATGAATTATCCTCCTATTTTAAATTCTGGGCATTCTACTATAATAATTGGTATGGATTCATGATACGTTAATAACCTCCTGCTTAAAACCAGGATATATTTTAAGCCAAATGTTATTATTAATGTATTACTTAAGTGTATTATTTTGTGCTGACATTCTTAACTAGCTATATGTGAAATATGGTAAAATAGAGCCAAGAGCTACATCCACTATTCAAAATCTACATCACAAAAGTGGATTGGAATATGTTGAAAACTGAACTGTCTAAATATGCTTTTACTAGAATATATATCCATAGGTAATGATTTTTAAAATGATTAATGGTTTATTCATTATGTTATTTGATAACTTGGTAAATTCCTGGTCAAATAAAAATGACTTTTATATTTTATATACATAGTAACTATCCATGTTTGGACAATTACATATTAATAAATATTTACAAATATATAATATACATTAACATATTATACATTTGGACAATTGTCTAGGTTTGGACAGTTATATATTAACTGTCCATGTTTGGTTGAATCTGCAGATGCAGAATCCAGGGATACTGAGGATTGACAGTATTATTAAAAGACTCAATTATACAAATTTACAATGTGTGCTATAGAAAATGCCTTAATTTTAAGGCTACTATATGTATGCTTATATGAGGTGCATCCTATTTTTTGCTCTTTTTTGTATTTTAAAATAAACCATGTTATTTTCTGTTATCTTCCTTATACTTCTGGAATCAATTTTCATAACTCTAGGGATACCAATGTACCAGAAATATCTTGGAGTGTTTTAAACTGTGTCATTGTATACTCAAAGACCCTGTGGACATTGTTGTTGATTGAAATAAGTTATTGGAATTGGAAGAGCCAAGTGTATTGGGCTCCATTTGATTGAGCTCCTAGGAATGTAGCACAGTAGATCGTATATGAATGATTTGCTTTGAGCCACAAGTTGACATTATAAACACTTACAGTAATATATAATCCTGGAAGAAAGCACTATATCCATTATGGTTACTTCTAGAAGTACAGCTTCCTTTCTCCTTGACATGAAATCTATCCAGGCTTAATAGATGATGATGAATGTGGAGGCTGGCTGAAAGACATTAATTATTTCAATAATAATATTATTTGGAACAAAGAACTGGGTTTAAATTTTTGGAATTCTTTAATGGAAACATTTTCATGTGGAAAAGAGAGTGACATTATATTATATATCTGATATTTATGATAATGATTAGCATTCAATTTTCTTTTTAGGATTCATATACAGTCATCTCTCAGTATCTGTGGGGGATTTGTTCCAGGAACTTCTATGAATGCTAAAATCCAGGGATGCTCATGTCCCTCATACAAAATGGCATAGTATTTTCATATAGCCTATGCATATTCTTCAATATACTTTAAATCATCTCTAGATTGCTTACAAAACCTAACACAATATACACACTTTGTAAATTATTGTTATACTTTATTGTTTTTTACTTTTATTATTTTTTAAAGTATCTTCTGTTCATGTTTGGTTGAATCTGCAGATGCAGAACCCAGGAATATTAAGAGCCAACTATATCATTAAAAGACTTACACAAATTTGAATTTCGTGCTATAGAAAATGCCTTTATTTTAAGGCTACCTTTTATTTTCATTTTTATGCTTTTCCCATAAGTATAATATATATTTATATTGTTTTACTTATATTATTTTGTTTTTTCAAATTTCCATTTAATAGGTCAAACAATTTTCTTTTTAAAAACTGTCTTGGAGAAGGACCCCAAGTTGTATTAAACAACTTATGTTTTTTAGTTACGTTTTCAATTACGTTGGTCATCAGCTAGCTCAGTGTACTCTGACTAGGAACCCATCTAAAGGCTATTATGTCTGTCTTTATCTCAAATTAAAGATGTTTGATTTTTATGCCCTACTTCAGCTTTTACTTTGACTTCTGATAAGGCAGTAATTTTTTCTGTGAAGAACTAAAGTACCAGCAGGCATAAAACTGGGACAGAAAATACTGTCCAAGTTTTATGCCTGGTGGTACCTTAGTTCTTTTCTAAGACCCATCTTAAATATCAGTTCTTTCCTAAACCTATCATTCATTTAGCTAACGTAATTCTTCAACATCCTTCGGCCAATCTGGGTGACTGGGTAAATTAAATGTTCCTTGCTCAAATCATTATTTTATTTATTGTCATTCATTTTTAAATGTGTACTTTAAAAAACCTTTTAATTATAGCAAGTATGGTTTACTAATTTTATTTTACTTAAATGGAAATGTCTCAAAAAATTCTTTAAAAACATTATTGCCAGTAAGCTGCATAATAGTTCATCGCATGACATGTCAGCTTCATTGTTGACATAATATATTAAGTGTTTTTTTTAGTTGATTCTCTTGCTTTTAGGGAAATACATAGGCATATTATCTGCAAATTCTGACCAGTTTATCCACCTTTTATAATATTTGAAAATCTTATTCATGTTTTATATGTTATTGCATTACCTGTATCTTCAGATCTGAATAAAACACTAGTCATAAAAGACATTCTTTTTTTCATGATTTTAATGTTATTGGGTTAATGTTTTAGCATTGCGAACTTTTTTTTTTTTGAGACAGAGTCTTATTCTGTTGCCCAGGCTGGAGTGCAATGGCGTGATCTTGGCTCACTGCAACCTCTGCCTCCCAGGTTCAAGCAATTCTCATGCCTCAGCCTCCCAAGTAGCTGAGATTACAGGTGTGCACCACTACGCCTGGCTAATTTTTTGTATTTTGAGTAGACATGAGGTTTTGCCATGTTGCCCAGGCTGGTCTCAAACTCCTGAACTCAGGCAGTCTGCCCATCTTGGCCTCTCACAGTGCTCAGTTTACAGGGGCATTACCAATTTATAACACAACTACTTATATTACAGAACTACCTATTTATATTAGTATGTTTAGATGTTATAAATAGGAATATATCAATATTACTTTCTTGATTTTGACATATTTTGTATCTATGTCCAAAGAGAAATTGGTTTATAGTACCATTTTCTAAATTTTGTCCTACAGTCATTCATTTCACTATGTTATAGAACATTAATAATATTATGTGAATACAAAGCATTTTACAGTAAGGAAGGTTTGGAAGCACTGATCTATATACCCTTGGAGATTCATAACCCTCATTATTTTATTATAGATTCAGAAATTCTATAGTGCAACAGCAACAAATACCTTTAAAAGCAAATTTCCCAAATTCTTCTTAGCAGAGAACATATTTTTACTTCATGCAGATGTTATTTTATAAAAACTGCTTTGATTAAAATTTAGGAAATGCTGTTGGTTTTAAGCAACACCTTGGTCAAATTTTTAGTGAAAATTATAATATTTTTGCATAAAACTAGATAGCTTTCACTTTTTTAGTATTGCTGAACACATTTTTTCTTATCATTGAGAGTATATTCCATAATGGTCTGAAAGAATTCACAACTTAAAGAATAGCCTGGCTATGGAACAGATTGTGTAAGTTGGCATGATATTTTACATTTCTTCTCTTCAGGCATTCTACTGCTTGAATAAATTGGAGAAATTGAAATTTGTTTCAAATGATTCATTTCATTCAAATGTTTACATTTACCTGCTTGTTTATAATTTGAAAATGGCCTCTATATATTCACCAATGGTTTTATTCTTCATTTTGATGTTAGTTTTGTTTTTCATTCTTTTTTAGTCAGTGAAAATTACACTTACAAAAGGGTTTGAGTATGGTGTAGAGAAGTTTTTCAGATCAACTTAGTAACTGTTAGCTTCTGTTTTACTAGTCGTATTTTTGCTGCTATATTTATTAAATATTCTTTTTGGTTAGGCTTATTTTATTTTTTTCTTTTTGTTTTCAATGCCTCATATATTACATTTTAGTCTTTGATTTTTGGCCTTTTTGGAATTTTATTTTGGGTATTTATTATTTGCTAGTAAGTAGAGTTTTCTATTTTAACTCCATCTGAGTATCTTTTCCGGTTGGTAGCCATGTTTAAATCATTTGCATTTATTGGCACAACTCAATTTCTTGGTTATTTATTTATATTTTATGCTTTCTGTGGTTTAATTTTTTATCCATTCTTATTTTTTGCATAGACTTTTTGCTGCTGTTGTTAACTGTTATCCAATTGCCTATTGCTAAATAACAAACTACCATAAACCTTGTGGAGTGAAGCAAATGTTTTTTTCATTGTATCTCATATTTCTGGGTGTTGACTAGGCTCATCTAGGCCTTTCTTGCTTTGGGTATTCATGAGTTTGCAGTCAGACAGTGGTTGTGGCTAGAGAGTTCTCAGATGCCTCTTCATATGTCAGAAAAGTCATGGAGGATGTTACGTGAACAGCAGTGAAGTTTTCAGCCAGAACACCTACATGTGATCTCTCCGTGTGCCCTAGGCTTTTCAACAGCTTAGTGCTTGGTTCCAAGAACAAATGTTTCAAGAGAGAGGCAGGCAGAACTCGACAGTATTGCCTTCTGTGACCAAGCACTGGAGGCCACATGTGTCAGTTCTGCCTTCTATTCATGAGGCAATCACAAAGACTCTCCAGGTTTTAGAAGAGCACGTGGGATGGAAAATGTCGTGGTCATTTTGGGAAATACAGTCTGCCATGATAAGCATTGTTACCAGTGGTTACAAAGACTCATCAGATACATACTTAAATATATAACATTATTTGTCTATAAAAGTGAGTAAAACCCACTATTTTTGTCTTTTTGGAATATTGAAATGGGAGGAGTTTTCCCTTATTCCCCTCTCAGGGCGTGCCATGGGGCTGTGGCTCGTTTCTTCTGTGCCCCACGCGCAAACCTCTGGGAGGAACATGTGGACGGGCAGGTGGCAGGGCTCTGCCCCACGGCGGCATCTAGAGTCCAGTGTTTACAGCTCCCAAAGCCCCAGTGGGCAGGTGTTACAGTGCGCTCTTTCAGTTTTACTGTCTGCAAGTGGTTTGTCTTAATCAGCTCAGTTAGACCTTCTGCCTTAAAGCAAGGACAGAGGGCTTTCTGTATCCTGGGTTCTTGCCCTTGTGTACTGGAAAAATCGGGTCACATAAGGGCTTGGAGAATGAGTGCAAGGTTTTATTGAGTGGTGGAAGTAGCTCTCAGCCGATGGATGTGGAGCCAGCATGGGGATGGAATGGGAAGGTGTTCTTCTCCTGGAGTCCGGCTGCTCAGCTGCCGGGCTCTCCTCCCATGGCCCTTAGCCGAACTCCCCTAGGCGTCCGCATTGTTCCGCCATCAATGACCTGCTGGCCTCTGTTGGTGTGTTCTTCTGCTGGTGTGTTCTTCTTGACATCTGGCTACTTGTGTGCGTGCCCAATAGGGTCTTGGGTTTTTTTAGACACAGAATGGGAGCGTGATGGGCCAGAGTGGTCTTGGAAAATGCAACATTTGGGCACGAAAACAGGGGTGCTTGTCCTCACTTAGGTCCATGGGCACAGGCCCGAGGGTGGAGCCCTCGCCAGGGACCCTGCCCTTATCTACCCAGCACTTCCCTGCTCCCCCAACTCCTGTATCAATATCAAGGATTTTTACTGATTTTTAAATTTCTCCTTTTTTATTTATGTAATTTAAAGTGATAAAAACATTTACCAGTTAAAAAACATTGAGGATAGCTATCAAAAAATGTGAAGCAGTGATATAACTGTGTAAAACGTGTTTAGTTTAGATTTCTTCTTTTTTTGAGACAGAGTCTCGCTCTATTGCCCAGGCTGAAGTGCAGTGGCGCGATCTCGGCTCACTGCAAGCTCTGCCCCCCGGGTTCATGCCATTCTCTGGCCTCAGCCTCCCGCGTGGCTGGGACTACAGGCGCCCGCCACCATGCCCGGCTAATTTTTTTGTATTTTTAGTATAGACGGGGTTTCACTGTGTTAGCCAGGATGGTCTCGATCTCTTGACCTCATGATCCCCCGGCCTCAGCCTCCCAAAGTGCTGGGATTACAGGCGTGAGCCACCACGACCTGCCCAGATTTATTTCTTTACAGGTTGAGTGTCCCTTATCAGAAATGCCTGGGACCAGAAATGTTTAGGATTTGGGATTTTTTTTTTTTTGAATATTTGCATCATATTATACTTACCAGTTGAGCATCTGTGATCCACAAATCCAAAATTCAAAATGCTCCAATCAGCATTTCCTTTGAGCATGACCTTTGAATGTTATGCTGGCACTCAAAAAGTTTGGAATTTTGGAACATTTTGGATTTCAGCTTTTCAAATTAGGAATGCCGGTCTGTATTTAACTGATTTTAGTCCTTGGCAATTTATTCATTCTTTTTAATCTTTTGTTTTGTTTGTTTGTTTGTTTTGTTTCTTTTCTTTCTTTCTTTTCTTTTTTTTTTGTTTTTGTTTTTGTTTTTTTGAGATGGAGTCTCGCTCTGTCACCCAGGCTGGAGTGCAATGGTGCGATCTCGGCTCGCTGCAACCTCCATCTCCCGGGTTCCAGTGATTCTCCTGCCTCAGCCTCCTGAGTAGCTGGGGCTACAGGCGTGCAGAACCACGCCTGGCTAAGTTTTGCATTTTTAGTAGAGACGTGGTTTCACCACGTTGGCCATGCCGGTTTCGAACTTCTGACCTCACGTGATCCACCCGCCTCGGCCTCCCAAAGTGCTGGGATTACAGGCGTGAGTCACTGTGCCCTGCTTTAATCTTTTATTATTCTGGCCTAGCTCATTCATTGAATTATTTAGAAGACTTGCATAGTTCCTGCATTTTCTAAGTCCTTGCCTATTTTTGAGTGCTCTGTGTTGCTTTTTATACAACTATACTCCAAGCTGGCTATTGAGAAAGCATGTGAGCCACAGTGTTTTCCTTTTAGAGACACATACCTTGCCTGCTGGTTGGTGTGGTCACTCATTGTGAGAGTGAGTCCTCTGTCTTTCATTGTGATTGGTGCATTCTAAAGGCCATTGGCTTGCAGGGAGGAAAGAGATGCCACACTTGGTAGTATTGTTCTGAGGACTATTCCCCTATCTTGCTCCAGTTGATGATGTGACAATGTGTCCTTCCACTTGCCTCCTAGACATTCTAGACTTTCAGAGGACATTTCCTTCTTCAATCTCATTCAATCTGCTCTAGGTCTAGAGCACATTCTTTATTGGTTCTGGTATGTGAAGTAGCCTCATCATTATTTTCTAGACCATATACAGCCCCCAGTCTCAATTTGGGAAAACTTGTTATTTCACTGGAGATTTGATGAGATGGAGCTATATACTTGTGACCACATAGTCATCTTTTTTCATAAATCTCTATTTTTTTTTTTTTTAGTTAAGACTGATGAAATTCCTGGTCTGTTGAGCAATTCGATATCATGAGAAATGTTGACTATTTTAGAGTAAAAAGCAGTTAAGAGGTATGGCAACTAGAAACAACATGTGATACCACATTGGATTTGGACTCAGAAAAATAAGCAGTAGGGGAAATTTCAGGGCAAATTTGAGTAAGACTGGTTATTAGATTACATTAAAAAACTCATTAAAATGGAGATATGGACATCTTAACTGAAGAGAAAATTACAAACTAGGTATTGCATTATCTTATTTTGAAAAAATGCATATTAATGTGAGTATTTATTGGGGATGACACACTAAGAGGTAATAGTGATGGGGAGAATATAATTGTTTTATTTTTTACCCTTTATATTTGTCTACTCTCTACAATGCAAATATACAACTTTGTTAATAATAAAATACCAGTTTCATTTTTTAAAATAGGAATTATACACTTCATTAAGTTCATGGGCTAAGGTAAAACCCCTTGATGAAAGTTAAGAAATTACTTTTCCTCAAGAGGGAAGAAGATATGAAGACAAACTTTTGATCCTTACCTGATAAAAAATGAGTTGGATTACTGAGAAAATCAAACTAGATGCCTTCTTTGTGGGAGAATGTGTTTAGATTTTATTTCCGTGTTATTCACTTTCTGTATATGTCAAGGAAGTCCTTAGAAAACAAAGAGATTGTTAATAAAATAATCCTTTTTTCGGTATTTGACTACAATCTCTGCTTATGTCAGTAGCCATCACATCCATATAAGCAGGAGACATGTTGTGGTGGCTGTGGCTGTCACAAAGCCTTAGCTTCTCTGTAGCAATGTTTGATTATAGAGACTCATGTCCTTTGTTACAAGTGCTAATGAAAATAATAAAAGCTTCACAGGTTTCAGGTCCATCTGCCTTGAACATGTTCTTAGCAAATTACATGTTCTGAGCTGGTGGTTGAGACACAACAATAATAAAGTAATGTGATTATCAGTGGAGGAATTTCACAGGCTTCCACAAATTAACAACAAAGTATGCTTAGTGATGGAAAGTGATCCCAACATTCAGCACTTGGAGAAATTAAGACACTTCAAGAATTAACCCAAGGTCTAAAATATTCTATTAATTGAATTGGGAATAAATTCCTTACAGTGGTTAAATGTATTCAGTCACTTTATTTATCATTTATTTATCTATTCCTTTATTCAAGAAATATTTTTCAGTCAGCACTGAATTATGCATTAAGAAATTACTGTCAACAAAAATAAGTTCATGGCCACAGATGATTACAATGCACTATTCATGCCATAAATAGCTATTTACTCAACAAATATTTATTGCATGCTCCCTATGTTTCAAATACTATAATGGTCACTGAGAATACAGTATTAAAAAATAGGTATGGTCCTTGTTCTCATACTAACTATATTCTGGTTAGGGAAGAGATACTTTAAAGTATTAATCTTGTAAGAAAATATTATTATTAATAGCAGAATTACTCCATCCAATTGTGGGGCCTGAGGCAGGACTGCAAATGGAGACCATATTCCATACACGTAAAGAGCTAAAGTTATCAATCAGACTCACTGTTGACTGAAATGTATTCTTTCCTATGCTGACAAATAAGCATTCATCATAACAATTTGTAAAATATTCATTAAACTATAAGATTTTTATGACTAAAATTTAGCAAAGTACTAAAGGTGACTGAATCTAGTTATCATTGCTTATTTTTTTCATATTCTGTTAATGGGTCAGTTATCTTGTGTTCATAATATGATTAAAAAATTCATAGTTTATAAACAATTATATCATTACTCCTTTGAATTTACTTTTTCTGCTTTCATTTTAGCAAAATCACTAATTAAGCTAATATAAAAAGTCACATAAACCATATTTTATTGGCAGCAATGATCTAAAGAATTCAGAAATAAAATGTAATTGGATTCAAATTGTATAAAATTTAAATGTCATAAAAATATGTCAAAGCAAATTTTAAAAGTTGAAAAACAAATTATTTATATAATATACTAAATCATTACTTTTCTAAAATTCAAAATTACCTATTGCAATAAAAGGGAGAATACTAGTTATAATTCTATTGAAATTATTTTAAGAATTTCATTATATTTTATATAAATATATATTCATTTTAGTTTTATAATATATTTATATCTGTATTATATTTTACATATATATAAACAATATAATTCTGGTATTCATTGTTGAATCACTGTAGGATCCTGATTCTCATGTTCTTTCTAGACCTATTCATATTTAAATTTAAGACAAAAATACAGCTTTTAATATTACGAAATGTTTCTTAGTTGTCATGTGCAACTATTGCATATAATTTGCTGTATTGTGAGTATTTATGGAACCACAAATGAGACCATGAAGTAGGAAAATGGGCACTTAGCACTTTGGAGAAATTATGTTTTATTATGTAAGTATCTACTGCATCCATATTCTCTGAGAAGGATTTGACAAGTTAATTAATGTGTCTTTTTTCTACCAAAAGCACAGAAATGTTAATCTCTGCTGTTGGTAGTGGCACGAACTGAAAACTCTTGCACCAATTGGACAAAATGTAGCCTTTGCTTTGAAAACAAAGGTAAATGATTGTTGAACTATGTTTCTTTGAGCCTAAATGTAGGTAGTCTCAAGGGCAGATAAGAGTTATAGGCTGTGTCAATGGCTGGCAAATTTTTCTGTCATGGGCCAAATAGCTTTGTCTTTCTGGGCCATTTGTAACAAATACCCAACTCTGTCATTGTAGTGCAAAAGCAACTGTAGACTATGTATAAATGAATGAGCATAGCTGTGTTTCAATAAAGCCGATGTGATTTGTCTGTGTCCCCACCCAAATCTCATCCTGAATTGTAGCTCCCATAATTCCCACATGTGGGAGGGACCCAGTGGGAGATAATTGAATCATAGGGGCAGTTATACTGTTCTCGTGGTAGTGAATAAGTCTCATAAGATGTGATGGTTTTATAAGGGATTTCCCTTTTCCCTTGGCTCTCATTCTATCTTGGCTGCTGTCAGGTATGATGTGCCTTTCACTTTCTGCCATGATTGTGAGGCCTCCCCAGCCACATGGGACTGTGAGTCCATTAAACCTCTTTTTCCTTATCAATTACCCAGTCTCGGGTATGTATTTATCAGCAGTATGAAAATAGATTAATACAAAAGCTTTATTTGCAAAAATAGGCAGGCTGGGTCTGGCCCAAAGAGGTGTGGTTTGCCACCCCCTGTGTTGTGCTATGCCCCCACTGAACATTGAATCTCAAGTGGCAGAAGTACGCATGTCTCCTTTAATAAATGTATCATGGGTGTGGTATTACTATGCTGAAGTTTAGGTGCAGAACAGAGGCCTGACTGCCCAGTTCTAAGGGATGATTTGTTAATAGAACAGGGTAAAGAGTTTAGATTTTATTCCAAGTAGGATAACAAGCCTTTGAATGGTGTTCAACAGGAATATGATATAATCTTAGTTATGTTTTAAAAAGATCCCACTGACTTATGTTTGGAGAACAAACAAAGTACTATGAAAGCACAACAAAGAGACAGAGATTAATCCCTCTAGAGGAAAGCAATAAACGTTTCACAGAGCAGATGAAATTTATTTGAGTCATAAAGGTTAAGTCAAGGAAAGGCATGTCAGGCACAGGGAATAGTATGTGCATAAGCAGACAATCAAAAGAGCCTCAGCATGTATTGGAGATGATTTTAAAAATTCAAATTGACTAGAAAAACATGTGCATGAGGCATGTGGCAGGAAATAAGGCTGAAAAACTAGGTTGGATTTTTGTATGCTACAAATGGGGCATTGAACTGTGAGAAACAATTAAGGAACTGGCTAAGTCTTTAAGTGGGTATGGTGAGATTTTATTTATAGTTAGAAATAACTGTATTTCTCCATGGGACTGGAGAGTGGATAAAGGACTGGAATGTGAGACATGGATACCTGGTTGTACAGTGATTCAAAAAGATGGGTGATGAAAATCAGAAATGAAGGCATGGCTGTGGGAACAGAAAGCGGGAGTGATAGTTTCAGAGGATTCTTTGGCAATAATACTTATGAGATTTGATGAATGGTTTCATATTGGGGATGAATAAAAGGAGGGATAACTCTGATAACTACCTAGAAAATGTGGAAGCAGTAACACCTTGCTCTGTGGTGGGAGGAGAGGTAGAAAAGGAGAGAAACATAATGACTTGTGTTTTGGATACCCTAAGTTGAATTTGAGTTTAGACATCCAGATGCGATGTATAGTAGAAAGTTGAAGGATGTAGCAATACTTGGTATCAGCAGAGGGTGGATAGTAGCTGATGCCACAAAGAGTCTGAGAAAACCCAGGGAAAGTCCAAACACCTGACTCTGTAATTAAAATTGACATTAACACTAACCAATGGGGAACAGACTGAGAAGAGGTTAAGAAAACGGACTCTTTCTAATCCTGACAGTAATTCTGTGGCTAAGTATGCTTCATTCATTGTCTTATAGGGGAGATGGCCAAACAGTGGTATGGGACTATCTTCCTCACATTACAAAATAGCTTTAGTAAAGTGTAATTTACATGTATAGTCTAAACATTATGTCCACTATAAAAGAGGAGATAAAATTCTAGGAGGGAACTCCTCTAAATATATTGATTTTTTAAAAGCACTCTTTGTGATACATTATGCCACATCAAAAAGTGTGAGAAAAAATTAATCAAGATCATAGTTAACTATTATTTCTCATAATATTTCTTAAGTTACATTTTTAAAAAGTGACTCAGTATTCTCTCACATCAGTGATGACAGATTGGTTTTCTGTGCCTCAAATTTATCCCATTCTGTCTTGTCTTGTTCCTAAGGATGCTGCAAAATCTATAAGTAAATGTCCATAGCTATGGTGACATGTATATCAACCATGAAATAAATATTGCTTACCTGCTTGCAATATAAAGGAATTTGAGAAGCAAAATCTCCTTCACTCATTGATTTAAAACTAGTTGAGTGAGTACTATGTGCCAGGAACTGTGTTAAATGTGAAAGATAAAATGATGAAACCCTTTACCAGAACTTACAGTTCAGTAAAAACAAAAGAAACAGAACATAAATGAAGTAGAACTTAAGTTCTATTCACTTTTTATATAATGATATAATCATTCCAAAATCCCAGCTGTGCAAAGTACAAGTTCTAAGCCATTATATGTGTTTATTAACTTCTCTGGTTTTTCCTCTGGGAAACTGACGTAATTTTTGTCTACCCCAGAGCTTGTGAGACTTAAACATTTATAAAGCAGTAAGCAAATATCTAACACTTAGAAAGCTTTCTTATTTTCTTGATGTAGGCATTTATTGCTATACATTTACTTCTTAAAACTGCTTTTACTATACCCCATACATTTTCATAAGTTGTGTTTACATTTTTGTTTATCTCAAGACATTTTTAAATTTTGCTTTTAATTTGTTCTTTAATTGATCGGTTGTTCAGGAACATGTTGTTTAATTTCCATATGTTTGTGAATTTTCTGAATTTTCTTTTGTTATTTGAAATAATTTCTCTATTTTGGTTTCCATTTGCAAGGAATCCTTTTTTCCATCCCTTAACTTTCAGTCCATGTGTTTCCTTAAAGGTGAAGTTAGTCTCTTGTAGGCAGCATATTGTTGGATCATGTTCTGTTTCGTTTTCCTTATTGCTTCAGCCACTCTACGTCTTTTGATTGGAGAATTTAATCTCTTTATATTTAAGGTAATTATTGATATGTAAATACCACTGCTATTTTGTTATTGTCTTATTGTTTTATAGATCCTTTGTTCCTTTCTTGCTATCTTCCTTTGTGATTAGGTGATTTTTCTCTAGTGTTTTGCCAAGATTCCTTACTGTTTATCTTTTGTGCATCTACTATTGGTTTTTGCTTTGTGGTTACCATAAGGCTTTTTGATGTTACAATTTACATCTTTTTATATTGTACATCAGTTAACATATTATTGTAGCTCTTGGTATTTTTAATACTTGTCTTTTAGTCATCACACTAAAGACATAAGTGATGTACACACCACTATTACAGTATTAGAGTACTCCAAATTAACTGCTTACTTTTATTTATGAGTTCTGTACTTTCAGATGTTTTTGTGTTACTCATTAGCATCTTCTTCTTTCAGCTTGAGAAACTCCCTTTACTATTTCTTGTAAAACAGGTCTGGTGATTATGAACTTCCTCAACTTTTGTTTGTCTGAAAAAGTCTGCTTCTCTTCATTTCTGAAGGACATATTTGCTGGATACGGTATTCTTGGTTGACAGTTTTTTTTTTCTTCACCACTTCAAATCTATCATTTCACTTTTTCCTGGCCTATAAGGTTTCTGATGAAAAATTCACTGCTGCCTTATTGAAATTCTCTAATATATGATTTGCTTTTTTTTCTCTTGTTACTTTTAGTATCCTCTCTGTCTTTGAAAAATTGGTTACAATTTTTCAAATTTTCAAAAATTTTCAGAAATCCAATTTTTGAAAAATCGGTTACAATATGTCTTGGTATAGTCTTGTTTAGATTGAATCTGTTGACCTTCTCGTACCTGGATATTTATATTTTTCCTGGATTTGGAAAGTTTTTGCTATTTTTTTAAAATAAACTTTCCAGCTTTTTATCACTCTCTTTTCTTAACTGCCAGGACTCAAACATTTGCTCTGTTGATGTTGACCTATGAATCCTGTAAGCTTCCTTTATTCCTTTTTGTTGTTTTTCTTTTCTGATTATATATTTTCAAATAACCTGTCTTTGAGTATATAGATATTATCTCCTGAATACAAATAAATTCTTATGTTGATGCCCTCTATTTCATTTTCATTTCATTAACTGTATTTTTCAGCTCCAGAATTGGATTAATTTTTAAAATAATTTTAATCTGTTAAACTTTTTGTGTTGGTAATTCATTGTTTTCCTGATTAACTGAATTGTTTCTCTATTTTCTTGAAGTTCATTGAGCTTCCTTAAAACAATTATTGTGAATTTTTTTAAGCATTTAATATATCTCCATTTCTTTGTGTCAGCTACTAAGAGATTATTATGGTCTTTTGGTGGTGTTATGTCTCTTTGGTTTTTCAAGCTTCTTATTGACATTGATGTGTATGTATTTGGTGGAGTATTCACCACTTTCAGACTCTACTGGCTAGTCTTGCTGTGGAAAGACCTTCCTTTATGGGAGAGAGGGGATGTGAGAATGCTTGCTGGTTGTGGTGCAGCAGTTCTGACACCAGTAAGGGTGCTGCTGTGTAGTGTTTGTATAGCTCTATCAGCTAAGGTCAGAGTTGGCAAATGTTGCAGGGATCCTCAGCAGCCAACACTGTGCTATCCATAGTGGTAGTGAGCACTGGTAGGGTATTTGGTGGTGATGGCTGCCAAAGTCCTCCTGATCCCTTTTCTCACAGTGGGGAAGTTATGGCTCAGCAGGTCCTTTGGGGCACTGGGTCTGGCTTGTGGGTTCACTTGAAGTGGCAGTGGCACTGGTGTCTGATGTGTGGTGCCTGTGGATCTGAGGCCTGAAGTACAGGCATGCACAGAGTTTCTGTGGCTCTGGGATCCGGGAAAGTAATGGCAATGATACTCAGGGTACAGGCACTCCCCACTACCATGCTGGTAACATAGTGTGAGACATGGATACTTGTGGAGCAGAAAGAGATCTGGAAATGAGATCACAGATGGGTGAGAGTTAAATGTTGGGGTGGGGCCTAGCTCTCTATGGCAGCTGAGCCAGTGCCTGGAACATGGGCACATGTAATGAGATGTTTCACACTGTGGGCCCCAGAGCTAAGTCCTCACTCCATGTGCCTGAGACATGAGTGGGCTTAACGCAGCCACCAAGCCTGGGCCTGTAATGTGGGCACTTGCATATTGACCACAGCTCTGAGACTGAGATAAATGGTGGTTTGGGAGACGTGGTAGCTAATTTCCTGAAGCAACTTAATACAGCTGTGCAGCCATACCTGTCTCTGGTGTTCCCCATCAAGAATGGCTGTTGGTTACCTCAGTGGCAAGATATGCCAGTATCCTCTGCAGATGAGACCATGGGCTGATATTGATAGGTCCACCTTTCTTCTTTGGTCCTAGCAGTCTCCTGGTGTCTCAGGTATGCTGATCCCACCAGTGATCCTTTCTGTATCAATATTCTATGTTTTTTTTCTCTCTACTGTATTGCTGCCAATTTTTTCATGAGCCCTTGAGCTTTCCCTGGGTTTATCTGATTTGTGAGTAGCTATCTGCGCTTTTTCTTTTTGTGTGTGTGGGATGAAGGCTTGTCTCTTACTCTGCCATATTTGTGACATCATCTTGGTGACATCTTGGTGACTTGGTGTAGTCCACCATTTACATTGAGTCTTAAGGAATCTGTAGATTTATTAATTAATTTTGTTTCTCAATCATTATTAGACAGAACATCAGCTTATTCCTAAGAAATATATGGGCATCTTGAAAGCTATCAGTTGTTGGATGTTTACAGGGTGCTAGGTGTTCAACGTTTGTAGTTGCTACAAGTTCTACAGTGATCTGTAAAAGTTCGTGGTTATGGTGATGGAAGAGATGATGACCATAAAGTGTGACTCCAAAACTATATAGTTTTGTTTCTTTGCTTATAAGAGCTTCCCCATCCCCCAAGGTGGTTTTATGTATAAGATACAGAAAGCTTTTAGTTTTATGAGTTTATTAATCTATTTTTCTATACTGTGTCCTGATACAGATGGAAGGATAAGTACATCCTAGAAATTTCTCATTTATTTTCCTCTTAACACATTTGAATCATCCACTCAGCCTTGAAAGGAAATAAAGTACCTTGGACTTTGCCTTGCTCTTTCCATATATTTTTATAGCTTTTATAACTAAGAAATGGAACACTAAGTCTCAGCAGCATGTTGCTGAAACAACGTCATTGTATTAGTTTGCTAGGAGGGCTGTCATAACAAAGTGTCCCAAACTGGTTGGATTAAGCAATTGGAATCTATTGTCTCACTGTTGTGGAGGTTATAAGTCTGAGATCTAGGCATGAGTGGGGTTGGTACCTTTCAGTCATATGAAATAGAATATGTTTGATGCCTCTCCCCTAGATTCTGGTTGTTTGCCATCAATCTCTTTTGTTCCTTGGATTGTGGACAGCTCTCTCCAGTCTCTTCCTTCATGTTCACATGACATTGTGTGTTTGTGTGTTTGTGTGTGGGGGGGTGCGTGTGTGTAAATTTCCCCTTTTTATAAGGATGCTAGTCATATTGCATTAGGGGCATATTCTCATCCAGTATGAGCTCATCTTAATTTAACTAATTATACCTGTAATAATCTTATTTCCAAATAAAGTCACATTCTAAGGTACTGGTGGTTAGAACCTTAATATATGAATGAGGAGAGTAAGATGCAAACAGTAATGCTCAGGCAAGCAAACAATGTTTATTTAATGATGATTTGGACTTTTGGAAATCCAATTCTGTCTCCTATTTTTTTGTTGTTTTGAAGTGAACATATTATTAGAAGACTCAAAATCAGTAATCCCATTCAAAACAAAAAGAAGGGTTTCACAGTGACAGTGAGGCCCAATGACACTGGGTGCTCAGTCCTGGAATAATGATTTTAAAGTCAATAAAAATTTGATTTTCAGATTTATTTTTGTCTAGAAAGAGCACATTTATTGACTGGTTAAAACTCAGAATGTAGAGGTAAAAGAAAGGACATTTAATTGTGCAAATCAAAGTTTGTGTCTTTTATTTAAAAATTATATATAGCCTATAAGGATTTTCTGGCATGTTCAAAATTAATATCCTTTCATATTTATATTGATTGTATTTTTTTTCCTAAAATTTTCCTTTAAAATGGTTGATTGAAGTTTCTTTGACTATTGATTTTTTACATTGTTTTCTCAGGAGACATATGTCTTAGTTTTTTATTTCGTATCATAATTTTTGCCCTTTCTTGGAATCTAACTTTTTTCTCCCATTATCAGCTGAAATACAGCAATATCAAAAGACTGCTGTTTTAGGAAGGGAAGTTATTCCGATTTAAATAATTAATGTGACAGTATCTGAGGAATTAGAGTTGGAATCCAGAGTAATCAATAAGAGAATCCTCTTTTTCTCCATAGCTGGGGAAGCAAAGGCTAAATAACATAAGGAATGTGCCTGAGTGAAGACAGCCTCGGTTCTGGAATTGGGCACAAACTCTGGCTACTATAAGTTTCCAAAGGTCAATGTCATTCTTCCCCTGGGAATGTCTTCCCAGTGAGTTATTTCAAATAGCATGGGCCTGCTCCTTCTCACACAGGTGCAGCATCATCATCCCCAGCAGGTAACACTTACGTGGCACTAAGTATTGCCCAGATAGGATGAGGAGTGGAAACTTAATTCTGGATTTGGAACTGGAAGACTTTCAGATCTGTCATACACGACAGCGGGCAAGTCACTGAACTTCTAAGCCTTAAGTGACTCCGACTCTAAGATGGAAATTATAATTTACCTCCAAATGTTGTGGGCATAAAACATGGAATCCAAAGTGAAAGATGTAACAAAAAATGATAGTTACCGTATACTAACCACAAGGTATCAGGCACTCTGCAAACTCTTCATGTGTCCATTATCCCATACAATTTTCACAGCAACCATGCAGTACAGGTATTTATTATTCCCTCACACCCCCTTTTCTAGAAGACAAAACATAAGATTGGTACTTTTCCTAAGATCGCAACAGCTTTTGAACAACAGAGCAAGGTTATGACCTAAGAGCCATGCTGTTTCCTCATCTACCACATCATTAAACAGCTTGAACTGGGCCATTCAGCCAAAAGAAACCCAGTCATAGAAACTTGGAGCAAGTCGTTTCATGGAATAGAAACTCTTTTAATCTCTTCAGAGTAAACTTCAGTTAAATATGAAAAGTTTATATCAACTGCTGCTTTTTTTTTTTTTAAACAACTAAGATAATAAACCGGGCTTAGAAAGTCTCCTTCTAAAGGAACTGGCACCATACCAACTAAAAGGGCCCATACTCTTTTCTCATAAAAATGTATTTTTTGCTTCTAAATAGAAGGCATGAAAAGTGGGTTTAAATTTCCTTTTTAATGTTGAGAAAAACTATTTGTAAAGATGATTTTTTTTATTATACTTTAAGTTTTAGGGTACATGTGCACAACATGCAGGTTTGTTACATATGTATACATGTGCCATGTTGGTGTGCTGCACCCATTAACTCGTCATTTAGCATTAGGTATATCTCCTAATGCTATCCCTCCCCCTTCCCACCACCCCACAACAGGCCCCGGTGTGTGATGTTCCCCTTCCTGTGTCCATGTGTTCTCGTTGTTCAATTCCCACCTATGAGTGAGAATATGCGGTGTTTGGTTTTTTGTCCTTGCGATAGTTTGCTGAGAATGATGGTTTCCAGCTTCATCCATGTCCCTGCAAAGGACGTGAACTCATCATTTTTTATGGCTGCATAGTATTCCATGGTGTATATGTGCCACATTTTCTTAATCCTTTAAAACATTTCAATCCTTATTTTGTCCTGAACAGGCCAGTAATTTTTTTTTAAAGGTATAGCTAAATCTCCCTCAAGAGCAGAAATGATTACAATTAGAATCTTTTAGGTTTGCATTATTATTCTTATTATTCTTAAACCAAAATTTCGAAGCTGCCAAGATGTATGTATGTGTATGTGTGGGATGGTAGGAAGGGGATAAAATGGTTAATTTTTTATATAAAGCAAAAATGACCTTTTTGGATGACATTTCCTGCTGTCCATATGTATTATACTTCTAAATTTTCTCATTTAAATATTTTGTTCTCTTATCTAGGCTACAACCCAGAAAAAATATACTATTTATTCAGTTTTATGTGTGAATTTTCCATTTGGAGTATACTTCGCCAATTCCTGTCCAGAGTTGTATGATTTTGATTATTTGAATACTATAAAATAACACACAACAATTTTGTGCTAAAATGTAACACTAACCTGACACCTCCCCAATAGATCCATCTGCTGAGATGGTTTGGTGACCAATTAATATTTTTTTCTTAAGTAATTATGACAGCAGTACCCATGAAGAGACATTCATTATTGGAATAGCAACATTTATTCTAAACTAAATTATCAATGTAGAAATTATGCTTCAAATATAGCAAATGCATTTATTTACATTTTTAAAATCATCCCTTGCTAATGGTAGAAAAGATGTTAGGGCTTTTCATCTATCCACCTGTACTTTTCAACAATTTTCTGAAGATGTGATAAAGTAATTTCAATAAACCTTTTTAATATATTCCACCTTTTATTGGATATCACCGTCAGCACTCACAATTTGTTAATTGTGTCATTTGAGGTAGGAACAATGAAAGCAAAATGGTAGTTTAACAGAACGGTGCATTAAATTGTCAAATAAAGATTTATGACTAAGACCCCAGATTTAACCCTGGGTAGCTATACTCACTTTTCCTATTTGACGCAACATCATACTCCTGTTTTTTGTGGTTCCCCATTTAATTCATGTTTCTTTAAAATAGTAATAACATGTGAGAGCTTTTCTCTTAGTGTTCTTTATATTAATAAACTCAAAAATATTTTCTGACAATAAGCATTAATTTTCCCACATCATTATGCACAAGCTTTAATATTAATAATGTTTATTTGTAGGTGCAGTTAACTACAATCTATCTGTGTTTATAATTCTATGATATTGATATATGGTTTTCATGTTAATAATTTTAGTGGAATTATCTTTCCAGAAATCAGCCCCGTAGGAATTGACTAGAGAGAGGCTTAGGAAAAAGGAGTTAGGGGGTTGGGTAACTGGAGAGTCAGTGTTTCCTGCCCAGGCAAGAACAAAAGGCATCTCTTTTTTCTTGTGCAAGAAGTGGGAGTTAGAATAGATCTTGACATTGACAAAAGTCCTTAAGAACATGCCAAGGATTTACCACTTCTCTAACCCTCACAAGATCAATCACTTGGTAATTGCTGTGATAACAACTCAGCAATTACCAAGTGATTGGTTTTGTGAGAATGCTTGTTCAGCTCTTCTAGCCATTCCTCACAGGCTTGTCAGACCCCGGGCCCTTCTGCATGAATGACATGCTTAATGCTGTAGTGCCTCCAAGTAGCTACCAGACAGACTATCCTATAGATGGCAGAGCAAAGATTTTCAGGCTGAATTCAGTTGCTTTAATCACACAGTTGATTTGCTGAACTTAAAACTTACAACCAGAATGAATGGGAAAGAGATGTAGATAATTACACATCTCTAAACTGTATCAGGGATCAAATATGATTATGAACCAGATACATACAATTTGTGCTTTTTCCTTTTCAAAGATCCCTATGTACAATGTAACATGTTCTGCATTTCCATTATTCTGCCACTGCATGGTCTTTTAATTTTTTTTCTAGCTTGTTAAGGAATTTTCATGATAGAGATCACAGTTGCTCCACAGTAATCAAAATCAGACAATGAGTTGTCCTGATGGTTTCTTTATATGTTACCTGAGTTCTTCTACCACAGCCTTCTGTGCCATTTTATATTTTCTCCTCACCATTTATGAAATTCTAAAAACCTAATATTCGTGAAAGAGATCAAGCATTCCTGTTTCAGGCATCCTGTGAAAATTGAAACTTCTGTGTGTATTTACATATATTTATATCTATGGTTACAGCTTTTTTTTTTTCCATCTGCATAGCAGTTTCCTTTCCAGTCATCCCTAAAGGATGTATATTTAGCTGATGTGACATACTTAGTCTACCTCTGTGTGCACATAGATGCTTGATGGGAAGTGTCTGAGACAACTCTTGAAACTTCACCCTATAATGTATATTTTAACTACACAAATTGAATATCAAAATTATTAGATGAGTAAAATTCAATTGACACTCTCAGACTCTGAGGTCAGCTTAACAGACATGGATGGGGAACGTCAGTGAGGTTATAGACACATGTTTTTGCCACTATTGCTGTTCTGTCCTTGTATAAGAATGAGGATGAGTAGACACCTCTATTTGCTGGCCATGGTAGCAAGTCAGAGTACACCAACATCGGCAAAATTTCTCCAATAGATCTAGAGTATTTTGGTAGACATATGTCAATATTTCCATTAAACTGTAAATGATCTACATGCATCTGGCCAAATAAAATGCTTGAAATTTTGATGTTGGAAAGTTGTGGGGGACTGACGATGTATATCTTTCTTCTTCTTGAGTGGTGGAGGATGGTGGAAGGTAATTTGAGATTGTTTTCCTCCTGAAAGTGCCTTTTACAGCAATTAAATGGCTTTGAGAGATCATGGGTTTGGAAATAATTAAAATGATGATCACTTTAAGGCAGTTTTTAAACTGTGTTTAACTTAATGCTTCAGAGTATCTCCAAGCCACCTGAAACTTATAGAAAATTTTGTGCATTTTTTTTTTACGAAAGAGGAGACTTCGCTTTTATTCCTTTCTCAACAGATCGATGATCTGGCAAATAGTTGCCCTAGGATGCCCATTAGGTTGAACATGAAGGACAGGTTTTTATGGACTACTACTAATTTATTTATATATGTTCCTCTTCCAAAAGTTCATTTAATAAAAGCAGTTTTTTTTTTTATCATTGCAATCATCTTTTGCAGTTTAGGGGAGAAACAATAGGAAAGGAATCAGTTATCTTTTAGGGGTAATTAGCAGTTAGGACAGCATCTACCAGGAGGAGGAGAGTACCTGTGTAAGTCAGGATTCATTTGGAAAGTACCTCAACTGCAGCTCCCTATGGAGTCAAGGGGGATGTCAGTGGCCAGTCAGCTGGCCAACCGGGTCTTGACCCCAGGTGAGATGAAGTGGAGGAAAGCACATGTTCCAGCTGTATCTTCTGTGCAAATAGACTTCAAGACAAGTTAGCATGGCTGGCCAGAGCCACCTTACTTTGGGCATTGGCATTCACATTCCAGTGTCATTTCTATGCAGTTCCACTCATAGCTTCCCAGAGTTAAAGCTTAACAGAACTTGAGCACTGTAATTTCAGAGATCCTTCTGATTGCTGCACTTGTACAAGGATGGTGCAGCAGCCATGACAACAATCCAGTTGCTAGGTAGGATGTGGTAGCCGCACTGATAGTCCACATGCATGCCAGTTAAGCTGGCCTTTGGGCTGGAGACCATCTAAAGTGAGACCCAGAGAGGTTAAATGGCTTGCCCAAGATCAACAAGATAAATGCTGGAACCGTGGGAAGGAAAGGCCAGATTTCCTAGTTCCTAATCTAGTTTCATGTTTCTTATATGGCTCACTGTTTCGGTCAGATATTTGCTTTTACCCTGTTTTGCACTTTACTGGCCTTATTTGAGAAGGTTTTCCATTTTCATGTCCCATACTGCATTTTACCTCTTTTTAATTTCTCCCTCAAACCTGCCTTTAGAGTTATACCCCAATTTGATCCCTCTAGGGGAAAAATGTTCCACTTTCATCCACTGTCAAGTACTTGCCCTTCTAAAAAAGAAGCAAATTGTTTGGAGGTTTTGCCTCAGTGTTTAGCAAAGTATCTGGCCTAGAGTAAGCGTTGGATGAAACCTGTTGTTTGACAGTTGTTAAACAATTGTGATTTAATGCAGCCTGGTTCCAATTGGAAGAATAAGTCATCTGAGTGGTTAGTGGCTTTAAGTACGATTGAGGAAAAGTCCTGAGAAGAACAAAGACCACTAAAATATAAAGGTGACCTTGGGTGCTTCATTTTGCTTATCCGGATTGTGTTATTTAATAAAGGAGTCAATATCAACACTATTTTCCTGCAAGGTTGTTTTAAGGATTATATGCGTATGAATGGACATGACAGATTAAAAGAGCAATGTAAGACATTAATTATTTCTTTTTATGATCAGCACTAATGCTATTTGCTAGAATGCAAAGATAAATATGGTCCTGACCCTGTCATTCATAAGCTCATATTTTTCTCTTTATCCATTCGTCCGTCTGGTAAATTCGTATTTTTTAGTCCAGTGATTCTCTTGGCACAAATGTCTGAGATATTTTTGTTGTCACTGCTGGAGGTTTGCTACTGACACTTGCTGGTACTGCATATTCTACAATACGCAAAGCCCTCTGCAACAAAGAATTGTGCAGCCCCAACTATCCATAGTTTTGAGAGTGAAACAGCCTGCCTTTTGAATAAAATCATCTGAATAAAATTGACTCACTCACTAAAAACATGAGTTCTCTGTTTTTTATATTCTCCTAAAATATACACAGACATGTGTTGGCACATCACTAATATTAGAGAGATTATGTTCCATTTAACTGCAAATCTGCAAGGGCAGGTGTTTGTCTTTTTTTTACCTTTGTGCTTACATGGCATTCACACATATTGGACACAGCATTCACTTGTTTATTCATTCATTCTAGACATTTTTGGCTTTGAGCATCTACTATATGCCAGGCCCTGTTCTAGGTTCTGAGGATATATTACTGAATAAAAAAGACATGTTGGAAATTACATTCCAACAGGTGGAAGTACTTACTGTGACAGGTGCCTCTTAGAGTTAATATTAAATACAAGAATAGACAAGGTCACTGAGGAACAATGATTACGACCTTCTCAATTCACTGAGCTAGACTGCAGTGTCTCAGAAGTGAGAAACAGCTGAGTAGATTGTACTAATTTATTGATAATGATATGAATTTGTGTACATTTCACAGGTTAGTGTCATGCATGAAAGTGCCTGTTTTACTAAGTGATACCATATTTGTATAAGCATTCCTTGTCAGCTGCCATGCAGATGCAGACTGCCTCATTACCATGTTTTATGCCACATAGGAGTTCCTATCATGTGCTAGGTAGTAGGTGAACCAGAACTCAGATGTGAAAATTGATTCAGTCTTTTACAAAAGAATTTAGGCATAAGGAAATGACTAAGGAAGGAAAGTTTGCTCTTCTTTGAGTATGTTCGTTTGTTACCAAACATTTTGTTGTGTTGGATAGTGAGATGAGTCCTTTAAGTGAACTTTGGCTGGCTGGTCACAGTGTTAAGATGTGCATTCTCAAGCAATGGAACTTAGGAGACTTGTGAAGGAGAAATGTGAAGGAAATTAGAGACTTCACTGTGGATGCTGTTGGAATGTGAGGAAATCATGTCCAAAGGTAGGATCTGAAAGAACTTTCACCTAGATAGGTAGTTCTCTCTCCCCACTCCCAAGGAGACACTTCTAGAAGAAAATAAGGAAGCACTTCTGGCTTTTATGAGGTTAAGGACCTTCCCCCATCCAGATGTCTTTTACAGTGAAAGACAGTTCTGCACACAGAAGAAGTCATTGCTGTGCACACTCTGACTTTCAAAATTCCTGTTCTAGTTCAAGTAAAGGAAACATTTTTTAATAAAATCTCTCTTTTTTTTTTTTTACATGGAAACACAAAGTAATTTTTGCATGGCTTAACATACACTGTTTTTTTTTTTTAAGGAATTCACTTACCATTAAATCAAAAGAAGGTCATACTATTTTTGTTGATAATTTTACCAAAAGTTCACCATTTTGAAAAATCTTATCACAAATAGCAATAGGAATAAAACATATATGTATCAGCTTGAATTTGTAACTGTCATAGTCATAATGACTCTAATTTCACACTAATTACACTCCCATTTTTCTAAAGTTTATTCTATAACTTTACAACATATAGTTTACAAGGTAGTTAACTATTATTTCTTCTAGGATAGTCAAACTTGATCATTTATATATTGAGATGCACATTCTTTTTAAATAATTATATTTTTCTTGCTCTTTTATATTATAGGGCATTAAATTTTTAAAAAATATGTGTGAAGAGAAAGTTATATAAATTTTTTTTTCAGATTGGCAAATAGGTACAACATACAATATTTGTTTGTAAAAGGAGGGACTGGAGCTACTAGATTAGAAATCACCGACTTGAGTGGAGTTCAATTCAGTTCATTATTTGTTGAGCACCTGCTGGGTATGGTAGGGTGGGTAAGTAAACATTGGCTCTGCCTCAACAGGTGCACCAATCTGTGATTAGGTAAGCGATTTTTTACTACCAAGAATAAGAAATATGGTAGCTAAGACCTCAATCTTAATGAGGATCCAAGCATCTTAAACTCTTTGCAAAATGAGTCAGAGCATAAATTAATCAATAGAGAACCACTGGACCCAACAGAAACAGCAGACAGGCACTGCAATTTTCCCAGGTACCCCCAAATTGATTGCCCAGAAAGATAAAGTAACAAAAATGCATGTCATAGCTTTTCACTTATGTGTTTTCACCAAGATTCAATAGCTTTCAGGGCTTTAACACACGGAAGCAGAATTGGGAAATTAACACATTGACAGCCAACAAATATCCATCCAATTTGCCATGTCCAATATATCCTACAAAGAAGCTTTCCTAGCGTTTCACTGTATTTTTGTGACATGATTGCAAAGTAGTTTTTATTATCTACAGTTTACAGATGTGTAAGTCAGGGCTCAAAGATATAGAGTGACATAAGACTCTTTGTTACTGTTTCTGTAGCAACTGTCATTGTGGAAATGCAAGATTTTCTGAAATTTTTGACGGTATAGCTGTCAATTTGCTGAACATTTAATCAGCACCCTCTATGTAAAAAGGTATTGTATACCTGGAGATGTAAGAGAAAAAAAGACAAATATGATTATTTGCTCCGCCTACAACTAGTAAAATGTGAGCTAATAAGGAAGAAATACTTGATCATGAGGATTATAGGGGAGAATATAAAAAGCTCAACAGTACAAAGGAAACAACCCACTAGGGAGCAGAGGAGCAAGAGAGACATTTTTAGAGTAATGGGAGATCTCTGTGATCTTCACAGAGATCACAATTTGAAAGAGGCTTGAAGAACGGATAGGATTTTTGTTGCTGTTGCTGTTTATTGAAACAACAACTCACAGGTAACATTTTCAGAGAGGCCTGTAGTTTGGTTTGACTTTTAGAGCCCTGGAACGTGATGCATGCTGAAGAGGATTTTTTTTTTTAACATGTAAACACAAAGTAATTTTTGCTTTGTGTCTCAATGGCAGCTTTTAGGCTGCAGAGTGATGAGCCTCGAAGCAGAATTACAGGAAGAAAACTCTAGAGTTTACACAGAGGATGGATTTCTCTGACTGAGGAAGCCACCCAAAGGATTAAAACCCCAAAAGTACCACATCTTCTTTTCAGCGGATAAGATACTTTTCAGGGAATTACATCCCCTAAAGAGAGATATTGAAGTCCCTACCTCTGGTGCCTATTAATGTGACCATATGTGGAAATTGGGTCTTAGCAGACGTAATCAAGTTAAGATGAAATCATTAGGGTGGGCCATAATCCAATATGACTGTTATCTTTATAAGAAGAACATTTGGACACAGGCACATCTAGAATAGCACGCGATGACAGAGGCAGAGACAGGAGTCAGCACCGCAGGAGCCAAAGAACACCAGGATTGCTGTCAGCCTCTGAAGCTGGGAGAGGGCCATGGGATGGATTCTCCCTCAGAGGCTGTAGGACCAACCTGCTGGCCCCTTGATTTTGGCTTCTACCGCCCAGAACTATGAAACAATGAATGCCTGCTGTTCTGAGCCACGCGGTCTGTAGTACTTCCTTACAGGAGCCCCAGGAGACCCACTCGGAAGCTGTGGGCTTTTTCTCCTCTTGGGATGACATACCACTCCACAAACTCAATTATTTTCCATCTGGTGAAAGAAAAAGAAAGTTATCTTGAAACAGGAGAATGAATGGGAAAATATGAGTGGCTCAGAAAGCTTCTCTTTAATTATTGACAGCAACAAAATAGAGTGAAGATATCAGAATGTGTGGGCGAGAGATAGACTTTAAATCTGAATTGAATTCAAGTTCAAGCTTCCCTGCTATACCCACTAAGGGACCTGGCTGTGTCATTTACCTGAGTCTATTTTCCCCTATTACATAATGAGGATAACAGAACATATCTCAAGTGGCTGCTGTGTGAATTAAATGAGCTAATCCATGTCACTACCAGTAGTACAGCACCTGGTACAGTACATACTCAGCAATTGGGATCACTCATGGGAGCATTTGTACTAGTAGAAATAGTATTTATGGGACAGGAAAGTTTTTCCTAGAAGCTAATGTAATACTTTAAAAACTTTATTTCTTAAAATCAAGTATTAATAAATAAAATTTCAATATAATAGGATGTATATTTCATTTAATCATTTAAATATAAAATATTAAAAATTAAAACTTTCACACTGGTTCAAAATATGTTGGCTTTATTTTATGACATAAAATGGATCTGACTGTCTCACAGTGGGGGGTAGAAATCCAATGCATATAGCAAATACAACCAACTAAAGATGAGTAAGATAAGAATAAAAAAATTAAGAATTTCTTGCAGGTTTAGGAACATCCCAACTCCCTGCTTAATACATTTGTTGAAAACAAGTTATTCATGATGAATGTGAAAATGTATGGTTCCTATTGTAAAAATCAGAAATCAAGGAAATTAGAGGTAGAAAAATGGATAATATAACTGTTCCCGGGTGCTCCCTGGAAAATGTTTTTCATGTTGATTTATCAAGTTTTGCATACCCTAGGAGCAGGCTTCAGTCAATCTCTTCTACTGTGGTGTGTGTCATTCTATGGTCAAGGAACTTAGCAGTTCCTCAAAATGGCTATGCTCACTAATAACATATATTCCAAGACAAACTGTTACACTGGGTGATATTATTCCCTTTCCATTTTTGAATAAAAGAAGTTAAGATACTTTTAATGGTGGTTGATCCAAACCCATTCATATTTGGCTTTAGAATGGATTTATGATCATATAGTTGAATATGAGCATTTCTAAACTTGGGTAATAAAGCATTTCATGCAAAATAATGCAATCTTCCTTTGGATCCCAGCCTAGATGTATTTATTTGACTTTTTAGCAATCTCTCTAGCTGTACATTATTTCCTTCTGTACCTCACCTCTTCCACCAAGCAAGAGATCCATTTTATTCATATTCGTATCTCATTTACATTGTTTTTCCTTTCTTGCTTGTTCACACTGGATGTATAAAATGGGGGAATTAACATGGAGTTTGAGATATTTGATATAAAGGGAAATTTATACTTTCTAGGGAGTACTGAAGTGAGTTGACTTGCTGTGCATTGGGCAAGCATGGTGTCTATCAAGCCTGAGGACAGGAATCCATTACTAGGCTCAATCCACTTGGATACTGGTCTGCAACGGTTAATGTGCAACTGATTTTCTTTAATAAATGTTTATATAGTCATTTTGAAACAAGACAATTATTAACAAATTTAGCAAACTGCTGACGTTTGATGAACAGAGAACCAGGTACCCACTAGGTATTTATTTAGTGTTAGTAGTTGTGGTCCTTTTCATGATCTTTCCCCCATTCCCTTATTTCCTCCTATTGGCAGGAGGGTTTTGCAGATGTGATTATGTTAGGAATATGGATATAGGGAGATTTTCCTGGATTATCCAAGCAGCTCATTATAATTAGGGCTATGGTCCAAGAAGGAGATGAGTTTATGGAGGAAAAGCACAGAGTGATGCAATTTTGCTGGCTTTGAAAATAGAGGAGAGAGGCCATGAGCCAAGGAAGACAGGCAACCTCTACAAACCAGAAAAGGTCAGGAAACAGACTGTTCCTTAGAGACTCCAGGAAGGAACACAACCCTGATTTTAGTCCACTGAGACCTGTGTTGGAATTTTGACATACAGAACAATAAATTTCTGTAGATTAAAACCACTAAGTTTATGATAATTTGATACAGCAGCAACAGAAAATTAATACAATATAATAGAACTATAGGATATACCTTCATAATAAAATCTAGTTAAGAGTTATAGTCTCTCTTTTAATCCATGATAGTAATTAGTCACCAACAAACTCTCAAACACTCAAGAGATAATTTTCCCCAATTGTGCACTGATGAACATGGTTATCCATTAGGGTGATGACTAGATAGAATTTGGAAAGGATGCCACTCTGAAAATATGCTCCCTGTGTATTTTGCTCTGACCATTTTCAGATTTGTGATTGCCAAGCAGGAAAAATCTCCTTTCTTTCCTCAAGTTCATCTTTCCAAGAATTTTAAAATATAAGAGGAAATATTAGCATTCCTTTATCTTTCTCTAAGTTAATATTCTTCATTGCTCTCAAATCTGTGACATAGGATTCTGCATTTCTCAGAAGCTGAAGGTAGAAATTCATAGCTTTGACCCAAGGTGTGATGTGTTGTTGTTGTTGTTGTTCTTCTTTTTCTTCTTCGTCCTCCTCCTCATCCTCCTCCTTCTCCTTCTTCTCCTCCTCCTTCTGTTTCCTCTTTGATCCAAACTTTAGTTTCTTATTGCTTCCTTATATCTTCAGAAATTTCATATAAATACCGTAACTTATGGTATAGCATCATGGAATGCCCCTAGTGACATCATATGATGTTGTTTGGAAAATTGTTTCTGCTCACCACAACCAACCCAGATTGAACCTGAGCTGCTTCCCTCTCTCCCATTTCAGGAGCACCCTCGAGTGGCTGGAGGTAAACTTTGTCCCTCCTTTTGGTTAGAGTCTCAGTCATGGGACAGATTAATAGTTCTGCGTCTAACTGTCATGTGAACAGGAGGTGTATCCTGCTTAGCACATTGTAGGGACATCTGTGTTGGTGGTGTACATAAGACTGGCTAGCATATCCTCTTTTACCAAGAACACCTTACATATTGTTTCCCACTAGTCATTTTGATGTTGACATAAGAAATGTGATGGACATATCTTTAAACAAAGGCATTGACACTGTGCTTTAGCCCAGTGGTTTTCAGGCTTCAGTGAGCCTCAGAGTCATTATAAGAAGGGCTTGTGAAAACACATTTCCTGTGTCTGAAATACCTGGGATAATGTTTTTCTCTCTCTATTTCCCCACTCCCACATCCCCTCTCCAGCTTACAGCCTGTAGCTGTTACTCTTTTGCTCCTGTTAAAAATTTACCTTTCTGTCCTTAATTTATAACACCTGAGGGATTTCCCTTACATTGATCTTCCTTTCCCCAGGCCTTCCTTTCTGACTCGTGTCCCCTTTATGTGCTCCACACATTCTGCTTCTTTGATCCTTGTCTTTAGCACATTTTCCTGGACTTATCAACACAGCACTTTAGAGCTAGAAGGAATATTGGTGACTGTCTGGTAAAGCAACTGCATTTTTACCTGAGACACAGGTGGAGAGGGACGTATTTATCCTCTGACTCCAGAGAAAGATACTGTAGTAAAAACCTTAAATAATTTTGAAGTGCTAAAAGTTATTAAGATGTTATTACAGAAATATAGCTTCCTTCCTCATGAAACTAAAGAGAGAAGCTAATAATAACTCCAGCAGTGAAAAAGTAAAAGTTAGCAATGCAATGCATTTGAAAATGTTGGCTTCAGGTCCAGGGGAAGCTGTTGATTGATCAACTGTCCTGAGTCATCCAGTGGTACCAGTAGTCACACCTTCTACAAGGCCACATGGGACTCTTCCATATACAGGCTAGAGCCCAAGAGCAAGTAGCTAATTAGTATTGAAATGTGTTGCAGGACAGGACAGATAGGGCAAGGGTTGAGAGGCCCTTCCTAGAAACTTCACATTTAAATAAAGCTACCTGGCTTCTTTGTACTCATCTTCATCCAAACACATGGCTGCAAAAAATATAAAAATAAATATAAGTAAATACAAAAAGAGAGTCATACAGTCTCCTCTATTGCCTCTTTCTATGCTCACCCCAGATTTCACCCTTGCATATCCTTAGAACCTTATTTCTGATATGAATTTTGTTAACAGGCTCCTATACTGAGACATAGGGCTCTTTTTAGAAGGTGAGCAGTGTCTGACTCATCAACTCAGGCATCAGACAACCTCACTTGATTTCTCCGTATTATTTCAAGTTCTTAAAATACATTAAACCAGTCTTAGGATGAGTTTCATTGTTAGTGGATAATGGCGTGATGGGGTGGAAACAGCACAGAAGATGGTATTAGACATCCAGGATTCAATTCCAGCCCAGATGCTTGACTTTTAAGAACATCAGGTGCCTCATTTGCAAAATGGAACAATAATGGAAGCCTCAAAATTTTACAAGAACAAAGTGAGACTCTGTTCATAGAGAGTCTGGGGCCATACATTTACTCCAGCAGGTGCTCAAGGGTAATAGTGCTTTTTATTTTTAAAGTTTCGTGGCATAGCCATCATCTAATGCCACCAACATCCCTGTGAGGGGCAGGACCAGGACTAGGGTGAGGAGGGTGAGCTGAGTGGTTCAGATGTAAGATTGTTTTCTGTTTTTAATTTTAAAATGTGACTTTTTTATCATGGATATTTTTGCATTGATTTTCATTAAAATAGCTCTTATGTTGGAATACTACCTTGGTGACTGATGTTTTGGCACCTCATTACATTTTTGCCCAAGGCTAGTGCCTCACTTGACTCAACTTCATTGCAGCTCTAGTCGGAGGATTAGATGGGAGGAAGATGTCTTTCTTATTTCCAGATAGAATGTTTAGATGGCAGCGACCGATGCTGCCACTGTCATCCTCTCTGTTGGCCTAAACAGCCAGTATCATGAAGAAGTCATCTATTTATACAAATCACTTGCTTGATAGCTATGCTTCTAACTCTTAAGAGCCTTCTCATTCATTGTTCTCTCCACAGAATGAGAAAACATTGTGACTCCATCAGGTGTTCCAGCTGACTTGTAATGTGATGACTTGTCGTGCTCCATTGAGTCAGCTCTCTCTCATTATGTTGTATCCCGGAGTCCTGGGCTTCTGGAGGGTACAGTCTCTAGGGAAATTGAGTTGCAGCCTCTATATTAACATTCTCTCCTTTTGTATTGCTGCCACATTATGCAGTCTTCTCCTTTCCTGCTGTTAGATAAAATAGTGCATTGATCCCAGAAAGAAGAGAGGCACAGCTGTTGAAATCATGGCAAACACAGAGCTTGCATTTTCCTCTGCTGTGCGGTCCTCACTTTTCTAGGCTCATTCTCCTGAGATGCAGCATTTTGTAATGAATGGCTTTTCAGGCAGACAGCGTTCTGACACCATGCAATATATGGGCCCCACCTCTCCACACTGTACGTCTCCATGCTGTGAGCTGAGCTGGTAGGGAGTCTTGGTTTCAAGTGCATTGAATTGCAATTGTGAAATTGTTTCAGAGTGTTTTGCTGAAACCAAACGATTCTTTGCAAATAATCTTTAAAATTGATATAAATGCTTTAGAGCCAGTGAGCTTTCTTGCTGAATAGACATTGCATCCTAATATAACTCGGTGCCAGGCTCTCCTCTCTTTTCTTAAGCTTATGTTTCAGCATGGGTAGCTCAGATCTTGTCCTGAGAACAGCTTTACAGATCAGGAGAAAGTAATGCTGAGGTGACAAGCCTAAGAGTATAAGCCTTTTAAGTCTCTGAAATTTATGGTGTCATTGAGTATGCGTGCATGAGTGTGTGTGTGTGTGTGTGCGTGCACACGCAAGCGTAGGCTGAAATATTGATTTGAATGGGTCTGTTAAGCTTGGTGTTCTTTTAAAATATAGAACGCTTCTTTTTCTCCCAGGAATTGATCTAAGCTAAGGCTTCCCTTGTCATGTGCCCCATTTTAACCACCACTTCTCATGATGATTCTATTGTAGAACTACTGTATTTTATTTGTTATTTTATTTTACTTTATTTGTATACTGGTATATGGCTTTGTTACTGTTTGTCACACCATGATTTTCCATGGTTAGTTACAGTAAGATGGGATTCAAAATGTTCTGGAAATCAGAATATGCTTGAGATGTACTGGAAAAGTAACTGATCATGAAGATACTATAAATACTGGCATATGGATTCATGGAAAGGGATTCCAACTTTTAAAGTTTATGGGTAGGGTATTCAAGGATTTTCTTATTTCAAGGCATTTTTCTTGTGTATGAGGCAATTCCAGAAAGTGAATACACAGCTGTGGTCAAGTGAAGTTTTGATTGTTGTCATGAAGTTTATCCTCTGAAGAGTCTTGGACCACAGTTGGCCCCTGTGAGCTCCTTGTCATTGTTCCTTCTCAGGTAGGCTTCATGAAGAAAGCTCTGGGAATAAAATCTTGGTTGCTTAGAGGTGAAGATCCAGAAGGGATGAATAGGACATAGCTGGGATTACTGCTGCCTTCCCCATGGTCTTTTCCTCATGGACGGCCTCCGTATGGTGCCATCCTAGTACAGCTTGACAGTGCATCTGCAAGGGTCAGTGTTGTTCCTGAAGAGGAGCAAAAAGCCAGTGATAGTGTATGTCCCCTGCCTGGCTCTCCCCCAAACTGTGTCACACTGATATGTGGGTGGCCCACATAGTGCAGCCCTACTGGGGTATAAGCATTAAAGGACACAAACCAAATACAACCATGCAACAAAATGTGCCTCAAAATAAGTCAAATTCTATACTGGAATTTCCAAATGCCATAGGAAGATAAAAACTATGTCATTACTCAAAATACCTTAAGACCCTATTAGTTTTCTCTCCCATCCAGTATGTTCAGCTACTATGGCTGTTCTCGCACCTTTTTTTCAAGGTGTTTTATTTTTTTGTGCAATTCCTCCAGCTCTCTTTGCCTCTCTTGTTGCCCACTTTGTCTATTTCTTTCTGATTCTGAACCACAGAGCACAAGAACTAGTCAGACAAATTAGGACCCTCCTTGCAGAGTGGGAGAAGGAAGAGGCTGAAAGCCAAATAGAAACCCTATTTAGTGGGTAGTGGAGAGAAAAGGCTGAAAGCAGTTGCATTTCAGTAATTTTGATTCCAATGTGGATATAAGCTCCCAGTGGGTAAGGTCCTGTGCTGCAGGCTGTTTGGTCTGAGGAGAATGTGGAGCTGTGGGCCAGCAGGAGTTTTGGAGTCAGTCATCAGTATCTTCATGTTGAATATCAAGAGCAGCATATTTCTCACCTTCCCTTGATGTTATAAATTCAACATCCCCTCATCATTTTTATGATTCCTGTGCCAGGAGGCTAATGAACAGATTTGTAATGTTAGAAAAGTACGGCAATGAATGTTAATTTTGTTGTTACTCTTAAAACCTGGATGAACAAATGAAAAGAAATCTCATCACCATTATTCCTTAATGTTTCATTTCTTTATAAATTGTTTGATTAAGAATTCATATGAAAAGGTTTGACTATAGATTCCTGTCATGGGTTATACATACCCTTTTGGCCTTAAGGAAATACATTTCTAAAGGTCTTAGGGGACCCATTTATGGACTCAGTGCTCTTCAAAGGTCCAAAATGAAGACTGCCAATATTGTTATGCTTTTTTTTTTTTGCTGTTTTATGTTTTCATTATATCTGTATTGGGAGTTTAACCATAATTCAATCAAATAAGAAAATATAGATTTTTGGTCTTTTAGTTCTGGAGGAATATTTACAATTCTAATATGATAATGAGAGTGGAATGTTTCAAATTTAACTAAACTGTTATTAAATTGAGCATAAGAGGAAGAACTTTTAGTGAAAAAAGCATGGCTTTATAGTAACTCAGATCTGAATTCTAATCCCCAGCACTAGCTGTACGAATGTGGGCAAATAATTTAGCATTTTTGAGCTTCAAATATCATAAGTGCATAAGGAAACCTAACGCGTTGTGAGGAATAAATGGTGTGTAATGTGTTGCTAAGTGCAAACTACATTCACCTCATTATAATAAAGAACAATTTTAATTTCATTTTTACAACAAAAATAGTCTGTGCTTGGATCTTTTTCATGATCAGGACTCTAATTTTAAAGGGTACAAAATAAGTATGCAGAAGTGGAGAAAAATTGACCGGTGCATATATTCTTTCTGGGTTGTTACATAATAGGACAAAGCACAAAATACTTCATAAAGCATAAATGTAAAACATGGACATTTCTGCCACTTATGATTTTTATGTAACTATATGGGAGGCATGGAAACCAATTTTATTTTGACTTATGTTATAAAGCTGTTGCCAAACATCCTGTGCTTAAGTCATGTTTCATGGGGAGACAGCAATGCCTAGTGCATTTCTATGTAACATGGATCTTAATATTTCCCTGTAAGATCAGAAGTACAACATGATTTCATTGAAATTCATACCGAGTATTCGCTTACACCATATTTTCCATTGAGAATAACCTCAGGAGCCTAGATTTTTATGGGAACAAAAGTAAGACAATTACTCTGAGGGAGAAAGCTGGAGGGAGGTTTGTAGCTCCTTCTCCCACAGCCACCTTTCCTCTAGGCTTCCCCGAAGTCCCTGTGCGGGACTCAGGCTGTCCCCTGACATTGATGAGATAGGGATCAACCCAAGACATCAGTGAAGCCGTACGCCTGGACTCTTCTTGAAATGGGCTCCTACTGTTCAAGATTTTGTAAAGAAGATCAGAAGTCATCTTAAGGCCCCTTTCTGTGCTGAAACCATGATGTTTATGCAAATCTTTCCCCCGAATGTATTTGTTTCAGTCTTCTTTCATTGCCTGGTGACTGTCTCAAGAACTTGACCTTTTCCTGTGCCTTGGTTGTCCTTTCTTTCTGCTGAAGGTTGGCTGGTTGGTTGCAGCTATTTCACAGCAATGATACTCAAAACCATATCTACACAAACTGACCCCGTGGGGTCCCTGCCTCATCTTTGAAGGCATGTGGGGGCATGTGCTCCCTGGGACACTCATCTCTGGAACCTGGGGCAGACTGATTAGAAAAGCATATTAACTTTTACCACCCAAGAAGACTTTACAAAGTACAGTTTTTCTTGGCTTTCAATAAGATTATCTAAAAACAAATTATCCATAGACAAATATGCTTCTTTTACTAAAGTATGTCATTGTTTGTAGGAATTTGGGGGTTCAATAAATAATGGTATTATAAATGAAAAATCTCTCATACAGTTACCTAGTGTAGCTAAAAATTATATTGTATACTTGACACATAATACTTTTCTCTCCTAAAAAGAGGAGTCCGTAGTTTATGTATTTGTTAACTTGTTTGTTGACTGTCCCCCATGCAAGATTATAAACTCTATGAAGACAAGAACAATCATTTCTCTATTGCTTCCTCCTATATTCTTAGCATCCTGCACTGAGCCTAATGCATAACAGGGGCACAAGACACAAGATGTGTTAAATAATGAACTGAATAATCCAGAGCCTTTTCCCACCATTCTTACTAAATGTTTATTCTGGTCTCCCAAAGAAAACATCAGTTCTGTTTCCATTTTGGACTGCATTCTGTATAGATAAGTGATGGGAGTGGAGGGTTAAAAAACAGTTTTGTTTCATAAATTATGTTATTCCAAAGATTTTCAATTTATTGTCTTATAAAATCTCAAAGTCAAATTTTTCTGTAGCTTCTGCTTTGGGCTAAGTTCTTCAAAATCATAGCCTGGAGGAGCTGTAATGGGCAGTAGAGATCTTATAGTTTAATGTAGCTTAAACTTTGAGTTGTTTGTAATGACACAATTCATGTTGATCTACACACATGATGCTATACTGGCTCAAGTTGTTTCATTTTTCAAATGCATTTATTTCAGAATATTTTGTTCATTGGGCTAGCTCTGCTGTAAGATAAAATATTTGTGATGTAACTGATCAGTAGATATAAGAGGGGCAGTTTATAAATATGGGGATCTAGTTAATGAGAATGAGATGGAAAAAATCTTGCATCCTAAGTTATATTATTATAAAAGGGAAAATATCTGATTCTACATTTAGCAGCAGTAAATTAACCAAATCAGCTTTTAAAACATAAGAACGTCTGCTCTAAGTAGATCTGGCACTTGACTTTGAAGAAAGACACACACACAAGCAACATGAGAGCCTCATTTTGCCCTCCTTTTTGAAGTGCTCGTTAGTTGATTTTGGGATGATTTCCAAGCCAGCGAAGTTACCATGTGTGCTGTGACAATCCTGTCACCATTGTTTGTATATAAATCAGCCATGTTTTATTTCTGTACCGATGAGCTGTGGATTCCTAGCATGCCCAGAGAATGTGTTCTGCTGAGCCTCATTTTTAGCTGAATGCTCCTTCCCCTGTGGAGAGAAAAGGCACATTCTAAGGATAGCAAGGCAGGTAGACTTGCAAAGCTCAGGAGAGACGTGAATGCCATACACAAGATTAACAGTCAGGGAAGATTTTAGGTAAAATGATTCACTAGGCAAAAAGTTAATTTGTTTATAGTTCCCAGTTTTTCCTTATTTGATCCTCAATTATTCTGAAAGAAGGGCATCTGTGATTTAAAGCTTTAAAGATGAAAAACAAAACAAAAAAAACCCCATATTCCCTGACATGAAAACTTGGGGTCAGTATAATACCTAATTTTCTCAGTGGCTTCCTCAATACATGGAGTATTTACTTAAGTGCCTAGAAGCACTTAATAAATGTCTATAGAAGTGTAAGCATCTGATAAATAGTAAGCATTTGATCAATGCTTTAGTCAACTTAGGCTGCTATAACAAAAATACCATTACCTGGGTACTTATACATGACAGAAACTTGCTTCTCATCATTCTGAAGGCTCAAAAATTCGATGTCAAGATGCCAGCATATTTGATGCCTGGCAAGGCCTGCTTTCTGGGTCACAGATGGTGCATTCTCACTTCCACTGGTGGAAGGAGGCAAATCAGCTCCCCTGGGTCTTTTTTGTAAAGGCCCAGTCCAGTGCGAATACTAATTCCATTCGTGACAGCTCTGCCCTCGTGACTTAATCACCTCCCAAAGGTACCATCTCTTCATACCAGCACATTAGTGACTAGGTTTCAATATAAATTTGGGGGAAGCACAAGCATGCAGACCATTCGGGAAGAAAGAAAGAAAAGGCATCAAAACTTCTGTCTTTTGAAAGACACGCTTTCCTTTCCTTCTTCCCTTCTTATGGGGTTTTCTAACAGTGACAGTTGGCAGAGTTGTGTTGTACCATCAAGAACAGACAGCAGAGAGATTTAGGTGTGAGTGGAGTGAAAGGACACCAAATCAAAACCCAGAGGTGGCCACACTCTGCCAATAAAGGGTGATGAATAATCAGAGAACATAAACTTCTATTGGTTTCTCTCTATATAATAAAAAGGCTCCCTAAGATTGTCACCTCCTTTGGTGTCACAACAATAATAGTCATCGAGAGACGTTGCTATGGAAACACCTGCAGGTTAGCCTAGAATAAATACAGGTAAATCGTGACAGGATAACCCATCAGCCCCAGTCAAGCATGAAGACACACACATGCACCCACGTCCAGATTCCAACAATGTCCTAAACTATTCTCTTCTCTAAAAGGCTATAGTTAGCAAACAAGATTATACCGAGTCAAGCAAAGGATGGATAGCTTAGTAAATAAGATAGCCATAAGCTAGAATTTTCTAAAAAGTTTTGACATTTCTCATAGATTTGAGAAAACTTACTAGCCATTTTTGACATTTCTTTTATGTGTGGAATAAGTAAATTGGGGGAATTCAAGATAATTTAAACCTTTGCAACATGGTGTGTAAAATATCGTTAGAATTATCTTTCCTGCTAGCCGTTTAGGATAGTAGAAAGAGTATATATTAGAAGAAATTTGCTTATGTATCCCCCTTTCTCATTTAATCTCCATTTATACTGAAAGAAGAACATTTGTGACTTAAAGCTTAAAAAAGAAAAAAATCCTCTGTGGAATTATAATAATTATAATATATAGTCATTATCTATATTATATGTAATATAGATAATGCATATTATACTATTTTATAAATATATGTGTGTGTGTATGTGTGTGTCTGTGTGTATGTGTGTGTGTGTTTCTTTTTATTTCTCAAGTTGATTAAACCCCTGCTAATTAGGGAGATGGTTTGCCAATTACTCTTACTAGAAAGTTTGATTTTAAATCCAACCTTGACTTGGGAATTGACTATGCCAAAGGAGGAAAGATAGCCTGGCCTGAACATTAAACATATTCATAATTTACTCTTCAAGTTCTAGTTATTCTCATTTCTTAGACAGCCCCTTTAGGTTTATGAGTTTACTACAATGGGTAGAAAGACAGCTCAAATTGTCAACCTATTAACAGAATCTAAGTCAAGCTATTAATAGAATTTGTTGTAAAAGTCTTTCACTGGGTTCAATTCTAAGTGAAATCTGGTTGTGTTATATAGTGAGGAGCTTTTTTCCTCACTTAAAAGTGACCTTTAAAACAATTTCTTATGTAAATAATGACTCAGAGTAAGAAAAAACATGCAAAATAAGGGAAAATTAAAGTCTGAACCTTTATATGTACTGCTCTACCCAGTGATATTAAAGTGAAAAGTAGTTTTATTTCTAGCCATTGAGTGCTCTCACTATTCTTGACTAATTTAACTGGATTAAATGTGTTAAGAACTATAAAACTTATGTACAGAATATAGACGACAAATAATACAGAACACTAAACTCAGTTCTGGGAAAAGTAAAATGACCAAAAGATAGCAAATTTTTTTAAAAGCTTATTATAAAAAAATTCTACTTAATGTGTTCAAGATCTTTGAAGAACTAGAATAGGAAGAAACACTTCCCAATTCTTTCAATGAAGTTAATATTCTAATATCAAAAAAAGTATATTACAAGGAAATAAGTATATTGATCAATATCCTTTATGAATATAAATGAAAAAAATTTTAATGAAATATAAAAATCTTAATCTAGCAACATATAAAAAGAATATATACCATAACCAAATGGAAATATCTATCCCAGAATGCACTGTTGTTGTTACGTACATACATTCTTCAATTTAATATACCATATTAATAGAATAAAGAACAAAATATAGCATGCTCATCTCAATCAATGAAGAAAAAGCATTTGATAAAATTCAACACCTTTTCACAATGAAATCTCAGCAGACTAGGAACAGAAGAGAACTTCAATAAAGACATCTACCAAAAAAAAGCACATCAACATCAGACTAAATTAGGAAAGACTGAATGATTTCCCCCTAGAACAAGGAATAAGACAAAAATGTCTGCTCTTGCCACTTCTGTTTAACATTGTATTTGAAGAAGTAAAATTAACTCTATTTACAAATGACACAACCCCCTATATAGATAATGCAAAAGAATTCACACACACACACAAACACAACTATTAGAACTAATAAATGAATTTGACAATATTACAGGCTACAAGCTCAATATAGAACAATCAATTGTATTTCTATATACTAACAATGAAAAATCTGAAAGTGAAGTTAAGAAAATGGCACTTAGAATATCATCAAAAGAATAACACTTAAAAATAAATTGAACAAAAGAAGTACAATACTGTCTGGGTGCAGTGGCTCACTCCTGTAATCGCAGCACTTTGGGAGTCTGAGACAGGCAGATGACTTGAGGTCAGAAGTTCAAGACCAGCCTGGCCAACATGAGGAAATCCTGACTCTACTGAAAATACAAAAATTACTCAGGCATGGTGGCACACACCTGTAGTCCCAGCTACTCAGAAGGCTGAAGCATGAGAATCACTTGAACCCTGGAGGTAGAAGTTGCAGTGAACCAAGATCATGCCACTGCACTCCAGCCTGGGTGATGGATCTGTCTCCAAAAAAGAAAAAAAGTACAATACTTGTTCACTGAGAGCTACAGAACATCATCAAAATAAATTATATAATGCCTATATAAATAGAAAGACATCCCATGTTTACAGACTAGAAGACTTAATATTCTTAACATGTCAATATGTCAGTACTCGCCAAACTTAACTACAGTTTCAATTCAATTCATAATTCGTATCAAAATCCCAGCTGGCATTTTATTTTTAGAGTTTGACAACCTGATCCTAAAGTTTATATGGACATTGAAGGGACTTATAGCCGAAACAGTCTTGAAAAAGAATGAAGTTAGAGGATTCACATTCCCAGATCTCAAAAATTACTACAAACCAAATCAAGAAGTATGCCAGTATACATGGCATAAGAGTAGACATATATATAATATAATTATATGAATATATATATATGCATGTCTGTGTGTGTTTATATATGTGTGTGTGTATATATATAAATTCCATTTTACATATGTATATATATATATACACCAGTAAAACTGAATTGAGATTCTGGAAGTACATCCTAACATTGATGGTCAATTGATTTTTGACAAGGGTACCAAGACTATTCAGTGGGGGAAATGGTAGTATTTTAACAAATGGTGCTGGAATAACTGAACAGCCACATGAAAAAGATTGAAGTTACACCTTTACCTCACACCATATACAAAAATTGAATCATCGACCTAAACTATAAAACTCTTAGAAGAAAAATTGGTGTACATATTCATGATAGTAAATTAGGCAAAGTTTTCTTAGAAAAGACACAAAAATCACAAGTCACAAAAGATAAAATAGATACATTTAACTTCATTAAAATTAAAAATACTTATGTTCCAAAGGAGACCATCAAAAAGTGAAAAACGCTTCATATTATGGAAGGAAATATTTACAAGTCATGTATCTTATGAGAGATTTGTTTTCAGAATGTAAAAACACAGACCACATTAAAAAGAAAAATAACCCAATTAAAATGGGAAAAGCATTTGAATAGACAGTTCTCCAGAAAAGTTGTATAATTACCAATAAACACAAGAAAACTGCTCAACATCATTAGTCATTATGGAAATGCAAATACGAACTACAATGAGATACCTCTTCCCACTCCTAGGATAACCAAAATTAAAAGTCAGACAGAAATAAGTGTTGGCAAGAATGTGGAGGAATTAGAATCCTCATGCGTTGCTGGCAGAATTGTAAAATGGTACAGACACTTTGGAAAACACATACAGTTCTTTAAAATGTGAAACAGAGTAACTCAGGAATTTTATTTCTAGGAAAATTTTTATATACCTAAGAAAATTTTTTAAAAACACATGTTCATGTAAAACTTGTACATAAATTTTACAGCTGCATTATTTATAATAGTGTAAAAGTGGAGACAACTGAAATGTTCATTAACTGATAAATGGAGAAATAAAATGTGGTAGATCGACACAATGGAATATTACTTGTCAATAAAAAGACATTAAAATATCTTGGTGTGGGACCACAACTATTCTCCCTTCAACATTCTTGTTTATCTTCTCCCACTGGGACCTCATTTAGATTCCCATGTTTATTGACACCTTGTTATTTTATTCTCCTCTTGTGCATTATTTCAATGATCCTTATGCCAATGCCCTAAACTTTCCAAGTGAGGCCTTACTGTACCTGTCAGTGCACCCTGTTATGACATAAACGAACCTTAAAAATTTTTTCTAAGTGAAAGAAGACAGACAAAAGGCTGCATCTTGTATGATTCCATTGATATGAATTGCCCAGTATTGGCAAATTCATAGAGAAAGAACATAGATTAGTTGTTGTCAGGGGCTGGGGAAAGGGAAGATTAAGAAATGATTGATAATGAGTGTGTAGTTTCTTTTTGTGATGATAAAATTTTGAAAATTAGAGAGTGGTGATGTTGTACAACCACAAGAATATACTAAAGAACACTAAATTGTACACCATAAAAGGTGAATTTTACGGTACATGAATTGTATGTCAATAAAACTGTTATAAAAATAATTTATTAAGAGCTCTATTAAGAGCTCTATACCATGAGATGTCTAATCTCTATTTTTAATCAAGCGTGTTCTTCCCTTTATTAAAAATCTGTAGCACTTTAGTTGGTAGCACAGTGGAGTAAATGGAGGATAAAATTTGACTTTAAGTTCATATATTGGTTTGCTTCTTTCTAGGTATATAACCTTGAATAAGTGCTCTAAATTCATTTACTTACCTATCAAATGAGTTTTGAACAGCTGATATTAGGGTTAAACTGTAACATTCTTTAGTAGACATCTGGCAATCAGTTAGACACTACCTAGCAATGGTGATATGTTACGTATTTTGTGTGTGGCTGTTGGCTGTGTGTGTGTGTGTGTGTGTGTGTGTGTGTGTGTCCGAAAATATTTTACTACTTTTGTACAGTTTTCCTAATTGACTGTAAATTCTTTAGAGTAGAGGCCCTTCCTTGAACTTTGCCTTTGTCCTAGGGAGCCCAGCACAAGGCTTCACACAAGGTGCTTCCTCTCATTTGTTAATAGATTGAGAAATTTTCTTAAGATATCATAATGGGAAGTTACATTTAAAGTTTAATGTACATGCTGAAATCTAACACATTAAGCACTTACACGGAATACAATGTTTATTAATACAGAGGCTTTATACAAAGATATTCTCTTTTTTATAGTTTAAAATGGAACTGGCATATATTTCATTTGAGTATTATTTTACTATGATACAATCCTTAACATTTTGTGCAATTTTAAACATCTTAAATGAGTGGCTTTCTTTGCCTTTCATTGGCTATTAAACTGAATAAATGTATTGGCCATGTGAGACGGTGTCATCTATTTATGTTCTCTGGCATCCCTCCCATTAATTTATAATTCTCCAGCCATCTTCATACCAATTCAGCAAGATTGGGTTCCTCTGAGCAGATGGAGTGAGGAAAAAATAAAACAGCAACAAAAAAGGGAGGTTGATAATGCCATCTCTTTGAGCGAGTTTAGCTTGTCATCTCAATGATTCCTTGCTCTTATGACTCCAAGAGACTGAACAGCTTTGTGGACTTTCTTTTTCAAGGCCTGTGATTAGGAAATCTTCCAATTGCCCCTAATTTGTTCCCTCTCCTCTCATTTTCATTTAAAGAGATGAGTTCTGGCAATACAAAGGTATGATACCTGCTTGTCATTTTTTTGGAGTTCCAGTAGAGGCAACTGGCTATGTCCTTTAAAGAATAGAGGGCTATTTCTTGCCCAGATTAAAAAGGAAGCTCTTTTTGACTGTTTAGTAAGGCCATTGAGTAAGGGGGGTGGGGGTGCTGCTTAACAGCATTCTGGAAGTTTGTGGGAGGGAATCCATGAAGTAAGGTAGAATTAGGCAGGAAGTCTGCCCAAGTGGACGCAGAGTAGATATGGCAGTTCTATCTGGGGAGTCCCCGTGAATCATGACATCACTGATCTTGAGAACTGGAATGGTAATTAGTGATCATCTAGTTAATCATCACTCATGTTCTAGGTGAGGAGACTGGGGTTTGGGGTTGTAGGTAGTTGCTTATGATCTATTAGTAGAAGAACTAAGAATAGAAGTCATGGCTCCTGCTTCCTTCTTTTATATGATCTAAAAAGAATAGGCTGCCTCCTGTATCAGATACACACATTAGGTCCCAAGGATGATGGGCTATGGAAACAGTTTGGTATTTCTGGCAGTGAGTATAAATTATCTCATCTGTGGACTCTTAGCCAAAGTAATTTCTCACCAAATATATGTTGAATTTAATTGATGAACAATTTTCTCTGCTTGGTCCAGAGCAAACCAGTTTTCCATATCTTTTGCTGATTGTCCTTCCCTTAGCTTCAATTATGCCAGATACCTGGCATCTCTGTCTTGTGGCTCAGGGTTGTTGCTGAGTGACAGGCAACGCACAGCTACTCATAAAGGGCACCACCAAGAAAGAGTAAGAGTTAAGAAATCTGAGTTCCTCTACAGTTCTCCCAAAGGGCTCTTTCTCCTCTTATCACATTTCCCCAGGATTAGGGAGTGAGGAGTTCACGATATCCACCTTGAACTTCACTCCCACCAGAGCACAACGCACTTACTCTCTTTTACGAAGCCTCTACTTAGCTCAAAATGAGCTAAGTAGAATGTTTCAAGAATGTTGTCATAGAAATATATCATTGTTTCATCCTCCTATTCACTATCCATCTTATGCTCTTCCTTTATCCAAGACTTTGGCACCAGACTTGCTGTCTTCTTAACTCTAAATCTCCTTCCTCTGTAATGATGCATAATCTCCTTTACTCTCGGCCTTCTGTTCTTTGGCGCCCTTATCTCCAGTGTTTTTCTTCCCTCCACTTAAGGCACATACACCCAGTAGTCATACCCCTAGCTTGTCATCAAAACTATGCACTTCCAAAACCACTAATCAAATACCTTGTACTCTGACCACAACCTACTCTCCCTCCAACCTTCTTGTTTATCTTTTCCCTGCGAGGCCATTCTTCAGCCTTTTTTTTTTTATCTCTGTGTTCATCGACATCTTATTTCCTCATTCCCTTCTTATGTGCCATTTCAATTTGGTCATCATGCTGCTGCCCTAAACTAGCTTAACTCTGAGTACACATTGTATTTGTCAGGTAACATCCCATCTGTGTAGTGACCTAGTTGTTCACATTCAGAGTTCCTGCACTCTAGTTGCTAAATGCTGCTAGAGAAAGTCACAAACACTGGGAAAATGTTAATTTGTTATGACCAACCTCAATTGTACTCTTAGCACTACCCAAAATCCTGTTCCATTCTTCTAATCATCTTACTTTTCCACTCTTTGTCTGACATTTCTGCTCTTCTCTCTCTCTCTTTTGTTTCCTTCCTTCTCTCTCTCTCTTTCTTTGTTTCTCACAGAGTTTCACTCTGATTGCCCAGACTGGAGTGCAATGCGTGATCTCGGCTCACTGAAACTTCTGCCTCCCAGATTTAAGCGATTCTCCTGCCTCAGGCTCCCAAGTAGCTGGGATTACAGGCATGCACCACCACGCCTGGCTAATTTTGTATTTTTAGTAGAGACAGGGTTTCACCATGTTGGTCAGGCTGGTCTCAAACTCCTGACCTTAGGTGATCTGCCCGCCTCAGCCTCCCAAAGTGCTGGGATTACAGGCATGAGCCACCATACCCGCCTATTCTCTCACTCTCTTACCTCCTAGGTCTCCTCTTTTCACTACTGAACCTATAAACTTAGACATTTCTGCAACCACTCTCATGTCCCTCCCTCAAATAAGCCCATTTCCTCCACACTCCCTCCAAATCCCATCCCTTTCTCAGAAATTCACTCTAGTATGCCTACACTATTCATTATCATCAACATCATGATTATCAAATGACTGCTTTATATAAATTAATGAGTGTATTGTGTATGTTTTTCCTAAATATGTTACACAATGCAGTCTTTCATGCTTTTGTTTTATTTTTGCTGTAGGCAAGCACCTGACAAAAATAAAATTACTTTTTCGTTTTGAGCTAAATATTATCTCCTATGAAAGGCATCCATAATGTTCACACCTGCGTTGAATAGAATAACCCTCTTTCTTGGCAACAATACGAGTCCAATTCTCATCCTTTTAACAGAAGGACAATTCTGCCTCTCCCAGCTCTGTATTTAAAGTGTGCAGTTCTTGCATAAACAAGCAATGGAACATATCTTCAGTACAAGTACAACATGAAGAGAATTTAATTACAGATGTCTCAGGATTCAGCACTTGCCAAAGGCTTGCTTAGAACATCTCATTTTGGGGAGAAACATTTAATCAGTATGCTTTAAAAGTAGAAAAAGTGTGACCTTTGGAAACAGAGACCTGTTTGAATACCTGCTCCATTACTTACTGCTTATGGGAATTTAAGCAAGTTATTACTTCTCCAAGGGAGAGGTGGGAACATCAGCCTCAGGGGTATCCAGGGACAGATGGGATGTTTATCTGTCATAGAAATCAGGGAAGTCAGGCACAAGGCTAGCACTGGAGATGCTCTCGAGCGGGGCACTCAGGACCCTGAAAGTCTTCACTAGTAGAGGGAGGCAGGTGGGTAGACACAGAGGGTGTCCTGATTCTGCCTGGAAACAGGTCAGCAGAACCCTCGTGAATCATGACATAGAGCAGAAGAAAGTGATTCTTAAAACCCTACTGGCTGATAGGGCAAGAGTTACTGATACTCTCTTCTGAGGAAAGTTAGGTGGACTCCAATTCACTTGGACCTCAAGATGAAGATCTGGGATGGTTAGGATGTGAGGATAGGGTTTGACCAACTGACTATATTCTCAAAATTGTCATGACTGTTAGGTTGGCTCATCACAAAGCTGAGCATATTGTCATGATGCCTTGCAAAATGTCTACAATGAGTTGAAACTTGGTGATTGGTATTTATAGAGGACTGATAGATAAGGAAGTGCTTTGAATGTGGTAGATTATAATGACACATATTCTCAGCCTTGATTGAGCATGCAACTCATTGTGGGTATTTGTAAAATGTACATGTGCAAGCCCCATACTTGAAAGTTCTGATTCAGCAGGTCTGGAATGTTATCTGGTAATCTGTAAGTTCCACATTGATTCAGATGTAGCTCATTTTAAAAAAGCTGCCATATTTGAAAAATATTACTATGTAAAAAGTTGCTAAGCCAGAGTAGATGAACAACTTAGAGACTTAAGAGGAAGAGTTTTCTGAGCTAGAGGAGCTGGATGAAGAGGCCTCAGGGATGGAGGGCGATGGATAAGTGACCTCAGGGCTGGAAGAGGAGGCCTCAGGGCTGGAGGAGGAAGAAGAAGAAGAGACCTCAGGGCCAGAGAAGGAAGAGGAAGAAGAGGCCTCAGGGCTAGAGAAGGAGGAGGAACAGACTTCAGTGTTCTGTAAGGAATAAGACTCAACCTTTCAGGGTCATACTTTGGTAGATGCAAAGCATGGAGTTGAGATAACCAGTGATGGCATGGAAACTATTTTCATTGACTCAGTAGAGGATTCTGAGCCAGAGGAGGAAGAGGAAGGAAAGGGCTCTGAAATAGGAAAGGTAAAGCTACCTCCCTGACTGAGAAAAAAGAAAACTCACATAGACAAAAAGAAATTCCCTTTAGTTATTTGGTTGCGGACTCTGGGAAGAAAATGTTGGTGAAACACCAGGTGGTGTACAAAACCCAGGAGGAAGAGGAAACAGTTGTGCCCACAAGTCAAGGAACTGGCACACCCTGTCTAACTTTATGTTTGGCCTCTCCCTCAAAGTCACTAGAGATAGGTTATGATAAGCATAAAAAACATTCACATACAAATTTGAGTATTTCAACAGGAGTCACCAAACTTTTTAAGAAAACAGAAGAAGAGAGACACAGAACTCTAGAAACAGAAGAACTGACATCCAAAGAAGCAGACTTAACATAGGAAATAGAGGAAAACTTGAGAGGTAGTGTGATTAATAGCATCAGAGAGATAAAAAAGGAGATTGGAAATTTGAAAAGTTCCCATCCAGGAGTGTTGGAAATTAAAAATTCAGTAGATGATCTGAGTAGCGGAATGGACATACTTGAAGAAAGAATGAACAGTCTAGAAGATCAAATTGAAGAATTCTCTAAGAATACAGTCCAAACGACCAAAAAGATAATTAATAAAGAAAGGCAAAGAGATAGAGAGGATAGATCCAGAAGCTCCAACATTCATTTGATAGGAATTCCAGGAAAACGGAATAATGAGAATGGAGCAGAGGACATAATTAAGGAAATAATTGATGAAAACTTTGCAGAACTAAAGAAAGTTTCAAGTCTTGAGATTGTCAGTGCTTGCTGAGTACCTAGTAAGATTGATGAAAAGAGACTGACCCTAGACACATCTTGGTGAAATTTTGGAATTCTAATGATAAAGAGAAAATAATAAGGACTTCTATAGAGAGAAGAGAAATAATCTACCAAGGAACAAGAATCAGATTGACAGCAGACTTATCACTGGACACACTGGATGCTAGCAGTAAATGGAGCAATATCTTTAAAGTTCTGCAGGAAAAAGGCTTTAATCCTAGATTCCTATATCCAGCCAAACTAGCATTTGATTTTAGGGATAAAACAAAGGTATTTTTTGATATTGAAGAATTTAGAGATTATGTTTCACATATGGCCACTTTGAGTTAATTACTGGAGAATATACTTTAGCAGTCTAGGGTGACTATAAACACAATATGCTTTTCTCCCCCAGCACACATCCAAAAATCAACAAGTAAAACTGGAGAATACACTTCTACCCAGAAGGATGGACAGCTAGCAGCATACTTGGGGATGAGGAGCAAGGAATATTACAGATGTTACCTAGATGTTAATAAAGTTAAAGTGTATGTTAAAAAAAACAGGCTGGTCTGAAGGTAGTTAGTTATTTCAGTTGATTGTTCACAGTCAGTTACAGATAGAATTCCTTGTTCTACTTGCCTCTTGCCCCCATCTCACTACTGCAGTTGACTAGTCCTTTTAGAATTTATACTGTCCTAGCTTGTCTAAGAGTAAACATCCTATGCTACTGGGGGAGGGGCACACCTGTCAATATAACCAGTCAATGTAGCAGGAAAACAGGAGGGGGCAGTAACAGAGAAGCACAGGGGGAAAGATGGCAAGGTTAGTTAAAATAGAAAAAGCCACTGCTGTGCTTGGTGGCTCATACCTGTAATCCCAGCAATTTGGGAGGCCAAGGCAGATGGATCACTTGAGCCCAGGAGTTCAAGGCCATCCTGGGCAGTGTGGTGAAACCATCTACAAAAAATACAAAAAGAGGAAGAAGAAAGGATATTTCATAAATTTGTATCATTTGTCATGATGTGAATCTTGAATCTTTATATTAAATCTTTTGCCTTTGGAAAATAAAAGAAAAATATTACTATGTAATCTGGTTCTAAGACCTGTACAATACAGCTCACATTATGTTTAGGTCTAGGTATTTGTATTAATTCTGGTTCAACAATAAAAATTTTTAGAAAAATCAGCTATAGCAATTAACTAATCTCAGTTGTCTCACATTATTCCTTGTTTGTTCTAAGTGGCCTTGTTTAATTTTTAAAATTTAAAATATTTATTTTGCATTATATTTAAAATTTTAAAAATCTTTTCAAATTATCCTGATAGCAGGTTAGTTAAAATTTATAATACATATAGTCATATATATTGTGGTGCAGGAAGAGAAAATAGTTTGTTTTTGTAATTTCCCTAAACCACAATTTTCTCAACTGTAAAATGGGAATTATGTAGATTACAGTTAAACTACCTCCTAAGGTCATTTTGATGACTAAATGAACTAAAATACTTAAAATGATGCTTTGGCGTATATTGGCCACTCAAATGCAAGTTGTTATTCATGAAAATTCATGAATTTTATTGTCTCTTATTGAGAAGGGATATTATACCAAATTCATAAAATTCTCTTCCTAAGAGACTGATAATAGTGCTCTAATCTCTCAGCCTAGTTTTGAGCACTAATACATTAAATTTTGGAGAGTATTTCTATTGGTTTTTGCAATTTTTTAATAGATAGCACAAAACTTGCTGAAATGCTATTGAAGCTGAAAATATAAGTTTAACTAAGACTATATCCAGGGAGAGAAATGCATATTGTGTCTTTAAGTCGATTTTTTTTCTATTTAGGTAACAGCATGCATTGAGCTTTTAATTTTATTGGGAAGGCTGCTTTAGGATCTTTGGAAAAATAGCACAGAAGGAGACAGTTTTGTTCCTACCACCCTATCCTCCAGGCCTTGACCCCATGGGGAGTTTACAGTCTGGACATGACACTGATGCATTGCCTCCATGTTTGATGGGCAGAAAGGAATGTGTAATGATTAGTCCACATATCCTATCCAGTGAACACTTAGAAACAGCCTACCATGAATTTTCTTGAAAAGAATTTACTTTACAGTCTTTCTTTGCTAAGAACAATGGTTGATAAGAAAAATTAATGTATAATTGATAGTATACATTTTTCTTGCTAGTCTAAAGGTAACTGTTTTTTAAATTCATTCTTCTACTATGGATCTTTTGACAATCAAACATTTTCAAGTGTAGAGCCTGTGACAATGTGAAATAAGTTAACAGATTTTAAAAATATATATTCCTTTGGTGATACGAAAGCAGAGCTTTTTTCTATTTAGACAGATGCGTGGTAAATAAAAGTATCTAGAAATGTAAACAAAGTATAAATTCTGCTGATGTTTCTCATAAATTTTAGCAGGCTGAGCACGGTGGCTCACGCCTGTAATCTCAGCAATTTGGGAGACTGAGGCAGGTGGATCACATGAAGTCAGGAGTTTGAGACCAGCCTGGCCAACATGGTGAAACCCCATCTCTACTAAGAATACAAAAATTAGCCAGGCGTTGTGGCACAGGCCTGTAATCCCAGCTATATGGGAGGCTGAGGTAGGAGAACCGCTTGAACTCAGCGGTGAGCTGAGATTGTGCCATTGCACTCCAGCCTAGGCAACAAGCATGAAACTCTGTCTCAAAATGAATAAATAAATAAATGAATGTTTAGCAGAATAGAAAAATCTTTTTGACTGAATCTAGACTTCAACCATATTTTACACACATGACCGTTCTTAATTCTCATGCCCTCTTTCCATCTTTTTTCTGCAACAAAGAACCATGGCGATTAATATAAAAAAATAAGTTTGTCATATTTTATTTATTGTGTTTTTAGCTGTTCTGTATTATGAAATAATCATTTACATACGAAATAAGTGACTGTGGAGTAGAAAATGGAAGACTTGTGTTTTTGAATAATCAAAAGCCATTATATGTCTTTTTAAATTCAAATTTCCAACTATTGTGGACTGAGGAAAAAGTTGAATGTAACTCTTGATTTAATTGAATGTAAATCACTTTTCGATAATTGGTTCCTCTGCATTGCTTATCATTTTTGTTTGCTTTAGTTTACCTGGGATCCAAGTCAATGCACTTGCGATGATGCTTAAAATATAGACACAATCTTATCACTTCCTGGCTATCTTTTATACTTAGCTTTTTCCGTGCACTATTAGGAATATGCCTGGTTCTGGTCAATCTATACATATGTGAAATTATACTGAATATTATAGAGTTGTTACACTAGTGGAAAAAATTTTCATTTAAAAATTAACTAAAAGTTGCTTTTTGCATTACAGCTATGTTAGTCAACCAAAATGTTTAGAAGTCTTTTTTTTTAATTTTATTATTATTATACTTTAAGTTTTAGGGTACATGTGCACAATGTGTACATCACTATTCAGTTCAGGTACTATGAATAGTGATTCCAACTTGGCCAGGCTGCTGTGGCTTAAGTCTTGGCCTCATCATTTACCTGTTTGACCTTAATGTTCATTAACTACTCCATACCACATTATCTTCTTATTTAAAATGATACTTTTATAGATTTTTAAATTTGTTGTAAAGATTAAATTCATTAGTACATTAAAAGTACCTGACATATAGAAATCACTCATTGAACATTAGCATTTGACCTCCTTTGTGCTCTTTCTATTGGAAGACGTCTGCTCTAAACCTGATTATGCCTCTTGCAAGCTGTTAGACTCTAAGCAAGTCCTGTCATCTCTCCACCCAAAGATATCCTTGGTTTTAAAATAAAGATAAAATGCTTATTTGACACAATTGTCCGAACAATGAAATAAAATGTCATATATGATCAAGCCTAGTAGGTAGTAGGGGAATATGAAACAAATAAACATGAAAAATAAACACTTCCAGGCAACCTTACGCTTCTGAGATTGGGAGGAAGGCTGATTAAGCCTAGGAAATCACTCATTGTGTTTAAATTGTCAAATTGTGCAGCCAATGGATTCTGTTATTCAAGAATTGCACAATTCCTTTGGGTTTATTCATCTGTTTATTTATAAATTCATGTTTCAGTGGGGAACATCTTAAACAGCTCCATAGCGAGACAGCAGTTAGTTTGTGAGCACCTCAAAATTTGTGACAGAAACCTAAAATACCATTTGACAGTGTTTTCTTCCAAGAAGATAATCCTTAGAAAAACTGTAATACATGCAATCAGTAATTTTCTTAAAATATCTGTATTTTTAACATTTATTCTCATGGTTTTCTCAGAAAGGCTTATGATTGATCCAATTTTTAAATTAAATTTTAGCACACCTGAGCAGGAAATACTACATGTAGAAGGCTGAGTGCATTTAATTTTTACATCATTTCCTTCTTTTTCTTTGCTCTTCTCTTTCCCCTGTCCTACTTCTTTTTATCTCTGGTGTTTTTTGTTTGTTTCTTTTGTGTGTGTGTGACAGGGTTCTGCTCCGTCATCCAGGCTGGAGTGCAGTGGCATGGTCATATCTCACTGTATCCTTCACCCCCTGGGCTCAAGCAATCTTTCTGCCTCAACCTCTCGAGTAGCTGGGACTACATGATTCTGTGTTAGTATCTATGTTTTTTACTAAAATTGGTGAGGAGATGCTTTGAATGGGTAATTCATCACCCCATTAGCAGTCATGAATACCCCGGCTTGTATCAACTCCATTGGTGATCACTTGGCATCACTTTATGAGAATAAACAGAGATGAGATTAATAAGGGGGCTCAGACATCCAGAAGAGGCGGGTTTCATATGTGAGCCAGTACTGGGCATGGATGGAAAGGCTGAAAATAGAAAGTGAGGCAGTGCCACGGGAGAGCTGCTCTCTATCCTCACAAGCCCCAGTGCGGGAGGGGTTCCTCTTCTCTTACCATCTTCATTTTGTCACACTCCAAAAACTCAAGATATTACATGACCACACAACTTTACTTTTAACTTGTTTTGCTTTGTTTGGTATTGAGTCTATTTCATTTCACTGCAAACAGAAATCTACTGTGAAAGACCTTAATTTTTGGCATTGCCTGTCCTTTATCAGCTGCCTCATGTTTGTCTAGCTATATCCTGCCAGTGACTAAAATGACCCCCAAATGACAAGCTTTGGCAGGAGCATGTGTATGAACCTTTCAGACACAGACAAAATAATCTAGAGAAAAATTCTCCAAAGGCCCAGACATAACAAAGGCCTGCTAGGAAATCTAGATTGTTACCAGAGAGTAACTACTTGTCACCGTAGCATTAAAGACTTTGATTTCTCTTTCCAGACTCAAGCACAGGAGTGAGAAATATTATGATTATAATGAAATTTTAATTTTCATAATATTCATGGCTTGTGTAGCTGAGACCATGATCTTTTCTTCTCTGCCCCTTCACCCCCAGCCCCTCCTTCTCTTCTGTCCATTTCCACAAGGCATTTTCAGGTCACTGGATCGGCAAATTGATTAGTTTATATTTAAAGTTTAGGGACTGTTCAAAACTGAATGTGACATCTCCCTCAGTGGCAGCATGATAAAAGACAGTGATATTTTACTCCTGTCCCTCATTTTGGTCTCCAAGCTAAACCTAGAAAAATCTCAACAAACAAACATATTTGGGTAGCAAAAATAAAAGAACGAATTTATTACCACAAATTACCATTCATGAACAAAGCCATGAGTGATCGCTGAAGATGGATGATTTGCTTCATCTGTCCTTTAGTTAAGCAGTTCTCCACTTAATTCAGATGCTGGGAAAATATTTCCTTGGCAGATGGGTGAGCTGGAGATCAGTATTTATAGAATCATTATACCCTGTCACATTGTTGCAGAGAACACTCTGAGAGCTTGATGACCGGAGACTTTGCACTTCTGTGGTCGCATTTCTGTGATCCTTCCAGAAACCCTCTTCTAAAGACTGCCACTCCCTGTATGGCAAAGCATCTTCCAAAAGTCATTCTGAAGTGATCCTGCCTGGGTTTGTCTGAGCTGCTCTCTATGCTCTCAGCTATGGATAAGCTTCATACTCCTGCGTATGGCAAAGCATCTTCCAAAAGGCGATCCTGCCTGGGTTTGTCTGAGCTGCTCTCTATGCTCTCAGCTATGGATAAGCTTCATACTCCTGCGTATGGCAAAGCATCTTCCAAAAGGCATTCTGAAGTGATCCTGCCTGGGTTTGTCTGAGCTGCTCTCTATGCTCTCAGCTATGAATAAGCTTCATACTCCTGCAGCGTTAGGAATAGACACTTAAGTCTTATTCTCCCAGGTATAATCAAGTAAGAAAAGGGAAGGAATATGGATTGTAGATCAGTTTTTTAATATATTGGGTACATTTTGTTGGAAGCTCCAGGAGAGAAGGTTCAAAGTATGTAATCACAGTACTTTTCTCCATATAGTGTTTAGGAAAATATAGTAAAGAAGGCAATTAATAAAATGTTATTACAACAATGCTATCCTAAATGATTCCCAGAGGAATGCAATATAACAAAAACAATGTCTTCAAGTTTTCAAAATCTTGTTCCCATGGAGATGGGACTCTCATCCTCTCATAAAGGGCACATCACTAAAATAATACACTAAAATGAACAATGGCATTATTAAAAATAGAAAACCTATTCTAAATATACTCAGTTCTTAAATTTAGCATATTCTGATTTATGTAGGCAATGTTAAGAGAACAAAAACTCACTTTGATTTTCTTAAGTGTAAGTTTCTCCACGTTCTCTCATCCTTCATCCCTACCCACAGATGATTGAAATTGAGCAAGTGGCTGTCACTCTGACATACTGCCCCATTGTTTCCTATCTTTCACCATTCTGCCATTTGCCGGTTGCCAGTTGCATTATCTAAAATACAGTAATCTGGGCAGGAAAGCATTATTATCATCTTCATTTCACAGACGAGAAAGCTGAAATCAAGGGAAGTTAACATATCCCAGTATTGTAGCCGGTAAGTGATGAAGCCAGGTTTTGGACTTAAGTCTCCTCAACTTTAAAACCTAGGTTTTTCCAGAAACTCAGCTATGATCACTTCCCTAGGATTGTGTTCAGCATCAACAACATATTGTGCAAATAAAAGCTTATAACATTGTCTTTATAAAAAATAAACACTTTCTTTTTTTTCTCAGTGGTTACATCATAGAACAGGAATCCGATTCTGGGCAAAGTTGATTAGTTGTGTTATTAGTTCTGGTATCTCTGTGGGATAGTCACATCTCTGTGCTCTAAAATGTGGACCAAACCAGGCTAATGTTGTGCTCGAGGCTTCTTCCTCTCTCCGTAGAAACAGCCCCAGCCTTTATGCACTGGTGACATATGCTGCCATTTTAACTGTTTGGGTTGATGGTTTCACATCAACTTTATTTTCTGTTTCAAACCTGTTATATAATATAAAACCCACTGTGAGAGAATGTTCTGTTTCTAAACTAAAGTGAGGAGTTATGCCATTTCCACCATGCACCTAGTAAAAAGAGAATAGCTCATTTGGAGTGTGAAAATAACTAAATAGGGCCCAGAGGTAGCAGCAGTACCATCTTCTTTTCCTCTGCTCCACTGTTGCTTAATTTTAGAAGGACTTGATTCTTTCCTCCATTTTTCTCTAGGTATATTATTTTCATCATTCAACATTTAAGAACTTTTAGATCATGAAATTTTATAGTCAACCTTGGCAAGGTTTCTATGAAGAATTGGAAAATATCATCATTCTTTGTATCATCTTTGTATGGCTTTGGAAGGCTTCACTAATAACCTCTATATTTCTAAAACATGTGTTGGGGAAGGAGAGGAAAAGAGAAGTGACGGTACTTTTAATTCTTTAGATTATTTCCTTTGGAAATCTAGTAACCAGTCTGTAGTTTACCTACTTATAAATGAGTTGAGTCTCTTATTAAAATTAGTAACACAATGAAATGTTAAAACAAGAAACAACTAGTTTTTTTTTCAAAGATAATGACTAGTAATTGTGAAGATGTTCAGAAATTTTCAAGGTGGTATCCTCATGGTGGATGTTTAAATTGGTGTAGACTTTTTGAAGAACAATTTTTTAATCCCATAAAAATATTCAGAAGAACATATATTTTGACTAAACTTTTTATTTCCAAAATCATATTGTAAAATAATTTAGAACATGTGTATAGATATCAATACAAGTATGTTGATTACAATGCACAGTGAAACCACAAACTCATGCACGTCAAACTGATAAAAAACTATTTCCAACCAATTGACAATAGGAGATTGATTGGAAAATTTACCAATAGAGTTAACTACTATTTAGCCATCAAATATTATATTGTAAATATCTATTACCGATTTATCCATCCATCCATCCACCCATCTAAACTGTTCACATGGAAAGAAGTTTATAGTGTATTACTAAATAAAAATGTGTTACAAAATATGATTTCAAGCATGATCTTATAGACACACACAATACACAGAAGGACAAATGTACATGGTAAAGCCTGAATGAATATACAGCAAGGTGTTAAACATGTAAAATATACGGCTTTTTCCCTAATTTTTAAATCTGTACTCCATTTGTTTTCTTCAAAGGACATGTATGGCTTTTATATTAAAGGAGAAATTTTTTTTATAATCTCATAACCAACAAATATTCAAGTTGACCTACATTTTTTAATAGTCTTCTGTAAATTGGAATGGATATATTTTATTTTTATTAAGGATATAATACAGATTTAGAAATGGTAAAATTAGATCGTATAACAGGAGTAATTAACAGATGACACTTTCTTGATCTTTCCCACCCAAAAATTAAATTGTGTTGTGATTACACATCAGTTTCACTGTTCTTAAAAGTCCCTACTGAAAATGTGTTTGATTTATATTAAATAGATTAGTTCCCGTAACAAGTTCAAGAGAACAGCTGCTCACATCCTGGAAAACATGAACATTTACATCCATATTCATATTTTTGTAGTTCAAGAGAGCAATAAAAAAAAACACGTGGAAAGAACTGAGAAATATACCAACCATCTTGTTATTTAAAGGCTGTCAATTATCCAAATGTGTGACCCAAAGGCAATGGAATTACATTACATTACATGACTGAACGTCACTATCTTTGTACTTTCCCAGTGCAAGATGTCAAGTCTTTCTAGCACCTGACCTATAATATCACAGTTTAATGGGAAGACTTATAGAACCCAAAATACACAGATGCCTTAGGAAGTGCAGAATAGCACTGTTGAGTACTGAGGTCTGTTCATCAAATGAACAGTCAACAGAAATGACTTTTAATAAAGGTGGAGTGACTTGGAGAGGTCTTTCCTCACATGGGAAATAATAAGAAATTTAGTAGCTGTGGATCAATATGTTTTCAAGACAGATATTCAGAAGATCATTCCATTGCTTTCAGGTAGTAAAGATTTGTGCCAGTCTCTAGCAGCCCATGCATACGTAATAGATACACACCAATTAGATGGCAGTTGGTAATCTGATTTTCCTTTATTTTTCTCTTGGCGATCATTATAGTGTTGTCTAATAAGATGGAATTAGAGGATCTCTAGAGGATGGTAATTTCTACCTGAATTACAAATAGGGATGCAGTGAAATAGGATGATTCATTCTCACCTGTAGCCTGGTCTCATCCCTGCCTTGATTCTCAGTGCAATCTAAAGCTTGTTGTGTTATACACCCATTCCAATGCAATCTAAAGCTTCTTGTATTATACACCCATTCCCTGATTTCTTTATTCTTCATCTGCTCCACTTTATTCCAACAAATAACAAAATGCCTTGGTACTGAAGAAACTCATTATAGCTTTCTCATTATTATATTATCTAAAAGACATCCCCGGGAGAACCATGTCCTTTAAATATAGAAATATAGAGTGAAAAGTTAATAACCCCCTGTGATTATTTTGATGAAAATCAGAGGCATTTTCACAGCTCTTCCATTTTCAGAGTGAGCTCTCACAGGGATAAGCTCCTTGGCAATTAATATAAAGAGTTTGATGAACATCACTTGACAAAGAGATGGAGTCACAGAGTCCCTGAATGTCACCACCTGTTGGACAGTGTCAGAGCGAGGTGGGACTCACCTCTCTTACCTAGCCAGTCTTGATTCATGCTTTGTTGCTCACTAACTAGGAGTCTAGAGACGTGCTCATTGTTCTATACTCTGCCCAGTTTTGTTTTTATGTGCCCTATTTCCCACATCTATACAATAAATGCAATGCATTCATGGCTTTTGATTATGAGACACATTTGCCTCAAAATGCAACTTGCTGACCATACCTCAGATTTATTAATACTTGAACACATACACTATACATAAAGCATTATATTCAGTTTAGACCATTTCATGATTCAGAGGGAGATCATCACAACTGAGGTTATACCTTAGACCCTTGTTACTCATGAAAACAACTACTTCCTTTCCTTTTGTTTTCTCTAAAACAAATTTAGAGGACCATGCTAATTAAAATAGCTGCACTGGGGATTACAGTTTAAAACTTTATTTATAAATGTGTTATATCCTTTGTTTTCTAGAAAATTGATTTCTTTCTGATTTATCAGTATTTGACCACACTCTAAGAAGTAAGATTTTGGCCGGGCGCGGTGGCTCACGCCTGTAATCCCAGCACTTTGGGAGGCCGAGGCGGGTGGATCATGAGGTCAGGAGATCGAGACCATCCTGGCTAACAAGGTGAAACCCCGTCTCTACTAAAAATACAAAAAATTAGCCAGGCGCGGTGGCGGGCGCCTGTAGTCCCAGCTACTCGGGAGGCTGAGGCAGGAGAATGGCGTGAACCCGGGAAGCGGAGCTTGCAGTGAGCCGAGATTGCGCCACTGCAGTCCGCAGTCCGACCTGGGCGACAGAGCGAGACTCCGTCTCAAAAAAAAAAAAAAAAAAAAAAAAAAAAGAAGTAAGATTTTGTGACTCATATTTCAGTCCTTGGTATTTTTCAAGGCCTTTGGTTATTTATTTTGGCTTATTGTAGGTACTAAAAGGCTTGTGTCTTTCAAAATTCAGTTTGGTTGCTTTTGGTTTGGGTGTGCTTGGGTGGAACAAAAAAGGAGTTACCTTTTAAAAAAAGGTCAGGAGTTTCTACAAAACTTCTATGATATTTTGTGGTATTTGTAAAATAAGTTTGCTTTCAGGGTCTCACTACATAATGACAACAGATTGAAAATAGGTGGCCTCACACTGAGGCAGTGGTTTGCCAGATCTACCTTGTGGTTAACTGGCTGGCTTATCCCAAGGCCCCCAGTATTCACCATCAGTATTGTTGATTGGCAAGTAACACCTGCTGTTCTTCATCAGCTGTCTTTATTTATGCCTTATTGCTTTGTAATTACACATGGATATATTTTAGTTCACAAATAAGTTTTTTGTAACAATTTTTCTTGAAATAATTTCAGATTTACATGAAGTTGCAAATATAATGAGTTCTGTATACATTTCCCCAGGTTCTCCCCTTGTTAACATTTTCCCCAATAAGATTTTAAACTTCTTAATGACAGAATATGTCCCATTTGTCTCTTGAGCCCTTTGTAGCACTAAGAACTTGTACCTAGTACTTACTGATTTTATTTGAATAAATTGAGGGTAGATAGACAACTGGAGAAGTAATTTCAGCTCATGTACACTTTACAGATAAGTAAGAGTGGTGGTTGTATTTATTACAAGTACAATACAAACACCCTACATAATTGCAAGCTTGGGAACAAGCTCTCATTTGCTTTAATTTTTCTTATGACTTTTCCAAATGATTATCATGATGGCCTTAATTATGCAAAGGCTTTGCCTAATTTATCTCAGAAATGCTTGAGAGATCAAAATTGGTCCATTTCTCCAAACAGATTACAAATTATATCAGGAATAGTATTTCAGGAAAGATTGACATTTATTTCATGTATTATATCAGGTTTATGTGTTTTACTAGCTAGTTTTATAAGATTAATTTACATCATTGGACTTTTCCGTGTTTTATTGGTGCTGAGAAGCCTTTAAAAACGTGTCATCTAATGTCCTTTTTCGGATGACTTTGGAACTCTCAGCAGTCATCTTTGTAAATATCATATTTGCTTGTGCTGATGTGCACTGAACTTTAAAAATCAGAGAAACTTCTAACATCAGTCAGAAAAACATACATAGCATATTGGAGAGATCTGTGAACTGGCACTGTTCCTGCTCTGTGGAAAGAAAAAGATGAAAAGCATTAAAACCTTGAAGCCTAGTGCACATTAAATGTTTTGTATGGTGCTGGCATTGAACACAGAAATCTCTGTGCAAGTTTAAAAACTCTTATTTGCATAGAGAATGCTGTAATTCAAGAGCAAAATAGACATTTCTTGGGCTTATTTGCATTTGATTATATATCCATGTAGGGATTTTGATAACAGCATCACTGAATGGATATGATAACTAAAAAGGAGTCCTTTCTGTGGAAAACAGGTACTAAAGCAAAACTTGCACAATTTGTATTAAAGTTTGAATTACTTTCTCAGAATAAATCCCAGTAATAAATGAAATCATATGTCCAAATGTCATCCATTGCCTGACATTCCTAATGCAATCTCTTCTTTGGAAAGGAATTGATGCCTCCACATAAATGCCTGTGTGTTAGTTCATTTTCATGCTGCTATGAAGAAATACCCATGACTGGGTAATTTATAAAGGAAAGAGGTTTAATTAACTCACAGTTCCACAGGACTGGGGAGGCCTCAGGAAACTTACAGTCATATCAGAAGGGGACGCAAACACATCCTTCTTCACATGGTGGAAGGAAGAAGTGCCAAGCAAAGGGGGTAAAGCCCCATATAAAACCATCAGATATTGTGAGAATTCACTCACTATCATGAGAACAGCAGCATGGGGGTTACAGCCCCCATGATTCAATTACCTCCCATCGGATGCCTCCCATGACCTGTGGGGATTATGGGATTCAAAATGGGATTTGGGTGGGGACACAGCCAAACCATATCAGCCTGTTTCTCCAAAGGCAACTCAGTCAAGATAATTACTGAGGAATAAGATAACCTCACATCCAGTTCCAATCAGTAATCAGGTTCATTGGTGCATCGAGGGACTATAACTAGAGAGAGGCTTGTTGTTATAGAGAGAGAGCATCACTAAAGTTTTCACACATTCCAGTAAAGATCAGGTTGTTTTGCTACAGAGAATACTTTGGCTGAAGTGTCTCTGGTTTCAAAAGAAGGCTCCCAGTCACACTTTTGCATATGCCATCCCTTGGTCTATGGTATGGTGAACCTAGTACATTCCAGTCTGGTCTGATGAAACAGCTGTTGTCTACTCCTGCATTGAACATAACATTCTGAAGTGACTCATCTCTTTTCTCTCCTCAAATGTAATCGAACTAGCAGAAAATGTCTGGAATTATTTCTAGACCCTTTTCAAGTATAAGTTTATTAGGAATGTCCCTTTCCCTCTCTCCTAAAGTCACCGTATACTTTACCTTCCAACCTGATGGAGTAAATGCTATTTTATTTTATTTGTGTTATTTTGATTGAATAATGCTAGTCAATGCAGAAGCATGGGATACAAGCTCCCTGATGAAATCTGGTACTCAGCAGCACTTGAATCAACTTGGCAACTTTCCTGTCAGTGGGAATAACATAGAGATAACTCTCTGGGGAGGTATGAGAAAGCAAGAGGGGACATTTGAGAAAACAACAAAAGCACCAGGGAGTTGAAAAGCCGGGATTTCTTCTCCATTTGATCACTAACTGAGTGGTGTCTTCGATTTCCTTATAAAGTTCAATATCTATTCATTTTGGCTATATATATGGGCATTGGAAGCATTTAAAATATCCACTAGTTCCAACTAGAGGATGCCATTTTTGAAACCAGAAGAAAGCTGTCAAAGGAAAGAGCAGGCCTTGCTTCTTCAGGTATTTCTTAGCATTATGTGCATTTTCTATGTAAATTGTTCCCAATGCCCAAATTAAAAAAAAAAAAAAAGCTAACCCCTTGCAATAAAGAAACAAGCAAACCAAACAAAAAGAAAGCACCCAGACAACAACAACAAAAACTCAAACATATACTTGGTCACAACATCTTTGATGTAAGAAACTAAGCTTATCTTGTGGCCTATGGTCCCTCAGCTTAGCATTGTATTCCCATAGAAATAGTTACGTGGTTCCTGAGACAGCTCATGTCTTACACTGCCCTGCCCACCATTAGGCACAGAAACACACATTTATAATCCAGTCAGCCTCATCAAATTTATTTCAGTCCCTCAAGTGAATCTTTTTTTAATTTGAAATTTTTATTTTCTCATTGAAACTGTCAGCATTAAGAAACTTACCTGGAATCCCATGGCTCTCTTTATTCACAGGGAGTATTCAATTTCCTCTGTAGTACATGGTCTTCTGGACATATTCTAAGCAATATATTTGTTAGCACAGTCGTTTCAACTGGGTAAAACTTACTGGCAATAAGACTTGAATTTACTTTGTTATACATTTCCAGTGATAACCAAAGCTTAGGTGCTTTAATATTATAAATTTTAATTCTCTCATTTTTTGTATCTATGAATAATTTTCCAAGCGTGACTGTTCATATAACAAAGTAACTGTCTATACTAAATTTTGGAGTTTTTCCATATATCCACTCCCAAGCCTGTCATTCTGTGACTTTGCTGTTAATTTCAGGAAGCAGTGTTGGGTTTATTAATTTAATGTGGGAAAGTCAACTCTAAGGACACAGCTGTAAGGAAAGTCAACTTGATATTACCCATATCATCTGTTGGGTTTATTAATTTAATGTGATTATCAATTTGATGATAAGCAGAATATTCTGCAGCAATAGCATTCAGCAGTACTTGCACGCCAGAATGAGATCCTTTTCCAAAATAGTTTTAGCTAAGTAAGGTATCTTAGCAGTTATATTGCTCCTAATCACTTGATAAGGGCTCTTTACCAAAGAAGACAAGATAGTCCCATTAGCGCTACGTAATAAGGTGCAATAAAGTGATCAACAGTCATCTAGCTAATCTTAGAAGCTGTTCCTGACATTTTAAACTGTTCTTCAAGTAAAAGGGCAAATATTTTGGTAGGCTGCACATTCCATTTGGGTTGGACAGCATTCAGAGCTCTCACAACTAACTTCAGATTTTCCATTGTATCATACTTGTTTGCAGCTGTAAGGAAAGTCAACTTGATACTATCCATATCACAGTAGGCTGCTCCTCCTCCACTTCTTCTGGACAGTTTTATACCTTCCCTCAACAGGTTCAGGTTACACTCCTGCCAAGGACTGTGGTGCCTATCATTTATAACAGCAGCAGACTTTCTCCAAAAGGAAAAAACTGGCTTGTCTTTTAGATTTATATGGGCGTGGATCCAATCTTCTATGGCCAGATTTTGGTAAACATCATTGGAAATTAACTGTGAAATAAGCCCATTTTTTTTTTAACTACACTTTTAAAGTCAGCTTCTGGAATCTTGAGGCGTTACAGAATTACTGAAAGCCATTCTCCATTGGCAGTGGGATCAAGGGTCCCAGGCATGTTTTATTTCACTTTTTTGGCTCTTGCTGGGTGTGCACACAGCTGGCATCCACAGGTTTTATATTTTATAGCCTCCTGTGTTGGGAATAAACCATTCCTAATCATGAAATTGGATCATCCCAAGAGCTAAGCGTAAGCTGCAGTGCCTGTAGCACCAGCCAGGGATGGTCCCAGGAGGTGTAGATGTGGGACCTGGCCTCAGGGTCTCTGGTTCCCACCTGCCACCTAAATGAGGGGCACAGGACACAGCATACCTCCCTTGGAATTAATCTTTTTGCTCTTCTCTTTCTCTGGTTTTCTTGCAGTGCTCTTCTCTTTATTCTTTATTCTGTTGACAAATCCATTGGTTTCTAAGTTAGATGTTATTTCCTTGACAGTCGTTCCCAATCTACTCCAGATGAAATTAGGCCTTCATTTTAAGTGGACATCACTTGTGATGTCCCTGGCATAGGACTTATGTCCCTGCAAGGTACTACCATATAATGTAATGTAAATAGTATATCTCTTTATCTATATTCCCAGCTCCAGAGTTACTCTTACGGGTGTGGGATACACCCATGTTCTTAGAATGGGCAGTGGACATGTGGATCATTTGATCTCCTAACCCTCAAGGGTACCTGGCAGAACTTAGGGTCTCATCCCTTTATTCCAGTAAAAATATTATATTTTCTGGGCACCCAGGTGTGAAAGTACATGATCCAAAAGTCTCTTTGAGCCTAATGCTTGCTGGTTTTCCTGTCATAAGGCTTTCTTGGTGAGCATCCATCACTCAAAAATTTTGTTCCTGGATTTTATCCCTCCTCTGAAACCAGGTATTATGCTTAGGATGATTTTCCTTATTTCCAGTCATAAAATACAATGTATCAAAATGTTTTTAGTGTGTCCTTTTCCCAGAATTGTTCTTAAATAATCAATACAATATTTTTCCTATGAATCCTTTTAAACATTTTCAATTTATTCTTTAATTGTTCTGCTCCTGCTGCTGCCTATATCATAACATTTAATACTTTAGATCTTCCTTCTTGGTTTCCATGACATCACTTTTTGCTATTTATGCTCTCTGTTTCCTGACTCTATTCTTCATCCCAACCCTAAATCATGACCCTCTCCCTAAACTCCAGCCTTGAACTTTTGTTCTAGTCTCTGCCCTTTAAGGATTCCTTGGCTTTTGTTCCCCAGGCTTTTGCTGTCCTCAGTAAATAAATGACTTTCCATCTCATCTCCAGCTGAAGCCTCTCATTTATAGTTTCAGTTGATTATAGGACATTTCCATTGGCATTTTCTATCACAGCCAAATTGTAAGAGTACAAAAAGGAGCATTAGTTCCCTTTGAGATCAGAGGTGTAGTGAGCAGGTGAGCTGAGATCACTATGAGCATTTGCATTTGGGAACACAGTGATAATGGGAGTCAGGGATGAAAACTGAGGGTGACCAAAAAGCCAGCGATAAAGGGAGAAAGCAAAAAGTATGGACTAGATAAAGCCAGCTCAGAATATTTCCTTGCTGGACTGTTTCTCTGCTATTCAGATACCTTTTTTTCTTTTATAGTAACAAAAATACATACTTGTGAAGAATATGTGAAAATCACAAAACTATAAATGAGGCCAATTTACCTGCAATATTATCACCTAGAGTTAATGGTCATTAATATTTTGGTGTATATTCTTCCATACAGCCTCTTTACAGATATTTGCATCATAATGTACCTACTTTTTGTACTCTGTTTTTAAAACAATATAAGCATTTTCACATGCTGTGAAATGTTCTAGAACATGAGATTTTTTTTGTTTTTGTTTTTGAGACGGAGTCTTGCTCTGTCGCCCAGGCTGGAGTGCAGTGGCACAATCTCAGCTCACTGCAAGCTCCGCCTCCCAGGTTCAAGCCATTCTCCTGTCTCAGCCTCCTCAGTAGCTGGGATTACAGGTGCCCGCCACCAGGCCCGGCTAATTTTTTTTTGTATTTTTTAGTAGAGACGGGGTTTTACCGTGTTAGCCAGGATGGTCTCGATCTCCTGACCTCGTGATCCGCCCGCCTCGGCCTCCCAAAGTGCTGGGATTACAGGCGTGAGCCACCGCGCCCGGCAAACATGAGTTTTTTAATGGATATACTGAGCTTCAGTATATAGGTTTTATATCATGTATTTAGAAAAGTCCCTATTGTTAAATCTCAGAGTTAAGAATAGCTTTGAAGAAACTCAAGGAATTTGAGTGACCTATGGAGAAACCCCCTTTGAGTGGATCCTTAGTGGCAGAAATAGAGAAGAAATAGTGTGAACCACTAACAGAAACATAGCTTCAAGAGTCAGAAGATAAGGGCCTGGCACTTCACTTATCGTATATATGATGGGATCCATTACCTCACATTTCTGAGTCTCTCTTTATCTATAAAATTAAGAGTCTTGGGTTAGTTTACCTCTCAGCTCCTTTAGCTCTGACATTTTAAAAAGTCACTGAGGATAATGCATGAAGAATAGTTAAGTGCATGGCATGGAATTCTAGTGGAAGCTGAGAAATGTGGAATTCAGGTCAAAGCTCCTGAAATGAGAATAAAGTAATTGTCCCATTTCCGAAGCAGCCACCCACTCATGGATTCTTCTGTCCTCCCAGCCTTTCACCCCTATCTCCAGGAGGCAGATGCTTCCACCAAGAAGAGCTACTTTGCAAAATAGTTTGCTGCTTTTGGAGATCTGTGTGTTAAGAGGAGAATAGAACAAAGAGACTATGAAAAGCAGAAACAGCTGATGCTGTGGGCGACCCAGACTACCACACCATGGCCCTCTGGTCTTTAACCCAGTCTCTACACATTGCTAGATTTTTTCCATTTTCTTTTGACTCTCATCTAGAAATTCAACTCATAATTTAATCAATTTCTTTCAGTGTTTCTTATCACTTATTAATCTATATCACCTTTGATGAAGATTTAAAAATGCACATTCTTCTTTAATGTTAAATTATAAAATGAGTACTGTGACTAATTAGATAATAAGGTTGAGGTTTTCTCATTGATTGCTTTCTAAATAAATTATGCCCCAGTCTGCCTCTCCCTAGTCTTAGCATTTGGTTTTTCACTTGGAGATTCTGAGAAGCATAGTTTGAAATCATTTATAGGGTTAATAAATAGGTGAACCTCTTAGAATACTAGGGTTAAATTTTTGGCTTATAGAGATTTTAGAAAGTATTTTGGAAAAGAAAAAAATGGGTGTTTAATAAGCACATACTGTAGAGCAGACACTCTAGGTGTTTTGTGCTATGTGTGTAATTTTATGGGATAGGTATTACTCTTCACCACTCACCCCTAGGGAAACAAAGGTGCAGAGAGATCCAAAGCCACACAGCCGAGATGGCATGCAAACTACATTTTGGCCACTTACAAAGTTCCTCCCATTACATCATGATCATATGCATACACCGACGGGGAGCCTCCAGCCTATGTGCAGATGTGAAGATTTTCAATGTGTGAGGGTAGACTGGAGCATTGACTGAAGGTCTTGCACAGAATCTGTAAATACATTTCAGAAATACTTCAGAATCACAAAACAAAATCCAACTAATAAACAACAATCTTTCAAGAACTGATTTGAACCTAATACAATTTTCTAACCTATCTAAGATGATCATACCTCTTTGGATAGTCCTATTTGATAGCTATTAACCCACTGTAATTAATAGCACCCCATTCTCTCCCAAAGAGTTCTGGTTTGTATGACAAATAACATGATCCTTCTATTTATATTATGTTTAGTCATTAAAATTTTTGTGGTCTTAAATCATACATCAAAAAAGGGCCCAAGAGAAAACATTTAAAGAGGAAATTCCCAGGGCCTTATACTGCATAATTGTACCAAGAAATGTTCCAATATTCTTTAATGTTGTCTTGAGAGTAAGCAGAAGTCCTATGGTGCATTCTCCTTCTAAGGATATCTTTCATTTTTCCATTAGAGCATCAGTGCTTTTTTTAATATGAATTTAGTTTTTTTTGAGAAGCGTATTGCGACTGAATGAAATGGAATATGATATCTTAACCCAATTAGCAAATCAAAAGAGTTCCAAGTATCGTAAAAGATTATATTCAGGATTTTTTGCTAAATGAGTAAATTGTAGCTGCTCTGGCCACGCACACACACACAAAGGGGTGTGATGATAGATACATTCATTTGCTTCACTGTAGTAACTGTTTTGCTATCTATAGGTATCCCATAACATCATGTTGTGTACTTAAATATGCACAATTAAATTAATGTAAAAAATTTAAAAACTAAAGATAAGAAAGAAAACTTCAAAAAATGGGCTGAAAAACCCCAAGCCTTGGGGACAGACGAACAGTAATCTCTTCTATTAGGGGCCTACTATTTTGCCACCAAAATACTGCAACTTCTAAACTCCCAAACTCTGTAGACTTCTCTCATGTGTATGCTGCAATTATGTTATAGCTTGTAATGCAGTGGTTTTCAGTGTGCTCCCCGGACTAGCAACATCTCTATCACCTGGAAGCTTGTTAGAAGTAAATTTTTGGACCTGGCCCAGACCTACTGAATCAGAACCTCTAGACCTGGGGTCCAGCAATCTGCTTTTAAGCATGATTTTAAGCAAGAAGTGATTCTGATCTTTGCTTAAATTTTAAAACCACTGTTATAATGCCTAAAATCTGTAAAATCAGTTATCTCCATGAGTCTTAGCATTAATAATTTTATTTAATTTAGTAAATAGGACATAGTTGTCTTGTGATTGAGAGTTATACATGTAGTAACCAATCAACTTGAAAACTCTTGAAACTGGGATATCTGAGAGCTCCAAGTCCAAAATCAAAGCAGCATCCATTCATTTAATTTTTATTTAAGACTCAGTGCATAGTGGGCACTGTTCTAGAAGCAGATGGTGTAGCATTGTTTGTAAGCAAAACAAAGGCCCTGCTGTCATGGAACATTTTGTTTTCTACCGGGGAAAGACAGACAATAAACAATAAATGCACACATGTGGAGTAGTGTATAGTATCAAGACTGGTGGTGAAAACTGCTAGGAAGTGCTTTGAAGCCTAGTAAAAGAGTGCCCGGCTGAGCGACCACTGCTAATTCAGCTGGCTGCAGAAGCCCTTCTCATCAGATGGCATTTAAATAAAGTGAGAGTGAGTGGTGCCCTCAGCAGAGGGAACAGCAGGTGCAACTGCCTTGAGGCAGGAATATGCCAGGCATCAGAGAGCACCCTTCCTACACTTGTTTTATAATTAGGGTGCTGGTGGATTCCATTGGTTTCTGTTGCTTCCTCTCTATGTTTGGAAGGTAGAGAAAATTGTTCCATGCAGCAGTAATTTTGTAAACCAGCTTCCTTGATGTCACTTATAAGTTTGGAAGGAAGAGCAATGAAAACCTAAAGGAGATCACTTGAAGTATCAGGAATGCCTTTTATTTACTGACCACCAATTCCTAACTTACTTACAAACTAGATTTGTGAGGGAGCTGCTACATGAATTCCCAATGGTCAGCTCTTTATTCTCAGATCTGCCTCTCTCTGAGTTCCATTTCAGGGACAAGATTTCAACCACGCCAAAACCCAAGTTATATTTTATCTCATCTTTTTCTTTATCCATCCCCCAAATCTAATCCGAGTTTATCAGCTACATCTCCTAGTTGTTTTCATGACCACTTCTCTTTTTCTCCTCATCATTTTTCACCTGAATTACTCAGCCCCCAAACAACTGTCCTTGTCTCCATTCTGTAAGTCATCCATTTTGCCACTGGAGTCTGATTCCAAAAATAAGGGAATTAGTCACTACCCTCCTCAGAAAGTTTCTCCATCAACACAATGCTCAACACAATCTACTGAGCTCCAACATCAAGGTCTGCCATGATCTGCCTCAAACTACTTTCCCACTCTCATTTTTCACATATCTGGCAATTTGTACCTATTCAAAACACAAAAAGCTTTCCCTTTCTTGTTTTAATATAAGATTTTATTTATTTTTATTTTTAATATTTGTGGGTACACAGTATGTGTATATATTTATGGGGTATATGAGATGTTTTGATACAAGCATACAATGTGAAATAAACATATCATGGAGAATGGGGTGTCCATCCCCTCAAGCATTTATCCTTTGAGTTACAAACAATTCAGTTATACTCTTTACATTATTTTAAAATGTGTAATTAAGTTATTATTGACTATATCACCCTGTTGTGCTATCGAGTAGTAGGTCTTCTTCATTTTTCCTATTTTTTGTATGCTTTAACTATTCCTAACTCCCAGCCCCCCACTACCCTTCCCAGCTTCTCACAACAATTCTTCTACCCTCTATGTCATGAGTTCAATTGTTTTAATGTTTAGATGCAGTTTTCAAAGTCCCTTTCACATTTCAAGGCCCAAATCAAATGCCAGCTCTTCTAGGCAGAATTCCCTGATTTGAGACTGAAGAGAGTTGCTCTTCTCTCCTCTTCTGTGGCACAGTAGCTTCGCTTTTCTTTAGTACTCAGCCTTCCATTACAGTTACATGTTGGCTTATACGTTATCCCTCATTAGATTCTGATCTGTCTTGAAGTTAAAAATGAGTTTTAATCATTTTTATATTACTCTAATTGGTAAGATAATGTACTTACATGCTTGTTAAACTGAATTAAGTATTAGAAGTTGAAATAGTGTATGTTATAAAGTAAACATTAGGCAGAATATTTGACTCACCGCCACACTCCTGTTTCATCAAAGCTGAAAAACAATTATTTTGCTTTTCCTGAATTGCATCATGTGCATACTTCTGATTTTGTGGTAACTGAGAACTTTTATCTTTTCCTTAAGCCATGACCTTTTGGGTTTAGGGCCATGCTGTGTAGAGAAATCCCTCACATATCCATCTTATATTGAGTGGCACACACATAAAACATACGCATGCAAATACAATTCTTTCAAAGAGAGAGGGAAAACAACAACAAAAATGAGACTTTCAATGAATTTTAGAAAATTACTGCTCTTCAGATATTTTTATGATCACTTACATATAACGATTGATAACAGACATTATGATACTTTAACAATATGCTCTATTCAAATTGCTATAATTATTTTTATCCTGTGGTTAAGAAATAATTTAAAGTAGAAAAATAGGTGTTTATAATGGCCTTGCAGTTTCAGTAGTATATTTGTAATTAGTAGCCAAATAATGTATTGCATAATTATTAGCCATATAATGTATAATGTAATATGCATTATATGTATGCATATGTAACGCCTAATTACATAACAAAATTTGTAGTAGGACTGTAACAGGCCTTTTGATTATGTTGGGAATATACTATAGAATGCAAGGCATATTTTGAATAACTAGGAAATTAACTCGGGGGCTTAGATTTTTAATAAGGGATAGCATGAAATATAATTGTTAATTTAGCAGAATGTGTTTATATTAGCTCATATTTAATTTTGCATGCTACTAATTTTATTTCCTGAAGTTCCTATAAATCTCAAATTACATATAATTACACAATTATATTACTCGGGAAATGAAATAAAAGTTGCACAATTTGTAATTTATGGGTTTACCTGACTGGTAGCTGATGATTTGGTAGTCTCGATGACAAAACCAACTTACAACGGCACTCTGAAAATTGGAGTAAAAATAAGTAACAGCATTACACACAAAAAGTCTTGTTATTTGTAAATTTGAAGAACAGGTATTATCAAGATCATTGGCAATAAGTCCTCCCATAAGCCTTGAGATTTTTCAAAAGACACCTTAAAGGTTAAAATATAGATTTTTATCAAGACCTTTGCTGTAAAACCAAATCTACAACAAATAAAATAGGTATATACTGACATTAATTAATCTATTTATTTATTTTTCTAACTTTTAATTTTATCATGTATTGAACATGTAGGAAACTAGAATGAACTGTACACTAAATGCCATATAACAATCATTTAGAACCAACAATCATTGGAAAGTTTGTTCTCTTTATCTTTATTTGCACATAAACACATGTACATACACACTGGCTAAATCATTTGAGATTAAGTTTCAGACATCATAACATTTCATTTCTAAATTATTTACTATGCATCCTTTTAGAATAAAGTCTTAATCCCATGTAACCATTATACTATTATCACATGTAAGAAATGAAGGAATTTCTTAATCTCATCTAATAGCCAACCTATATTTATATTTTCCCCATTTTTCAAAATGTATCTTTCTTTTTTTTATTTTATTATTATTATACTTTAAGTTTTAGGGTACATGTGCACAATGTGCAGGTTTGTTACATATGTGTACATGTGCCATGTTGGTGTGCTGCACCCATTAACTCGTCACAAACTGTATCTTTCATAGATTTTCTTTGCTGCTTTTTTCCTCCATTTTTTTGCCTTCTCTGGTTCTAATTGAGCATCCTATATAATCCCATTTTCTCTTTTCTCTGAGATTATCAATTGTACTTCTTTTAAAAAAGTGTTAGTGATTGCTAAGGAGTTTGCAATATACTCTTACAAGTAATGTTTATCCACTTTTAAATAACACAATACTGCTTATTGTGTAGTGCAAGCCCCTTCGAGTATTTCCAATCTCTCCTGCTCATCGCTATTACACTGCTGCCATACATTTCACTATTCACTAGCTATGAATACCTCATCTATTTGTTGCTAAAAATATTTTGAAAAATCTGTTATCTGTTAAAGTACAAAAAAAGAACATATTTTATGTTTACTTATTATCTAATGCTCTTTCTTTCTTCATTTAAATCCAAGCTTCTCTCCAATATTGTTTTCCTTCTCTCTTAAGACCTTTGTTTAACATGTCTTGCAAGGCAGCTCCACTGGCAAAAAAATTTCCTTGTTTTGTTACTCTAAGAGTCTTTATTTCACTTTTGTTTTTGAAGGATAATTTTTCAGGATATAGAATTCCAGGTTGGTAGTTGTTTTTGTTTGTGTGGGTTTTTTTTTTTTTAATCAATGCTTTAAATATTTTACTCTACTTTCTCTTTGAGTGTGTGATTTCTAAAGAGAAGTCTGGTGTAATCCTTATCATCATTTCTGTATATGTAAGGTTTTTCCCCACTGTGGCTTCTTTTGAGATTTTCTCTTTCTCTTTGTTTTTCTGCAGTTTGAGTATGATATATTTAAGTGCAGATATTTTGCTATTTATCCTTCTTTGTGTTCTCTTAGATTCGTGTCTGTAGTTTGACATCCATCGTTAATTCTGGGAAATTCTTAGCCAGTGTTACTTCAAATATTTCTGTTCTTTTCTCTCTTTCTTCTCCTTTTGCTATTCCAAAAATGTGTAAGGTATACCTTTTTAATTATTCCCCAATTCCTGGATATTCTGTTTTACTTTTCAAACTCTTTTTGGTTTTCAATTTTGGAAATTTCTATTGACTTACTTTCAAGGCCAATGATTCCCTGGCCATTTTAAGTTTTCTGATGGGCCCATTAAATAAATTCTTCATCTCTGTCAGTTTCTTTTTAAAAAGTTCTTATTTTATAGCATCTCCTTTTGATTCTTTTTGGAATTTCTGTCCTTCTGCTTACATTTCCCATCTTCTCTTACATCTTGTTCACTTTTTTTCATTCGATCCCTTAACATATTGTTCAAAATTGTTTTAAATTTCTGGTCTGATAACTCCAAATTATCTGTCATGTCTGAATGGAGTCCTGATTCTTGCTTGGATAATTTAGCCTGAGGTTTTTGTTTTGTTTTATTTTGCCCCTTAGCATGACTTTGTTGTTGTTGTTGAAAACAGATATGATGAATTGGGCAAAAGGAACTGGAGTCAATGGCCCTTTAATATGAGGTTTGATATTTATCTGGCTAACATGCTGTGTTTACTGTTTCCTCTAGCTATGGTGTCAGTGGCTAAAATTTCTGTGACTGGCCTTATTTTTGTCCCCCACCCCCCAATTGCTTTGGGTTTCCCAAAAGACTTTTAAAATAGCATCTGAGGCTTGTAGTTCTTTCAGCTATAATCCTCTGTTTTTATATGGAAGCCCTATTTATATGGTGGTGAGGTGTAGAAGGAGTGAAAGCATCTGTAGGCTTATGTTTAGGTCTGAGTGTTTAGTGAGCCTTTGCTCCTGGCCTGTGGCCTTTACAAGTACTCTCAGCTATCTGAGAAGAATAGAGGAGGCTGTCATTGGGTGTTTTTCTTCTTTACATGGGTTATGCTTTGGCAAAACCCTAATCAGTTAGACTCTGGTAAAATAGCTGGCCTTGGGGACATATTTCAAAAAGGTCACTTTGTCCTTCTCCCTGCGTGAAGGAAACATGAGGGGATTTTTCTTTGAGAACACAAAGCTGCTGGAGGTAAAATTTAAGAAAGTGTGGGCTTCTTGCCGAGACTAGCCCCTTTCCTCAGATTTTTTACTCTCAACCTGGTCCACATTGAGTCTTCAGTCATTCACCGATTACAGCTTAAGTGTTCCTACTGATACTGGCTTCATCTGTAGGACCTGGCCCTGGGTTTCTCTGCCATTTACATGTGATTCTCTGTACCCACCTGTCTCTCCATTTTGGGAAAAGCAGTTGTTCCTATGATCTCAATTCCCTTATAGATCTAAGCAGTGTTGTTGATTTTTAGCTTATCCAGCCTTTTTCTTGTTACGAGAATGGGAGTGACAACTTTGAAAACCTTTGCACGTCAGACTAGAAACTGGAAGTCCATAATTTTTCTGTTTGAGGCCCAGGAACTAATCATAGGCTACACATTTCAATTGGTATTTTTCCACTGTATTCTCCTTAATCTAGCAACAATCCAACTGAATTCAAACTTTTTTTTAAAAAGTCATTGCCATTTCAATTATAGAAGTTTTACACTGATTTCATCAGATTGTTTCCTTATGGAAGAGACATCCTTTGGTGATATTGAAAAATAAATTCAAGAATATATTAGGTATTTGGTGGTGATTGTTACCCAATTCAGTATTTTAAAAAAGTATTGAATTATGCACTTTAAATGAGTAAATTTTACATAGTATACAAATTATATCTCAATAAGATCATATTTTAAAGCATATATTGGTTATATAACGAATCTTGAGAAATTCATTATCTGTGAAAGATACAAAACAAGTTTTTCAACTGCAGGGTTAAAGAAGTATTGTGCTCCATTGTGCTCCAAGGTTAAAAAGTAATGTGCTCCATTAGTATAAATAGGAGCACATTAGTACTGTTTCTTTTCACTTAAATTTAGATTCAATTGTGCTAGATGTTCTGTCGATTTTACTTAAATTACCTTTATCAACCCTCATGACAACTTTGTGGAGTATGTTTTATTATCTTAATGCTATATGTGAAAAACTGAGATTTCAGGAATAACATAATTGAGATCACATGGCTCCTAACAAGCCAGAATTTATTTAAGCCATTTTTCTCTGATTATAATATTATTTGTAGCTAATGGATGTTATCACTCCCCCATTTCTACAGAGCAAGTTGTCTAAGTCAAAAACCCTAGAGACCTGTGCATAGAGAGCCTGCTGCCCAGGCCTGTGCATGAGCCACCCCAAAGCCCCATACTGATGCAGTGCTAGAGATGGCCATCTTTTTAAACCTCATGATCAAGTCCTCCCTCAAGGACAATCATCCTTCAAAGTCAAGTAACTTTGAGGCCGTCACTAAGTACAACTGTTAATATGTAATTGGACATAGATATAACTTGGCATTTAATTAGAAAAAAAAGTGTTGAGTAAACATAAAAAAAGGATTTTGATAACCACCCATTCTAAAGTATTTAAAATTGTTAAAAATCATGCCCTTTCTTAACTATATAGGCGTATGCCACTAAATTCTAATTCAAAGTTCCAGTTTAGGAAGAGCAAGCAGAATTCACCTTGTGTGAAAACCCAATAAATCTGTAGTTGCTGCCTGTGGTTGTGTGTAAGGAATTGTGAGGCCAAAAGTGGTCAGTAACTGATGAACCATGTCTGCCATGTTTGGTGTAGGCAGTGGCAGCACTCAGGCCCTGTGATTGCTAGCTCTACTCAAAGTGAGACCACGAATCATAAAATGTGAACAGAGATTCAATTAGAGTTTTTCTTGTTTGTGTGTTCCGAGTTTTGACTCATATTGTTTTATGAGCACCACAGCTCATATGATTTTGGAAAGTTATTTCCAAACAAAAAGTTGACAAAAATATTTGGAAGAAACGGTGAGACAGAGTTCTTTTAGGGATAATTTATTAATCTTATAATAAATCCAGCGTGTGCTTGGAATGAGTAATACAGAGAACTTGGCAAGAATTTATAGTTAAAAGTTCTCAGTGAAATAACTACAGGATGACATTCGAAAGGATTAAAAACAATAAGTTAAGTGAAGTCTCTAATTAACTCCTACAAAAGATCCTGTACTAGAGAACCTAGTTAAAGCCCCATAAATGTTATTGTGGAGAAAATCAGAAGGCTTGCTTACCTCTTTGCCAAGTAGTTTAAGACTAAAACATATTTGTTAATTTAAAATGCTACTAAATCTATGAACCTAATTAATGTATTTGTAAGCTTTAAGCCAACAATTATATATCTACATATACAAAAACATATATGCATGGCTCTATGGCATGGTCCATGAAAACTTTATTTATTAAAAGAATTGCTGTAGCATTTCATTAATCATTAAATCCCTGTCTAAGGGATTTAGGAAATAGTCACTGTGAAATTGACTAAGAATAGTACAGTATTTATGAGGTATAGAAAACACGTTATAATGTAGGAAACAAAATGTACATTATTCTTCTTTATAATCAACATAGAATTCTCCATCTTTCATAAAACTAAAAACTCATGGATAATTGTTTTGCATGTGGGAGGTGAATATGAAAGGCATAAAAATCCACTTAAAATTATATTTGTGAATTGGAGTTTTTAATAATTACAAATCAAAATTGTAACTTTTTATAATTTAAAAAGTAAAATTTATAAATAACAATATATCCCAAACAGAGAGGACAGTAAGTTACTTGATTATTTCAAAGCCCATTAATTCTCTCAGGCCTGTACAGCTGTTTTGAAAAGTATATCTTCAGTGAAATAAGTGATTATTAAAAGATTCTTTTTAAATCACTTTTAGTGCCAGAAAGATTGAAAAACTGAGGAAGACTGGCGAGAATTATCTGATAGGTATTTCTCAAGCAACCTGAAAATTCACTGTGACACCTCCAGATCCTTAAAAGCAATTATGTTTGATCTTAAGGTTGAAGTCTTTAGGTACAAATTTTCCATCTGTGGGTAAAAAAACAAACAAACAAATAAAAGAAACCCCACAACAACAAAACATATATTTTATTTTTTTATTATTATACTTTAAGTTTTAGGGTACATGTGCACAACGTACAGGTTTGTTACATATGTATACATGTGCCATGTTCGTGTGCTGCACCCATTAACTCATCATTAACATTAGGTATATCTCCTAATGCTATCCCTCCCCCCTCCCCCCCACCCCACAACAGGCCCCAGTGTGTGATGTTCCCCTTCCTGTGTCCATGTGTTCTCATTGTTCAATTCCCACCTATGAGTGAGAACACGTGGTGTCTGGTTTTTTGTCCTTGCAATAGTTTGCTGAGAATGATGGTTTCCAGCTTCATCCATGTCCCTACAAAGAACATGAACTCATCCTTTTTTATGGCTGCATAGTATTCCATGGTGTATATGTGTCACATTTTCTTAATCCAGTCTATCGTTGTTGGACATTTGGGTTGGTTCCAAGTGTTTGCTATTGTGAATAGCAATAGCAAAACATTTATTTGTGTTGGGTTGAATAGATCGGAACATAGTGCTTCATTTAGCGCTATCCATGGTGCTAGCCAGTTACCCCTTTTTCCTTCTCCCTGAGCTATTTTGATGAACCTGCCATCATCCTGTGCTTCTGCTTGTTGGCTTCTTGGCCAACAGTGGTTGCCATCTGTTTCTGCAATTTCACTTTGATATGTTTTGTTCATTAACATCAGGACTAACATCTGCGGATTTGATCACCATTTGTTTCCATCTCTGCTACAACTATCTAAGACCCAGCTTAATGTGTCTTTGCTAATAAATCAGGAACCTTCTCGCCTTTCTAAAACTAAATTATTGTATTTTCCTGTATAAACTTCAGTGTCTCTAAGAGATTTACATATGGCTTCTTATGCAAGAAATATTATTTTTCTATGTATTTCATTCGTGATTCTAGAGTGGTAATGAAAATACATCATAGCTATTCACTCAACACTTAACAAATGTGCCAGGATCAGTTGTGGGCACTGACTATATATCCATAAACATAGTATACACCTCTGCACTTAGGATCTCATGCTGTGGTGGAGGGAGATGATCATTGATCAATGACTCAGGTGATGTCTACTATGAATTTTCCTTAAGACTAATAATGAAAACAGAATTAATGACTTCTTAAAAAAACATATTATATATTGTGTTCACATTGGTTATTTCAGTCATTCTTCATAGGATGCCCACATGCAGAACATTGCTCTAGGTACTGAAGATAACTGTGCAAAACAAAAGCAAATGAAATTATGCTCTCTTGGAGGTAATAACAGAGTGACATAAAAATAAACTAGTAAAAATATAAACTTTCTTATATAAATTATGTGATAAAAAGAAAAAGATAAATTTGTAAAATTAAGTGCTAAAACTTGCTATGTTTTAGAAAAAAGGGCAGGGAAGTGATGAAACAAAAACACTTCAATATATGGGGGTCGGGAATAGCCTCTCAGATAAGGTGACATTTGAGCAGAGACTTAAAGGAAATGAAAGAAGAGAAGCAAACATCATGGCAAATGGAGAGTTCTGGAAAAAGGCAGGCTGCTGAGCAGGAGCACCAGTGTGTTCTCAGTACAGGGAGAGAGAGCAGCAGACTTGGGATAGGAAGACTGATAGGAGAGCAGGGCGCAGTAGCTGTCATAGTGAGAACATGACCTTTTTTTCCTGGAGTGGGATGGGAAAGTATTGGAAGATTTTTAATAGAAATGTGATATAATCTGAACCTTGTTTTAAAAAGAAGATACTAAGTAGAGATTAGATTAGAGGTGGAAAGAGTGGAATAAGGGCAACCAGTTAGCAGACTTACACAATAATCTAAGCCAGAGTCCAATCATGGCATGGACTAAGGTGGTGGCAGTTGAAGTGGTAGGAAGAAATTAAGTTATATTATGAAGATGGAGCTGATAGAAATTCATGACAGACTGGTGTGTGTGTGTGTGTGTGTGTGTGTGCATGCACATACATGTGTGTGTATACATAGAGAAAGACAGAGACAAAGAGACAGACAAGAGTGTCTCTAAAATTGTTGACCTGAGAAACTGAAAAGCCATTATTGGAATCTAGTGAAAAGGGGGAGGTTTAAACATGAATAGATTTTGGTTGGGGGATATCAAGAGTTCAGTTTTAGACAAGGGTTTGACACGTCTATGAGACATTCAGTGGAGATTTTGTGATGTGCACATGGATAGGTAATGTGTTTTCTGAAGTATCTCAAAGATGCTACTTGCTCCTGAGCAAGGCCTGCTCTTATTAAAAATATTTTCTAAGCCTCATTTTTAAGGTTCTTAGAAATTTGGCAATAAAAACAATAACAGCAAGACCTACGCAACTTTGACTCATTGTTTCCCTTTTGTATTTGACTCAGAACACTCTTTTTCTTTGGGGTTCCTATAAATATTTAATCAAACATCAGTATTCCCTGGGGTACAGCTTGGATACGCTGACTTGAAATGTTAATGGAGAGATATTCACAACTCCAGTGTAAGATTGCTGTAGATTCAATATATGAGAAAGTTATTGAACTATTATTGTGTCATAGCTTTTCAGTAGATATTGCCAGGAAGTAGAGTGGATCATCACAAACCGGAAAGGTTTTCTTTTATTCCAGAAAAGGAAGCAAAAGAAACCCAAATTGAAAAACTTGTGCGCTACTGGTGTTATGGAAAATCCTTATGAAAAGCTAGAAAATAATAAACAATGCCCAATAATGATTGTACTTTTCCCAGGTAATAGTGGTTTATTAATCTTATAATAGACCTAAATAATAGTCAACTTGACATTAAAACAAACAAATAAGCATCCTTAAGTATCAAATTGAACTTACAGTGTTTTCTTCTCCAGGCAAAATTAATTTCCTAACCTTGAAATTGGATTTTCATCTGTCTTCTGTGTGCACATAGATCAGTCTTTAAGAATCAGAAATGTAAACCCTTATCTTAGGTAGCAGTTGGATGTTTTCTGAACACTTGCAGATTTGGTAGGAGGGGTAAATATGGCTTAGCCTAATAAGAAGCTATTTTGAGAACTTTTTTTTAAGAACATGGGAAACTGAAAGATCATTTTATTCTACTTTTAAATATTTAAGCTGCATCAAAGTCCCACAGCTTATTCAGTTTATAGTTTGGTTAATTTTTGTTGTAAACTGAATAGCAATTATTGTTCACAAATTTATGCATAGCATTTTACAGGATGACACTAGGAGCTGGAAAAAGAGCGAGAGATAAAGATGAAAAACACATATTTTCAGGTTTCTTTATTACAACCGTAGACTCTTTTTTACAACAAAGAAAAAGCCATTTCCTTAGTAGATGTTCTCACACCATGAAGGACAGTACTAATGCATGAGGAATATGTCATCTATGATTAATGCTGATGATTCAGTGAAACACAGCAAGATACTGAAATAATGGGATTTTTCTGCATTTTAGGAATGCAATCATCTTAACACATGGTCCATGGAACATTTTAATACAAGTGCTATGTTTTTTTATTTTTAGTAGTTATTTAACATCATAATGTAATGAGTTCTGTATAAATAATGAAACACACATACGTATAACTCTTCTTTTTCTAAATAGAAATCACATACACATATGGAAATTCAGTCAGTTCATTTAATTAAACTAACTTAGAAATTGCCAGTGGATTGGCAGCTCCCTCCATACCTTAAGCTTCCATGCAGGGTTAAACTCCTTTTTGAAGATGATAAAAGTAGCCTGAGGGTCTGCTTCTATAGGAGTAGAAAAACTGTTTTCTGAAACTAATTTCTGAGATAATTTTTTGTTGCTGTTGTGGCAAAAAAAAAAAAAACAAAAAAAAAACCCTTGAATTCATGGCCAGGTCTTTATACGCTCATGACAATCTATATGGTTTTATGATGTAGCTATTTTTTCACATTTTAGGTGCTTGTCTTTCCTAATCTTATAAAATCACAAAGTTTTAACCATAGTCCAAGTGAGTCTTGCAAAAAATTAGATTTTTAAGAATATTTTTATGCTTTTCTTATTGTTGATTATCCAGATTCTATAATGCTACCTGCATATAATTGTAATATTTTCACAACTCAAGCCTGTGTCCCCACAAATATCACTTTTCTTAAAATTTTATGAACACTTGTCTTCAGTGTAATTTAGTTGTCATGATTTGTTTTTCACTTCATGTATGTGTCTTTGGGGAATGCAGATCCTACCTGCCTCCTAAATAGGCTACTCCTACCTAGGACAGTACCACATTTTATGGAAATTGATAGTTGTGATGGACTTACAAAATAATGCTGGTTAAAAATGGTTAAATAAAAATGTAATAATGTAGAATTGAACATATCCCTTCTTTAAGTATTCTTAAAAATTACAGTTGGAAATGAGTTTTAGTAAAATATATTTTATTCACTTATACATGAACAACTTTCAAAGAAGAGTAATTTGGTGGGGTCCTCCATCTTATTAAACAGATTGAAAATCAAGTACTAGATAGATTTTTTAAAGAGAGTTTAAAAAATAAAACTTGATTTATCAATATTGTTTAATGTTCGTGGTTACAATTGATGGTTGAATTAATAAACGGTTCTTAGAAAATTTAAGACTACTAAAACCAATTATATGTGCATTTTTTTCATGTTTTAGTGTGAAATACGGAGAAGGTGCCAAATGAAAAAGCATCACAATGCCAATCTTGGGATTTATTTACCAGGCCTTTTCTGACGTCAATATATCAATATAGTCACATTTTCGAGCGCATATTCCATAGCAGTTACTTTACCTACATCATCTTGTTTAGTTCCCACAGCAGTGGCAACAGGAAGGTGATATTATCTCTGTTATATGAATGGGAAGGCTGAAAGAGAAGCTAAGTAATGTATTTAAGTTACAGAAATAGTAAGTGGAAAACCTGGATTTTGAATTCAATTCTGACTCCAAAGTATAGATGGGAAAGCGTGACCAGTGATCCCAGATCATTAGGAAACACTGTTGCCTGCATAGCCACTAGCCCCCAAGCTCTCCTCCTAGGGGGAGCCCAGCTAGTAAGGCAGTTCTATATGGGTGTTAGCCAGGTAGACGTTGGCAGGATCCATTTTTATCCAGACCCAAGGCCTTATCTTATTTTTCAGGTAGTCTATGGCTGCCCAGAAATGCCTCAGCACGGCCCTGGGTTTGAGTTTTTTGAAATATTTATTCTGTCAATACTAACTCAAGGTCACTGGTGGAAAAATATGAGGGTAGGTTCTTCATTTCATAAAGTATTCCAACTAATATAGTAAGTAAGGCCAGGAAAACAACGTGAATTGCATACACAAAATGCAATTTAACTGGCCTGCTATTTCTACCTTAGTGGAAGGATCCAAGGCTAACAATCAAAGACATTAAAATGTTTTTTTATTTTTCTCTGGATTTGGATTGATGACTTATTGCATTCCTATTCATAACAAGGATCTTATTTACTTTAAATATTTAAAATGAGCTTTTGATACGTGGCTGAGATCTGACCAACGACTTGAGTTTCAATTGTACAGTGTTGGAAGTATTTTAATAGTAAACGAATAGAATATGTCACAAAGACAGTTCAGTATTTATTGGACCCCTTTATAATTCTGATATAAAATATAGAATTAAGCCATATGCTATAGGTTAATTCCTTTGTCAGGAATCCTGAATGCTTTATCAGGAATACTGAGTGCTGATTTGGAGAGATACAAGGGTACAAATGATCTGGGTAATAAGCAGCTGCACAAATGTTTATTTATAGCCTAACATGTTAATTCTGAAAGCCTCTTTACCAGTTCATTTATTTATAACTCCAAAGAGACAATACACAAACAGCCATTCATATCAACTGCTGGCAGTACTCAATTGATATGCTTTTGTTTGGGCATCTGGTAGATTGTTTCCATGAGAACTTCTAAGTAGAAAGTTCATCCCTAAAGGAGCTTCTGTATAGCATTAATGTACCCAAGCTTTTCATGTATACCTTGTCTCTTCAAAAATATGGGTTTGTATAGGAAAACATTCTTTCCAGTTTTTTCATCTGTTTGCCGGAAGCCTAACTTGGATAAATGATGTAGAGCCTTTAGAGCTTTCTTCATATTTATGCAAGATAAAATATTTAAGTCAGACAATAAATAAGGTTTTATTTTGTTTGGTTTTTCTTTCTCCAGGACAGAGAGGTCAACTATCTTCGTAGGGTACTTCAGGCAAAACGAGGATAGGGCCTTTTGTCTTTATAACCCAGTTCCTTAAGCTTTTGTGAGGCCTAGCATGCCTAGCTACCTAATATTTAAAATGCAAATTTGCACTCTTAGATAACAGATGAATTGTTGTGATCTATTTTATAAAGAATATCCTACAAGTTAGACATTCACATAAAAGATGTTGCCTTTTAATTCATCACTGTTAGGGTGGCAGAGTGTGCACGCCTTTATTCTAGAATATGGCAGTATTCAAAGCTTTGCTGGAAATTCTCTTTTGTAATTCTTACTCTGCAGCATTTTAAAGACTTTTCATAGTGTCAAACCTTAACATTTTGAGAAACAAAATAAGAAACAACAAACCTTAACATTTGAGAAAGAATTTCTGTGAACAATCAAATACTTTTAGATCTAAACCTGCTGCATAAAATAGAAAAGCATAATTTAAAACCATGTATTAATTAGAAATATATATTTAGTATGTTCTGTAACTGTGATGGAGCAATTTATATCAAACAAGCATTGGAATGAGAAGAATTAGTCTAGTCTTTTTATACCTGTTGTTCCACCATAATTATTACTAGCATCACTCCTTAAAATCGTTCTCTTTGATTGTCAAATTTTATGGTGACCCTACTAACTGGTGAAATTAGAGAACAGCATTGGTCCCACTCATTTTTCACCCAATCACTACTCTAGACATTAACTAGGCTACATCATTTATTTTCCCCTGAGATCCACCCCATAGGCAGTGTAAATGCCCATGGTAGCTAAGTCTATGGAACTCAGGTGAGCTCCTACATTGGCCTAATATCTTCCACTAGCTTCTCTCTTGCTGTTCATCCTTAGCTAAAGGTGGAGCTGATTTGTTTCATCTCTGCCTTTCTCAGCTTCTGTTTCACCAGGAGTCTGAAGAGTGTTTTTCTTTCATGGAGCCTTCCTAATCTTCAACAGACCCCTGAAGGGCCCAATTTGAACTAAGCTTGAGAATCAATGGTTTATATTCCTTCTTCCCACCCTAGTATAATTTCGAGGGTTTTTGTTGTTGTTGTTGTTGTTGTTTTTTAATTATGGCCACTTTCTCTCCTATGGGTTTCATCTTCTGATCTTTCTCAAACCTATAGCCCTTACAGTGATGGCTTACTTTACTAGTATGTTGGTTAGGCCCCACCTAACTTTTCCATGTCTGCCACATGTTGTCTTAGTCTATGTGGGCTGCTATAACAAAATACCCCAGACTGGGCAGCTTGCAAACAACAATTTATTTCTCACTGCCCTGGTGGCTGGGAAGTTTAAGATCAAGGTGCTGGCAGATTTGGTATTTGGTGAAAGCCTGTTTCCTGGTTCGTAGATGGCACCTTCTAGCTGTGTCCTTACATGGCGGAAGGGGCAAGGCAGCTTACTGGGGCCTCTTTTATTTTTATTTTTTTGAGACAGAATCTCACTCTGTTGCTCAGGCTGGAGTGCAATGACGCAATCTCGGCTCAATGGAACCTCTGCCTCCCGGGCTCAAGGGATTCTTCTGTCTCAGCCTCCCGAGTAGCTGGGATTACAGGTGCATGCCACCATGCCTGGCTAATTGTGTGTGTGTGTGTGTGTGTGTGTGTGTGTGTGTGTGTGTGTGTGTTTTAGTAGAGACGAGGTTTCACCATGTTGCCCAGGCTGGTCTGAAACTCCTGAACTCAGGCAATCCACCCACCTCAGCCTCCCAAAGTCTTAGGATTACAGGCTTGAGCCACCACACCCAGCCCCTGGGGCCTCTTTTATAACAGTACTTACTCCGTTGAGGAGGGTGGAATCACCTCTTAACGACTCTACCTCCTAATACTATCACATTGGTGATTTGATTTCAACATAGGAATTTGGGGTAGACATAAACAACTCAGACCATAATACCTGGCCTGGATAGATTTGTTCCAAAAATCTATTCCTTCTGCATTCTGTCCTGTGCTGTGAAATGTAGATGTAATATTAGGGGTTATGCTTTAATGTGTTAACCCTCCCTGATGGCTTGTTGGCACTTGGTAAGAGAAAGATGGTTTTCTAAAGAAGATGCCTTGATCCACTGTAGCAAATGTATTGGAATATTGCGGAACCCATAAGAGATGTTTTCAAGCAGGCAGCTGCCTCTTCAAAGACCCTGAAAATTTTAAACAAATGTAAATCCTGAAATTTTGTCCTAACCAACTTCTCTCTAATGGAAAATTTATCAAAATTATTATAATGCTCTAGTTTAAATATTATCATTTTTATCATTTACAGTAGACTTCTTTTACATTATTTCTCTTACATATATGCAGAGACTTTTAAAAACACTCTCATAATCGAAAACCTTAGAATGCTTTCTAGCCCCGTTTTTTTTTTTGACATTTTCTGGTAATAAATAATATTATAAAACTAACCACTAAATCCCTGTAAAGTCCAAATAAAAAGACTAGCCTTTATCTATAATTTTTATTTAGGTAACTTAAATTATTAGAACAAGTTACCTCATCGTTTTGCAATTTTACTTAATTAAATTAGACTTCATTGCACATTTATCTGTTTATGAAATAACAGGGTGTTTTATCTACTACAGAATGCCAGAAGTAATGAGATGGCTTACTTGTAGATAATTAATCCTTTCATTCTTTATAAATAGTAGCAATAACAGCATGAGTCTTGGCATTTCTAGGTAGTAAAAAGTGCTTAAAAATGGTATTGGTTGCCTCACTGCTGAGAGTGGGCAGCTGTTTTCCTTGCAGCAAACGATTTAGTGTTGACTGGCAATTTAGATGGGAATCTAGTGTTTGCATTTCCGATGCCTTATCTGGTTCTACTTTGCCCTTTGCTTATAGTAAATGGCTCTGTATTGTCATCAAAGTGAATTTCTACATTGTGCCTGGTTTTCTTGTCATTTTCTTTTCCTCGTATAATCAGTTCTATGTAAAGCTGTTTTGTTTTTGTTTTTCCATGGGGTGTACTAACTTTGATTATATGATAGAAATGACAAAGAGCATCCCCTTTTGCCTTCAACCTATTTAGTATTTGTCTTTATCTGCTGCATTTTAAAATACCTTCTTTCTACTTCAACTTCAGTCCTTTACCATCCTATCCCAGCTTCTAGATATAAGGTTGTGCAATGGAAAAACAAGCAAATAAATAACACACCAGGTTTGGGAATGATGGGGACCTGATGTAAATCATGGTGCCCAGGGGAAGTTACTTAAACTCTCTGTTCCTCGGTTTTCTCTTCTGTAAAATAGGGCTAATAACAAGGCCTATTTTGAAGTTTGTTAAGGGAAATTCAGTGAGATAAAGGAAGTAAAACATCTGTTCCTTTCTCCTTTGTGGGAGCAATGAAAAGGGCAAATGTCAGTAAACAGCCATAGTAAATGTCAGTCCCATTTATTTGTTTACTTACCAAATGTGTATCATACTTGATATTGTTCTAAGCACTTTACAAATATCAACCTATTTAATTTTCATAACTACCCCAATAATTAGGTCCTATTCATTTCTCCATTTTTATGCTTGTGAAAATGGAACCACGGAACAGTGCAGCATCTTGCTGAAGGCTGTGCAGTTGCCCAGGTGGGATGAGAGCCAGGAGGTCTGGCTCTGGAGCTCATGCCTCCAACCATACCACAACCCCTCCTTGCAGGACTTGCACTCTCTTTATTCCCTGCTTAGGGAAAGGGTTTAAGGTGACAAGCTTTCTTGTCTGATTCGCCCATGGCTGCTCTCTTGGCTACTACTCCTTTCCTTTGGCTCTCTGCTTTGGAATTCCATCACACCATGGCCATTTCTCCAGGAAAGTCTCCGTCACTTTGTGGCAGGTGTGGTGTGTGATATGTAGCAAGAGCTGGCCTTTGCAGAGCTGGGGGAAATTAATTCTCCTCTTCCAGGGAGGGCTTATCTATCAAAGGTACTGTCATGCTTCCGGAATCACAGTACCCCTTGGTGGCCTGATAAGAGGTAATTCATTCATTTCAGTGGAGCTACTCTGAAAGTAGAACTGGCATTTACTGGAATTATCATTGTTTTCCATAAATGCCTAGCGAATTTAAGTGATGTTATCAGCATAGTGATATTGGAGATGTATCCCTAGTCTGGTTTTATACTTATCCTATTTTAATGCTTAGAAAACCCATTTGGTATTTAATTTAAAGCTATCTCTTTGTTTTCACCACAACAAACAACCTCATTTTTTAGAAAAATATCATTTGCTTTGGCTTTTTAAAAGCATTGGCAAAAGTGTCTTTGATAACAGTGTTTTTTGGATGCTATTTAGTGACCCTTCTGGCTCCATGCAGTTATGATTAAAATCAGAAACCAGGATGAGATGTCAGGTCTCCTATGCAGATTAGGCAGAGACAATTAAAGAGTATGATTATAGTAGCCTAGAAATGTCAAGAAAATGCCACATCAAATATCACCATTCTGCACATATTATAGATAAGTGGAAAACTTCATTAGCAAGGCAAGGACAGCTAGGAAATTTTGCTTTGAAAATGCAACTCTATTAAAAGAGAATATTTGCTGCATCTGGAAGGTTTCACTTAACAGAATAATTTAAAACCACAAAAAAGCACCCCAATTTTTGTTAACCTGTTTAAATCTCCCTGTTTTGGAAGATATATGAGTGGAGTTAATCACAGAGTCCTAGAAAGATGAACCAATTATTGCAGAAGCTGGCTTGGCTGATTTTTCTCTCAAATGGAAATTTTAGTTCACTAGCATTTTCTTTCCTGTTGGGAAAATTATATGCTAGTTTTTTTTTTTTTTTTACATTGAGAAATGGCTGTTTTACATTACTGAAGTTTCCATTTAGCTGATAGTTAGCTGATCTTATGATTTAGTAAGCATGTAAGTTAAAGAAAACCCAAATTCAAATGGACTTATATAAAATGGGAGTTTATTGGCACACATTAATGTAGAGTCCAATGATGATTCAGTGGTTCTAAGATGATACCAGGGAACATTTTTTGTTTTTGTTTGTTTTTCATTTTTGCCAATCTGCCGTCTGTGATGTTGGCTGCATCCCAGGGATCACTCGGTTTCCATTTGCAAGATTGCTGCCAAGGGTTCCTGGGGTCATCTGCTCTCTTGTCCAGCTCAGAGATGGTATCCTATTAAAAACATAAAAAGAAAGAAAGCAAAGAAGGAAGAAGGAGGAGTAGGGAGGAAAATGCTGGGCCGTTTCTCTGACTGGGTCATCTTAGGCCATTTGACTACCATGGCCAGGAAATTCTATGGCACAATTGGTTTAGGTTCAGATAAGAAGTCCAGCCTTGAGCCTTTAAACCAATTTGGGATCAATCTGCCAATCTTCATAGCTGCTTCACAATGGGGGAGAAGTAGAAAAGATGATCAGGAAAAAATCATTTTTTTTTCACTGCAACTCAGAAATGGCTATGTTTCAAAAAATATGGTGTATTCATAAGCAGTACTTTCCTGTTTAGGAATCTCACATATGAAGTACAAGTCAGGATTCTGGTTAAGTTTAGGGAGGAGGGGAGTAGTGCCTGGGTCCTGGGCATGAGGGATCCTCATGGGTGTTGTTAATGTTCTACTCCTTGATCTGATTGGTAGTTATGTGGATGTGTTCACTTTCTGCAAATTCTTCTATCTATTCATGATTTATATACCTTTCTGTGTTAATTATGCTTCTATAAAGAAACTGCATATCAAATGTAACTGACAATAGGAAAGTTTATAACGTTATTTGTGTACAATAATATATATGGAATGTAATGATATTATCCAAGGTTCACAAGCTATGCACTGAGGCACTACAGGGCACCACAGCAAACTCATAATGACACAATGAGCTAGTTTAGAATTCTGAAGGAAACACAGCAGTATGCGATATCTGCTGATCATTGCATAAACTACCAAGTTGGGGTAGTTTACAGCTTTCATATGAAATAATGCTATCTTCCTTTCAATGAAGTCCTAACTTTACTAATATATTTTTGTTGTTGCCATTGTTGGCAATTGCTATGATTTAACCAAGTACTGAATGAAAAATCAGTGAGGAACAGGAAATGAGGGTGATGGCACAGTGTCCAATCTGATTCTAAGATTTAAGAAGTTGTGCAGATAGACACTGCAGACTACTAGAGTGGGGAAGGAAGAGGGCGGGTGTGAGTGGAAAAACAACCTATTGGGGGCTAGCTCACTACTTGGGTACAATACACCCATGTAACAAACCTGCACATACCTCATTGTATCTAAAATAAAAGTTGATTTTTTTTCAAAAAAAGTAAGTTTTACAGCACCCAATAGGAGCACACAGCCCATTTGTAATTATGGTTATTGAAGAATACAACAAAAATATCATAGCATTTTTTTCAATGGGCTACTAAGTTGCTAGCGCATCAATGCTTATTAAGTTGCTTAAACAGAACTTATTAATAAGTGTAACTGTTATATATTCCTTCTGAAATACAAACTGGATAAGGTATAGAGAAAAAACTGAGACATTAATAGCGCTATGAATTGAGAAACTTTGGAAATCACTGGATTATACTATTTTGGGACTGATCAATTACCTTTCACTGTTTGAGCACTGAACAATCAGGTCAACACATTAATGAACTAAAAAAAAATCAATGACATATTGTATAACTCTCTGCTTTCTAAAGCAGAGCAAATTTAATAAATGAAACATTTTCATTATAACCCAGGCTCATTGTTCTGAACACGAATCTTCACCCTGGACTTTAATGCAGGCAAATGCTTAAGGTTCCAAATGCTTCCCACAGAACCAGGCCGTGGTTGGTAGGCCCAACGGCCCTCTTGTGACTTTGTGTGGCTATTGATATGAATATATTTTAGGCTAATATTTTCTACTTTGTCCAAGTGGATTTTGTTCTCTCCTGTCACAAAAACAGGATATAGTGATGGAAGGGTCAAGGGCTTTATGAAACCTGTGCTAGAATTCTGGTTTTAACACCAGCTTTTTCTATTTTAGTAAGTTCCCTCTCTGAATCTCAGCATCTTTGCTGTAAAAAGAGGCCAAGAAGGCCTATGTTTCAGCGGGAACGACTTTGCAAGAAATGTGGTAGATGACAGACATTTAAAACCCTGTCAATACAAATATTTTTGATGTAACTCATCTGTGCTCAAGCCCATGGAAGCTAAAACCATGATTAAGACACAGCCCTGTGTTTAAGCAGGTAAACCATGTAACAGAGGGAGTTGCAATGTCATGAAATAACGAGGCAGGAAGAGGAGGATGGTGTCCTGGAGGTTTTGAGAGTTGATGAGAACAAGAAGGAACGCTCAGAATGACTTCTGAGTGAAGAGAATGGGAATGTGTTTTGGAGAAGGTGGTGTTCATGGTGGGGGGTCAGGCATAAGCGAATTTCACCAGGTGAAGGTGGAGCTGAAGGTACTGATGTGAGGAGTCGAGGGGGTTAGTGCTGGCTCCCACTGGAGGACAGCCCTGGGGAAGCAGCTGGGCCCTGTGGGGTCACAGCACAAGGTAGGAGGTGAAAAGAGTACCATGAGAAGAGGCTGGAAACACAGCTGGGGCACAGGAGGCTGGAGTTTGGGCTTCTGTCTGTAGTTGAGGGTTCTGAGCAGTGCCAGGGAAGGTGTCAGTCGTCATGGAATGTGAACAGCCAGACAGGGCAGCCAGGAAGCCAGGGCCACCTCAATCAACGCATCCCTTCATCTTCTCTTGTCCTTTTTGCTGATTATTTTACGCTTCCCACCCCACTCCCCTGCCTCTCCCAGCCCCTCATCTTTAGGCGTATTTCTCAGATGCTTCTGTATTTCTCAGCTTCTACCTCAAGAATTTTGGCTTCTTTACCCATCACATCACACTCAGTGAGAAATCTCTTATTTCTGATCTGGGCCTGGACACACATTCATTCAACAAGAATTTGTTGGATATCTGTGTGGTACATTATGTGGTAATTTGATTTTGCGTATTATCCAAAGAAAAATTCTTTTTGTACTACCTGTGGTTCACTAGTTTTTTTTCCACTGTCCGTGAGATTGTTTTTTAACTTGTTTATCAGAAAGCCTTGTATCACCAGGGCTGTCAGAGCAGCCCTGCAAGCTCAGCGCATTACTTCAAGAGGGATCATTCCTATAGTATTTGATGGGGACAGTGGCCCCTGGAGTTGTGCAATGTGGTAGCTCTGTTTCAGAGAGCAGGGATACATTGTATTAGGGTAATTATATTTAAAATATTATTATGTTGCATTGCCACTGAGTATAGGAACTTTTCAGTCATTAAAGCTAGTTTATATTGATATAAACTAGGCATATAGCTAGTTTAAATGTTTTGTGTGTTTTATGACAAACTAATATGAGAGGCTTGCTGCATAGTTATGGTCCTGGGGAGTCCCAGGTCTGCCACTTATTAGCTGTGTGACCTTGAACGTTTTACTTAATCTCTCTGAGCCTCAGCATCCTCATCTGAAAGATGAAGAAAATGCTATGAAGCTCTGAGAGTTCATGCAAAGATTAGCAACCATAGATGAGTTCTAAAGGTGTGACTGTAGAGAGGATCTTCAAATGGTAACAATTCAAACTTTACAAGGACTGACTTATTTCTGTATTCCCTATTTCTAGATATGGACTTATTCTCTCTTGACTGAGTAGCAGAGGCTAACTCAAGTCAAAATGAACAAATAGGATGCATAATTTATTAACCAGATTTTAGGGTTGTCAATGATACATCATTCAAAGATTGCAATGAATTATATTGCATGAAATATTTCCATTCTAATAAGTAAAACAAACATCAGACCTTTAAAGGAAGATCTAAGGAAGCAGGTATAACAGTGACTAGCAAATAAACTGAATAACATCAACCATCAAATTGGGGTTTCTTCATTGTGATGGTTAATACTGAGTGTCAACTTGATTGGATTGAAAGATACAAAGTATTGATCCTGGGTGTGTCTGTGAGGGTGTTGCCAAAGGAGATTAACATTTGAGTCAGTGGGCTGGGAAAGGCAGACCCACCCTTAATCTGGGAGGGCACCATCTCATCAGCTGCCAGCACGGCTAGAATATAAGAAGGCAGAAAAATGTGAAAAGAGAGACTGGCCTAGCCTCCCAGCCTACATCTTTCTCCCGTGCTGGATGCTTCCTGCCCTCAAACATTGGACTCTAATTTCTTCAGTTTTGGAACTCGGACTGCCTCTCCTTGCTCCTCAGCCTGCAGTCAGCCTATTGTGGGACCTTGTGATCGTGTGAGTTAATTCTTAATAAACTCCCCTTTATATATATATACATATTCAATTAGTTCTGTCGCTCTAGAGAACATTGACTAATACGTTCATCCAGTGTAAAAGGGAAAGTAAAATAATTACTGTAACAAAGGAGAATATCTCCAAGCCAACCTGCATTATTTCATAAAATATTTATCTTTATACATGGTGTTCAAGTTTTCCTTTGAAAGAATGGATATATTTTATTTAAAGGTATTAGCAGGTTTCCATGACTACGACCTCTGGAGGAAGGGGATAACTTTTTTTAAACCTTCCTGTGTACTACTCAGTTCCAATTATGTACCAAACCAGCTGGTTCAATGCATTCTCAAGAACTTTAAACATAGCAATAAAGGCAAAAAAAAAAAAAAAAAAGAAGCACACTTTATGATGTGCTGTCAGCTAGAGACAGCTATGAGAAAAGTGAAGAGAGTTTTCTTCTTTTTAAGTGAAGGAGGCTATAGTACTCAGTGGGTGTTTGTCCAATCCACCGAGCAAGTCAACAATATTTCTGCAAACAAATCTCAGACCTCCTGTTTGTCAATTCTTCATCAAGCTTATCTCTTTCCATAAAATCAGCTCTTTCTCATTGCATCTGAAGCTCTCCCCCAGCAAAGGAAAATCCCTATGCATTAAATTTATTGGCTTTGGCTTACCTGAACAAAGTAAAATAAAATACAACTTTAAGCTGGGCACGGTGGCTCATGCCTGTAATCCCAGCTCTCAGGGAGGCAGAGGCGGGAGGATAGCTTGAGCTGGGGAGTTCGAGACCTGCCTGGGCAATATAGCGAGACCCCTTTCTCCACAAAAAGGGAGAAAAAAAAAGACAAAATACAACTTTAAAAGAAAGAATTTATCAATAAGATTGAAATGAGTCATGAGGGTGAAAGGAGAGTCTTCTCTTTTTCTGAAAGTGAGGAAAGAGAAACCTGGAGGCAATGATCTCTTAGGCCACTTGCAATTCCAAATATTTTGAAATTAGAGAAAATTTGGAGCAGGGAATATCTGCAGATGAGTCAGTAACAATGTGTTTTTCAGATTCTACCTTCCTTATTCCAAAATATGGCAGCCTCAGGCAAAATTGTCCATGCCATCAGGCGCCAATTCTCACGTAACTACAAAAATGAGACCTTTGTATTTATTTTAATGTTTTCAGTTGGCTGCTTTGAAACACCCTGAGTCAGGTAGTCATTCACTGTGCCTCATGAGAATCTGCTATGGTACCAGCAACCTCGTTCAGCACTGGGCTTGCAGGTGAGACAGGATGGGAATGAGCTACGTGCTGTCCTCACTAAAGCACAGAGTGCCTCGGAAAGCAGGACCACATTTATTTAAAGCATGTAATCTTTCATTCCTCTGCCATTGTACTGAGTCTGATTCATCTGGAAATTGTGGTGGAAACTTAAAATCACATTGGTAGAGGGGCAGAAACATTTGTTTAATTCAATGTATTCCCAGTATATGTTTAAAAGTCATTCCCCCAGTGCTCCTGTCTCCGCCCACTTGTGTTCCTGAGCATTGAGCTCCCATTTGGATCCCTCCATGGCAAGCGCAGTGGTGGAAAACATGGCCCAGGCCCTGCCATGTAGAATACACGTGTGAAATTTCAAACAGTTATGTATTGGCTGCACTGTGTTATTACTAACTTGATTTTATAAGGGACAGCAACTTTATAGTGGAAAATAACTTTCGTGTTTTACTGTCTTAGAGTCAGATACCAACTCTGACACATCCTAGGTGGCCCAAGTGGTTTATTTCTCTGGGTCCTATTTCTCTCATCTGTGAAATGGAGTGATAATAACTACTTCAAATTTCTATGCTGAGGCTGGGTGTGGTGGCTCACGCCTATAATCCCAGTATATTGGGAGGCTGAAAAGGGTGGATCACCTGAACTCAGAAGTTCAAGACCAGCCTAGACGACATGGCAAACCCCTATCTTTACCAAAAGTACAAAAAATTAGCCAGGCATGGTGGTGCTTGCCTATTGTCCCAGCTACTCAGGAAGGTGAGGTGGGAGGACTGCTTGAGCCTGGGAGGCGGAGGTTGCAGTGAGCCAAGAACATGCCACTGCACTACAGCCTGGGTGACAGAGTGAGACCCATTTCAAAAAAAAAAAAAAAGTTATATGCTGAGACCTTGAAGAGATAATTTATGTACCTGGTATGTAATATACATTCAATAAATGAGCTCCCATCCCCACTTTTTCCCTGAGACAACTTGTGTTCTTCAAACTTAGAAGTGTTATGTAGCTTTAAAAACACTGAACAGAATTAAAACTTAATTTTGCATACAGAAATTTCTGTATCCCCTATTAAGTAACTGGAAACATCACTGCAAAAAAACTATAAAATCTATATTTTGTTATTTTCTTATCTATCTAGGATCTATTGGGGTGAAGGGAACTTTCCACCCATCCTCTGAAGGTTCGATCTCTGTAATAAACTTGATAACTTGATAGTAGAGAGATTAACAGAAGAAACAGCATATAAACTATGTGCATATGCATAGGAGTCCCCAAAAATATGAGACTCAGAGAAGGGCCAGATGGTTGACTCTTAAATATCATTTTGAGCTACAGAGAGAAATAGGGGCTTCAAGGCTCCTGGAGGGTGGTGGTGACAGGCTATGGGAGGGTTGGTAGAGTGAATGCACTATGAACAAAAGTGGTCTTATTATGCAGACAAAGTCTCTCAGGCAGCAGAATAGACAAAACAGAAGAATAGATGAAAAGTCTGTCTGCATGTAGTGTTTTGGGTGGGGAGGTCTTTAATATGCTCTCCTGCACCTTCTCTGGTTAATTTAGATTCCAAGGAAGGCGTTTAGAGCAAATGCATTTTTTCTTCTGGTGGAACTTTCCTTACAGTCAGACATGGAGACTCCAAAGAAATCCCCTTCCTGTGCTTTAGGAGAGGCAGAGGGGCAAAAGACACAGGACAGAAGAAAGTCAAAGCAACCTTGATTCTAAGGCTTCTTTAGTTGGAAGTACTCAGCATGTCAAAGAGGCATGCCTTGGGGTATTGTTTTCTGAGCGGAAGCAGATCCCAGGATCTGAATATTTGATTAATCTGCAATCCTGAAAAGTCACTCAGGGGATCCTCTAGACAGAACAAATTACAAGAGAATCTCAAAAATGTTTTTGGTTGAAGGAACCATATGAAAATAATAAAATGTATTGCATATAAGGGCAATTAATTTTAAACCCATACTGGGAATAAATTGAATTGAATAAATGTTTCCTGTTGTACTGAAGATAAAAATAGGCTTTGAGTTCAAAGATCTGCATACAAGGTCTAGATCTCCTGTGTATTGTCTCTGTAAAGAACCGAAAAATATTCAGCCTCTCTGAGCCTCAGTCCCCTCATCTTCAAAATATGACATTTAAGTGGGGTCTCCCAGACTTGATAACCAATGGAGTGAATTAGCAAAAGCTGCCACACTATTATTCATCTTGAATAAAATAAAAGACAATCAAGAGAGATTAAGAGATTGCTATAAGGCAGATGACAATAAGGCCAGAAGAGAAAGCATCTGAAATGTTCTGACCCATAAATTACGAATGTTTGCTACCGGCAGGAATACTTAAAAGAAATGAACACTCAGTTTTTGCCCTTTAAAGGCACTCATTGTCAAGATATGGGGTGTTTTGTAGACTAGAACAATAGAGCAACCTCCACCCAACCTCTCCTTTCACCCCAGTCATCACAACTCAGGGCCTCATCAAATAAAAATTCCTTTTTTCTAATTGGATGCCACTTTTCTACTCTAGGCAGCAACTTGTTCATACAAAATGTAACATAAGCCAAAATTTAAAATTGGTAGAAATATGCAAATTTTGAGTTCAATTTACGGTGAAAAATAGTCTTACAAGCAGTCATGTGGATGTAGTGTGTGCAATGATAATAAGAAATGAGGGAGACCACAAGGCTATTGATTAGGGTTTCACAAATGACTCATTAGAGCCCTATTCCTTCACCAGATTGAAATATAATGTTTAGAAGGCATCAGGAAACTTCAAAGGCAGGAGTATTTTGGCTTTACCAATGACTAACAGCCAGAAACACTAGACTATACCATTTCTTTTTTTTTGTTATTTTTAGTAGAGACGGGGATTCACCGTGTTAGCCAGGATGGTCTCGATCTCCTGACCTTGTGATCCGCCCACCTCGGCCTCCCAAAGTGCTGGGATTACAGGCGTGAGCCACTGCACCCAGCCTAGACTATACCGTTTCTTATCCTTCAATCCCCAGTAACCAGACCAGATGAAGTTGTTTATTTGGTAACTTACCCACCCATGATAAGTGACAACTATGAGCTAAGTGCTGGCACAGGTAGTTATGAAGACCTAGGCAGTCCACCCCTTCACAAAGGTGGATCTAAGCATGACTCCAAGGCATGGAGCCCACTGGCCAGATTTTCCTTACCTCCCCTTCCACTGACCATCCTTGTTTCTTTCAACTAGTGAGTTCTGTGCTAGCTTCAGGCTCTAGGCATGCCCTTCTCTTCTGTCCATACCAAGGAATTGTGGATGGAAAGTGACCTGGTGATAAAAACCCATCTTCCTTAAAGTACCCTCCCTGCTTCCAAACCCCCAGCTTTTTTCAACTCAAACAATGCCCAGATTTAAAAAAAAAAAAAAAAAAGGCTGTTGATGGAATGCATGATTACAGAACAAATGAAAAGTGAGTTAAAAGAGTTGTGGGGGAACACTTAGTCTGGCAGCTGTATGATCTCACACTTTTGTGGCTGTGACTTTTGTAATTGTGGTATTCTTAAGTATAAAATACAGGAAATATTGATATTGAGGTTTTTTTTTTTTTTTTTGGAGACGGAGTCTCGCTCTGTCGCCCAGGCTGGATTGCAGTGGCACGATCTCAGCTCACTGCAAGCTCCGTCTCCCAGGTTCACGCCATTCTCCTGCCTCAGCCTCCCGAGTAGCTGGGACTGCAGGCGCCTGCCACCACGCCTGGCTAATTTTTTGTATTTTTAGTGGAGACGGGGTTTCACCATGTTAGTCAGGATGGTCTCGATCTCCTGACCTCATGATCCGCCTGCCTCGGTCTCCCAAAGTGCTGGGATTACAGGCATGAGCCACCACGCCCAGCCTAAGCTGTATTTTTTTTAATGTGTTCAGTAGCTGTTAAAATAAGATTTTGTACATCCAACAGGTAAAATATTTTGTTACTGTTCAGTATCTTGCAAAAAATATTTTTTAGACTTTTTGTCAGGCTTATTATGACATGCTTAATAAATTAGGCATAGCCATTACATAACAATTTCACCTTTATGCATTTATATGAATTTATCTTCATTTCTTAGACAAGATTTATCTACTTATAACTGCACTTTCACTCATTTGAGTAACAGAGGTTGGTTGTAGAATGTAATCAATTATAGATTCCCTTCCAAGTCATCAGTCATGCTAATAAAATGAAGACAATCATTTTAAGAATTATTTTCAAGTGTTAGCAGAGAGCTACAAATTTACAGCATGACCATTGACCCAGTGACTCATCTCCATTACAGTTATGGGTGAACTTGCAATTTGGAAATAGAAAATGTTACCTCTGTTACCAGCATGTCCAAGCCATCACCCCATTTTATCCTGGGAGTGTTCATGTATCAGATTTTCTTCCTTCTGATTAGGCAGCAGGAATTTATTGGGTGTTTAATGTGTCTAAGCCATGCAATAGGTTTTGTAGAGGATTCAATAGAGGTTAAAAAGACATCAAGAGCAAAGATATGCTCTCTGCCCCCTTTTCACGCATTTGTGTTTTACCACCTCCAGGAGACTGCCCAAAGACTCTTCAGTATCATGGAGTTGGTAAAGCACAGATGCATGAATAATTCAACGTGTAAGCTATCTAAAGAAGCACCTTGATTAGAGGAATCAATGAGAGGAGAACATTTAAAAACAGATGTGCTTACTTATGCCTTCCAGTGTTTGCATTGTTTTTCTTGTATTTTGCTTGTGTTATTCATTAGAAGGAATTAGAGGTTCCTCCCACACAGCATAAATGTTCTCACTGCATGACCTTGAAATAATCAAGCTTTGTTTATACTGCAGAAACTGATATTGGTACACATTTAGCTCAAAACAATTTTAACTTTACCACAATCAGAAGGAAAACATTATGAAAACAGTCAAGTAAACATAGGACAGTGGTTCTCTTAATGTATACAAGGATTATCTATCTGAGATTAGTTTACAAATGACTTTAGACATTCTGACTCAATAGAACACTCCACCCTCAGACATTCTTACTCAACAGAAGAAGTCACTTTGATTCGGTAGGTTTGGGATGAGCCTTGAAAAATCTGAATTTTAAGGTTCATTCTAAGTGACTGAGATGCAGGAAGCCCAAAAGCATCCTCTGGGATGTTGTGCTACAGAACCTAATGAATGTCACAGAGATGCTAGCTTTGTGCTGTTTTTCAAAGAGCTGAACAAAATAGCATTATGTCAGTCCTGGATGTTCTTATTAAAAAACTTGGTTTAGGTAACTGCTGATATCAGTTTAAACTGACAAACCAAATTCTTACACTCGTAGAGTAATATTCTTAGGCATTCCTTTAAGTTTCTTTCATTATATGAGCCGGAGTCCAGCTACAGTTCGCCAAACAATAACGAACTGTCTCACGATCCTTCTGTCTTCTGTATTTCTAGGTCGTCCCTAAGAAAGCATCAACAACTGAGTGGTTTAAACACAATGATTTGGCCAGGCGCGGTGGCTGACGCCTGTAATCCCAGCACTTAGGGAGGCCGAGGTGGGTGGATCATGAGGTCAGGGGTTCGAGACCAGCCTGACCAACATGGTGAAACCCCATCTCTACTAAAAATACAAAAATTAGCTGGGCGTGGTGGTGGGCACCTGTAATCCCAGCTACTCAGGAGGCTGAGGAAGGAGAATTGCTTGAACCTGGGAGGCGGAGGTTGCAGTGAGGCGAGATGGCACCACTGCATTCCAGCCTGGGCGACAGAGCGAGACTCTGTCTCAAAAAAACAAAAACAAAAACAAAAAAAACCACAAGATTTATTCTCTAACAGTTCTGGAATCTGAGTCCAAAATCAAGGTTTCTGCAGAACCATGCTCCCTCCAGAGTCTGTATTTGCCTCTTCCTAGTTTCTGCAAGTGGCCATTGGTCTTTGGCAATCCTTGATATTCTTTGTCTCGTAAATCATCACCCCAATTTCTGCCTTCATCTTCTCATGGTGTTCTTTTTGCATAAGTGTGTTTTCTCTGTGTCTAAATTTCCCATTTTTATAAGAACACCAGTTATATGGCAATAGAGCCCACCCTGATGACCTCATTTCAACCCACTTACCTTTGTGAAGAACCTGTTTTCAAATAAGCTTACAGTCTGAGAAAATGGAGTTTAAAACTTCAACTTATCATTTTTTAGGGAGTGGGCACAATTCAATCCAGAACATTTCCCTTCCCCTTAATTCTGTTGTTGGATATATTTAAGCACTCAGAAAAATTTAGGTACAGGAATAGAAAAGTTGATTGTGGTTCTGGTGACGGTGATGTGTGGATACATCTGGCTGACTTCTTATAAAAGTATAAAATTACCAATTATTTTTTCTTTATGGAGTGACACTTTTCAGTTGTGCCCATGAAAAATGTTTGGACTGGACTGTGTTAAATGAAGGAAACTTGCTGTAACCTCATCCTGGGGTTAAGTCAGTTCCTTAAAATTGATTGCCTTATATTTTCAGTATTCTTTTTTCTCTACTTAAAGTAAATTGACTTCTCCTATCCATCTTTTTTTCTTTAGATTTTTGGTTTTTTCTTTCATGTTACTTACAAAAAAAAAAAAACTAACACAAAATCCTTTTTAGGATCTCACATTCATCCTAACATTAGATCCTGGAAAACAACGTTTTATTCTCTCCTTAAGTATTTGGATTAAAATAAAATTTGCCAAATTGTCAAGACTTAAAGGCAGAGCCTCTGATGATTCTGTCAGTTGTTCTTAATCCCTTAGTTATTAAAATTTTTAAAATAAACTCCAAGTCAGATAAGAATTTTTTTTATATTTGATGTTTGGTCAAATTTGACAACATTTAAATTTTTCATCATTTTATATAGTAAGTGAGCAGACTGTGAAGTTATTCTGCCATGCAGTTCTTCACATAGCATTGACTCATGGAGATCTTTGTGCAGCTTACCACCTGTGAAGGCATGTGTAGCGTTTGCAATAACTTCACTCTGTAGTTAACCACAAGAGGAGGTTTTTTTTTTTTTTTTAGACAGTCTTGCTCTCTCACCCAGGCTGGAGTGCAGTGACTTGATCTCGGCTGACTGCAACCTCTGCCTGCTGGATTCAAGCAATTCTCATGCCTCAGCCCCTCGAGTAGCTGGGATTACGGGTGCCTCCCACCTCGCCCAGCTAATTTTTTTTTCTGTATTTTTAGTAGACAAGGGGGTCTCCCCATGTTGGCCAGGCGGATTTTGAACTCCTGACCTCAAGTGGTTTGCCTGCCTTGCCCTCCCAAAGTGCTGGGATTACAGGCATGACCCACTATGCCTGGCCATAAAAGAGAAGGTTTTGAAGGAGATAATATGCACAAAAGCCAGAAGGAGAACCAGAATGAGAATGTGCTAAATATGAAAACAGAAAGCTAACCATAGCTATTGGGAGTTTCTCTATCAGGGAAAGTGCACAACTATTTGTATCCTGAATAAAAGATAGACATTGGCTTATGAAGCTTGCCATTGAAAAGAAAGAAAAAAAATGAAAGTAGAAAAGGAAAGGGAAATACTATTCTTTAATTGCTAGAAAAGAAGGAGAACTATAGCAGAGAAGATGCCATCTAAAGAGTAATTATTTTTATTATTAACATGGTACTTTTTGGGCCACCAGCACATGGAAGAGTCTCAAGTCTTTCTCTGGGCTCAGTGATACTCTCTGGATGATGGCTTATATCATCATATTTCTTTGTTCATGTTGTGTGATATCACAATGATGAGGCTCTAAAAACGGGTGTCAGGCAATGTCACAAGACAGGATTGAAGTCCTCAGCCCTTGCAAAGCAGGCTGTTCTTCATGGGCTGGATAGACCCAGCTCCCAGAATGCATAGATCAGAAATCCTGTTTGGCAAGTTTTCATTAAACATCATCCTTAGGAACCTGTTTGCATTTCGTATCCAGTTGTGGGGATACACATTTATTAGTATAAATAATATATGTTTGTCAAACAATACATGAAAACTTTTAAATACCCAGGTTAAAAAAAAATCTTTACAACTAAAAAGTCATTGGGATAGGAATAATTTATCCACAGAGGGGAAACCCTTAATTTAATATATTTAATACATTGAACTGAAATGAACTTTCTTGATTATTCAATACTGTATATAAATGTCAAAAGCCAAACATCCAACTTTTACCTTCAGTGATCTTGCTGAGAAAATCGTGGTTTTAAGATGGTCATGTTTCATGATAAATTCCCTTATGACTTTGTGGTTTAAAAATAAATCATGTTTGAAAACCACTTCAGCATTTATTATTATATCTTTTTATTACATGTATGTTGTCTTTCCTCACACAAAGTGTTTCAACTCCTCTTGTCTGAGTACATTACACTGTTTTCCTATAAAATTGAATTTATGACATTCCTGCCTTATACTAAGTACTTAAAAATCCTCATAATCTCAAATTTTCTACAACTGGAAATGTCTCTGTATCTCCCATGACTAACACAGTATATGGAAAGTAGTATTTGTTGATTAAATCTTTGTTGGATAATAATAAAGTAATTCATTGTGAACACAGAATGAGTTCAATGATGCTACTGAAACCAACATGGCTACTAACAAGTTTATCCATACAGAAGGGTGACAGAATATAAATGCATTCATATCATGGATATCCTTGAAAGCCATGGTCAGGAGCTCATGCATTTATGTGTAGAAAATGAAGAGCTATTGCATATTTTGATTTCTACTGTATCTTAGAAAAACAAGGAACTTCCGGCAGAGTGGGGCACAGTTAAGGATGGGAATGAGCATTAGTTTGTGACATAGGGGGAAAAAAGGGTGAATGAGTGCCCCACAAATGTCAGAATTAGAGGGACCATTTGGAGGCATGTAGAAGGTGGAGAATCAAGGAAATGGAGCAACTCAGTATATCTAGTAGAGTCAGAGAATACAGCCAAAACAACTGAAATTTGAACAAAGAAAGAAGAAAGGGTGGGGCACTCCCTAGATAAATAAAATGGGGGAATTAACATTTCTAGAATAGAAGAGTCACAAGTGTGAAAACACGAAGCAATCGTCAGATGTAGGTTGGTTGGAGCAATGGTCCTTAGAAAAGAAACCAACATTTCATTCTCTCCTTAAGTATTTGGATTAAAATAAAATTTGCTGAGTGTCAGCAGTTGAGAGTGAACAGGATTGAATGGCATGAGAATGCCATGGAACTTGATCCTGCCAGTAACGGGAGACTTTCAATGATTTTAAATGGAAGAAGCATGATCATATCCAAAGAAAGAAAGCCAGGAAGGAAGCTATGGCAGTTCTACGGAAGATGAAATATAGTAATAACAGTTAACACTCAATTCCACTTCCCATGTGCAAGGTGCAGGTGCAAGCAGTTTACATTTATTCACTTAATCTTCACGGCAAAGGACAAAGTTAGGGGCTCTTATCACCACTGCTTTTCAGATAGGGAAACGGAGCAGCAAGCTGGATGCAGTACTCTAAATTATTGTGCTATTTAGTCTCCAAACAATACATGTATAAAAATAAACATGTTGCATACAACTGTCATGAAGTTATCACAAATTTTATATTCAAAATATAAAAAATTTAACTGAAGCTATTCATAAAGTGTAGTAGAGTTCTGTATAATTTATTTTACAATTTCAGTGAAAATGAACTTTATTTTATCCTAAATGGCTTTATGACAAATTATCTTATGTCTATTTTTCAATAGTGTTTTTTTTCTGATATTCCCTTGAGTGCCTTTGGTTTTGATCACAACTTTAGTCATTCTATGGGTTATTAGGACCTATTAATTCAGTTTACATTTCCTAATATTATATCAAAATTATAATCTGATTAAGAAAAGAGAGACAGGATACAAAATCAATGTGCAAAAATCATAAGCATTCCTATACACCAACAACAGACAAACAGAGAGTCAAATCATGAATGAACTCCCATTCACAATTGCTACAAAGAGAATCAAATACCTAGGAATACATCTAGCAAGGGAAGTGAAGCACCTCTTCAAGGAGAGCAACAAACCACTGCTCAAGGAAATCAGAGAGGACACAAATGTAAAAACATTTCATGCTCATGGTTAGTAAGAATCAATATCTTGAAAATGGCCATAATGCCCAAAGTAATTTATAGATTCAATGCTATACCCATTAAACTACCATTGACATTCTTCACAGAATTAAAACCATTATTTTAAAATTCATATGGAGCCAAAAAAAAGCCTGTATAAACAAGACAATCCTAAGCAAATAGAACAAAGCTGGAGGCATCACACTACCCAACTTCAAACCATACTATGAGGCTACAGTAACCAAAACAGCATAGTACTGGTACAAAAACCAGATACATAGACTGTATTAGTCCATTCTCACACTGCTATGAAGAAATACTTGAGACTGGATAATTTATAAAGGAAAGAGGTTTAATTGACTCACAGTTTCACAGGACTGGGGAGGCCTCAGGAAACTTATAATGATTCCAGAAGGGGAAGCAAACACATCCTTCTTCACATGGTGGCAGCAAGGAGAAGTGCTGAGCAAAAGGGGAAAAGGCCCTCATAAAACCATTAGATCTCCTGACACCTCATTCACTATCATGAGAACAGCATGGAGGTAACCGTCCCCATGATTCAATTAGCTCCCACCAGGTTGCTCCCATAACATATGGGTATTATGAGAACTACAAGATGAGATTTGGGTGGGGACAGAGCCAAAGCATATCACAGACCAATGGAACAGAATAGAGAACTCAGAAATAAGACCAGACACCTACAACCACCTGATCTTCAACAAGCCTGACAAAAACAAGCAATGGGGAAAGAATTCCCTATCTAATAAATGGTTCTGGGAAAATTGACTAGACTTTTGCAGAAAATTGAAACTGGACCTCTTCCTTACATGTATTACAAAAATTACCTCAAGATGGTTTAAAGACTTAAATGCAAAACCCAAAACTATAAAAACCCTAGAAGAAAATCTAGGCAGTACCATTCAGGACATATGCATGGACAAAGATTTCATGATGAAAATGTTGAAAGCAATGGCAACAAAAGCAAAAAATTGACACATGGGATCTAGTTAAACTTAAGAGCTTCTGCACAGTGAAAGAAACTGTCATCAGAGTGAATATACAACCTACAGAATGGGAGAGAGCTTTTGCAATTTATCCACCTGACAAAAGTCTAATATCCAGAATGTACAAGGAACTTAAACAAATTTACTACAAAAAAATCCCATTAAAAAATGGGCAAAAGATATGAACAGACACTTCTCAAAAGAAGACATTTATCCTGCCAACAAACCTATGAAAAAAAGCTAAACATCAACGATCATTAAAGAAATGCAAATCAAAACCACAATGAGATACCATCTCACTCCAGTCAGAATGACGATTATTAAAAAGTCAAGAAACAGCAGATGCTGACAATGCTGAGGAGAAATAGGAATACTTTTACCCTGTTGGTGGGAATGTACATTAGTTCAACCATTGTAGAAGACAGTGTGGTGATTCCCCAAAGACCTAGAACCAGAAATACCGTTTGACCTGGCAATCCCATTACTGGATATACACCCGAAGGACTATAAATCATTCTATTGTAAAGATATATATACGTGTATGTTCATTGCAGCCCTATTCACAATAGCAAAGGCATGGAATCAACCTAAATGCCCATCAGTGATGGACTAGATAAAGAAAATGTGGTACATATACACTATGGAAAACTTTGCAGCCATAAAAAGGAATGGGATCATGTCCTTTGCAGGGACATGGATGGAGCTAGAAGCCATTATCCTCAGCAGAAAACCAAACACCACATGTTTTCACTTATAAGTGGGTGCTGAACAATGAGAACATGTGGACACATGGAGAGGAACAGATCACACATTGGGGCCTGTCAGGTGGAGTATGCTGGGGGAGGGAGAGCATCAGGAAAAATAGCTAATGCATGCTGGGCTTAATACCTAGGTGATGGATTATAGGTGCAGCAAACCACCATAGGACATGTTTACCTATGTAACAAACATGCGCACACTGCCCATATGTCCCAGAACTTAATTAAGAAAGGAGACAAAGTAAACATTTATTTAAAGAAAATTCTCAAGGCCAGCTTATATGCTTAATACCACTTTTAGTAATTGCTGAATTGAAAATAATAAAAATATTCAGGTTGAGGCAAGTGAAACTGATTTGTGTTAGTCAACAAACAGTTTGATAATTTGACATTTTATTCAATAAATATGTTCGTTACTATAACATAGATGAAAAGCTTTAAATGGTTAAGCTGAGATTATTAAATTAATTTACAGACACCTCTCAAAGTTTTCAACTTTAACTGAGCAGTTTTAGACTTCATCTCCAGATTCAATTTAGCAAATATTTATTAAAATTGTGTTATATACCGAGCAGAGACCAGGCAATCACCACAGAAAGGAGAGGATGGATGAAGCATGACTGGAATTCTCATGGAGCTTCTATAGCGAGTGAAGAAGTAAAGAAGAATACAAATCACTATAGTGCAAGATCAAATAAAGTAAATGTCAAATAGAGTATGAACAAAACACTCAGAAGAAAGTAATAGGCTTTGACCAGAGAAATCAGAGAAATTTGCTTGTGGAATTTAACCTGAGCTTTGAAAGGTGAACAGGGTTTCAGTAGCTGGGAGTCAGAGGAAAGAAACTCCAAGTTGGAATAACAGCTCAGCACGTGCAGCATTGTGAAAATACAGTGCATGTTGAGGAAATACAAGTAGTTTAATGAAACAAATATGCGACTGAAAGTTGTGAAACAAAGTCAGGGAGGGCATTCAAGATGACACTGAATTGTTAATGCTTTTCACCCAAAGACCACCAGTAATATACCTGTAGTTAAACAAATTTTGTTACTACACATTGCAGCGAGAGAGAACACACACCATGGGCAACTGTGGGGTATCTCGGTAGGAGGGTGCTAGAAGGAAACTATTAGAGCAGAGGTTCCAACCCTGATGGCCTGTTAGTAACCAAGCTGCACAGCAGGAAGTGAGTGGTGGCTGAGGAGCATGACCGCCGGAGCTCCACCTCCTGTCAGATCAGGGTGGCACAAGATTCTCATAGAACACTAACCCTATTGTGAACTGTGCATGCGAGGGATCTAGGTTGTGCACTCCTTATGAGAATCTAGATAATGCCTGATGATCTGCAGTGAAACAGTCATCCTGAAGTCATCTGCTGCATTAGAAGATTGAAGGTTTGCTTGGGTAATTTCAGGGTGGTCTAAGGGGTGGGGAGGTGTGTTCTGAATGCTGTCAGAGAGTAATGGCAAATCTCTGATTGTGTATCTCAATAAGTCTTATCCATAGGGAGGAGTGACTACATTGAGGATAGAAATGCAATTGATAAAGCCATAGCAATTGCTTATGTTATGCCAAGAGGGGATGTTTGGTATTTTGGTGGAGGCGCAGTGACCTTGATTTTGTCATTGCTTAGGCAACGTTATAAAATACCCTTGCTTTGTCTCACTTTGTTATGGTCTCAGAGTGACTTTTATCTGAGGTGCATATGTTCTGAGATTGTTTATACACAAGAGAATATCTGAGTGTGAGGCTGGCTTCTAAATGACAGGGATGCTCTTTTTTTCTCTGTCAAGACTTATAGTAGTATTCTATATGTAGTCAGAGTCGAAGACTTGTGAGATAAGAATTAATACCTTCTGACTTTATTGTGCTTTGAAGAGCAGCAAGTGGAGTGTAGAGAGAACACAAGCCAGGAGAGCCATTGCAACAGTTCAGAAAAGCAAGGAGGCCTAAACCAGACTGAATGGAGAGCAGGACCACTGGGGTCCAGGAGGATGTGCAAGGGCTTTGGACTCATAAGTGGGACAGGAGGAAGTAAAGGAAAGTAAAGGAGTGATGAAATGAGTTCACAATTTTGCCAGGGGCTGGCACTCCTACATGCTTAACATCTTCAGATTCCCTGCCAACACTGGAAGCTGCCAATCATGGGTCACTTTTGGTTAACTTCTGTCCAAGGTCATTCAGAGCATTGCTTCTGGAGGAATAGAAACACCTTCCTTTATAAATTGCCAACCTCACAGACACAGAACATGCTTTAGAGAAGCTCTCTGAGTTTAGGAAAGCTCTCAAGTTCTCTGAAAGCTGAGTAGGAGGAAGGCATCACTTCCAACAATTAGGTATTCAGGTGAAAGTTGTTTACAGATGTTAACACGTTTGCCATAGACAATGTGTTTTATTTACTGTAATTTATAGTACATTTTATTATATTTTAAATCGTTATTTTCCTATACTATTTACTATATTTATTTACTCTATTTTAGTTCATTATTTTGGACCCATTTGGCCCTTTCATTCCATGTTCTTCACCAATTTTTTTTTCTTGTCATAGTCAGATGGATAAGAAGTAACTGCCTTTGAACACACATGTGATCATATATAACGTGGATTAAGAGAGTGACAATGGTTTCCTTAAGTCATGCCACACATCCTCTAGAGTTGAGTCTCATATGTGTTTGCAAATAGTAGGCCTGTGTAAATGGATAAAGATTGCCTATGGGAAATGATTTTCTGGTTATGAGAAATTAGGGTGGATGGAAAAGATGAGCTCTAATCATAATAGGCCAAAATGGATGACTCTGAGTTAGATCTGCTCAAATACTAATATGCATATGAGTCACTTGGAAAGCTTGTTAAAATGGGGAGTCTGATTTGGTGGGTTGAACAAGATCGAGAATTTGTGTTTCTAACAAGTTACTGACCAATGGCAATGCTGTTGGTCTGGGGACCATACTTTGAATAGCAAAGCTGTTTGTCTTTGCATTTACTTAGTTTGCTGACTATTCAATACTCTGTGAGCTCTGGTTCAGTTTCTCCTAAGGTTCTGTATTTTCTTCGTCTTATTCCTCTTTGTCTAACATATATAGTGTCTCTTTATTCCTTTCTTCTACTCTCACCTGCTTTTCTTGCCCCAAAAGAAAAGCCTTAGTAAATTTACTTACTTTTTTACTTTACACTGAAAGAAACACACCGAAGTTTGGAAATTAGACAAGAAAAGTGCAGCATTCAAGGGATGTTGATTCATATATCTGTATTGTATATTCTGTTTTGTATTATACTTCACATATCTCAATGCAAATTTGAGTTGCTGGAGTGAAACACTGGGAAGATAGGCCCTCCTTGAAGTTCAGTATCTTTATATCCTGGAAAGCATCTGCATTCATGAAGCAGATTCTTGATTAAATTTCTATACATTATCTTGAATATATTGATTATATTTAGCTATGGTCTCATTATTCTCTCAATTAAATGTGTCATGGTAGTAAGAGTTTAATTTTCTACCTCTAAAATGAAATAATGAAATCTATACATAAGAAAGAGAGAGAGAAAAAAACAAAAACAAAGGAAGGACGTCTCTTTTTCTTCTTTCCTGGGAGCATCTCAGCCACATTTCTTTATAGTCTTGAAGATTTTCAGTAAATACTTTTACTTTTTCTTTTTTTTTTTTTTTGGTAAAGTGAATAATATCTGAAGATAGGGAGCTTTGCATTTAAAGACCACCAACTGTGACTCCTTTTGCAAATCAAACCTTAGTTATAAAAGTTATTCTATATGATATGTTACTACTTAAATAGCTTGTGGATATTATATTTTTACCTCATTAACCCCAGCAGATATTTAGGTCCATCGTTATTGTTGTTTGTATATTGTTGAGAACCGAGGCTCAGAACTAAGACAAATTTTTCCAGAGAATCTAGCCAGAGAGTGAGGAAGCCAGCAATAAACTACCAGTCTCCCGATACATTCCAGGCCTTGTATATTTCACCTCATGGAATGATCATTTCCTAATATAGATGTTGGGCAAATTCAGGTATTTTTCTATTTGACTTAAAAATTATTCACCACTATAATACGATAGTGTAATCTAAAATTGGAGAGGAGTTACATGATAATACGCAATGTCAAGTGTGTTTTATGTAAAGAGAGATGTTATCCGTCTATCTGTATCTGTATCTATCTATCTAAAGTTTAATATTCATATTAACAGTGCAATTTATCACATGAATATGTGAACCAATGGGCCATTTTCTTTACTTGGGTAGAGATTTTTCATGCAGCATGCCTCATGCCTGGGAAACTAGTAGAATTGACTTGCTTCCTCAGAGAGTTGCAGAGGTTGCAGGAAATATTTTGAGATGATGAAGTGACAATATTTTTATAGACCACTTTGTTTCTTCCTTATATTTCTCTCTGAGTCTTCACCAGTGAACCAACTTGCCAAATACTTAAATGAAAAGTGAAAGTGAAAACGTGGGACTTGTTTCTTGCCCCTCTGCTTTGTCTAGGTAACACGAGGCAGCAATTGTCTTTGGTTTATGTACCCATCTGAGATTTATCTTTTAAAAAATTCGGTTAATGAAGAAAAGGTAACTTGGATGGTAAATAGCTCTCTTGGATTATCCATGGAACTGCTTTCTTCATCAAGTGTCTCTTCCCTTTTATGTTGGAGCAAAGGTCTTGATTCCAGATCAATCTGTTAAGAAACATAAATGTTACCATAGTAATTTTACCATAGGGAATACCATTGAAATCAGCTGTCCACATAGTTTCTGGTCAGTATTGGACACTCATGTCTCACCCTTCCCCTCAGGAGACTTGCATGTGAAGGTGGCGTGTCACGCACATCCAATGCTGTCATCTATAACTTTGACACCTACCTACCTATGCATTTTATAATATTTTTAAACCATTTTCCCATTTTATTGACATGAAGCAGTAGAATAAATCATGTGGAAAGCTAATTTTTATGTCTTTGTGAGCTTGTTTCCTTGCATCACAAATTGTGTCCCTTTGTACTTTCACAAGAAACCAGCTTTTCCATGGCTGACACAAGCCACAAATCATTGCCCCACTCATGAAGGCAGGAGGCCTGCTGGTTGTGAGAATCATTGAAGCCACATTAGAAGCTAAACCCAATTGCAGTGTAGAACGATTTAAAGGAAATTGCCTACTAGTTCAAAGAGATTCCTGAAAACTGAGTTCCATTTAGAAAACAACTTTGGTGTATTGCTAAAATTTTCAGACAACTAAAATGAAAGTGTTCAGGCTGCAGTGATCATAGCTCATTCTGGCTTGCTAGATCTACGTACAGTCTCCAGCTGGGAATGCGCCCATCCACACTATTCAAGAGTTAGAGGCCTCAGTACAGGTGGCAGCTTTGTTCAAATAAAAGAACCAAAAACAACCTAACAGTTGGTAAAAGCCCCAGCAAGAGTTTCTGTCTAATTTTTATTTTGGAAATAGTCTTCATTTCAGATTTAAGTTGGAGAATGGGGGATTATTAGTCCATAGAGACCATATTATTTCATCTATTCCTCCTGACTAAGACACTCTCCTCCAGGCTAAATCTGTTAGCTGAGATGTTTAACAGCCACTTCCAATACTGATTTCCTTCAGTCTCTGAATTCTCATAGCTGCTAGAACTTATACTGCTATTTTGTTACCTCTAATGTTTGCTTATCTTATGGCTGTGCATGTGCACACACTCGTGCACAAGCACACACACACACACACACACACTTTCAGTGAATTCAGAACTGTCTTCTGCCGAGTGCCCTCAGGGGCCATGGGAGCATAGCTCAGCCTACACAGGTTTTATATATTGGACTTTCCCTTAGCCTTTTATTGAAGAAAGAGGTTAACAACCAACAGAAGGATGAAAACCATAATGTGTCTCAGATCTTTATTTTTAACTTCTTGCAAGCATAAAGGAATGTTCTCAATACTGACCATTGGGCAGTAAATCCTAACATGGCCTTGCTTTTACGTGTTTCTTCAAAAATTTAGAAGAGGGCCTGTCTTCTCTCAAGCCCATAGTGCTACAATGAAATAAAACTTTAGACCAGGGACATTATTTGAGCAGGCTCTAGTTATTGCATCAAATTCAGTTACCACCCCCCCACCCCGCCCAGTGCCTCATACATTGTTGATGCTCCATAACTCTTCAGGGACTAATTTTACTGAACAGAACAAGTCAAGGTCACGCCTGGTCAGGTTTTTTGACGTTACAGAGTTGAGTCTGACATCTCGGCTTCTCTGGTGATTAGTTGACGCATTTAGTTCTATGGGAATGTTCTCAACACTGACCATGGAGCAGTAAAACCTAATCCGACCTTGCTTTTACCTGCTTCTTCAAAAATTTAGAAGGACAGTTTTCTGTCAAGCCCACAGTGCTGTAATGAAAGAAACTTTAGACTGCAGACAATGTTCAAGCAATCTCTAGTTATTCCCTCAACTTCAATTAATCTTTTTTGTTGAGACATAGACAGAGGGTGATGGATGCTTTGATCTAAAATTTGTAGTAATAGGTTGGTAAAAATCTAGAAAGCTGGCCGGGCACGGTGACTCACTCCTGTAACCCCAGCACTTTGAGAGGCCGAGGTGGGTGGATCACCTGAGGTCAGGAGTTCATGACCAGCCTGATCAACATGGTGAAACCCCGTCTCTACTAAAAATACAAAATTAGCCAGCCGTGTTGGCACGTGCCTGTAATCCCAGCTACTTGGGAGGCTGAGGCAGGAGAATCGCTTGAACCGGGGAGGCAGAGGTTGCAGTGAGCCAAGATTGCGCCATTGTACTCCAGCCTGGGCAACAAGAGCAAAACTCCATCTCAAAAAAAAAAAATAAAAATTATATATATATATATATACACACACACACATATATATATACACATACAGAAAGGTAGCAGTTGACCAAGTAACATTTCAAGCAGTAGAAAGAACCTTTAGAGAAGAGTGGTCCAGGAGTGAATATGACATTGGGTTCGAGTCCAGAAGCCACCTATCACTTTGCTGCCACATTTGTTCATCTCTGTCCTAGCAGAACAGCTCCCAGATCCCCTGCTGGGTTAAACACTCAGGGTGTTCAGCTGAGTAGAGAGAGTTGACAACTGTGTGCAGGTGGTGGAATTAATTAAAAAGGAAAAGATAAACAGAAAAAAGTCAGAAGAATATAAAACCGTTGGTGCACAGATGAACCTGAAGAAAAGATGGTTTTCAGTCTGTGCAAACAGAACAGGTGAAGGTAGGACTGAGATGTTGACAAACTTCTCAAAATGACATAGAACAACTGTTGACGCTTCTGAGATTGTAAAGTAATAAAGCAACTCTGGCCAAATAGTAGAGGGAGGGTAAAAAATGGGCTATCTACACAACTTTCCAAGACAGTTTATTTATTTATTTAGAGATGGAGTCTCACTCTTGTCACCCAGGTTGGAGTGCAGTGGTGCAATCTTGGCTCACTGCAACCTCTACCTCCCGGGTTCGAGCAATTCTCCAGCCTCAGTCTCCTGAGTAGCTAGGATCACAGGCGCCTACCACCATGCCCAGCTAATTTTTTTTGTATTTTTAGTAGAGACGGAGTTTCACCATGTTGGTCAGGCTAGTCTCAAACTCCTGACTTCAGGTAATCCGCCTGCCTTGGCCTCCTAAAGTGCTGGGATTAAAGGCGTGGGCCACCACACCTGACCTCCAAGACATTTTTTAACTTTTATGTTGATCCATTCATCAGAAGTGGTTTAGGAATAGTCCAGATGAAGTTTATTTTGGTGCCAGGTTTCTTTGATAGGTGATATTTGCCTGTTCTTTGCCATGTCAGGGAAAAAAAGAGCTCTATGAAGGCAGGTACTTGATGTGATGCCCTTAACTACCTATGGAAACAGCCACAGGAAAGTTATTTTTGCCAATTGTGTCGTTTCATCATTCAGATTTATTATTCTTATGCAACAAACTAATCACCTCAGACAAAACATTTTTTGCTTGGGACTTTTTTTCTTTCAGACAATAAAGACAGAAAAAAAAAAAAGTAGCCAAAAACGGACAAAGAAGCAGTTATGAAGACAGGTGTAAAAGAAAAACAGGATCTAGAGAAGTCCTCATTTTAAAATGTAACTTCATGCCGTATAACAAAGGGAAACTTCTGATGATCATAGTGTATGGTAAACAAGCCAGCCTTGAATTTGCAGTGGAAAGACTTGGAATCCTTTCCAAGACCTACTGTACTCTTGCAAGATTGTAGACAAGTCATCTTCTTATCCTTCATATTCTTATCTATGAAGTGGGATAATAATGCATAGTTTGGATGCTTATTTCAAAGACAAAATGAAAAAAAAATATGAACAAAATATCTTCCAGCATTTAAAATAGTAGGCACTTGACAAATGTTGACTGGGTTTAATTAAATAAATTGTATCACATTTATAAAGCACAAAGTATTAAACACAATGGGGTCATTTTGTTAATATGATTGGAAAATTCTGTAAACACTAGAGTTGATATATTGGCCATACTCAAATATTTGATAGGTGATTCCAAGAAATTGAATATGATGTAGTATTCTCCTTCCAGTATTAACAAATTTAAGGATTGAAAAGAGGATGGTCTGGTTTATTAATGTTATTATTAACCATAAGAATGATAAATGATGATGCTGCTGCACTGTATGCTGTGAGGACATGGCCACATAATTATTAATTAGATTCCAATTTGGAATTCTTGTGAAAATCCTGTTTATTATTTGAGAATGACATCAGATTCTAAATTGGTGAATCTGAAGGCTTGAAATCAACTAGTTTGAAAATCAACAAGCTCAAGTAGTCATAAACAAGACAAATAATGTTGAAATTCATCCCTTTTAAAGAAACAAGGAATATTAATTTTCTTGGGAAATATAATTTGAGTCTAATTCTTTTACCATGTTCCTTAATGTTTCCAAACTTCTAGAATCTATTTAATATAATCAATGACTTGCTTCTTAATAAAATTCCTAAAATTGTCCAATTTACAGATTATAATTGGTTCTAGAAAACTGAAAAAAAATAAAGGGATTAAATTATTTCTCTTCCTCTTTCCACTGCCATGCTCTATGCTTAGACTTTCATCACCCTCTTAGACTGGTAAAACCTCTGAACTTGTGCCCGTATTGCTAATAATACCTCTTTCATAGTGCAACCTTCTACAACATGCATCAAATCATATGAACATCATTCTTTGATTACAAACCTTAGGCAATTTTCCATGTTTGTTCCTTAATAAAGGACAACGTTCTTAGCCTGATTTATAGAATCTTCAATGATATGATGTCAAATAGCCATTTATCTGACTGCATTACTTTTGTAGTATAAATTTCACCAAAAATCCATGCTGTAGCTCTAGCTATTTTCTTTAGTTAGAATTCTCATTATTCACCCCACATTAACCCAAAAACCAAAAACCCAACAGAGATTTCTAAACTAAGCTACTAGTAGTTTTACGTACCAAAAACCTACCTGCTCTTTGGAGCACTTTCCAACACTTTTCTTTAAAGAGTAAGTAAGCATTTCAGGAAAAAGTAACCCCTTTTTGTTTGTGGTATCTTGCCATTTTTTAATTTGACCACTTGAACTACCATTTTCTTTTTAACTCTGCAAACCTGTTCTTCTCCTATTAGCTTGAAAACTCCTTAAAGACAAAAAAAAAAAAAAAAAAACATGATTAGGTTTTCTGTTTAATAGGATGATCACATTTTTAAATTTGGCATTCAAATGCAAAACCTGCTGAGAGCAAAGGCCTGGCTTAACTAGCTTTTCCCTTTGAACGAAAAGGCATTTTGAAGTTGTGACTACACAAACAGATATCTTTGAGAGGCTGGTTTCAGTGATCCTAAGTTGTTTGACATTACTGAGTTGACAGTTATGCAAATTTTAATTGAGTATTTCTGAAGCATCTCACTCTAGGTGTCATGTTTAGAGACAGGATATTAAAAGACAGTAAAAGGCATGCTTTCTATCACTAAGGACTTTACTAACTAATGAAGAAGATTAAAATAACACAAATCAACACAATCATGTATAGCTGTCCATGGAGGTCCTGAGTTAAGGATAACTAATGTTGCTTTTTATTCATACCTAGAAAATACCTAAGCGTATCAATTAGGATACATTCAGCTACATGTAACAGAGTAGCCAACTACTAGTAGCTTAGTTTAGAAATTTATGTTGGGTTTTTCATTCTTTGTGTAACTTGGAATGTCTGGAGAGAGGTCATTATAGACTCGTTGAGTGGCTCTTTAATGACTTAGAAACCCAGGCTTTTCTGTTCTTATTGGGCATCTGGTAGGTACAAGATGACTTCCATAGCTCTGAGCATCTCTTGCTTATAAGGATGTCCCATACAGAAAGAGGCCAGACAGAAATGGATTGTCAGTTTATCAAGGAGGAAAATGAAAAAAAAAGAAAAAGAAAAAGAAAACTTGCCTCATCACCTCTCCTACCACACCCTACTTCCTGCCACCTGCCCAAGACCTCCCTTTAAAAAGCAACTGGGTCCAATAGCTACACATATCTTCAAGGAAAGCAGGGGAAATGAATTTCTAGAAAAGGGAAGTGGGTTAGCCATGGTTGGCTTAGAGCAGCTGTGTTTCATTCCCTGGAGTTGAGCATATTGCCACAATGAATGAGATTGAGGTTCTCTCAACAAAAATGGATGCAATGCTGCTTGGTGAAAACTTAGTGTATCCCACAGCAAGCAATTTGAAATATTTTACTAACTCTTCTTTAGCTCTTTTTCAGTGAGTTAACATCTTTCTGGGGAAAATATAGGCATTTGGGAATATGCATGAGCCCTCTTAAATCCCCATAGTACAGTAACTAAAGGGCATGCATGTCTAAGAACCAATGTGCCTTTACTGAATTTCTTTTCTGTTTACTTTTCAGCACTTACCAAATTAATGGTATCTGCAAATGGCATCCATTTACTAAATAGTACCCCAGTGGCTCCAAAGAACCACTCGTTCAGCCCCTCAGGTTTCTGCAGTTCCGCAGCCAAGCAGCTGTGAGAAGCACTCAGGAAGAATAGGAAAGCAACTTTCTAGACAGAAAGGACTCCAAGCAGTAGTCATCAGAACTGTGTCACCATGGAAGTCCACACTGGGCAGTGATCGCATTAGAAAGTAGGACAGAATTTTGAGTTATTACCAGGAAAGGTTCCCGGTAGGGACAAATATTGGGCCACCTTTTCGATTTTGGTCAGATTTCAATCTCCACAAAATGCAGTTTATTGACCATTTCATAGAGAGAAAACCGAGGCACATATTTAGAAATATTAACCTAAACGTAAAATGGACAAACCACTGGTGAAAGCGGTTTGTGCCATTATCTTGTAGTTCATCACCCAGTTCCTGTTGCTGCCCATCTCCCCAGCCCCCAACACACCCATACAACTGGAAAAGAGATAGGAAATCAATATTTTCTCCAAACCTTCAAATTCGTACAAATGAGACCATCATAGTCACTTGAATTGGGCTTAAGAGTATGGAACAGTGATTTTAAAAAATAAGACAGAAAAAAAAACTTTTGCAAAATTGCAGGAAGATTATGTTTGTATTTAAAAAATTCAAGGCAAAGTTGAGCTAGCATTTCCCCTATTCTAAAAACGTTTGATGATTGTATTTATTTTAAAAAACTTTGGCAAATGTTAACATTCTGTGCCAAACTTCCTTTTTATTTGTTCTTTTTTCATAATTAAAAAAACCTTTTTATTTACCACTCATTTTTGCTTCTTTGTCATTATGTATTGGGAAGCTTATGTATTGGGAAGCATTATGTATTGGGAAGCTTATGTGTTGGGAACCCATTTACTATCATTACGAATGAGCTCATTTTAATATTTGCATTTGTGATTAAGCTGACTTCTTTAGAGAAGCCTAGAAGTCTGCTCTTCCCATAGTGAAAATGTAGTATACTTGTTTCTTTATATATATATATATATATTTTTTTATTATACTTTAAGTTCTAGGGTACATGTGCACAACGTGCAGGTTTGTTACATATGTGTAGTATACCTATTTCAACCACATCTATTCCCTCTTCTATCTCCCTCTTTCTCTTCTGTCTTTTCAGTGGTTCCTATAGAATTCTTTAACAACATAATTCTGAATTTGCATTTGGCATGCTATATATTGGGCAAGGAAACCTGAGCTATTTCAAAATACATGTGGATGACTAATTGCTACTAATAAAAAATAAACTCCAAAAGTAACATATAATATGCCCTACAAAGATATGACCAAATGTCTTTGCTTCACCTTAGCATTTACTATGTACCATTGCTAAGTTTTAGCATATCGAAAACATCTTTTGACTACAACGCTAAGAATTGACAAAAGACAAAATGGTAGTAGAAATCCATTCAAATGGCCTGCTTGGATACCATCACCTCTCAGCAAAGTTTTTCTTTCTTTAAAACATGAAACTTTAAATTTTATTTGAATCAATATTCTTTATTTGTCCTGAAAGAATTGGTCTGTTTTTAAAAGTCTTGTTTCTACCATTAAATTGTTCTACATATTATTATTGCTTCTTACATATTGCTTTAATTTTTGGAAACAACAATTTTTTTCTTCAAATTTTATTTTAGACATAAGGGGTACATGTACAGGTTTGTTACATGAGTACATTGAATGATGCTGAGGTTTGGGGTATGGATCCTGTCACCTATGTAGTGGGAAGAGTACCCAGTAGGTAGCTTTTCAATCCATGATCCCTCCCTACCCCCTCTAGTAGTCCCCACTGTGTGTTGTTCCCATCTTTTTGCCCATGTGTACTCAATGGTTAGCTCCCACTTATAGGTGAAGACATGTGGTATTTGGTTTTCTGCTCTTGCATTAATTCACTTAGAATAATGGCCTCTAGCTGCATCCATGTTGCTGCAAAGGACATGATTTCATTCTTTTTTATGGCTGTATAGTATTCCATGGTATATATGTATCACATTTTTTTCTAATCCAATCCATTATTGATGGGCACCTACATTTTATTCCATGTCTTTGCTACTGTGAATAGCACTGTGATGAACATACAAATGCATGTGTCTTTTTCATAGAACAATTTATTTTCCTTTGGGTGTATACTCAGTAATGGGATTGTTGTGTCAAATGGTAGATCTGTTTTAAGTTCTTAGAGAAATCGCCAAGCTGCTTTCCACAGTGGCTGAACTAATTTATATTCCCACCAACAGTGTATAAGCATTCCTTTTGCTCTGCAGCCTCGCCAACATCTGTTATTTGTTGACTTTTTAATAATAGTTCTGACTGGAGTGAGATGGTATCTCATTGTGGTCTTGATTTGCATTTCTCTGATAGTGATAATGAGCATTTTTTTCATAAGTTTCCTAGCCACTTGTATGTCTTCTTTTGAGAAATGTCAGAAACAACTCATGTTAAAGAAAAATTTATCTTTAGGATTGCATTATCAGAGAATCTCAGCATTAAGTGGATAAAAACTCGGGGCACTAAAGAGTTCTTCCTCTAGATATAAAAATATAATAACCTCACTGGGTTCAATATTATAAAAACTATTAAAATCAGGCAGCCAAGTGCCTCATGAAATGATCCTACCTCCCAAATCCAGAAACAAGCCTCCATTGAATTTATCTAATGTAATCCACCAGTGACAGACTTAACATCAGCCTTGTGACCTAGTCCTGGACAGTGAACTTGGAGGACTTTGGAGAAAAGAGTTTGTATTCTTAAAAAGTAGTCCCTGTGAGAGACAATCTGTTTTCCTCCTGGATGTTACAGCAACTGTTCATGGTGCCAGAAGTTGCTGTAGTCATTTTACTGTTAGCCTGAGGAGGAAAAACTAACTCCACAGATGGCAGAACAGGGAAATGGACAGACCAGAAGGGTGATATTTGAGAACATAGTGGAACTACTGGATCAACCATATGGACTGCATTGCCTTTGGAGTTACTACATGTTAAATAATACATTTTCTTATTGTTTAAGACAGTTTGATTTGGAATTTCTGTTATCAAAAAACATCCAAACTGCTAGAGGGGGACTTGGGACTCAGCCTCTTTTTTTTTTTTTTTTTTTTTGATGGAGAAGCAGCTGCTTTTATTAAATGAAATCAGAAGGGCAATACAACAGGACGTTGGGTAGATGTGGGGACAACAGAGAGACAGTGGCAGAGCAGGACTGCAGATCTGTGGAAACTGCCTGGAAGAGTCAGCTCCAAGGCATGGGAGTCCTGAGGGTGAAAGAGAAAAGGGGAAGACTGCCCTTTGATCGTATGAGGCTGAAATAAGGAGATCTTAAACACGAGTGAGAACCCTGTTGCCCCAACCCAAGGTGACTTTAAATCCAAGGTATAAAAGATTAGCATGGATATTAGTTTGAATAAGGGAAATGAGAATTCTTTCTTAGAGACTGAAAAAAATGAAAGAATTGATTTTTGATTAAGAATTGATTAAGGCTTCACGATGATTCAGAGTGTAGGGATGGGAGACAGAATAAATTCCCTAGTGACCCACGTATAAAACAGTCTATAAATAAGAGAATGAGACTTGAGGTCAATTAAAGGTCATCTTGCCCATGCCACCATGGAGGGCAACAGTGCCATAATGCTCCGTGGGCGTTAAACACTGCATCCTTCCATTTCCTCCCCGTGTTGAAAAGTGTGCCGTGTCACAGCAGCAGAGCTGCCTGGGCTTTGGCAGGTCAGGAATACCCACTGCTAATGCAGTGGGAGGTAGGGATGAGGATGCTGTCCCTGGTTTTGTGGGAGTGCAGACAGAAGGAAGGCAGAAGGGAAACAGGCTGCTGAGGCAGTGTTTGTAATATGGGGTGACCATGGGAGGGCAGTAGCAGACACAAGAGTTGCTTTATCAGGCCGAGGTGCAGGCCCAGAGGTTCAGCCTCTTGCCACGGTCCACCAGCATCCCTGCCAAGATAGAGGTCTCCCCCAACTCCAGCAGCAATTGTGTATGGCTAACTGTTCTAACAGTTCATATAAAATACAACAGGAGTAGAGCAAGTGAAGACTTACGTGTTTGGATTATTTTTTGCCCTTTTATTCAATTATTTTTTTCTTAAAATTGTGTTAAAACATGCATAATTTAATATTGTAACCATTATTTTTTTGGGATGGAGTTTCACTCTTGTTGCCCAGGCTGGAGTGCAATGGCACGATCTTGGCTCACTGCAACCTCCGCCTGTGGGGTTCAAGTGATTCTCCTGCCTCAGCCTCCCAAGTAGCTGGGATTACAGTCATGCGCCACCACACCCAGATAATTTTGTATTTTTAGTAGAGATGGGGTTTCTCCATGTTGGTCACGCTGGTCTCGAACACCTGACCTCAGGTGATCCACCTGCTGCCTCGGCCTCCCAAAGCGCTGGGATTACAGGCGTGAGCCACCGCGCCTGGCCTGTAACCATTTTTAAGTGTACAGTTTTATGATGCTAAGTACATTCACATTGTCTTGCAACCATCACAGCCATTCATCTCTAGAACTTTTCTTCATGTTGCAAAACCAAAACTCTGAACCCATTAAACACTTACTCTCCACTCCCTCCCCACTCCATCCTCTGGCAACCACCATACTACTGTCTGTACCTATCAATTTGGCTATGTTAGGTACCTTATAAAGGGGGAATCATTCAATATTTGTTCTATTGTGACTGGCTTATTCCACTTAGCATAATGTCCTCAAAGTTCATTCATGCTGTAGCATGAGTCAGAATTTCCTTTCTTTCTAGGGCTGAGTAATATTGATTTGCCTGTGTATACTACATTTTGTTTATCCATTCATCTTTTATGGACATTTGGGTTGCTCCCACGTTTTGGCTATTATGAATAATACTGCAATGAACATGGGTATAAATAGTGAGCTTTAATATTGTAATTAAGTTTTAATCTTTAATACGTATTTGATAGTCCAACTCAGGGATTGGCAAACTATGACCCTCAAGTCAGATCTAACCTGACATCTGTTTTAATAAATAAAGTTTTAGATAATAGAACACAATTGGATTTGGTTTGGGAAGGAAGGAATGTTGTTTGCAGAGAGTGGAGTTTGCATACAAGATTGACCAAAAGAAAAAAATAATATGTAAATACTTTGGAGGACAGAAATAATCACTTTTAGGGATGTGTTCTGTGACAAACATTACAATGATATAATCTTTGCATTACTTCATTTAATCCTGAGGAAGACCATAAAGTAGAAATTCCCTATCCATTCCTCTTTTCTAATAGATAAAGAAAACTGGGCTTGGAAAGTTTAAGTATTCATGCCTCTTTGGCCATAAAACTTCTGCTCTTTCTGCAGTATGGCACTGTCTTTGAAAATATGCAGACAACTTCACAGTCTAAAAGCATTTAATCCACCTCACAACCATAATTGTCTGCTGAAAGTGGTTTTGTTTTTTACCATGTTTTTTTTTTGTTTTTTTTTTTTTTTTGAGACGGAGTTTCACTCTTGCCCAGGCTGGAGTGCAATGGTGCTATCTCGGCTCACCACAACCCCGCCTCCTGGGTTCAAGTGATTCTCCTGCCTCAGCCTCCCCAGTACCTGGGATTACAGGCATGCGCCACCACACCTGGCTAATTTTGTGAATATATATATATATATATTTTTTTTTTTTTTTAAGTAGAGACAGGGATTCTCCATGTTGGTCAGGCTGGTCTCAAACTCCTGAACTCAGGTGATCCGCCTGTCTCGGCCTCCCAAAGTGCTGGGATTACAGGCGTGAGCCACTGCACCCAGCCTTTTGCCATTTTTAAGGGAGGAGATTGAGAGGCTTACGGAGTTTGTGCAAGTGTCTGAATGCATGCAGCGGGTAAGTGGCAGAGTCGGGGTTCAAACCCAGCTTCTCTTATTCTACAGCAGCTTTTCTCAACCCCTGCAACAATTGATGTTTAGACCTGGATAATACTTTGTTGTGAGGGGCTGTCTTGAGCCTTGTAGAATGTTTAGCAGCATCTCTGGCTTCTACCAACTAGATGTCAGTAACACCTCTTCCCCCTTGTGACAACAAAAACTGTCTTTAGATTTTGCCAAATTACCCCTGGGGGTGGCAATCACTTGGAGTTGAGAACCACTGGTTTATATCCATGTCTTTCGACCATGCCTCTCTGGTTTTCTACTCTGAAGCAATTCACAATCTAGTAGATGGTAGCAGACACACGGTTAAGTCTAAAACAGGAGAGTATTATACTGAGAGTCAGTATGGAACCCGGAAGAGTGAACCTAGTAGTTTCAAGAGTATAGGCTTTCCAGCTAGACTGCCTAGTTACAAGATTCAGATCCTACATTTACTAGTTGTTATCCATGGACTAGTTATTAGCATTCTGTACTTCAGTTTCCTCATCTCTAAAATGGGATTAATACTAATACTTGCTTGACACAAAGTAAACACCATGGCTATGGGAAGCTGAGGCCCCCTGCTGTGCAGGGCAGAAAGTGGGGATTAAGAGGGGTTCTATTTTGAGCCCACTGCCTGGTTTTCATTAGCTCTGCCGATTGATTTCCATAATGCCAACCCTGAGGGCTGAAGCCTATGCTTCTGGCCTCATTAAGGAAGGAAGAGCTGTTTTATATAGTTATTTTCTGGCTAGAGATTAAACAATTAACACCTTACCTGATTATACAAGTGAAGCAAAGGCTTTTAGCTCTAGTCTATCCTGAGAGAGTCATAGAAACACAGACACCAGTGTAGGAGTTCTTGGCCATTTTCTAGTTTAGCTACTTCTTTTACAGACAGGAGATGACTAAGATCAGAGTAAAATGATAATCTGCCCAGAATTGCAGAACTAGTTCCTAGGAAGCCAGAACTGATGCGGACCACTGCTTTTTAGCTCAGTTTGTTTCTTTCACTGATTGTCAGTGTTTTCTCAGAGAGATATAATTTGCAGATGCATAAGATACACTGGAGAATGATGATGATTGGACATTCTGCAGCTAATAGATCTGTTCCATAAATTAAAAAGACAAAATCAAATGAGTACTAAATTTTTAACTGTGAAAAATTATTTCTTAATAATATTTTCATGTTCAAGAATAACACTAGTATTTTTTTTCTAGAATTTATTTTGTTGTTTTTCCAGAATAGTTGCCTATGTTACAGGCTTCTGCTCTGTCTAAGGGAATAAGGAGAAGGCATTTCCTGAGACACTAAACAGGCTTTTCTCTAGTTACTCGATGGTGATAACTAGAGTAACAGTGTCCACTGCTGGCAAATCAGATAATTGCACCACACTTTACACAGTTGCTGTATGTGAGGAATAACATTTTACTTTCACCAGGATGTATTCTCAGGTAAGGGTTTTAAGGCATGCAATGTGAAAAGATGCCATTATTATTTAAGAGAAAAATATTAGTTTTATATTAGCCCAATAGTCAATTAATGATTGATCAGCAATCAATTTGCCTCTCTAAACCTAAGAAAACAACATAGTAACAATTCCTATTAAGATAGTTGAGGTTTAAAATATTAAGAGAGTAAAACATATAGTTTTACAAACTAAGGTTTGTACTTAATGCTACCCAATAAGCAAAAGAAATGATTACCATGATGCAACTAAGTTTTGTCATCATTTAAAACAATTACTCGCCAAAAATTTACCTGGGTTTATTCTTTTCAGGACATTCATCATAGGTGTGGAAGAGGAAAGTAGAAGACTATGGGAATGGGAATTCTTCCTTAATTTATTTGAAATACTTAAGGACATTTCAATTTGTTAAACCTTTGAAGCACATTTTGTAATCTAAGAATTTAATTTATTTAACTAGACAGTTGGACAAAAGCCTAACTAGAAATGGCCTCTTTTGCAAGATTTCTGTGTGCTTTAGAAAAGATTCCTGGGTTCAATGCCAAAAACAGGCAGCAGAGGGCCCAGGAAATGGAACTCTCAGGAGTCTTGCTGCAACTCAGGACAGTTTGTTACTCTCCTTTTAAAATTTCTCCTTGAAATTTGTACTTGTAAATGGTGAAAGATGTATTTTTCTTTTTGCTATAGGAAGAAAAAGTCACTAGAATACATGGATAAAGTGGTCTTATCGTGTTATTATAACTTATGGAAATCCACAAATAGCAATTCTAGTTATAGAAATATAGCTTGGCCAGTTAAGAGCTAGTGTGGAATCTTGCTGTTTACTTGCTTTGAGATTGGGTAACTACAGCTGTAGCTGGGAGCATACACTACACATGAAGGCTGTGCATATCGATGATGATTGTTAAATTTTGTGAAAAGGTGTTGACTCCATCTCTGCTCACTGTGTCCTTGCTTTGTGATGAATCCCATTTTTTGAGATTTGGAGCTGTAAGGTCCTAGACATCAGGACTGAGTAGTTTGAAAACATAAATCGCTCCGCAATGTTGCTCTTTTCAGCTCATGTGTTTATTCTTCTGTGACCCTTCAGGTTTTCACTTGACCTGCAGGATCAAGACTTGTTTTTTTTTCTAAGTCTTAGAGATGTCCCCAAAAGACTCTATCTGTTCTTAACTTACTTTGTTTTCATTTTCTGTCTTCTAGATCTTTCCACATGCAAATTTTATTTTGCATATGAAAAATTTGCTTATGAATGAAAAATATTTTTTAAAAAATTCTTTCAATATTTGTTGAATTTTACTGTGCTGGGAGCAGGGAATAGAGCAATGAACAAAACCTAAGGGACCCCTGATCTCATGGAATTTACACTGTAGAGGAGGAAGACTGATCATCAAATGTATAAAGACAAAAATCAAAATGAGATATGCTGACAAAAGACTTGAGCAGACAGAGAAAATAGGTGAGGTCTAAAGAGTGCAGGTGGTTACTGTGGATTGTCAGTTACTTTAGATTGGATGGGTAGGGAATGCCTTTCTGAGGAGGTGATATGGAGTAGAAACCTGAATGAAAGGACAGGGTCAACCCTATCAAGTAGTTCAAGTAGAAAAAAGCAATTTGTACAAAAGCCTCAAGGCGAGCACAAGCTTTTCATGTTTGAAGAATGGAAAGTAGGCCACCCTCTCTGCCTGTACTCTTTCCCATTCACCTTGGAAAGAACAGGTGTGCACAGGGGATATTTTTCTCATTCATCTCCCACTGGAGAATTAAGGCTCTATTGAATGCTTGAGCCTCCCTTCCTCTCCCTTGACCGCCACCTCTTGCATACTTCCAGAGGAAGAGGTGACCTCTTTTGGGAGACCTCCCGATCACCCTTTTAAAACACTGTTCTTCACTTTCTCCTGTATTCGACTTGTATTTGACAGCCTGCCTATTTCAGTGTGTGATCCTTGAGTTTCTCAGTAGCCAACCCAAGGCATGGATACAACTAGGGATTTACTGCTTAGAAGGACTTGAAGCCAGATCATTCAAGATAAGTCCTCTTTTGCAGGTCCAGAGAGGTGACTTGGCCAAGGCCATTTTGCCAGTTAAGGAGAAAAGAGAAGCAAAGGATTCTGCATCCCACCCAGAGCTCTCTGAATTACCTTGTTCTGTCTGTTGTAATATATCCGTCTGCAAAATTTTATTGTTTTCTCCAACTACTTTTTTTCCTTCTTCTCTTGTATATCATGGTTCTTTCACTTTTTGACCCTTTCATTCATGCTATTTCTTTCTAAAGCATGCCATTTCTTTGTCTCGTTTTTATTTAATATGAGGTGGTTTTTGACTTTAACTTTTTTCCAATAAACTAGATTAAATACAAAGAATGTCCATATTGAATCCTTCTGATAGTGAGACTGGTTCAGACGGATAATGCAGGTATACAAAACAGATTGACATTTACAGTCTGTGAATTAGAAACAAGGAAGAGGATAGAAGACTGCACATTGGTGAGATTTTTACAGAACTTTGTTACTCAAGATGCAAATCTAATAACCATGGTCAGTGGTGCATTTTAGGATTTCGCATTAACCCAACACCCTGGGGCTTCCTGGCCTAAGTGTAACATCTTCACTCAACCTTACTTAAGGTAGGAGTTAGGCTTACTGTCAGAGATAATGGACAGAAAGGATGTGCTGTAACTCTTGGGACCATGGAAAGTCAGACAAAAATAAAGTAAGAAATGGACTGAGATTGTTTAGTAAGCTGCCTGTGGCTTACTAAGCTATTTCTAATCATTAAAACGAGTTTGTGTAATGGTGCTGTTAGTAACTTTAAACGTATTTTTAGGAGAGCTGAAGAAATTCTGCCACTAATACTCAGACAAAGGAAACCAAGAATATCTATGAAACGCACAGATTGTATTGAACAATTGTTTCTCTGGAATGAGAAAGTATAACAAAGGAAAAGTTAGAGATCAATATAGGTTTTTCCATCCTCAAACACTGAATGTTTGACTAGGGCCATACCAAATTATTCTGATGTTTCCAATCTGCTCACTCCATGCCAGGGCTCCTCAGCCTTGGCACTATTGGCATTTTGAGCTGGTTAATACTTGGTTTTGGGAAGGGATGTGCTGCATGATGTACAATGTTTAGCACATCCCTGGCCATCAGTGCTCATCCCCACTCCATTATGATAACTGAAAAATGTCTTCGGATATTATCAAATGTTCCCTGGAGGGCAAAAATGCCCTCAGTGAAGAACTACTCTCCTTAATGAAGTTATCTTATTTTCTAAAAAGGATAATTCTGAATTATCATCTATGTCCTAATTCCAGCTAAGAATTTGAAGAAGCTTATGGGGGAAAAGCAAAGTTTGGTACATTTGTTGGTTTAAATACTGAAGGTCAAATGAAATGTAGTGGTGAGGGAGAGACATACACCCGATATCTAGGCTGAGGATAACAATTATATTTTAAAAATGTGCTTAGCTTTGAGATCCAAGAGGATACATTTAGAAGGAAAAATAAGTTGTATAATCCTCATTAATTTATAAAAGGGAAAAATAAATACTAATTTTCTACAAACAAAATTTTCTCAATGGCATGGATTTTATTGGGACAAACTTGGCAGAGTAGTATTTTGGTAGCCCTTTTTATTAGGAACTAAATCAATGTTCTTTCCATATTCATGTCTAATATTAACTCAAGATAAAAGCTGAGGAAAGAATTATAAACACTAATTTCATGAAGATATTCTCTACCAGATGTTCATCATAATTAATGTTAACAGTGCTTGAAAAAGAGAAATCATTCTTGGTAAATACACATGACAGACAGCCCTCTCTATGCCAATGGATTTTTTTTGTTGTTGTTGTGTATGAAGCAAATGGTCAAATGTAATCTTTGTCTGCAAGGGGATGGTGCTTTTTATTCATAAGTGGATTTAGTCTCCAAGATGAGAGTGAAATCAAAAGTGAAGGCTTGATGGGTTGACCATTCCGACCCCCACTGATGTCAATGCAGGCAGCACGTGGCTGGCAGAACCCCATGAGGACCTGGCCTCTGTGGTGCCCTGTCTGGAAGCCAGTATAAAGCCATTGCTTGTCTATTCGGTGCATGAAGGCAGGCCTTCTTGATTTCAGATTTTTTTCTTTTAACAGAAGGGTTGAGTTCATTTTCAAATAATGTATTAGTTTTCTAGGACTGTCATAAGAAAATACCACAGACTGGGTGGCTTAAATAACAGAAATGGGCTGGGCACGGTGCCTCATGCCTGTAATCCCAGCACTTTTGGAGGCTGAGGCAGTCAGATCACAAGGTCGATAGACTGAGACCAGCCTGGCCAACATGGTGAAACCCTGTCTCTACTAAAAATACAAAAAATAGCTGGGCGTGGTGGTGAGCACCTGTAGTCCCAGCTCCTTGGGAGGCTGAGACAGGAGAATCAAATCGCTTGAATCCGGGAGGCAGAGGTTGCAGTGAGCTGAGATCACATCACTGCACTTCAGCCTGGAGACAGAGCAAGACTCCTTCTCAAAAACAAACAAACAAACAAACAAAAAACAGCAATGAATTTTCTCATAGATCTGGATGCTAGCAGTCCACGGTCAAGGTGTCAGTAAGGTTGATTTCTTCTGAGGCCTCTCTCCTGGGCTTGCCCACGGCCACCTTCTCACTGCATCTTCACATGTTTCATCTCTGTGTGTGCACAACCCTGGGATCTCTGTGTGTCCAGATTTCCTTTAATGTGAACACCAGTCAGATTACAGTAGGACCCACCTGACAGCCTCATTTTCACTTGATCACCCTGTCTCCAAATGCAGTCACATTCTGAGGTACTAGGGGTTAGGTCTTCAACATATGGAGTTGGGAGGAACATAATTCAGCCTGTAACAATTAGCTTCCATGTCAGTACCACAGATTACTGGGAATTATTCTGATATGTTCATTATTCTCAATTAGTTCCACTAATCCATAAAAAGACATAGATGTAAAGAGAGAATTTTATCTACAGTGGCAGTGGGTTTCAAGTCTGGAATGTCCTTTAGGGCTGAGGCAGGCTTGGGGATGCTGTGACAAATTAAAGCGCCATCCTTTTTAGCAAGGGGAGTTTGCATTTTTCACAGAGATTATGAGTTGTATAAAATACAGTCTTCATTCCACTGGTGTTTCAAACACCCCCATCTCTACCCCTTTGATCTGACATTTTTAAACTGATTTGCTTCTATACACTAATTAATTTTTCTGCCTAGGAAGAGAACATTCATTTGCAAATATCTTATGGATGGTAAATTAAGGCTTTGTAGCAATTGACTGAATGTTCCATTCTGAGAATATTCTCTCATTCATTCAGTCCTTCATTTATTCTTTCAGCACATATTATTGACAATATACGCCATGGGCTCAGTATTGTGGGGAAGATAGTGAACAAATAGCATTCATTGCTTGCTCTGGAAACAAGAAAAATAAGAGAACTTTAGGAAGAAGGCAGCTAGCTCCCAGAGGATATATTTCTGGTGCTGACTTGGCATGGTGGTCCTACATTCTAGATCTTTTGGAACAGGCACTAATTAAAATATGTTATCCCGTGATCCCCACAAACTGTTGAAATGTCCCTGAAATGCCTGTGTTTTCCTATCCACAGTCACCTGCCTCTCATAGTTACAAAGTTGGAAGGCTGATACTGGCAACTGGTATTCCTGACTTGAGTTCTGAAATCCATGGTGACTGTTACTCGGCAATGTTTAGGGTTAGGAGACGTGGCCTAAGGTATGGACTTTAGGGCACCTGAAGGCAAGTGGCAGGATTTGTGCATCCCTCAAAACTCAGCGCTTCTCAGTAAATCACTAATAAATCAACTGTGAAATTCTTTTCACTTCTTGACCACGTAAGTGCCCACAACCCTCGTGGGTCAGGCATTAAGAAGGAGTCCTGAGCTGGTCTCAGCAGACTGCAAACAGCATGACCCTGCAGGAGCGCACTGGCTGCCTCATCTGGACAATGGAAGGGAGAATTTCTCCTTTATAAAATTGTCTCAAGGATTAAATAAGATAAGGTATGTTAAAGCTTGCTGCTGTGCCTGGCATTCAGTACATGTTAGTTTATATGGGATGTTTAAGACCATGGACAGATCCTTTCTATGACTACCTTAAAAATTTCCCCTTCATTGACCTGTCATAGAACCACCAAAATATTATCCTTTTGGGATTTCATACTATGTTTAAAAATCTCTAATCTCACCTAAGCAGGAAAATATGATGCATTTAATGCATTCTCAAATTAATCAGTCACGGTAGCTAGATGACAACTTAGAAGCTCTGTGGAGAAAAGAGACATTTGCTGGATGGATAGAACATCTCTGTGTGTTTTGTTTTGGGGGGCATATGTTTCTGGGGATTTGGTTGGTATATTAGTCCGTTCTCATGCTGCTGTGAAAAAATACCTGACACTGGGTAATTTATAAAGGAAAGAGGTTTAATTGACTCATGGTTCCGCATGGCTGGGGAGGCCTCAGAAAGCTTACAATCATAGTGGAAGGCACCTCTTCACAGGGCAGCAGGAAAGAGAATGAGTGCAAGCAGGGGAAATGCCAGACACTTATAAAACCATCAGATCTCATGTGAACTCACTGACTATCATGAGAACAGCATGGGAGAAACCGCTCTCATGATCCAATCACTCCCCACCTGTTTTTCCCATGACACAGGGGATTATGGGAACTGCAATTCAAGGTGAGATGTGGGCAGGAACACAGCCAAACCATAGCAGTTGGGGTCAGCTTGAGAATCAGGACCAAGAAGCACCTAGCTGCTCTGTCAGCAGAATGTGAGAAGCCAAAATTGCCTGGTTAGTGAGGACTCAACAGTGGATTCTAGGGGCCCCAAGCAGCTGCTGGATGTAGCCCTGAAGGGGCAGAAAGGAGGATACTGCTCTCACATCAGCTTGCTTACATTGGCCTAAGCCTCATTTCAGGAAATGATGAGATTTCCTTTATTATTTCAACTTTAGTAAGAAATATTTTATTAAAATGTATTCTTGTAAATAATTGCCCTACTTTTCTTTCTTTGAGTTCAGTGTACTGTATCTGTAGCTCCACAATCTCCTTTTGTATCTCAGTGAGCCTAAAACAAGTTATGCAAGATGAAAAAGTTCTAGGAGCCAATACAATATGTACAATATCGTGTCTGTAGATAACAACACTGTATTATACACGTGAAAATCTGTTAAGAGGGTACATCTCATATTAAGTGTCCTCACTGAACAATATTAAAAAAATAGAATTGAGTTTCCTTTGTAACAGTGGGAACCATGGAAATACTCACCCGGCAGACAGTCTGCAGCAGTAGAACATTCCATTCTCCCAATCTCCACCAACCATCAGGGGGTCTTCATGTATAGAAAATGGCAGTGTAGAGTGAGGGGCATTTGGACTTTCAGAGAATCTGCATGCCCTAAAATTGTGCATGGGATTGATGCTTCATTTCAGTTAATGGGTTTTTCTGATGTTCATTTGAATTAATGTTCTTATTTGTTTATTTTGAATAGCACTTTATTGAGGTCTAACATATACAAAGTAAATAACTTAGGTAAACATATCGATGAATTTTGACAAATGTGTAATCCCTGTAACCATTGCCCATATCAAGGCAAATAATATTTCCAGCACCCCAAAAAGTTGCCTCTTGATGCTTTCCAGTCAATCTCCCACCTCAGAGACAAAAATTCTTCTGATATCTATAGATACCACATTCCATTTTTTAAAATGGAATCACGATTGTGCTCTTTTGTGTCTGGCTTCTTAACTGCTCAACATAATGATGTGGAAGTTTATTCTTGTTACTGGTATACCAGTGATTTGGGCTTTCTTTACTGATAGGTAGTACTAAAATGTACGAATATACCACTTTGTTTTGCATTCTACAGATGACATTTGGTTCGTTTCTGTTGTGCTTTGAAGAATCAGCTGCCTTCACCTGCCGCTGCATCTTGCAGACTGCTTTCTAATTTAGCAACAACCACACTTGTTTACCAAATCATTTAAATGTTTCTTATCTTCCCATTATTTTCTTGCTAGGAAGAAAAGTCATCACTTAAAAATATTAACCAAATTGAATACAAGAGTTGATAGTTTTATCCTCTGCCAACAAGGACAATCCAAAAGAAATTGTGTTAAAATTTGTTTCCTGCTCTGAATTATACATATACATACATGTATATATATATGTGTGTATACATATATAAAACATACACAGTCACACATATATAAAGTATTATTTGTCAAATATATATACATATGAGCAATAATATTTAGAGTAATATTTGGTTATCTAAATTAATGTAAGAAAGAGTAATATGTAAAATTTAAGACAGATTAAATATACCAATACATTATATATGTTTTTGTTTGTTTGTTTGTTTGTTTTTTGAGATAGAGTCTCACTCTGTTGTCCAGGCTGGATCGCAGTGGTGCGATCTTGGCTGACTGCAACCTCTGCCTCCCAGATTTAAGTGATTCTGCCGCCTCAGCCTCCCGAGTAGCTGGGACTACAGGCATTCGCCCCCAAGTCCAGATAATTTTTGTATTTTTAGTAGAGACAGGGTTTCACTGTGTTGGCCAGGCTGGTCTTGAATTCCTGACCTAAAGTGATCCTCCTGTCTCAGCCTTCCAAAGTGCTGGAATTACAGGCATGAACCACCATGCCCGGACTACCAATACATTATTAATAACAGTAATTCTGTAGAATTCAACAGAAATTCACAAAGACAGTTAGCAAATCTTGTACCGGATAACTTCTTATTTATTGCTCTCAAAGCATTTGTTCTATGAATAATGGAAGAACCTCTAACCTCCCATTATTCATAGAACAAATGGGAGTTAGAGTTAGACACAGAATGTCTGCAAACACATGCAAAGAGGCCAAGAAAAGGGATATCGATAACTTTGGTTAGTTTTAATGGATTTGTTTGAACTTGTTTTGACGGATAAAAATAGTTAAACTAAGTTTTTAAAATATTAAGAACAGAATATATAAAATATCACTAACTTTACTGAAATTAATTCAGTCATCTTCATATTATGATCAAGTAAGAAAGATGGAGATGAATAGAGTGAAAAATTATGACAAAAATAGATTATTTTAAAAAGAAACACACCTAGGAAGAAATAGGACTTCAGGACATCACTGTAGCTCGTTAGCTGTTTCCATTTTCCCCTCAGCTGCTATCTCCCATCTCATCAATTTTGATCTCAAAATTCATTGAATTGGGTTTTTATCTTTCTAAACTTGTCCACCGTGTTAAACACTAAAGCCAAATATATCTTGGCCTGGGATTTCAGAACCTGCTTCTTGTCCTCATAATTTTTTCTCAGTGCTTTTTTTTTTTTTTTTTTTACTGTAATTTTAAAAGGGAGAGGGATTTATCAAAAGTGTGTAGGGGCAACCGACTGACAGATAACTTCATTTTAGGAAACTTGCCTATCTCCTAATTCAACTCAGCCAGTAGTTACTTGTGGCTCAAGAAACAAAGCTTCCCCAGTACTATCCTATGTAAATCTGTAATTTTATTATCGAGTTTTATGTTTTGTAATTTCTTTTTTCCTTTTTTTTTTTTTTTGACATGGAGTCTCACTTATGTCACCCAGGCTGGAGTGCAATGGCGTGATCTTGGCTCACTGCAACCTCCGACTCGCAGATTCAAGCGATTCTCCTGCCTCAGCCTCCTGAGTAGCTGGGATTACAGGCACCAGCCACCACGCCCAGCTAACTTTTTTGTATTTTTAGGAGAGATGGGGGTTTCACCATGTTGGCCAGGCTGGTCACAAACTTCTGACCTCAGGTGATCCACCCACCTAGGCCTCCCAAAGTGCTGGGATCACAGGCATGAGCCACTGCACCCGGCCTGGAATTTATTTTTAAAAAGCAATGAAAAGAACGCCATACACCTTTTCCTGTGGGCTCAAAATAAAGGCAAGACTGTCTTCCACTAAAGAACTCTGTTTTGTACAAACTAAAAGGAAAATTGCAGAGCAAGGCTGCAGGTCAGCATATGAAAGAAATGCGTTTCCACAAAATCTTTGAAAAGATATTGCCTTAATTTTAATGGAATCCCTGATCATTTATATAATATCTTAATATTTGGCATTGATCTTGGAGAGCTTTTAGGGAAAGTTCTTATAACCAAGACACACCCATCCCCAGAGAACCTTTTAGAAGTGTCCTATTTGATTCCAATAGGCAGCTCTTTGGAGCTCTGCTGGATTCAAATAATAAACTAATTTCTAATAGGAAATGTGGTGAAGAAGACTTAGGAGTGACATGTAGGAAGTTTAAAATGGGTCAATCGCGTTCTTCAGGTGCTTTGCGAGGTACAGATCCGCTGAAGTACTTATTCCATTTTCTCTGTGGTGTGCATTTCTGATGTGAGGCTTTCACGTGGGCATCAGTGTCCTGTCCGGCTCACCCGGAGGAAACCAACCTTTCAAAGTTACTCTTAACAGCTGTTCATTGAATTGCTTCTGTGGGCCAAGCACAGTGCTAGCCGCTGAGGGTAGACTGGATGCACAGTGAACAAAACAAAGTCCCTGACTCAGGGAAGCTGAAAATCTCTCATGCCTTTCAGACATGGTGGAGGAGGAGAGAGGGGAGCATCCAGTCCTAAGGTTTTCAGAGAATTGAGATAATTGCAGCCTCATTGTGAAGTCTCTTGGTGTTGTGACTAAAGAGAGCATCAAAATGTGTATTCTGAAGAAGTGCCAAAGAAAGCAAATGCAAACTACTAACTAAATTGCTGGTGAAAAACCAAGAGACAGTGAAATGAGTGAAGACTTGGAACTGAGACAGCGTGAGGGAGAATGGAAGGAGCTGGGAAGCCAGGACCAGGGAGAATGAAGAGGATGGGAAGGGCGCCTTTGCATTCCAGAGACAAGCAGAAAAAACCTACAGGGTTCGTTTGATCTCAGCAATAGCTCTCCTGGGTGGGTCAACGTCAGTGAGGTCTCCTGAAACTAAAGGGACAGAAATAAATAGGGTAGGTTTTGTCATAAAATATTTAAAGACCATCATATGGAAGAAGGATAAATATTTTGTTCCGATGGGCAATAAGTGAAAGATGACTGGACATTTTAGAAAACCAGGCTTTGGGGCCAATTCTGAGAAGGGCATGCTAAAACACAAGCCATCTCAAAAAAGGAGAGGGGTAAATTTGTTGGACTCTAACTTGTTGGACCGTCTAAGTGGAAAACAGGCATTCTCTTTACAGGGCTGTTAGAACACTGTAGGACCAGATGATTGTAAGTCCCCTTCCTACTAAACTTTTGAGCAGAAGAATAAATGTGGATTTAACAAACTAGCCTCTGGAACTCTATATGGAAGCAGATATTTTTATTTTCCTTGACATACCTAGAGGGATTAGCAGTATTAGTTTAACTCTGTGTGTGAGTGTGTGTGTGAGTGAGCATGTTTGAATCTACAATGATATGCAAGGATTGTTACAGTGTAAAATACTTTTCGTCTGTGAAGAAAATGAAATTAAACTGTTCATACCAAGTAGCCAAGGAAAGTTGATGGAAAAAACTTTGCAACTGACTGAGTCCCTCTAGGCTAAAAAGAAAATCGCTGAATGATTGTGTAACCACATAAGGAATGTTATGAAAATGGAGCATTCCAGTGGCTGAGATTCATTTCTGTGTTTATCAATACAGTATTAACACTAGGATATGGGGACATGAGTGTGCTATAAATACAATGAAGTATGTTTACCCAGGAGCCAAGGTATGACCATAAAGAGAGCAATATTTTAATGCAGGAAATTAATTTGGCTCTTTTTGACATAAGACCTTGTAAATACTCTCAATATTTCTCTAAAAAGCTATACTGAAGTTGCCTCTGAGATTTGCAACCTTGATTTTTCAAGGAAAAATGTTTTGTTGTTGTTTTTGTTGGGTTTCTCATTTGGTTTGTTTTTTCAAGTGTCTTATTGGAACAGAACTATTTCATGTCTTTGAAAACAGGAAGGGAAGGGAAAAAATTTGATGTTTAAGAATTAGAAATGCAAGCCTTTTGATATAAATAGAATAAGCTCTCACGTTAAAACGAGTAATGGGATGAATTAAAATTTGGAAGTAAAGCCCTCTAATCAGCTAGTGGATATCCACAGCTTGCTCCACAGCTACAGACTTTTTCCTTTATGTATGTGTTGCCCCTTTTTTCTCTTTACTAAATGAACACCTATATTAAAAACAAAGTCATCCTTCTATGATTATGCAAGTTGCACATGCTCCTTGTGAAAAGTCAGGGAAAAGTGCAAAGAATAAAAAACATAAAGGGCTACAACCCACCACCTACTGATAAACACTGTTTATACTTCAGTCTATTTTATGTGAATGTGTGCATGTATATATGTGCATATATGTATATATTTAATGATATATAACACATATAAATAAAGATGCCATATAATGTGTACATTTTTAAGTCCAATGACCATGTCTCACACATTAATAGAAAAGCATGGGAAGAGGTCAGCATGAAAATAGTCAGATGACGTGACAACGCCCAGGTAATTGAGTGGGTCTACTGCAAACCTATGTGGAAAATAGCTCTTCATGAATATTATTTAATGTTTATTACCTCAGCTGGTTCTACAGCTGGTGTGAATGTCCCCAGTGACATACAAAATTCCTAATTTCGTCACTGACAGGCTTTTTGTATCCTTTTCCCCTGACACAGATTAGGCTGCTTCCGCTTACCTTCACAGATTAGGCTGTGCCTGTAACTCAGGGTTCCTCTATTTTGACATTTTCTGACTGCAATCCCCATACCCACCTTGACTAGCTGGTGACTATCTCCCATCTTTTTAATCTCAGCTCCAGGTGTTACTGTTTCCATGAGACCTTTCCCAACCCATACCAGGTGGAGCTGACTCTTTCCACTGTTCTTGCACGTGCTTCACACCCAGCATCTGAGACACTTAGGCACAAGCGCCTATGTCAACATCTTCCCCGCTATATTCTGAGCCACTCAAGGGGAGATGCCTGAATGCCGGGTCAAGTACAGTGGTGCAGAGTTAGCGCTCAATAGACGCATTAATGTAATGAATTATTTGATGATAAATAAAGGTTGATCATATAAACCAAGAGGTAAACCTTTCTGAAAATTATGTTTTTATGAATATATTGTCCAAGCGAGGCCTATTTTGCAAACATTGGAGGCAGTAATTCATATCCAACTCAGAGCATTTAATAATAGTATGTATAGCTGCATAGAAAAAAAAAATGGACTGTGCTTAACAAGAAAAGAGAGATAGCCATGTTCCAGAAATGCTCTGGAGAGAGTATAATGGCCACTCTTCTGCATTGTAGCCAAGGCCTTCTGAGAAGTACAGAGCTGTGATGGAGAGGTCCTGGCACACCACATCAGGAGAAGAGAAATCAGGCTGAGAGCTGCTGCCAGTTAGCCGTGAGCTTAGCAAATTACCTAACCTCCATGGGCCTCAGTGTGTTGATCAGTAAAATGGGATTATTAGTTTTAAATCATCTCTAAGGCTACTTCTTGTTCTAACCTTCAGCCTGGCAACAGAGTGGGACTCTGTCTCAAAAAAAAATAGGGAAAATAAGATAACAGTAAGATTTCAGTTCAAAGCCATAAACGAATAAAATTGAGAAATATAATATGAAAATATCCTGTGCTCAGTGACTTTCCCTGTTGATTGAAGTTAGCAAAAACTACACACACACACACACACACACACACACCACAGCAAGTTTAGAATGTTTTAAGTATACTATTAAAAAATTCAAGTTGTATTAGTTTTCAGTGATTTGAATAAAAAATGGTCCTCGATTATGTTAATATGTACTAAAAAGTGTCTTTATTTTCAGACTCATTATTATCAATGAAGCCGAAAGCCTGCATTTGGTTGACTTTCTTCCTTTTCCTTTGCATATGCCATTCCCTTTTATTAAAATGTTAGGAAAATCTCCTGGGCAGCAGACCTTCCACTTCCTTCCACATGCAGAGTGTCCAGCTCGTGGTCATCCAGAACTCCACAAGCCTCTGCCCACAGGGCCTCTTTTAGTGCTTCAAGAGTAAAAGTAGCTTCTTCTAGAGAGGGACTATTTTTTTTAGATATTTTGAAAAGTTCTAGTGTCACCGGGGATGAAAGAGGGAAACGGGACGGAGGGCATATGTGTCTTACCGTTGGGAGGAGGATTAAAGACATCAGGAACAGTCCAGAACCTGGGACTATTCCTGTCTGAGTCTCATCCTCCCTTTGACAAACACTGACTGAGCACCTGTGGTGGGTCAGGCACTGCTCCAGGCTCTGGGGAGGTGGAGCCCCTCTGATCAGGAGCTGTGTGTTGGGAAAGCCAGGAGTGTGTAGGAGTCAAAGAAATGATCCCCGGAGAGGCAGGGAAGCTGGGAGCCTGTGCACATCGTTGACTCACCGAGGGTAGAATGACCCTTCAAAGAGGCCAGAAAGGGGCAACTCCCGGTCCTGGAAATGAAACCTATGACAAAGAGCTGGGAATTAGAGTATTTGAGTATCAGCTTTGACTCTTGCAGCAGGGCAACAAGGGCTCAGATCTAAACTTTGTACAGTACAAATATGTAAAACTGCTGTCTCCTATCTGTACTCAAATACCCATGACATAAATGAATCTGAAACTTGTCCTGCTAGAACTAAATCTCTTGAGAGGATCACGAAGCCCATTTCATGGAGAAATGAACACAAGCCTGTGAGCATGGCCAGTGCAGGCCTCTCCTGAGCACAGCTGACTGCATCGATTAGGTGTCTTGGGGAAAAATTTGTGTTTGGACAGTTTATCCCTCCCTGTCGGGGAGAGATTCATTTGCTGATATGTCTTGGTGCTTTCAAATATTTTATGTATATATACAATACATATAAAACAAAACCTGTCAAGTGCAATGGCCGCTATTCCTGACTCACAGCCAAAGCCTTCTTTTAACCATTGGGTACCCTCATCCCTGAAAGCCAGTTTCAAATCTCTGTAGGACCTCAGAGGAGGGTACAGAGAGAAACAACACAAAAAGGCCAAAAGGGGTGAAGGAGTGAGCAAAGAAAAATGTGGTGAGCAGGGCTTGTCTCGGGGCTCTAAAACTTGTTTATTTAAAAATATCCATGATGTTCTCTCTGAAATAATTCTTTTTCCTGAGGTTCCTCTTCCTCTGTCCGCATAAAGCTTCAGGAAATATTTCTGATTTCTTTAAAAATCTTTTGCATAAATGGCACCTTTCCATTTGCAGTCAGTGTCAACCTATACGGTTAAGGCAAATTCTTACCTAAGGAGTTCATCTAAATTTCTAAAAGGAAAGACCAATTATCTACTTCCCCTACAGCTATATAAAAATGAAAGTGGAATGGGGAAAAAAGACTTGCAGAATGTATTTCCTTCATTTGGCAATAGCCTTAGGCCCCAAATCTCATTTTGTAAAGCATCACATGTCTAGCTTTAGTTTTATTTAGCTAGATTCTATGGCCTTAAATCTCATGAAAGGCATGTTATAAACTCAAGAAATTAAATTCTTCATGGATTTATGTGGGGCTTAGAAAAATGCATTCTCACAATTCACTGGGGAGCCTAATGGTCCTGTCTCCACAATCACTGAGAATTGCTGTACGTTTTTTTCTGAGCGATGCAATAATTAAAGTTATAAGAAATTCAGGTAAGCAGGTGGTACTGGAGCGGTCCAGCAAATGATAACAGGTAACACTGAGCAGGGGAGTAAAGCAGCCTAGGAAGCAGGAGCAGGCAATCATTAGAGATTCAATCGAGTAAACAGCTGCTGGTGTTTAAAAAATTATGTTGGTAGGAAACCGGACTCTCATTTAAAAACTGGTATTTGGAAGCAGCTATTCTGTCCATCAGAGGGGCGTGGGTAAGTGTCAAAGGCTAGGAAGGATTCTGTTTCTGTGTGTTTTGGATACAGGGTAGGTGTGGTAGACAGAATGATTGCCTCCCCCAAGGTGCCCATATCCTTATCCCTGCAACTTGTGAGTATGTGAATACGTCAGTTTACACGATTTTGCAGATGTGATTAAGTTAAGGATCCTGGGATGGGGAGATTCCCCTGGATTATTGGGTGGGCCCAGTGAAATCACTAGGATCTTGAAGAGGGAGGCAGGAGGATCAGAGTCAGTAGTAGGAAATGTGACAATGGAAGCAAGATGCAAGACATGGTCTGTGAGCCAGGAAGGCAGGTGGCCTCTGGAAGATTAAACAAACAAAAAGCAGCAGGGAAATGGATTCTTCTCTCAAAGCCTCCAGAAGGCTCTGCAGACATCATGACTTAAATCCAGTGAGATTGATTTGGGACTGTCTACCTGCAGAACTGGAAGAGAATAAATGTGTATTTTTAAAAGCAACTAAGTTTATGCTAATTTGTTACAGAAGCAATATGAAACTTACACTGTAGGTTACTGAGAAAGACTCGGGAATAATTTAAGATCTATATTTTTAGCAGTTACATACAAAGTAGAAACTAGGCTCAGGAATAAGGCATTAATTTAAAATTATAACATTTCCTACATGCATGCACTTTGGAAATTACTTTCACTTGCATCTTTTAGAAGTAGATTACAAGATCAGAGGCAGATTAATAGCAACTTTGCCAGAACCTGAAGGCTTCCGGTATTTAACTAGACTTTCTGAAACCCTGCACACTGAAGTACCAGTTGTCCCCAGAGATTAGAGCCTGCAGAACCTGCAGGAGGAAGTGCCCTCTTAGTTGTAGAGAGTTTTTGGAAGAATGTAGAATATGTAGTCCCTGGTACGCTTTCAGGTCATATAATTAAAGTGTATGGTCTTTGATGCACTGGCTTTTACTGCATTTGTGTCTTCTCAGTCACCAACCTGGGCCAAAAATATGATAGCAAATTTGTATGTAAAATAACGTTCTAAAAAACTGGAAAAATATACCAAAACATTTGAATGTTGGGATTAGAGGCAATTTTTATTTGTCATTTATTTTTATATTCTAATTGTACTTTTATAGTCAGAAAATGTAGAATTGGATGTTGTGTTCTCATTCTCATTCTTTCTTTGCCCTCCTCTACAGTTTTCGGTTCTTATTCTTGCTTTGCTCACAGAGCTTTTTAACAGTTGAATAAAAATTGTGAACCCTGGTGTTATCAACATGCACATGCACACCTTTTTTTCAGCATAAATTTCAGGGGAATCAGATAATCCTACACCCATCCTTGGAGCTTCTGGAAGTCCTTGGCTCCCATGTAAGAGTTCTTATTCTACACTGGTCACTGTGTCAGACATGTATATTTCAAATAGCTGACTTCTGGGTGGCAGATAGTGTGATAGAAAAGGCATGTGCTTAAGATCTTGTTCTTCCACTTCATAGCTGTGTAACTTTGGCAATCATTTAACATGTCTGGGGCTTAATTGCCTCTTCTGTAAAATAGAGATCATGATGTCCACTTCACTAGAACTAAAAGCTTTTCACATACTATTATACACATATTATTTGGATGTTTTATAAACAGACATGCTCTTGTTCCCATTTAAATAATTATGACCGAAATATTCTCTAATTTATTATTAATTCCCACTTAACTATTATCCAGAAAACTTTCAAATGTGAATGTAAAAGTTCTATACTGTGAAGGTAGTAATGAAAACAGGTTACTAGGAGGCATGAACTGGGAGTTTGAAAATGGCTTTTTTAAAAAAATCACTATTTTAATTACCTTTAACAGAGTCAGAAATTTAGTTGTGTGTTTTGGCACAAATGCATACAACATGTGTGTGCAGATGTACAAGTTTACATATATGTTTAACTCATGTATGCTAAATGCAAAGAACATAATCTTAATCCAGCTCACTTATTTCCTATGAAAGTGGTCATTCTAGAAATTATTGAAAAACTCATTACAGTGCTAAATATGAAAAAGATTATATCACATGTGCACAGGGACTCTCTTTGCATTGAGATTATAAATGAACTTTCCTTTCTCAAACTTTCTTGGAAATTGAGTAATTTTTTTTCTGTTGAGGTATTCAGTAGTGTTAAAAATTCACTGATCTATTATTAAAATGCTTGGTATTTTAATCTTCCACTACTGATTTAGAGTAGGAAAAGATTTGCCAATATTCACAACTCAGAAATGACTTCTATGCCCATTTTGGATTCACTTTAGTATTGAAGGCTGGAAGCTACTGAGAATATTTTTTCCAACGTATTAGCTGGATTAAAAGAAAATCACTAAATTTGTAAAGCTAAACCATCTGCTAGTATCAATCTGGTATTGCTTCTATAGGAAAGAATGTTCACAAGTTTTTAGTATCAATAGTTTCTACTTTTCCTTTATTGAATCAAAACATTAAGCAACAATAAAATTCCTTCCAGTTTTTTAATAGATAGAAATCTGTTGCCTACCAGAAATAAATATATCCAGCAAAATTAATCAACAAGACTGTTATAACATTAATGCAATCACTTGGTTTTTGAAAATCTAATTTAGAATTATTTAATATTCAGTTAGATCAACCTTTGATTCTAAAATAAAGGTCAATAATACTATCACGGAAAAAAATGTGATCTTGAACTTAAACTGTAATGAGCGGATAAGCAGTCAGTCTTAATTAACTAGTTGAAAATTTGCCCCAAGTACATACTAATATGACTTTTTAAATATTCTTCCAAATGAGTAAAAAATGAAAAGGGACATCAATATCGATTACTTTTCCGGAAGTATTTCAAACATTTTCAAATAGAACCCATTTATCGAGAAAGGAGATTTAAACAAATGCCAATATATATCATCTTTAATTCCACTGAAGCTCACCCCAAATTGGTTTATAATAATTTAATTGTGGAAAAAATAATGTTGGACTTTCATATTTTATCTTTAATTTTGGAGATGTTGAAAAATGTCAAAAGTGATTCACAAAGGAAACCATGTGACAAAACGGAGTGAGTCACTTAATGTATGAAAACGATCAAGTACACGTCATATTTTAGTGATTCTTAGATGCCAATACTTTTTATGTATAAACACCTTTAGAATTCATATGCGTATTATAATCTATAAAATAACATAGCTTAATGAAGTGTTTTTATTTCTTTCATCGAAGTACCTAAAATAATCTTAAAATTAACAGCTTCTTAAATTTGACAAATTTAGGAAAGGCGAAATAGTGGCCGTGGCAATGGCAGAAATGAAGGAAAAGTAATAGATTTTTATTTGGAAAAATAACATGATAGAATTTAATATATATATCAATGTACAAAATATGTTTTTTGGATTTTTTTGTTCATTTGAAGGATAAATAAAAAACAAAATCCAGGCACTTTTTTTTTTTAGTAAACTGTATCGAAACTTATCTACTTGGAAGGCAAACAATGTATGCCACAAAGTCATCCAGAACATAATGGAACTCAGAATGCAATAGGAAAAAATTTAATAATCAATTCAATTTCAATAAGGCTGTTTCTTGTTTGTATACTCTCCTCACTTCGAGTTTATATACTTTAATATTTATAGATAATTTTAACAAATACATTTATCTGGTGTCAAATTCTATAATGGATTACATGATTAGATGTAGCAAATTTGAAAAAGGGCATATTGTCAATTTATCAATCAACAATCTGAAAATGAGGAGGCAAGATAGAAAACTGTGTGTGTGTTAGGAAGTGTGGAGAAGTGGTGAATCACAAATACCAGAAGTCCTTTTTGATTCAAATGGAAACAGTCTCACATCCTTCAGTAAGCCCCGAGGGTGTCACTGTTGAAATTCAGAACTCAAACTGTTTGTCATGTTTGGTTGAGCCCAGGACATCAAGCAAAGGCTAAAGTATTTTCGGTGTATCCTATTTATGAAGTTGAGATTGTGTGTAATCCAGATAGAATTTTAGGTGTCTTGGTGCTTAAAGAGATCAAGGATCTCTTTAGGTACCATGGGGTACTTCATCCTTGACAGACTGGATTAAGCAAGATTTTCTGTTCCTCTTATTTGGTATTAACTGTCTATTTGTTCAGATATCCAATGTCTTAATCCTTTCAATACACAAATCTTTATTGAGCACCTACTTGCCTGGCACCATTTTAAACACTGGATATGTGGCAGTAAACAAAGGAGACAAAGTCTGTACCTTTATAGGCTTATATTTTAAACGGGGAAGACAGCCCAAATAAATAAGGAAAGTACATGGAAATTTTAAAAGTTGTACGTGCTATGTAGAACCATAAAGCAGGGTAGCAAGAAGGAAATGTCTGTGTTTATGAGTTGTAATTTTAAATAGATTTATGAGCAAAGATGTGAGGAAAGATTCATAGGAGATGAGAGTCAAATGCAACAGCAAGTATAAAAGTCCTGTCATAGGATCATGCCAGGTGGTTTGATGGACAGCAAGTGGTAAGTGAAGGGAGATGAATAGAGATGATGTCAGAGAACAACTGAAGGCAGAGATGGGGCACAAATCACATGAGCCATGGCAGGCCACTACAGTGAGGACTTTGGTTTTGAAGTATGGGATTTCGTAGTTACTATTGTAGTATAATCACCCAAAAGATGATGGTGGTAGGTAGTAGTGGAGGTGGTGAGAGTGATATCTTGGATATATTTTGCAGATAGACAGAATAGATCTTACACAAATATATACGGGGTATTAGAGAAAGAAATGACATTAATATGATACTAAAGTTTTCAGCCTGAGGAACAAGAATGAAGTTGCCATTTCAGAAGTGGCGAGGATTGGAAGAACAGGTTTAAGAAGGAAGAACAGTAGTTCGTTCATGGCCATTTTAAGCATGAGACACTTACCTATCAGACATCTTTGTAGAAGTTTCAATATAGCTCTCTCTTTATTCAACAATTGCTGGTGTTAGTAGAGGAATGATGAAGTTTTTAGAAGGTGCCCTAGATTCAGTGTTAATTAGGGGTAGGTGGCAAGAAGTTTCCCAGAGAAGATATCTATGCTGAGACCTAAACTATAAGCTCCATCAAGACAGAGCCAAAAAGTCTCTTTATTTTTATTTAAAAATCTGTTGGCAAGCCATGGTGGCTCATGCCTTACTCTTTAGCTGATGATTTTTTTTTTTTAATCATCAAGAGGAGTGTGAGGATAGGGCAATAGAAATTTTCCAGGTAGAGGGAACAACATACTTAAAGTTGGAGGACCAAAAGGATCATAGCATCTTCAGGAGACCATCAAGCACAGTGTACTAATTACCTTCCAAACTGATGCTTGTATAGTATTTTAGTGTTTTTAGAAGTACTTTCTCATAGACCCTCATCATAGTCTCTGAAAGGTAGAGAAATGTTTTTATTATCAATCAGTTGGTGTGAAAGTAGGCTTACGGGACTCAGTTCACAAATGTAGTTAATAATAACTAAGGTTTGAACTTGGGACTTATTTCGTCAAAATTTAAAATAACTTCTTATGTTTCGAATTATCTAAAATCTTGTCATGCATCCACTGTGGGGGGGTGGTGGTGAGGAAATATACATAGGGAATACATATATTTTGATATTGAAAAAACATGGAAACTGCAAAAGAATTTACAAGATAGAAATGAGTAAACTGGAAGATGATGATAATACAGTCATAGCTGTCATTTTCAATTAGGGTGCACCAGATGTGGTACTAGGATCTTTACATTTATTTACTAAATTTAATCTCACAGCAGTTGAAAAGGAGGCTCTGTTTTCACCTCAATTTGAGAGATGAAGAAATTGAGGCTGAGAGAGACTAAAGCAACACCTTGGAGGTCATTATACAGCTAGGAAGTTGCAGAGTCAAGAAATGAACCAAGAACCTCTGAAATGAGAGTTCAGGCTCCCAATAGCTTGGTGAGGAGCTACACCACCTGGGCCGTACTTTATTTTCCTCTTTATAACGTCAAAGGTAAAATTAACAACTCCAAGGAGGTTCTGATGAGTGACAAATTATTTTCTGAACTACAGTAACCTTTACATTTGTGTTCACCGGCCCTGAATTGGTTTTCACCCTAGCTTTGCACATTCTTTTATCACAGCTTAAGACAGCAGATGGCTCTCTTGCGTTTTCTTTCACTTACCTCCATCCGTAAACAACTAAACAGCGTTTTGGGGAGGTAAAATGAAAACGCAGGGATTAACCTAAAAGACCTTGATTATCCCAATGCTGCCCCCCTCTCCAAGATCCCTTAAAATAGGAAGCTACGTTGAAGAGAAATGACCGCTTGAGGCTCCTGAAATTCACAGCCAGAATAGATGCCCGGAGACTCCGGAGTCCGCTGTTCAGGCGCTGCGCCAGGGGTCGGGACGCTCGAGAAAGAAAGAGTATCTCTCGGTTATGGAAAAGCTGAAAGGCTTTGTGTTCCAAGGTGTTATTAACGTCGGTAGAAGCTGTGAAGATCAATTTCCTTCCCATCATGAGGGAAAAAAGTGAGAAACTGCTTTTAGGGGAGGAAAGTGTCAGAGACCCTCACAGCCAGCGCTTTTCTCCATCAGCGAACTTGCTTCTGCTGGGAGAGGTAGGGCTGGGGCGGGATCCCTGTCCGCGGTGCTGAATGTCAGGCTGGTCCGAGGCTGCTGAACAACGAAGGGAGGGCTCTGAGAGGGCCAAAAACTGACCTCCTGACCCCCAAGTCCAAGGATTTGGGGGAAAGACTGCAGCATAAGAAAATGCCTGCAAAAATAGAGGCACGGCTATAAGAACAAGAAGCTTAATGTCACTCTTTTCAAATTAATATTGTTGGCACATACATCAAAAGGCTTAAAGAACCTTTAAAAATAAACTAGGTGTGTTGGGGAAGTCATACTAGATTTAAGAGGTCACTATACTTAACATTTTACTTTTTTGAAACACTCACTGCAAGAAGCCTTTGATAATAAACCTGGATGCTTTAATCTTACAGTCATTTGCAAATTCAAATCTAGAACTTCTGAAATGTACAAATGGCGTTTCTTCAATAATAGAAACCAAGAGTAGTGACTCTTAATGTTCAGTAGGACTCATTTCAGTGAATTAAAACAACAGACACACTCAATAGCCATTTAGTTATTTTCATCTCTCTATAGACATCTTTCCCTTTTTAAGCAGGACTACAGCAACACAACATAAATGCACACTCACAAAAAAATGGAAGAAAAGAGACATATGAAACTGAAAATAGAGAGGGAAAGGCAGAGCAAAATAATTAGCATTCCCCTTTTTCTCACTTTTGCTATTTTATGAGTGACTAGGGATTGCAAGTTTCTAGCAAAACAACTCTAGCATATTCCTTTTAATAATTGTAGAATTTGTAGATGTAACATAGCAAAGTGTAGAAAATAAACTTCCAGAAGTACACTTTGTAATATATGACAAACACCGTCGTAAAGCCAATGATCCCTGCCTTAGATCTAAATCTACACACTCTCATCAGGTTGCATTTCCTTCCCAAAAGGAGACTTGTTGGTAAATGTGGAGTGAAGGTAACAAACAACAGCCCAGCAGTGGCTGCTTCCATGGAGAAGCTGTGGATAAGTTGCTTAGAGCAGAAGGTGCCCAGCCTCCCTGTAATCTGCTGCACTTCCCCCCAGTTGCCTGGTGGCGAGTACTCTACTGCCTATTCCTGAGACAAAGAGAAAGTGTGTTTTGGTTGAGAACTGCTCCCAGGGCTGCCTGCGTAGTGTGCTTGCCCTCTTTCCAGCTCTAAAGCAGTCACTGGAGAAGAAGGTTGTTGCAAGTCTCTTGATTACCAAGTGAGCCATCTCTCCCCCTTGCTTCACACTGAATTTCCAGAAGTCTAGTTCGAGCATTTCTTTCTCTTTAGCTGCCTGAGCTGATAGGCAAAGCAGTGTAAAGGGAAGAGGAGAAAAGTAAGAAGCCCGGAGCCAGAGCTGCACTTGGTTCTGCCACTCTGGTGTATCCTAGAAACCACGGAACTGTGTTCATCCAAGCATGAAGTGTTTCTCTCCCAACCTCCCCCCGGCTTTTTGTTTTTTTCGGGTGCCCTCCACTGCCGCCCTTTCTCTTGGACCTTCACATTTTCAGGTATCCAGGAGGGAACCGCTGTCGGGACACAGACAGAAAATCAAGGGGGAGGAGACGCCGGCTGTTGTATTTGAATTTCAGACACAGTTCAGATGGCTTTGCTCCCTGACAGAGCTTCTTTGCCCAGGGACACCAGAAGATGACAGCTCAAATTGGAGTGTCCTGTCTGGCTGCTTTTCACTGTCCCTGGAATAGTGTGACACCCTCCTCTGCCCCTTATATTTCTGCCCTGACTTCTTCAACATTCTCCTGGGCGTTTATCCTACCCAGCTGCTGTTCTGTAGCAGCTACTGCGGCTGTCATCTCCTCCTCCCAGGGCTGGGGAGCATATTTGGGAGTGGGGTCTTTCTATCTCGCTTAATCACACCTTCTCTCTTTCCATTCCCTCCTTTTTGCTCCGTGTAGCCTTTCAAAATGACAAACCTACCCTTCCTGCAGCAGAAGGGAGGGTCCTGCAAGTTTGGGTGGACTAGGTGAGGAGTGGAGGCTCCTCCCTCCAACCCGGGGTTGGGGGTGGCGACGGGGGGGCGTTGGTGCTGGAGGGATTAGCAGGGAGGGCGGAAACCACCTCGCCCTCCAACCGCTGCTGAGAGTTTCAGTGCACCGGTAACCACGTTAAGACCGAGAAGCCCCAACCAAGCCGCGGAAGGCTCGGGAACCAGCGAGTTGCATCTAAGAAAAAGCGCCCCGATGTTCCTTCAATTCCACCTGCTTTGGCTCGGCCTCTTAGCACCCCATCCCTGCAATCCATCTTAGCTTTCTTTCTTATTATTTTTAAATCATTATTACCTATACGTTTTGTTTCTTTCTGAAGAGGTACATCAGGAGGGGGACCACATAGGTGGAGGGGGTGTAGTGGGGTGGGAACGGAGCGTTTGATTAGAGATCTCAGGGGAGAAGATTGGTCTCTCCAGATGCTGATTTCCAAAGCACTTGACAATCACCGGCAGAAGCCGAGAGCGGGCGGCGCCGGCGGCGGCACCGGCCCGCGGGCAGCTGGAGCCCGGCGCTGAGTCCTGCCCAGCGCGACCCGGACCGACGGACGCGCAGAGACCCTGCCGGGACCCGCCCTCCAGCCGGCGCCCGGGGAGCCGCCGGCCGGCTCTACCTCCCGCCCGGGAGCCGGGCAGGGCGAGAAGGCAGCGCGAGTGGCGGTGGCGACCCCCGCCGGGGTTCCTGCGACGAGCGGTGACCAGCAGCGCCCGCAGCCGCGGTCCCGCTCTCCACTCGGACGTGGCCAAGCGGCGGCGGCCACGACGTCCGGCTTCCCGGGATCGTCCGGCTGCGCCCTGGGCGCATCTGCGCGCCTGGCCCCGCGCCCCGCGGAGAGGGCGATGGGTCCCGGTCAGGACTGAGCCCCCCTTCCCCTCTCCCCAGTCCCGCCTGGCACCCCCTCCTCTGCCCCGAGGGCGAGCCACGGTCTGCGCCGCCGCCTTCCCCTCCGGTGCCCCCGGCTCGCCGTCCTCCCGCGCCCTCCCTCCCCGGACCCGTTCCCGGGGCCACCATGGCCGCGGCCATCGCTAGCGGCTTGATCCGCCAGAAGCGGCAGGCGCGGGAGCAGCACTGGGACCGGCCGTCTGCCAGCAGGAGGCGGAGCAGCCCCAGCAAGAACCGCGGGCTCTGCAACGGCAACCTGGTGGATATCTTCTCCAAAGTGCGCATCTTCGGCCTCAAGAAGCGCAGGTTGCGGCGCCAAGGTCTGTGGGGGTCATGGTCGGGAGATGCGCCCCGGGTCGCCCCCTCCCCGCCTAAACGGAGCTTCTCCAGGCTCCTTCCCTCCCTCGGTTTTCCCGGCCCACCCCGGCCCCGGCCTCCCTTCTGAGCACTCTGGGTGCCGTCGCGGGGACCCTGGAGTCCGCTGTCGGGCAACCTGTAGCCGCCGAGAAGTGCAGCCGCCAGAGATGGCAAGTTGGCTGCTCCTCGCCGGCGGCTCCTGCCCTCCGCGTCCCTGCAGGCTGGGCTCTGGGAAACCTGTTCCCCCTGAGTCTCGGCTTCCCGGGAGGATAGGGACTGGCACTGGCTCTGGAACGCGGGGCACCCCTTCCTGCCACACCCGGGGTCGAGCCACCGCTCGCAGTCTGATCTGAGCTGGTGGGGGTTTCCATGGGGTGGGCCTGGCCTCACTTGGTCTCTGGGGTCTCCTAGAAACCTCCCGGGTTCCCAGACCTTGGACAAATGTGGATATCCTGGCGGTGCCCCCAGCGGGAGCTGCTGTAGAAGGAGTGGAGGGTGTGTGAACTATGGCCCAGTCCGCTGAGGTTCAGCAGAAGGCTGCTTAGCGCGCAGCCCTGGGCTCTGCAGCCCTTCAGTCAAATCCTGGGATGGGGACAGAGGCTCAGGGAGTCTAAAGAAAGAATCCGAATTGCGGGGAGCGGGGGGCAGAAGTAAAAATCCCTAATATGTGTCAGTTTTAATTGAAAAACTGGCGAATTGCCTGAGATACAAGCCGTTACTATATAAAGGTGACTAGAATAGTTACCTTACTACAGGTATTTCTTTGAGAAACTAGTACCTAGGATGACCTTTCACTGCCTTTGAAATGCCAGGGTCTGAGAAGGCATCCTATTCAGGAGCCAGGCGCTTTTGTCTCTCTCTCTGCCTGTCTCTGCATCCAGTTGCTAAGGCTGGTTGTTTTGCGAGCATGTGGTGTGTTCTGTGGGGGAAATGGGCATTGCTGGCTTTTCATAACCAAGTGGGGTTGGTAGGAAACATTGAAGAATCTATTTACGTTAATGGGAGTATATGTTTGCCCAGCACATTACATTGTCGGCTCCCAGCTGTATTTGTTTTAAATGCCCTGTTGTTCCAAAGACGGGGGATAGAAGCATAAGCTATACATGTGTTTCTCAAAGAGTGAGTGCGTGTCCTTACATTTGCAAATTGATGACCAAAAGTTTTGATGCTTTTTTTTTAAAGGCTAATGCTGAATATTTTAAAAGGACAATTTCTTGTTGTCACATTTAAGAAATTGGAGATTACTTGCTCTTACTATCAAGCTTCAAAGGCAAAGATAGGAAGAAAATCAGAGTGGAAGTTCTGTTAGAGAAATAAAATTATATAAGTAAAATAAGAACTTCTTGTTGGAGAATTTGGGATCAATCATATTTTCAGACCAGTGTAGGAGCCATTAAGAAAAAAATGGATTTTAATTTTCCACATTAGCCTAGAGCCTTATTCAGCCCACCTTTGTGTAATGAGACCAACTCGACTGCCTTAATCACCGTTGATAGACGGAGGATCAATCTATTATGACTTAAATTGTGCTTATCCTCTTATGTCATCAAACAGACTATCTTTTAGAATACAGTTTTCACCACATACAGCTCCAAATTGGCTGTCTACATAAAGTAAATTAACATACTATCTACTAAATAAGCTTATTTTAATATAAACAATGATTAAAACTTGTGTGTATTTCTTAAGAATATAGCCAGTAGATTATTTTATAAATATGAACAATAAATGTTTTGTGCCATATTGGGTGGCGAAGGAGGATTTGCTTTACACTTAATGAATTTTAAGTTGGGTGTTTACTTTTTTGTCAGTATAGAAAGCTGTCTGAGTTTTCTAATGGTCCGTTTCTCCATTTTCAACCCTGACTGCTCTGTTGGTATTCCTGATTTTGAAATGATAAGCAATCTTCAATGTTCTGTAAGAAAAATATATTTGAGGTCACTTTTCTACCTTACTTTGGACAGGAAAATAGAAGGGAAGATACGTTATAAGGAAATTGTATGAGAATTTTTTATTCTTCTTATATTTCTTATATAAAAGTATATATATTCTTCAGAGGAGAAAAATACAGATATATCTCTTGAGTATCAGAAAAGGATTAATTTATTAGTATCACTAATTTTAAGCAAAACAAATATTAAGACTTTATGTTATGTAAATTATATATCGACATATAATAGTATGCTTTTATATTATTATATATAACAATATAATTATTCATTTAATTAAGTCTTATTGTCGAACATATTTTCAAGCATATTTACCTTCTTATTACACACTCTTTACATAGGGAATTGCCCTCAGAAAATTTTAAAAAATCATATTTATTAAAGATACAACCTTTAAGTCTGATGGTTTTATATGTCTTTATAGCTGAAAATAATATAACAATTATTGAATCTTTACAATCTGTTAGGCTCTGTAGCAGGTATTATATATACATACAGCAGTGAATAGAAGAGTTGAAGTTCCTGCCATCATGGAGCTCACAAACATGGGGTAGAGAGTCATTGCCTATGGAAAGGAACAAATTAATAAGAAATAATAAAATTCAAAGTCCTATAAAGCATGAAGAGAGCTGGGATAAAGAATTATGGAGGAGAGAGGGGTGGGGAGAGGGATCTAATTAGATAAAGTAGTCAGGGTGGGCAACACTGGGATCCACAGGTTGAGAGATGACAGGTAAGAAGGATGCAGAGATTTTAAGAGCAGGTAGAAAAAGCAATGTGTGTGCAGAGACCTTGAGGTGGAAAAAATATTGTCCCATTGGGAGAAAAAAAAGAGGCATAGAAATTTTAAGCACATTGTCAAGTAGAATATAGTGTGATATGCTTGAAAACAGAATAAAGAATAGCTCCACATTTTGTGTTTTGGGGAAGGGTAATACACATTTTTGAAATGTAGGGTTTTAAAAAATCCTTTATTAAGTAGTAATTTATTTAATGTAAAGATTATTGAGTTGGAGCCCTACACCCACACTCTTTCCTATCTCCATCACCCCTACCCCTATAGAAGAGTGATGTTTATACCAGTTGACTTACTCTTGTGAAGGACAGAAATTTGCAAGATGGCTATTAATGGTGTGGTAGGCAGCATGACTGCAACCCACCTTTCCAGATTCAGCTCCATCTACCCTCCACCGACCTCCACAGATTTCAAACACAATACAATGCCACACACCCCGCAAATTAGTCATATGCTTTCAAATCCTTATCCTTTTGTTTGTGCTTTACTGTGTGTCTAGCATCTTCTCCTCACTTCTACATTCACCTGTTGAAATTATGAAATTATTCTCATTTTGAAAAGCTGAGAGAAAATGCCATCTCCTCTGAGAAGCCTTCATTTATTGGATACAATTAAAAATAATTCTCCTGTGGTATTTCATACGTCACTGTTGTTGTTTATATATACCTGATAATAATTAATTAAGTATACATATTCAGCTGATTGTAGGGAAGAAGCAAAGTCTGTGTTTTCTGCATCTTCATAGGCTCTCAAATCTTGAGAGTGTTTGCCATACACTGGGTTCTCCTCATTGCCCTTGGATTGGAGTGAAATAAGGAAGGTTAATAGGCCCAAGCTAAAAAAGAAAGTATCCTTGAACCAGAGTGATCTAACTAGATAATTTTAGACATAAAAATACTTTTCAAATTTTATACCTTTTTTACTTTCCCTAAATAAATATAATTATATCTTTTTTTAAGAGAATTAGAGGGATTACATATTTGTGGGTTATTTATAAGAATGCAAGAACATAAACAACCTCATTTTAAAGCTTAACTAATATATGAACAAAGATATTTACATATATTGATTTAGCCAAAGAAAGGGGAATTTACAAGGAAATCAACAGTTTGCAAATAGTTTTATTATTTGGAATCTTAACAAAAATGAAAACTAAAGTAGCCACTGACTACAATGGTGTATAATGAACATTGTATCCCCAAAAGTGTTATGTTTTTATTATGAATTTTTCAATCAAACAAGAACCATAATTGTTCACAGGATAATAACCTTTCTAAATCTTTGGCATGGCTGCTAATGCAGTTGTTTCTTGAGATTTACTTTTTTGGGGCTGTGATCATGAGAGCTATGGTATTATGTGCCATGTATGCTTAATCAGCAGGTGCCTGGGCTTCTTACTAACATTTTAACTAAAATAAATTACAGTATGTATAAGGAATGGAAAGTGAGGTACTTAAAATGTGTTTTCAAGTTAATGCATAATATAAAAAGCAGAAATGCATGTACACCTATAGAAATAAACTGCTTTGCTCCAGTGTGATAGTGAAATCCATCAGTTATTCTAAGAAAAGTGTCCTTCCTTCTTACAAGGTGCTATGTAAGGAAACAAGTGTCTACCGTCTCAGAAAATAATCCACAGCAAATAGTCATCAAAAAAAAAAAAAAACACTGTTTTTGTGCGCTACTGTTTTAGTGTCATTACCATGTGCTCATACAAAGACCACATGCTTGTTTGTTTTGGCTGTTTTGGCTAAACTAAAACAAGGGAACATTTTTCTTCAAAGCACTTTTTATTTTTTGGAAGATATTTTCTCTTTGGTGTTGGTTTTCTAAGGCCATACCCATTGGAGTCTTACTACATATTAATACCTGTTGCTAACTTTTTGATAATTATAATTTTATTATTTGTTAGTTGTATTAAGGTTAGATCAAATTATGGTCTTCTAAATTAAAATGTTGAGTTTTGTTTTGTTTTGTTTTTAACAAGGGACATACTATAAATGCAATTTCTAAGCAGGGAATCTTATGAGAATATTACCAGATTGGTCAATGAAATAATGTTAGAGACAAAAAAGGCATTCATTGTTTATGCATTTTCCTCCTGTGGCTTAATTGTTATGATTTCACAGTCCATATTTGCTATAGGTTTCTGAAAATGTTTAATACCTCAGTAGTTCAATAAGTAAAGTGTAAAATAGTGTAACAGATTAGGTATAATGTAATTAAACATAAAGAAGATGGTTTGCTTTGGGTTTAGTTATATCCATAGATTGAGTTGAGTTTACATATATTAATAATCTATGGCCAACTGTCTGGTGAAGAAATCCTGTGACCTTTCCTAACAAGATTTCAGATACACAAAACCTTCTGTCCCAAAGTTACCGTAATCAATTACGGGCTTCACTTCACATTTTGAATTTGAATACTTTTACATTTAGCCCCAAACTTGTGATTTTTGTTAGTAATTCCATTCTCTATGATGTTACTGTGAGAACAAGTATTTTCAAACCCAACAAGAACCTCCCTTCTCTTTGGTGTAAAGTTACGTCTTCTAAATTTTATTTATTTAAATTTTTTTAAATGGTAGAAATTTAAAAGGAAAGGTTTCTAAATATGATTTATCCACTTAGTTATGGAATTCTATATTTTTCTTAGATATAATTTATATTAATGTCTCCCCAAATGTTGAGAAACTTTAGCCAAAGAGGACTATGATATTTAGATAATACAAATGTTATATAATATTTCAAATATTGTTTTAGCACCCAACAACTAAAACACACACACACACACACACACACACACACACACACACACACACACACACACACACGAATCCAAATCTCTAAGAGACCATTTCAGAGACGTCAATGCAATTTAAAGCCAGTTACAGTGTTTGCATTAGAAAACAACTAATTTCATAGTTTTGGTCTATAATGGTCCAGCATTCAATTTAAGAAACTCAGATCACATGAAAATGTCACCATTTGCTGTTTACTGGGGTGACAGTATACCAGTAGGCATGCGTAGAAATGCAGACACAGTGTCTACACCATTTTATGATAGGTACTACTTTGTCATTCAGAAAAATGTCTCCTTTCATAAAATTAAATTTTGTAATTTATTTTGTGGAATGTATGTTTCTCCCTATGATTTTATGGTTTTTGATATTGGGATTGATAGGAACCCATACGGCATCACCATAGGGAAGGGCCACTTCAAAGTCATTGTCTCACCAGTGCCTGGCATACAGCTAACACTTCAGAAGTATTTGTTGAGTGAATGAAACATACCACATTTGTCAGGACATATATGCAGCAGAAGCATAGAATACAATTGAGATAAATGAACGCATAGCAATGGCTATAATTGGATAATTATTATTATTATTATTTTGGTCTGATTTACTTTTTATTTTATTTATTTTTTTATACTTTATGTTTTAGGGTACATGTGCACAAAGCGCAGGTTTGTTACATATGTATACATGTGCCGTGTTGGTGTGCTGCACCCAGTAACTCGTCATTTAACATTAGGTATATCTCCTAATGCTATCCCTCCCCCCTACCCCCACCCCACAACAGGCCCTCGTGTGTGATGTTCCCCTTCCTGTGTCCATGTGTTCTCCTTGTTCAATTCCCACCTATGAGTGAGAACGTGCGGTGTTTGGTTTTTTTGTCCTGGTGATAGTTTGCTGAGAATGATGGTTTCCAGCTTCATCCATGTCCCTACAAAGGACATTAACTCATCATTTTTTATGGCTGCATTGTATTCCATGGTGTATATGTGCCACATTTTCTTAACCCAGTCTATCATTGTTGGACATTTGGGTTGGTTCCAAGTCTTTGCTATTGTGAATAGTGCCGCAAGAAACATATGTGTGCGTGTGTCTTTACAGAAGCATGATTTATAGTCCTTTGGGTATATACCCAGTAATGGGATGGCTGGGTCAAATGGTATTTCTAGTTCTAGATCCCTGAGGAATCGCCACACTGACTTCCACAATGGTTGAACTAGTTTACAGTCCCACCAACAGTGTAAAAGTGTTCCTATTTCTCCACATCCTCTCTATCACCTGTTGTTTCCTGACTTTTTAATGATCGCCTTTCTAACTGGTGTGAGATGGTATCTCATTGTGGTTTTGATTTGCATTTCTCTGATGGCCAGTGATGATGAGCATTTTTTCACGTGTCTTTTGGCTGCATAAATGTCTTCTTTTGAGAAGTGTCTGTTCATATCCTTCACCCACTTTATGATGGGGTTGTTTGTTTTTTTCTTGCAAATTTGTCTGAGTTCATTGTAGATTCTGGATATTAGCCCTTTGTCAGATGAGTAGATTGCAAAAATTTTCTCCCATTCTGTAGGTTGCCTGTTCACTCTGATGGTGGTTTCTTTTGCTGTGCAGAAGCTCTTTAGTTTAATTAGATCCCATTTGTCAATTTTGGCTTTTGTTGCCATTGCTTTTGGTGTTTTAGACATGAAGTCCTCGCACATGCCTATGTCCTGAATGGTATTGCCTAGGTTTACTTCTAGGGTTTTTATGGTTTTAGGTCTAAAGTTTAAGTCTTTAATCCATCTTGAATTAATTTTTGTGTAAGGTGTAAGGAAGGGATCCAGTTTCAGCTTTCTACTTATGGCTAGCCAGTTTTCCCAGCACCCTTTATTAAACAGGGAATCCTTTCCCCATTTCTTGTTTTTGTCAGGTTTGTCAAAGATCAGATAGTTGTGGATATGTGGCATTATTTCTGAGGGCTCTGTTCTGTTCCATTCATCTATATCTCTGTTTTGGTACCAGTACCATGCTGTTTTGGTTACTGTAGCCTTGTAGTATAGTTTGAAGTCAGGTAGCATGATGCCTCCAGCTTTGTTCTTTTGTTTTAGGATTGACTTAGCAATGCGGGCTCTTTTTTGGTTCCACATGAACTTTAAAGTAGTTTTTTCCAATTCTGTGAAGAAAGTCATTGGTAGCTTGATGGGGATGGCATTGAATCTATAAATGACCTTGGGCAGTATGGCCATTTTCATGATATTGATTCTTCCTACCCATGAGCATGGAATGTTCTTCCATTTGTTTGTATCCTCTTTTATTTCATTGAGCAGTGGTTTGTAGTTCTCTTTGAAGAGGTCCAATAATTGGATAATTATTAATGTATTTAACAACTACCTGCATGACACTCTGTGTCTATTGAGTACTATTTAATCTTCACAACAAACCCATGTGGTAGGTACACTACATTATCCATTCATTAATACACTAAATTATCCAGTAATCGATAATACACTAATATTATCCATTCATTCATTTTACAGATGAGGAATCGGAAACAAAAATAAAAAGCTTGCATAGCTTTGAAGAGTGGGGCTGGGATTAGGAGAAGATCTGCTAACTGTTTAGCCCATCTGCCTGCCTACTATTTGCCTGCACTTACAAGGCTGAATTTGGCTGAAGAAAAATACGCAGACACATTGGTCCTACTTTAAATTCACAGTCAATAACCTCAGGGGGCCCCTTGGTACATTTCTTTTTTAAAATCCATTTTCACTTAACTGGATCATATTTCTTACCTTACTTCCCTTCAAACCTCTTATGTCTCCTCTCCCATTTCTACTCTCAGCTATATCCTTACTTCTATTTGTCTGAGAAAGTAGAAATAATAAGAAATAAATGTTCACATACTCCACAACTGCTTTTATAAGTCTATCTGCAGATCTATCCATTTACTCCTCTTTTTATTTTTTTACTGAACTTGGGGATAAACTCCTAGTGCTGTAATCTAAGTTCAAGACCTCATCAAATTTAGCATTAGACCATCTCTCCTACTCAGGGAAATCAATCCAATAATTTTCTTCTCTTCTGCATCATCCTACTGTGTTATCCCACATCCTCCTGTATTATCCTTAACAGTATTTAAATATGCTCTAATATTTAGAACATCTTAAATAATTACCCCATGTTAAAAAAGAATCCCCTCTTGGTTATGCATTTCTCTCTAGCTATTGAATTAATTGTCTGTTACTGGCAAAACTCTTTGAAAGAGAAATTGCAACTATCCTTCTCCCATTCTCTCTTGGACCCTTTCTAAACAGGTGTTTGTCCCCAGTAACAAACTGTTCTTGTCACGGTCACCCATGACCTGCAAGTGATCAAACTCAAGATTCTGTTTTCAGTTCTTATCCTACCCGTATAGTATTTGGCATTCAAATTTTCATAATAAATTTGTATTTTTTACTACAAAGTGGTAAAGTTAGCATCGAAATACTTTAAACCTACCATTTACCCAACCAGTACCCTTTATGCGATCATCTTTTTATAGTGACGATATATTTGGGTTTCTAATTGAGAGTATTAATACGTTAACTATTCCATGTGATTTGATGTTCAGCCAAACACTAATAGTACTCAGTTGGTATTCGGGTACCATTAGAAGGCAATGCTTGGTGTTTCCTTACTTGGGAAGAATATTCCTTTCATCACATGTATTTGTGTTTGGACAGAGTGGCTTGTCTCTATAAAACAGAAGAAGATGAATGGTCTTTCTGAGAATTAGTCTTTGTATTTAAATATAATAGATTTGTGATTAAGCAACGGCTGCTTTTCAGACTCCTTAATTACTATCATAGCAAATAATCATTGGCAAACTAAAATATTAGTTTGCTTAATGATAAATATCACTCAAGTTTAAGCATTATGTAGAAAGAAATAGTCATAAACTTTGGAAGGGCCGTTTATCATAGTTCATTTTCTCTATGTGGAACGTTTTCATGGATAGATTTGTTCCTTATTTTTACACCTAAGGGTTTCAAGTATTGATAATATGTTCTACCTCTTCTTTACCTACCTATTACACAGACATGATTAAGGTAATGTTTCTACATTTGTGTTTTTAGTTTTTCTATGTTAATTTTTTGTCAAAATGACAAACAGCTTTTAAGGTATAAGCAAATGGCAAAGAGCTGGCAATTAGAGTAGATGAACAAATTTATAGACATGATAATATTATCTCTTCCATTGAGATTTTCCGGGGTAACATGTAACTACTTGGCTCAACAACGAGACATGAATGCAGTGTCTTTTCTCAGGAAACTCTTCAATGATGGATGGGTATTTACTTGTTTGTTTTCTTCAGAATCCAACAATTCTCTTTCTTTTGAAAAAGCCTTTAAAATAGTGCGATTCTCATTGCTTAATGTCTTTTTATTACACCACATGCCTCATTTTATCTCTTTGAATTTCTGTAAATAATTCCTGCTTATCCTTGGATACAACATGCCCTTTAAATATTTGTTCATGGCTTTTTTATTCCTCTTACCATTTGGCCAACTTACAATTGTTTAACCCTATTAATCTTTCTGCATAAGTAAATGCCACCAGCACCTTAATCATTTCTGTGGCTTAGATTGTTCAATAATTACCTCATCCTTATTCCAGCAAATGAGATGACTGCTGTTTTCATGAAGAGAATTTCATGCTGAGGCCAAACTTGGGGTAGAGAAGACTGAATGCATTTGCTGTCTTGCTTCTCTCTGGGGTGGGATCTGATCTGAATACAGGGATAAGGATATTGTACAAATCTATGCTAGGTAGAAGCAGTCTTCTTGGTTTCATACCTGATGAATTAAAGGAAAGTGTAGGGAAAGTAACCAGACATCTTCACTGCATCTGCTCAGATGAGAAGTGTTGCATACCACATCTCATACTTCTCCCAACAACAGGGTGTTGTTGGTATTATTTTCATTTCATGGATGAGAGGAAGTGAAGGAATTTTTCCAGGAACTCATAGTGGTCAGGGGTAGTATTTGAACACAAGTCTGACAAATATGGGGTACAGTTTTAGAATTAACTCAATGAATCCTTAATCATAATAAAAGTCAGCATTATACTCTAGTGTCTTCCTGGATGTACCCATAGAACAGGCTAGAATGTCAACCACAAGATTCCCTCTGTTCATTCCTATAATTTATTATTATTATTATACTTTAAGTTCCGGGGTACATGTGCAGAATGTGCAGTTTTGTTACATAGGTATACATGTGCCATGGTGGTTTGCTGCACTCATCAACCTGTCATCTACATTAGGTATTCCTCCTAATGCTATCCCTCCCCTAGCTCCCCACCTCCCAACAGGCCCCAGCGTGTGATGTCCCCCTCCCCATGTCCATGTGTTCTCATTGTCCAACTCCCACTTATGAGTGAGAACACGCGATGTTTGGTTTTCTATTCTTGTGTTAGTTTGCTGAGAATGATGGTTTCCAGCTTCATCCATGTCCCTGCAAAGGACATGAACTCATCCTTTTTTATGTCTGCATAGTATCCCATGGCGTATATGTGCCACATTTTCTTTATCCAATCTATCATTGATGGACATTTGGGTAGGTTCCAAGTCTTTGCTGTTGTGAATAGTGCTGCAATAAACATACATGTGCGTGTGTCTTTATAGTAGAATAATTTATAATCCTCTGAGAGAACATGATGCAGAAACTGCTGGGACAGTAATGTTACAAATGATGGCCACCCTGCAGAAAAGAGCCTTCTCCAGATCTGCCTCCACTCCTTTCTGTTCAATGCATGGGACAATAGTTTTAAAAGTTATACAGGACAGCAGAGTTCAGACACGTCTGTTCCATCATCTCTTAGACTTTCCTTTTGGAGTAAGCCACTAAAGAGGGTGAAGCAAGATTGAAGTTTTCCTACAAGATTTCAAGTATTTCATGTTTGACCAACTTTTGTTTTCTGCATCCCAATGCCTTTGCATTTTGGAAAATTGTAAAAGTTGCAAAAGTTGCTAAAGTTTCAAGAATATGGCACTCATGAGCAAAGGTTTCCTGTTCCCATGCTACTGCTGCTGAACTGACACATTTTTTATCATTAGAAATGCCCTTAGTGTCCAAACACTCCCATAAATGTTATCATTTTTACTTTCTGCATGGTTGTATAGTCAAGTGAAACTGAGATGCATATTACACTGTTAAGTACTTTTTGCAACTTTCTATACTAACAAATCAGGCTAACCTAAAGGTAAAGGTACAATGTTTGTGTCTTTGTGAGTTTTGCTTTTGCCCTATGGTAGTAGTTATAATGAATTCTCCAGCAGAATCTCCCCAGGAACATTCGTTTACAAGCTAAGTCTTTCTATTTGTTCACTTTTTAAAAAAGGAAACAGCACTTTGCAATATCCATTTTTTAGCAATAACTGGTGTCATCATAATTGACTAGCCTCACACTGCTATTCCTTCTCTTTTTTAAATTTTCTGCAACATTCTCATTGGCATCTCCAGAGATAGGCCTGTTGATTTTTTTTTTCTTAAAACCTGAATATAAGAAAATACCCCAAATTTCACCTGCATTTTGTCTCACACATTTCCATCAGTATTATTTACCACTATCCTTACTAGAGCCCAAAGGTCCACAAAAAACTGCCACTCTTCATGGTGTGGTCGGTGCTGGTAAAGCCCTGGAGGTAGACACACTGGGCCTTGTGCTCCCACAAACTGGCTGGAAAACTTGGGCAGGTCTGTTAACACGCAGAGACCTCTATGCAATGAACCCATTGAACAAGACAATTTGATAGATGCCTCTCAGCTTTCAGTTCTTCTTTTGCACGCTGTGTAGAGTCCCTCATGAATTAGATCTTAGAACATTGAGACAGTAGTGTATTCCTTTGCCAGAGCAATTATATGTTACATTAGAAGGCCACCTACATTGTGGTTTTAATTTGTAGGATGGATACTTAAGGTATCCATGACTTCAACACTATGCAATCTATGCCTGTAACAAAATTGCACCTGTACTCCGTACACTCATACAAACAAGCAAACAAACACAAAAGGCCCTCTGGAGAACAGGACTGTCCTCTAGATGCTGACAGTCTATGTTCAGTGCCTGTCTCCCTGTCTCTGCCTTACCCCCTTTCTTTAGGGTTGGCTTAGACTCCATGCTTCCTGTTAGCTGCTCATTAAATGCAGCCTGAAAATAGTTGGTTAATCATCTTTGTATATTCTATAGATTCTGTATATTTGTGGCACACAGCCCTCCCTCCTTCCCTATAGTCACCCTGCTCTATATTTAGGCATATAAAAGCTACAATTCTCCTGTATTCACAGATTTGAATATAGAGACAGGAAAAAAAAAGCCTACCCAAGTCTCCACTAAAAGTCTGTTTAATGCCTCCCAGTATTTATAGAACTCGATTCTTCCAGACACTTTTATTTGTTTTATCTTAACAAGTCTCATTATTTTCTTCTAGGGTTCGAATCTGTACAGAATTATTTTTAAAAATTACAGCTTGTGTACATAACAGCAGTCACACTAGGTGCAAAGTTAAAACCCATTTAAAGAGAATAAAGCTTCAATGAGGAAATATGGAAATAATGACAAGCCTAGGAAAAGAGGTCTAACTAACATGAATGACCACACACACACACACACACACACCACAATTAGAGTCTCCACAACTCTGATCTGTAACTTAAATGAATGTCAAATTGCCTCACAGGAATTTCAGATCTTCAGTCTGAAGTTCTGGTAGATAATATTGAACATATTCCTCAGCAACAGCATGCATGCTTCTAAATAGCCACTAGAATTCATTGGAAAAGAGCAATATACAAACAAACAAAAAACCCCAGAAAACTGGCAAGCTGATCTAGATGGCAACATTGGATGAACTAGAAAACTGAGACCACTGGATACTAACCAGTTTGAGATAACAGTATCAGCTGGCTTTCTTTGGAAGAGAGAGAGAAGCACTAAATAAGTGAGGTTCTCAATTTTAATAAGTTGCATTATTCAAACATAGAACTAAAGCTATTAGATTTTTATTAAAAGTGCCTCCTTTGAAAGAAGGCTAGACTAATGTGTTTCTGATTAGCAGTCAGCCAGTGAAATTTCAGATTCTCAAAACCATGACAGGATTTTGAGCAGGAAAGACATCCCTTGATAAAACTCTCAGTAAATAGTAATTTTGCAAGTGAAGAAAATAATTATAAGTCAAGAGAATTGCTTTATGGCTTCAGGAAGTTAGTTATTCTGCACTTACTGGCGCTTGCATTTAAGGTGATTTCATTTAGATTGTATTACACACAGATGGTTTGATTAAACATATGAGTTAATAGTGGCTTGGTATCAATATTGGCTGCATCACTATTGGCTGCAAGCATCTTGTTTCATGAGGAAAAATGGGGTGGGCTGTAAACTGCATATATTGGCATGGTATTTAAAGTTCCAATTAAGAAACTATATAACACACACAAATATTGGGTATTTGTCTCTTGGGTTTGTTGTTAAGAAACGTATGAGCCTCTTTCATTTAAATACCTCTGGACACTGTAAAGAACCTTAGATAGACACAAGAAAAGCCAAGAAGCTTAAAAAAAGAAAGAGAAAGAGCATAAGGACAGAAAATAATAATATAATAAAAAAAAGGGAGCGATAAACCTCTAAAATGTAGGTGCCAGAATTCTTGGGATGGGGGACCTTGCCTACTCTTGTATATATTCTCATCTCAGAGTGGCTCTAAGTATATGGTCCTCTTTAAGCACTTTTTGTTTTGAATAATCTAAGAATGTTGCTAAATTGATAAAACTGAGATATTCCTATGGTTTCAAGTAAAAATAAAGCAACCAATATCTTAGCTCATCAAACTTCATCATTATCTGCATTGAACTTCACAAAAACTTTGATGTGGTGATGGTATCACAAGTATATGAATATGTCCAAACTCATCAAAATGAATTGCATTTTTGTATGTTAATTATGTCTCAGTAAAGCTTAAAAAACCCTTTAAAGTAGATAATATTCTCTTTATTTTTCAAACGAAAGAATGGAAACTGACAGATGTTAAGTAATTTTTCCTGGGTCATATAATCTATGGTAGTAGTAGTACTTTTCTATTTCTTCTGCACAAACTCCTCGCGTATCTGTTTGTTTGATTAGTTGGGTTTTTTGGGTTGTTTATTTGTTTGTTTTTTGAGACAGAGTCTTGCTCTGTCCCCCAGGCTGGAGTGCAGTGGTGCGATCTCGGCTCACTGCAACCTCCACTTCTGGGGTTCAAGTAATTCTCCCACCTCAGCCTCCTGTGCAGCTGGGGTTACAGGTGCACACCATAACCTCTAGCTGATTTTTGTATTTTTAGTACAGACAGAGTTTCACCATGTTGTCCAGGCTGGTCTTGAACTCCTGACCTCAGGTGACCCACCCGCCCCGGCCTCCCAAAGTACTGGGATTGCAGGCATGAGCCACCGCATCCCATCTGAATTCCCCATTTTGATATGACTCCCTCTTCACTTGGGGTCTCTTTGATAACAAATAAGAAAAATGGACAGAGGGCTAGTTGCAAGAAATCAGATTTGGAAGTCACTACTTGGGAAGTGGGAGGGAGACATCAAGAATTATGGCTTTAGTTCATCTTCTCCCATCCCTTTCTCGCAAATGTTGCTATTTCAATAATAGGAATTCCACCATATTTTTTTTTTCAGAAAGACTTTCTTTATATTTTCTTGTTTCATAAAATTTGAAACACCATAAAATCCAGGAGACAACCTAACAGAATAAATGTTCTTCCCAACCTGTGGGAAAAATTATAATCCTCTTTCTGTCCATTCCTAGCTTTTATTTCTCCTCTAAAAGGCATTTCTTTTATTTTGATGAGAAAATCCTTTCAGTATTTCTCAAGCAAGACTAAAGTTGAAGATACACAAAATTCCTAGAGTAGAGCACTTGGGCAGATTTATTAAATAACCTATATATTGAAGATGATATGGAGGTCATTTAATTCTATTTCATAAATATAGCAGTTTTTACATTCAAAATGCTCTTTCACTTTCAAAATAAATATTATTGAGATATAACATGCACATTAAAAGAAGTCCACAAATCATACACAACTTAATTAATTTTTACAGAGTGAATAAATACACTTGTGTGAAGACCATGCGGATCAAGAATAGAGCACTACCCGGCCCCCAAGAAACGCTCCTCATGTGCTTTTCCAATCAATGAAAACTAAAAGCAGCCACTCTCTTGACTTCTAACACAATATATTAGTCTTGCCTACTTGAAAAAACTATATATCAATGATGTTATGCAGCATGTACTTTATTGTGTCTGGCTTCTTTTACCTAATATTGTATTTGCAGGTTCATTCATGTTATCTCTGCTAGTAGTTCATAAAATCTGTAGTGAAGTCCCCCTTTTTTTGAGATTGACGACTTGTACCTTTTCTCTTTTATCTCATGCAGTTTCGTTTGGGTGTATTAAATTTTATTTAGTCTTTTTCAAAGAAGTGACTTTTGGCTTAGCTGATTTTTCCTATTGTAATTTTTTTGTATTAAAATTTCTTCTTAATTTTATTATTTGTTTTTAATTCCTTTAGGTTAAATTTGCGTTCTTTTAACTTTGTGCAAGTATAAATTGTAAGCTTGTTGATTTTAAGCCATTGAAGAATTTAAACATTCATGGAAAATGGTAAATTTACCTGTAGTCATGGCTTTAGCTACACTAAAAAGTAGCTCTCTGTTATATTTTAATTTTCACTTAGTAAAATATTTTCTTATTCTGTGATTTCTTTCACTTAGGATTATTTAGAAGTGCTTGTTTAATTTCAAAATATTTAACAATTGTCTGGTTATCTTTTTATAACAAAAAATTACTAAATTTCTAGACTAAATCTACCATAATCAGAGAACAAATAAAATAGCAAATTGAAAACAAAATGTATGTTTTATTTTGTAGCCAGGTGCAATATTCTCTGTATGACAATTACATTAAGTCTACTGATTTTGTAGTTCAAATTTTTATTTTTTAATTTACTTTCTTTTCTCCATTTTTATCAGTTACTGAAGCAAACTGCATTAAATATCTCCCATTATGATTGTGAATTTTTCTATATTTCCTCCAGACCTGTCAGTTTTTGCCTTCATTCTTTATAGGCTAATATAACATTATTATATCTTACTGGTAGATATATCCTTATATCAGAATATATTGCTTTTCACTTTCATGTTTACTTTTTATTTGCTATAGTATAATAACACCAGCTTTCTTTGGTCTTTATCATAATGTCCCACATGTTTTTACTCCCTTTTTTAGATTTTATACATTTTTTATGTTCTTTGCTTTAGGGTGGCTATTTTCAATTAAAACATTTTAAAATTATTTATTCTTCTCTTGCTATTGAACTCATCCATTGAATTTACCTTTCCAGTATTATATTTTTTTCCAGTTTTAAAACTTCCATTTGATTAATTCAGTTCTTTGGTTATATCTCCATCATTTACTTGATTTTCTTAAATATATTAATTATAGTTATTTTAAAATCTGTGTCTGTTAACTCCTATATGTATTTATTTTTTTAATTGTTCCCTTTGGTATCTTTGGCAATTTCAGTAGTTTTAATTGAGTGTTGGACATTTTAGAAAGAAAACTATAGAAGCTATGATTTTATCGTCTTTGAGGAGGATTTTTTTTCTTTTTATTACAGTTGGGGCAGAAGATTCCAGTTTACTGTAGTATGAAATATATTTGAAATTGGCTTTCACATATATGTGTGTGCTAGCTTGTCTATTTCTAGTTTGATTTTTGGCTAACGTATAGTTTATAGGGGCTCCAACTGAAAACCTGGATGTTTACCAAGGCTACTCTTTATTGGCAAGCCTTGAACTCTAATTTTTGTCTCCTTAGCATTGTGGATTGCCAAAAGCTTTGCTCTGATTCTCAGCTTTTTGCCTTCCTCCACTTTTGAAGCAGCAAATTCTTGAGAGAAAGAGTAATGTACAACACAGTGCTCATCTCCATATGTTTTCCTTTCTTCCAAAATGTTGGCCCCTTAACTCCTGGTTGCCTTGGAAGCTCTCCAGTGCCATCAACCAATTTTCTTTCTTTTCTCTTCTTGTTTTTAAAAATATCTAGCTTTCACATATGGTAGGAGTGTTGGTCTTATGCTTGATAGTTGGTTATAACTAGAAGTGAAAATTTTAAGTCATAATTCTTAGAGAAACTGGCTATTAGGAAATATTATTTCCATTTTGGGTCCCTACTTCTTAAATATAGAAAGACTATCAAATATCTTGACAAAAATAGAGAGGATGTTTTTCTTATATAAAGCTCATGACCAAGTCTTCAGCACCAAATTTGTATGTAAATTCTTTGAATTTTTTGGAAGAAAAATATTGACTAGCTTTTTATTTGATTTGATCTTTCAGAACATTACCCACTGAGTAAATCCATATTCCACTCTAAGTTTTAATAAAATCTGTGACGGAGATGGGTATTTCTGTCAATACTCATTTCTGGGGATATGTGTGTGTGTGTGTGTGTGTGTGTGTGTGTGTGTTGTATGTTTCATGCCTTTATACAGGTTGAGTATCTCTTGTGTGAAATGCTTAGGACCAAAAGTGTTTCAGATTTCAGATTTTTAAAATATTTTTGAATATTTGCACTATTCTTACTGTTTGAAGATCCCTCATCTAAAAATAGAAAACTCAAGGTGCCATGGCTCATGCCTGTAATCCCAATATTTTGGGAGGCTGAGGCAGGTGGATCACTTGAGGTCAGGAGTTCAATACCAGCCTGGCCAACATGATGAAAACTTGTCTCTACTAAAAATACAAACATTATCTGGACGTGGTGGCACACACCTGTGGTCCCAGCTACTAAGGAGGCTGAGATGGGAGGATCACTTGAACCCGGGAGGCAGAGTTTGCAGTAAGCCGAGACTGCACCACTGCACTCCAGCCTGGGCAACAGAGTAAGACTCTGTCTCCAAAAAATAAAAAATAAAATAAATTAAAAATCCTAAAGGCTTCAATGAACATTTACTTTGAGCATAACCATTGAACATCATGTCAGTGTTCAAGAAGTTTCAGATTTTGGAGCATTTTTTATTTCAGATTTTTAAATTAGGAATGCTCAACCTATGCTACTAATACTACTAGTATTTTTGTTGTAAAAATTGGGTTATTCTTTCACTTTCCAAGTTTATTTCCTGGCAGCAACAAAGTTGTAGATTATCAAACCACCTTCCAGAATGTTAAAAACCTATGAGCTTACCTGAAAAAGTCTCTAATAAAGATTTGTGTGGGATCTAATTATGACTTAGCTCTTAAAGTTCACAAGAGAGGTTGGAAACAGCATATCTCTTACTCCAGGCTGCTATAACTCTGGGCAACAGGTGTATTCTTACTCATAAGCACCCTGCAAAGACTGGAGTAGCCCTGACAAGAAATCTGAGTATTCTTCTCTGAAGCCTGTGGTTCATTGTGATGCTGCTGCCAGCTTTGGCCACACCCCAAATAGACCTCTATTTGCAGAGCTCTTCCACATTAGACCTGTGTGCTTTTGAATAAGTGACTCGGCTGCTCTAATCTTAATATCCTTATTTCTCAACTAAGTTTATAATTCTATCTATTCTGCTTAACTCACAAGTAAAACTTGAATGAGATAATGCATGTGAGAGCATTTGTGAGTTGTCACACTCTAGGCACATATGGTGAGCGGGGCAAACCCAGGACCTAGGTAAATCTTTCCACATGTCTATGGATCAGAACCCTTTTCTTCTCCTGTACACATAATAATATATATCCTAGCATACCATGTTTCTAATTTCATTTCCAGGAATAATGATATAAATCAGTTTGGAAATGTGAATTGGGAGAAAAAGATAGAAGTTATTTGTTACTTACTTCCATCTTTCTTATCCTTATTTGTCTCTAGTATATTTTCTTATGTCTTGCCTAGAAGCAGTTTCAATGATTATCAGTTCAGTCATCTTATTTTATAGATAAAGTTACCCCAAAACATAGATAAGGCCCAAAACTGTGAAATCCCCTATTATGGTCTCATGGTGAGTCATTGTCAGAGCCTGATGAGAAATAACTCTCCTAATTGGTTTTATTGATTACTGTTGATGCAGCATTGCATCATTGTAGATAAAGCACACACACAGATATACATGTCTGCCTGCGTGCATGTAGGTACACATATGCCCTCCAAAAAATTGCTTATCTGAGGCTGTAGGAAAGGATCTATTATATTTTTCAACTCTTCCTTCATCCCTAAGTGACAGGAAAGAAGGGATTTCCTTTCCACTCAGATTCCCCGCTGTTAAAAGCATTAATGTTTTCTTTTTGGAGCCTTTTGCTGCCTCTCATTATGTTTTTCTCCATTGCGGAGTTGGAGTCACACTATGAGAAAATCTGAATATTAGAACACAAAGTCTGCGGATATGACCCATAGGCTTGCTGAGGAGTGATCTAATAGCCAGGGAGTGATGGTAGGTGAGAGGTGAAATGTACAGAGTGGGGGGCATAGAAGAGGGAGCTATGGAGTTCAGGCAAACGCAATGCAAAAGCCACAGCACCTTAGTGTGAGTGCCATCATCTGAAACTGTCCTTGGTGGTATGGGAAGCGTTGATTTGGGGCAAGAAAAAGGCAAGATATTTATTTGATACTGACTTGATGATATGAACACAAAATGAGAAAAATATTCAGGCACTGCTATTGCCCCACCTTAATAGTAAAAAGAAAGGGAAGGGAGGTTTCTGCTAGCTAGCAAACTTTGCAAATGGGTATGAATACCCTTGGAGAACCAAGCAGTACATGGGTATGAGAACCCATAGGTATATCTTTGTGCAGTATCAATTTTAATTATGGTTAAGTAATTTAAAATACTTGATATCAAACCAAACAGGTATTTAGTAGATTATAATTGTTAGGATATTCAAGTAGAATACAAGATTCCAAAGAAATTCCTGATTACCAGATGCTTTGAGACTCCATCCCTCAGGCTCACCAGGAAACGTGACCATTTACTTTCCTCTACCATTGAAAGTACTTACGTAAAAAAAATACGTGAGAATCACTGGAGCATTTTTGTTATAGAATATTTCTAGGCACTCCATATAACTCTCACAAATCTCTCCTTTCATTTTTGTCTCTAAATAGCAAACAACAGATGTTCCCTTTTTAACTTCCTAATGCAAAGTATAGAAAGTTGATTCATTGCAAATTGATGCATTCTTTTCTTACGTTTTACCTTTTTAAAGTTACTTCTCTCGGGCAGGTATGTTTGCACTTCAGTGACCCTTCTGATGAGAGTAATCATCTTTCACTTGGTTTTTAAAGGTCTTAAGATTTTGAGTGATTCTTTACTTAGTGTGAGACAACATGTTACATTCATGTCTAGAATAAGAACAAGTATTTTTATTGTGCAAAATTAACTTTGAATGAATGAACAGAAGTAGGAAGTAACTGGAGGAATGGAGATGAAATACATAAAGTATTTCTTTATGCTTTGCCTGGATTTATATACTGAAATTGACATCCTTACTTTATACTTATAAAGGACTAAAGGCATTTGTAAGAAAATTACATTATCAAACTTCAGAAACTGTTGAAAATCCAATGATTTCTTTAAAAATGTTACTTAATATACCTTGTAAAATGATCTTTCCCAAACAGTCATTAGGAATTTAATGACTTAGGTAAGATCTCTGAAGCATATACCCACATTAACATGACAAGAAAAGGATGTACACTTAAACCTTTATTTAAGGAAGTCCAGAGATGGATATTAATATTAACAGAATTTCAAAAGTTGAATTACTGAGGATATATTCAGCAAATAATTTAAGAGTTCCAGATTTAATGATTTGAAACATGTCTCCATATTGGATGAACTAATATTCTTTATGTGATTCTTAAATGAGGGCAAAAAATGTTTTCATCTATTTTATTTTGTTGTCTAAGGTTACAGTAGAATTAATATTTTTTTTCTTTTTCCATGCTATGCTTCTCGATGCAAATGCAAATTGTGCTGGAAAGGCAAAGTTGAAGGTGACTAATAAAGAGCAACAATATCTTTGTCAGTTTCAATTACTGACACCATTGCTACTAAGTAGATTTCTCCTCACCTTCCCTCCTTTTTTTCTTTAATCTTACAGTAAAGGAAAATCTTATTATATGTCCCAAACCATGATAGGAAGCTAGAGAAGCTCAGTTTCACATCTAATGCTCACTCTACATTAGTTACCAATGAAATCTGTCAGTGGGTATATGTTAAGCAATATAACATGCTATAAAGAGCCTCTTGGCAGAAATAGTAGGTTAAAATGGGAGCGGAAATTTCTTTGTCAACTTCGCAGCTGTAGCGCTGGGTGTGGGGCAGGACTTTGTGTTTCTGAGACTGCTTCTTTGTACTTAGGACAAGGATAAGTCTCAGTCAGTTGCCCTGACTGGGGGAGTTCATTGGACTAATAGATAATTCCTGAGATGCTATCTACTGCTAATATTTTATGTCTATGGCCTATACAGGTGGTGTTTCTTCAATTAGAAGCACCAGCAAGCTAAATAAAGTATCATGACAATAATCACACAAAGGTGAATTTAAAGCTTTACCTTTTCTCTCACCTAACCATTTTCATTTTTCTATCTTCTCTTCCATATTTGTATATTTGTAAGTTATTTTAATCATAATGTAGATACAATCCAATCTTAGCAGGAGTTGTTAAATCTCAAATGAGTTAAGGTATATGAAATCACCTTTAAAACTCTAAAGGGCTATTCCAAATGCAAAAGAAGCCTGATATTATTGTCACTCTTTCTTAAATATCTTTCCATATCTCTGCAAGATAAAAAGTGTGAAAAAAAAAAAAGCCAGGAAAGGTTGGGTTGAGCTGTTGTGTTTAGTGAAAGCACTTTCACTAACACAGAGGACCTGCCTTATGATGCCTCTGGGAGTCAAAGAAAACACAGACCCTCCCCATGAGATGCTAAGAATCTTGTCAGGTGTATTGGTTTCTCACTGCTGTAACAATAAGTCATTACAAACTTAATGGCTTGAAAGAACATAAACTGATTATCTTATAGTTCTGTGGGCTAAAATTCTGACGTGGATCTCGCCAGGCTAAAATTGACTTGTCAGTAGGGCTCTGATCCTTTTTGGAAGCTGTAGAAAAGAATCCATTTCTTTGCCTTCTTCCATTTCTAGAGGCCATCTACATTCCTTATCACGTGGCACTTTCCTTGAACTTCAAGGTCAACAATGTTGCATTTTTCTGATAATTACTTAATAGTCACCTCTGCCTTCCACTCTCCTTTTAAGGACCCTGTTATTACACTGGACACACCCAAATAATCCAGGATAATCTCACCATGCCACAGTCCCTAACTTAATCTTGTATGCAAAGGCCCTTTTGCCATGTCATGTAACACAGTCACACACTTCAGGTATAAGAATGTAGGTGCTTTCAGGGAGCCATTGTTCTCTCCACCACAGCAAAGCAATCACATGGACACATAATCACAATACATCATGGTTAATGCCATAGCAGCACTTGGCTGCAGAATATTGTGATGGTACAACCCAGGCTGACTTCATGCAGCTCAAGGTGCAGGAGCAGGAAAAACCTGCCAGAGGCAATCATGGACAGAGAGGTGATGACAGGGTGAATAGGAACTAGCCATTTGAAAAGATGCAGAGACTGGCTTTCAATAGCAGGCAGCCCACGCAGAGAACAAGCCTCTATTAAAATCCTACCATCCTGCCTCCCACATTACTCTCACAATTAAGTCCTTGTCACTGTCCAGCCTCTGAGAAAGGATCTGGCATCTACTGCAGGGTCATGGGTATGGCATCTTAACTGCATGCATCATACCCAACATCCAGTGACCAGAGTGATAGTTCACCTGTCTACGTATGATCTTGCCACTGCCTGCTTTAATCTACTGACCTCAAATATTCTTAGGATGCAATTCATTTTTTGTATAATTAACAGACCTCCCAAGATTTGGACACTTGGCCATCTTTTCCATCCTCATTCCGTGGTGATGCTACTTTCTTATCTAAAATAACATTTGAGATTCATACAGCATCCTGTGCTGTTATTTGGCCAGATATGGTTATGTCCACCTTTCAGAGAAATTCAAGAGGCTATGACTTACATTAAACCACATAGCTAATTGGCAACTGAACCCCACTGTTTTCCCAGCACACTATGGGGAGACCAGCCTACTGTCAAATGTTAGATTTTGTTCCTGGAGATTTTAGGATGAATATGGGACAAACTACCTCCTTGTTCTCTGCAAATTCATTTTCCCTTTAGCCATATAACACTGGGTTTGGGGTATTTTGGGGACGTGGTAGTGAGTCATAACAAGCTTAATTCCTTTTACTTCACATGTTCAATGGCCCATGTAATTACAAGGCCCAGGGATTTCCTCTCTGCTGTTAAAAGAATTATCAAGTTAAGAATGTTTTGATCTTAATTAGCTTTTACTAGGCCTTTCTGATGCCCAAATAATATATGTGGCTAAATGGTAAACAATAAGGATGAGGCCTATTTTTTTGTTTGTTTCTAAAACACTTTTCAAAGAATGTACAGTGGGAACCTACATGGAAATCTTCATAACAAAAATTTTTTAGGTAATATAAGGCACTTTTCCTTAGGGGAAAATTAAGAGTTTAGATAAGGGACACATTTTTAAATAATCAAAAAAAATTGAAAAGATGCTTCTTTTGCATCTTTGGATTGTGTTGTGTTCAATTCCCTATTATTTTATTTTCCTTGCTATGCAAACTCTAGACATCTTGAAAATTAGCTATTGGTAATCTTATCAGTTCTCCTGTAAGTCTGCCAAGTAATTGGATAGCTTTTCTTGTTTTTTGCTATGTCACATCTTCGTACCTCTAACATGCACACTCTCATTCTCTGTATTTATTTATAGAGCTCTCACCTCTCAACTTCTTTCTCTATTTCTGATATTCTCCATCTGAAGCATGTATCAGAAGTTCTCTCTGTGATTGGTGGAATAAATTAAAACTGTGTGATTATTTACTACTACATTCAGCAGCTTGGATCAAAAACCTAGATTTACAACTTTCTAACTGTGTGAACATTGTTAAATTTCTGATTGGGTTAAGTTTCTAATTTTATATGTATATTTATATATGTGTGTGTATACATATGTATATTTGTATATGTATGTATGTATATATATAGAAATACATATATAGATTTGTGTATTTACATAAATAAAATTAGTGCATTAATAATAGATTTGCATGGTTTTCAAAGGATGATGTCAATTAATGTTTATAAAATTCTTAGTAGTGTGTTTGACACAGTGAATAATGGCTAAATGATGGCTGTCATTCTTATTACTGTTGTTATTACAACCAGCATGGTGACTGCATATGGGAAGATACAGAGCAGACTATGAGGACCAGAAAGAGAAGGATGCATTCTTGTATTACTACTAGGCATTAGGTTGCTTTTTGCAAGGTGGTGGCTATAAAGTATTCTGGGATGGCACTATCTGAACGCTGAGAGCAAAGGGCCCATCTCCAGAGGGCACATCTGGAATTGGGTTATATTCCTCACAACTGGAGACAGGGAAGGCCAATGTGATGTGAGGGCCCAGGCATTTGGAGCAAGGTAACTAGACTACAGGGGCTATTATAGAAGAAGAGGTACAAAGCAAAGGGTAGTGGGTCTCCTCACACAAAATACTCACCTCTCTGTATTATGGTTGCCAGTTTCACAAAAGATGTGAATTATGAATTCAAACTTAATTTCCTGTAAAAGGTACAGTGAAAATAAATAGCAAAAGAAGAAAAAGTTTTAACCTCGGCTTAGCCTGTACTAAGGGCCAGATAACAGTTCTGAAACCACCATCCACTGGATCTTGGTGATCCTACCTTGATGGGGTAGACATTATTCCCCTTGTCTTCTTATCAATAAGAAAAAAAAAAGGCTCTTGAAAGGTAAGGCACCTTATCCAACTCAGGGAGCTGGTGAGAGGGTAACTGGCTCCACCTTTGCCCCTACTTCAAGTTCTTTCCTCCTCCACCCCCAATCCCGTCTTATCCGGAGTCAGTGCTGCAGATGTCTGAGCAAGGCAGGCAGAAGTACACGTGGCTCTGGGCCTGGACATCTTGCTGTGTGTGGCATCACCAAGGTAATGCGCAGCTACAGGACCCCTTGACCTGTCTGCTTCCATGAACGTACAGAAGCGTAAATTCTGTTCCTTGACTGGGAAACATTTTGTTCCCACATGGAGGTTGTGTGAGAGTAGAGCATTGTGGATACACCCCATATTGTTGTAACCTATTTTCTGCTGTTCTTGCCGAGATCTGAGGATTTTTATTTAAAGTTCTGCCTTTCTGGGATGACCTTAGGAGCTATAGATTTCATTTTCCTGGAGGGACTTAGAGGAACAGAGGTCCCCAAATGGTTCTCCCTGGCACACTGCAGAGCAAAGCAGACAGAAAGGTTTTTACAAGTCCTGGGCAGTCAGCGTTAGTCCGTTTTCCAAGAACAATGTGTTTTTTTTTTCAGGTAAGACAGGAAATGCTTTTCACTTATTAAACTTAGAGGTGTGCTACAGGTGTGGACTGCTTAAGAAAGAAAGAAAGTCATGAGACAAAAGCACCCAAACCTCCTCAGCAAGGCTCTGAAATATGCAGAAAAGCAGTTGTTCCTATCTAGTACTGAAGCCCTCGCATAAGTTAAAAATTATATCAGAACTGAACTATTACACTTTTTAGTCTAAAGGAGCTATGTCTTTTGTTTTGTTTTGTTTTGTTTTTGCTTTTGTATTGTTTAAAGGAACTGAATTTTAGAACTCAGCAAAGATGGTTTGGTACAATATCATAATTAGGGAACACAAAGACTGGTTCTTGACAGGAGAGATTAGAAACTATTTCATAAATGGGGATATTTAAGCTAAGCCTTGATATAGGGCAGTGTTTTGACAGGTGTAGAGTCATAGGAAATCATTTGAATAAAGATGAATATGATAAAAATGCATGAGCATAGGCTAAGTAGCACTGCAAAGCACTCTCAGAGCCTGAAACATGTAGAGGTTGGAATCAACTCTCTCTCATTAACCAGACAATACTAAGCAGATGATGCACGTTCTCAGATGCAGATTTTCTTCATGTATTGCATGGGGTAGGTTTCAGATGGAAATAATGTATGTTAGAAGTTTCTGGGTTAAAAAGTACATCGTGAAGTTCCCTTGCTCTTTCTTTTATCTGACAAAACATCAGCTTGACGTTTTGCTTGATGAGTGGTTTGCAGTCTATTTCCCAATGTGGAGATGGATGGATTTCTTCAGACGTGGGTTTATAAATATGTCTGGTTATTTTTTTTCATTTATTTATATTTCACATGAGTAAAATCAGGGCCATAAAATAGCTCTACAATTCCATTAAACTTAAAAATCTAGAAAACATATCATAGTACTTAAATGTTGAGACAGAAAGTGAATATCAAATTCCTTTCTTCAAATACTTTAGTGAATGAGAAAAGGCAAAAACTATCCTGGGAGCCGGGTGCTACAACTCAGATTTTTCTCATAGTTAGCTACATAGTCCTCTGAAGTGAAGGCGGTTTTGTCTCTAAATCGGTGAACGTGGCAGTTGAACTTTATTTTTTTTAAATGGCAATTCCTCTATTAGTCTGCTGGGGCTACCTTAACAAAGTATCATAGACTTGGTGGCTTCAATAACAGAAATGTGTTTCTCACAGTTCTGAAAGCTGCAAGGTCAAGATCAAGGCACTGGCATGCTTGATTTCTCCTGAGGCCTCTCTCCTTGGCTTGTAGATGCTGTCTTCGCCCTGGGTCTACCTGTGGTCTTTTACCTGTAGTTGTCTGAGGTCCTAATCTCCTCTTCCATAAGGATACCAGACCTATTGGACTAAGGCCCAACCTAATGACCTCATTTTAACTTAATTATGTCTTTAAGGGCTCTGTCTGCAAATGTAGTTCATTCTGGTTAAGACTTCAACATATGAGTTTTAGGGGGACACAATTCATTTAATAATACTCCCTTTGATGCTTTCACACCATTAGACACAAGTAAGAAGAACTATATCTTTGAAGAAGTGTTTTGTTGTGCTCTATATCAGAAGGTAATCTTGAAGACATGTGGTCCTTTACAGTTGTCTGCCTTTGAGTTGATCAGGGAGATGCTCATTTATTTAACTGCATGAACACATTTCAGAAAAATGTTGACAGGGATTTAAAGCTTTGCTATTGTCTACTAATGATCTTGTTATATATCCTCCATCATAAGGCAACAGAGTAAGCTTGATTAAAAATTATTTAAATTAACCCCATGTGGAAATGTCAGTAGGAATCATATTGAATTACCTAAAGTCACATAATTTTTTAAAAAGCCTCCCAATTCTTGAGCACAAGCTTTAAATTTTACACACACACACACATTCATGTATATATTTATGTGTATGTATATGCACACAGAAAATGCTACCATTCTCCACAGAAAAGCTTAACATTTCAGAATTAGAAATTTAGAAATACAGTCCAGTACTTTTTCAGGTTAAAATTTTAACATTTATTTTACCAATCATCTATTGAGTGAAGAATAGGTTACCGCTACCAGCAGTTCCCAGTGTTCTCTAAAATGTGACTCCGATGGGTCACTTCTTGAGAAAAAGCTGAGAAAATATGTTTACTATTTCTCTGATGTTCAGTGTGCAGACTTTTAGCTTGAGTTTCATGCGTGCCCAGAGCTGCCTGCAGACTGCCATCAGCCTCACCTACTGTTATCCCCAAAGCCTCCAAACCCATCTGTCTTCAAAAAATACTTTGGACTTCCTCCCAGGAGGACATCTCCTTACCTGAAAAAGGTACTTCATTCCATCATCCACATCTTGGCCATCTCTGACTCAATTTCATCTCACTTTCTCTCCAAAGCTTTCCACTAACCACCTGGATTAAAATGACCAGATGTTAACAATTTGTATCTATAGCAAGCATTTTTATTGTTAATTTTTTGATACATAAAGATTGTGCATATTTCTGGGGCATGTGATATTTAGATACATAACTACAATGTGTAATGATCAAATCAGGGTAACTAGGATATCCATTGCCTCAAACATTTATCATTTCTTTGTGTGGGGAACATTCCAAATCTTTCTTCCTACTATTTTGAAATGTACAATAAATTATTGCTAACTATAGTCACCCTAATGTGCTATCAAATACTGGACCTTATTCCTTCTATTTAACTGTATTTTTGTGCCCATTAAACAACCTTTCTTCATTATTTACCCCTACTCCTTCCCAGCCCCTGCAAACCACCATTCTGCTATCTCCGTGAGATCAACTATTTTAGCTCCCACAAGAATATGAGATATCTGTCTTTCTGTGCCTTATTTCACTTAACATAAGGTCCTCCAGTTCCATCCATGTTGCTGCAAATGAAGGGATTTCACTCATTTGTATGGCTGAATAATATTTCATTGTATATTATATAAATTCCATTATATATGTGCATGTGTGTATGTGTGTGTGTGTGTATATATATATATATATACACACATATATATGAAATATATTTACATCACATTTTCTTTGTCCATTCATCCATTGATGGACATTGACCCCCATATTCTGGCAATTGTGAAGAGTGATACAACAAACATGAGAGCACAGACTTTTTTTTCATATACCCAGCAGTGGGATTGCTGGATCATATGATAGTTCCCTTTTTTATTTTTTGAGAAACCTCCATACTGTTTTCCATAGTGGCTGTACTAATTTACTTTCCCACCAAAAAGCATATGAGGGTTCCCCTTTCTCTGCATCCTCCCCGGCATATGTTATTTTCCTCATTTTGATTATAGCCATGTCAACTGGGGTGAGATAGTATCTCATTGTGGCTTTGATTTGCATTTTTCTGGTGATTAGTGATGCTGAACATTTTAAAAATATAACTGTTGGCTATTTGTATGTCTTCTTTCAAGAATGTCTATTCAGATCTTTGTCCATTTTTAAATGGGGTTTGTTATTTTGTTGTTGTTGAATTGTTCAAGTTTCTTATATATTCTGGTTATTAATCCCTTGTTAGATAGATAGTTGGCAAATATTTTCTCATTCTGTAGGTTGTGTCTCCATTCTGTTGGTGGCTTCCTCTGCTGTGCAAAAGTTTGTCAGCTTGATATAATCCCATTTATCTATATTTGCTTTTCTTGCTTACACTTTTGAGGTCTTAACCCCAAAATTCTTGCTCAGACCAATGTCCTGAGAAATTCTTTAATGATTTCTTCTGGTAGTTTTAAAGTTTCAGGTCTTACGTATTACATTTAAATCTTTAATACATTTTCAGTTGATTTTTTAATATAGTGAGAGATGGGGATCTATGGTTTTGCATATGGATATCCAGTCTTCCTAGCACTGCTTATTAAAGAAAGTGTCCTTTTCCCCAAGTGTTTTCTTGGTGCCTTTGTCAAAAATGAGTTTGTGAACAAAAATGTGTGGATTCATTTCTGGGCTCTCTATTCTGTTCCATTGGTCTATGTGTCTGTTTTTATGCCAGTATCATGCAGTGTTAGTTACTATGGCTTTGTAGTATATTTTGAAGTCAGGCAGTGTGATGCCTCTAGCTTGTTCTTCATAGCAAGCATTTTTATAGTTACTTCTAAAGGATGATCATCTTCCTTGGCCAGTGACATCATATAAATTACTATAAAGTGTTTTTTGATGCTGAGCTGTTTTCCATATAATCCAACCTGATGGCCACATAAAGCTGTAAATGTTTTAAGGAAGAAAATACCTTAAACTTCCTAGTAGATTTGGATCTTAACACTGTCTTTTCATAGAGCTGAAATTAAAGGAGGAGTTTTTGTTTGGTTTTCACAAACATGTCCTGAAGCATTAACCTGAAATTTTAAAACTGGTTTGAAATATTAGGTTTTCTATCCCCTGCAAAGCTGTACTATAAAATTAAAGGAAACCAAAAACAGGCATGGGAATATGATAGTTAGGTGGTGTTCCTGAGTGTGGTATTTTAAAGTTTTGACTTTCAGTTTCCTCATGGCATTCACTTGAAACCTGGTTCATTGAGGGCTAGCTGCAAACCTTCCAGATCTTGTCCTTCTTTGCAGCTCCAGGTTTCTCTGGCCTATGGTTCTCCAGGACCCTGCAGTTTTTTTTTTTTTTTTCAGAGGCCTGTGCCACATCAGTTACACACACAAAAAAAGGCTTTTGGGTAAAGGGAAACTTCATGTACTGAGCAAGAAGCATGAATGTAAAAATATAGAACCCCTAGGGATAAGGAATTCAGTGGCTACCTATGCCATTCGAAAGGAGTGTGCCAAAATGTGCGCTGAGTAGTGCCTTTCCCAGCATTTTCTTTTTTTAGAAATTAAAAGTATGGCTCTGATGCCAAAGCTACAAACCATAAATCCAATTAAAGTGAAGGACTTAAATGTACATTTGGGAGAGTCGGGGGAAAGTGGAAAGAGGATCTGTTTCTGAATCACCTCGCCTCTTTCTCTTCCTCCCTCCCACCCTCCACCCTGAAAACATGTCCACACAGTGGGATTGCTTGTTAAATTAGGACACTATGACTATGTAACTATATTTGTGAAATAGAGTCAAATTAAAATTGAAAGAAAACAACTGAAATGCAAAAAATATGAAAAGAAAGTTGAATCCATGCTCTAGTGCAAATGTTCTTCCAGCTCAAACTACCTCTAAAATAGCCCTGGACTGCGTGCAACTCCACATCTCACAGTTTGCTTTATGAAGTATCAAAACATTCTCAAACTTTTGACTGCAATAGGTTTCCATGTTTTTAAACTTTTGCTCTAATAAGCAAGGTCTGTCTGTTTTCTTTTAACAATTTTATAAGAAACTGTTTCCTTTTCTCCTCTCCATTCCTTCACTCATGTCCACCCTTCCTCACTTACTAATTATTCATAGTCAAGCCCCTAAGAAGAAAGGGGCAGCGTTTGCCATACTTTACTCTGTGTGTGTGTGTGTGTGTGTGTGTATGTATGTGTCTGTGTGTGTGTTTGGTCAAGATTAGGCAGGGAGACAGGGATCCTAAACTAGTGCTTTTTAAATGATAATACATTTCCACCGTTTAAATAAGGTATGCTTTTTTTCTCAAGATTTTTTTCAAAGCAGCAATTCCCTTCCCAGTTCCTGTAGCAAATGACCATCCAACTGCTTGAACACTTTCAGCGACAGGGAATGCATTACTTTGTGGGAGAGTTGATTCTTACACAGGATAGCTAGGAGTATTGGACATTTCATTGTCCTTTTGGATGTATTTATTCATATATTAATGATGTATTTATTGAGCACCTACTATATGACAGGCTCTGTTCTAGGCACCTGGAATCTAGCAGTGACCAAAGGGACAGCAACCACTGCCCTTATTTATGTTCCATCTTGGTGTCACTCTACTTATTTGTCCTAATTCTGTCTTCTGAGGCAAAACTAAATCATTCCATTCCCTGTTTTTGTGACAGCCCCACAAATTGTTGAAAATGACATGTCATCATCTTCAGATTAAACATTTTCTTACACGGTTTTCCCCAGGCCCACCCTGTCTGTCACTCTCCTCTCATCTGTCAGTGCCCCTTCACTGTGTGTTTGTATCAGGGGTGGTCTGAGAACACTGGGATGTCCACCTAGAGCACAGCTGAGTGGTACCTGGGCAGCGTGAGAGGCCAGATCACAGAGGCTTTCACATTCACGCCATCATTTCCTTTTTGTGTTGCTCTTGCACACATCATATAGTGACTCTCTGCCTCCATTTCCTTGTCTTTTTTTTTTTTTTTTTTTTTTTTTGAGATGGAGTCTTACTCTGTTGCCCAGGCTGGAGTGCAGTGGTGCGATCTGGGCTCACTGCAACCTCCGCCTCCCAGGTTCAATTGATTCTCCTGCTTCAGCCTCCAGAGTAGCTGGGATTACAGGCACATGCCACCACACCCGGCTAATTTTTGCATTTATAGTAGAGATGGAGTTTCACCATGTAGGCCAAGCTGGTGTTGAACTCCTGACCTCAGGTGATCCGCCAGCCTCTGCCTCCCAAAGTGCTGGGATTACAGGTGTGAGCCACCATACCTGGCCTCATTTTCTTATCTTTAAAGTGAGGATAATAATGCTACCTAGCTCAAAAAGTCGCTATGCATATTAAATGAGTTAGTATTTTTAAGAAGAGCACTTAGAGTCGTTTCTGGCCCAAAGTGTATGCTCAGGAAATGATAGCTATTATTCTTACTATTGTTATCATTAGCGCTGGATATTACCTTTCTGTTTATACAGCCTCATTGTTTTAGGACTCACATCATGCTATTGGTTTAATGATGATGTGGACAATTGACAGCAATCTGCTTTGGTTGTAAATTCCTCTCAGCTCCTAACAAAACGCTTGGAACAAAGTAGATTCACAGTAAATGCCTCCTAAAGGAGCAAGTTAAATATCTTGGCATTTGAAAACATGCTTAAACAAAACATAGAAAGGATTTCTCCTCCTGTTTTCCAATGTAAAATGTTGTATTTCTGTGGCTGTGTTGCAGAATTCTAGAGATAGATGTGTCTGTAAGATTGATTAAGGGTGATGTTATGAACTGCCTTTCTAAAATTTTAAGCCTTAATAAATAAAAATGGTCAAGAGGCATCACTTCCTGGTGATAAAATAAGGAGAAACTTTGGGTTTTAGAGATGCATATAACTGGTTGCAACTGAATTCAAGAGCAAATGCTACAGTATCCTTCATGAAATTTTCACACTGATTTCCAGGAGTATTCTTTTCTTTCTTTCTGTACATAACATCTGGTTTAAATGTTTTTCCTGTCTGGTTAAAAGTGTAGATGTCTACTTGGATTCATAGGTATCGTATCTCTGAATGCCGCCTCTTTTCTTCTCCTTCCCTTGCTGTTTGGGAGATTCTGTAGAGAGGATTATTAATAAAAAAAAAATTTTATCACTCCCATCTCCTCCCAGAAGCAGCTAGAAGACAAATGTCTGGAAAAGAAACTCAGAAGGGAACAGAGCTCAGATGTTTGTACCTTTCTTTAAATGGAAGTAGCTTTAAAGTGTTTATCACTATCATTTCCAACTATCTACCCATTAGGTGGAGGTCTCTAAATAGTTCTAGATATGAACAGACAAGATGAGTGATATTCTTGCTCCAAAATGTTACTTCTTAAATATATGAGCCTCAACTCTGGAGGATGAATAGATCAGTCCTTGCCATGTGCAGTTATTTTCTTAAATTCACCCACTGCTTATTTTTTTAACATAAAACATTTAAAGAAATGCTTCCTGGCTCTAAAGCAAATGTATAAAAAAAAAAAACAGAAAATATATTTTTTTCAGACAAAGTTCCCAGTTTACTGCTCTACTATTTATCTGAAGAAATAGATAAAACTGCACATCTGGTGTAATTCTTGTTTTCATGGTTAATGCAATATCCTGATGCAATATAACTTTCCCTGAAAGGCTTTTGATTCTGAATTTTGTTACATAAAAATGCATTTTTTTTTCGACAGATGTCTTTGGTTCTTTAACATCTACTTTTTGTCATGCTAATTCTGTATTTCAGACAATGTAATGGCAGCTGAAGAACAAATTAATACGGTCTGCTATAGGTTTAACTGGCTGTGGAAAATTCTGTGAATGAATCAAGCAGCAGTTTTTCTTCAGATTCTTTAAATTTAGGGAATCCTATTTCTAGTTTCCGAAAGGAGAAGTGAATCATTCTGCGTAGTGTTTTAGCTGAATATGTTAAATCTGTGTATTAAATTTAACATAATACTGTATCTACAGTTAAAAAAAGAATAGTATTTAGATAACAATTAAACTGAATTATCTCATATTTCCCTCTTTAGATGACAATAGCATTTAAGAACTTACATAAAATCCTCTTTGCTTCATAATCTGGGACATATGTACTCTCTCAGCTGGCAGTGTAGTCCTTACTAATGTTTATGTTAATAGAAGGATACATAAAAGTTCCTGAAAGTACCATAAGTGTCTTTTAGTGTTTGGTGTCATTGACATATTAACAAGGAGTCTGAAGATGAGTAACACACCCACATCTGTCAGTGCCACAGCCGGCACTTGAGCGACACACCAGCACCTCAGACAGAGCATACAGCTTCTTTGCTGGTGCGCTTGTGTTCTGGGAAGGAGCAAATGAAATCATTCACAAATCAGGAATTCCTGGCACAATATAGAATCAGGAAAGCTTTTTCTAGATGTGATTGTAAGTGATGGATTGACTTGGATCCCAAATGTTATCACCAAAAGATACGTGCTTTTCTTTCTTTTCTTACTTAAATATGCACAAGAATTTTGCTGATTGTATTTTGCAATTACATAATTGATATTTAGGATTTAATTTGGAAAATATGTAATTACAACTTAAAAATAATAAATTAGTAGGCCAAAGCACACGATGTTTTATCATACAATTATTCATCTTTGTATGTGATGAATAAATAAGGTGGGACAATAGATTTGATATTTTGGCCATTTTATTGTCCATTTCTGGATTGTGTGGGCCATGAGAGCTCCAATGTGTTTCTAATATGTTAGAACTTTGCAATGAGAAAATTTCATTAGAAAATAGTGTTGGAAAGAGTGCTTTTCTGAGTTCCAAAGATTTCCTTCCTTCTGTAGTTTATATACACTGGATATTCAAAAAGCTAGTGAGAGTTCAACCCTGGGCTAGGAATCCCAAGATACTCCTGTTAAGTCTGTTCCTTGGAGATAAGGGTCAAGTATTAAGCAGGATTCTTACAGTCTCCCTTCCCTTTAATGATCTCTTCAAACATTTTCCCCTAGAAAAAGTCTTTGCCCATAGTCATTCTCTTAATATACTTTACCTAGAGGAAATGTTTTAGCTACAGTAGTTAAAAAGCTTAAAATTATTTGTGTTTCCGTTTCAAAACCCACATTTATCTTTAGCTCAAGCATGCTTTTCTCCAACTCTTAAATACAATATAAAAAATTCATTTTGCCTCAAAAACCATTTATAGATATATAGCCACTTTAAAAACAAAACAGAAAGTGAATTCGGTTCAATAAATACTATTTGAGCATCTGTTCTGTGGCAAGCACCGTGGTAGGTTATTTTGAGTAATATGCAAATTATCAAGGGATTTATCATTTATTTGCAGAGCAGAAAGACATGCAAACCCGCTAATTTAACACATGGCTGATTGATATAAAGCCATATTATAGTTTCTTTCCTCTCCTCAATAAACAGCAAACTCTTTGAGGGCAAGAGCTGTTTGGGTTTTTCATTTGTTTATTTTTGTTGTTGTTAGTTTGTTTTTGAGATGGAGTTTTGCTCTTGTTGCCCAGGCTAGAGTGCAATGGTGCGCTCAGCTCACCACAATCTCTGCCTCCCGGGTTCAAGCGATTCTCATGCCTCAGCCTCCAGAATAGCTGGGATTACAAGCGTGTGCCACCATGCCCGGCTAATTTTGTATTTTTAGTAGAGATGGGGTTTCTCCATGTTGGTCAGGCTGGTCTCGAACTCCTGAACTCAGGTGATCTGCCCACCTCAGCCTCCCAAAGTGCTGGGATTACAGGCGTGAGCCACTGTGCCTGGCCTGTTTGTTGTTAATGCCAGATGCTATCTCTAGTGCCTGCAGACATAGGATTCTGATAGGCAGAGAAGTGGTGGAGAGCTATTCTAGCCTGTGGAAGAAGTGTTAAAATTTAACACACATAATAGTACATTGGAATGGGACCGTGAGTTGGGTAATCACTCTGAAGTAACTGGAACCAGGTTCCTAGAGGGAAGGGGTTCTCGAGGTAGCATTGGGTCAATCCATAAAGGAAATTCAATGTAATCTTAAGGGATAAACAAAGATAGCAAATTTTCCCATGCCTTTAATTTTATCTATCATTTTCCTTAGTGTCCCTATCCCACCTTTATTTTCTCAGTCCTTTGGAAAAGTTCCTGGACACAGTTTATTTTTGTGGTTGGATTATATGATAATATATATCTTTAAGCAAATTATTCAAATACTATTTTCTGCTACTGGGAGTGCCAAAATCTAATTAGATCTGCCACATTTTTTTCTGCAAAAATGTACATTACAAAAGTTGTTTTTACCCTATAAAAATGTGTGATTTTTTCCATAGCTAATAGAAGAGAACTTACGTTTAAGAACCTATACTGATAACCAATTAGTACTGAGATTTATGTGTATATAAACATAGTTCGTATGATGTATATACATTAATGTATTTGCTACAGAAAAACATATGTCATAGTGTACATTTTTCCATTTAAATCATAATTTAAAATAAGTACACCATTTGATTGGTTATCCTGATTCTTCTTTCGCCAGTCTTCCCATTGCATGAAAACCATTTATGACGGTGTTTAATTTAATTGAACTCATTTCTAAGAGAATGAGTGTTTTAATTAAAAATGTTGTGTATTTTTCCCCTGAATCTGAAGGCAGTCGGACTGATTTGCATTTCTTTCAGTTCTGAGTGTTGAGGGTAATATATTATGAAACATCTTTTTTTCTTGATATGTATGCACATTAGTTTTCATTATTTCTATTTTAATATCACAGATCATTGTTAGCACAGAGTTTTGTGCAAGGAGTATCTTCAAAACGTTTTTAGTAAAATTATCAGGCACACTAAATAGAAAATAAAAGACAAAACTGGAGGAAAAGGGGAATTAAGACAGGCAAAGAAGAGATTCTAAGTTTTTATATTTTCTTAAGCAGAGTAGGTATTCTGAACACGAATGTTTCAGAAGAGAATAAAGAACTAATAATTTTATGAGTTAAAAAGTATTTTGCATTTTTGCATGGCTAGCTAAAATATAGGTGTAGGACTTTAGATATTTATTTTTCAATTATTCATTGGGAATCTGTATTGTAAGACTTTGGGATACATCAGTATTTAAAACAAAAATACTTGTAGGCCTTATATTTAACGTTTACTAGAAAAATATCATGCAAGCCTTCTTATTCTATCAGTTTATTGAAAAAAATGAGCATTTTTTTACATATTACATGTATTTTTACATATTACATTAATACATGTTTGTCTTACACATGTAATATTTCCACACTTTTATATCTGAAGGTATGTGCATTTAGGATGAAGTTTCATTTTTTATCCTAGTAACTATATTTCAGATTGTCTTTACATTTTCAAACTCTTTTGGCTAATTTCATGTTAGATTTCAATAGATCATCATTTGTTTTTGTTACTAGTTTCTATACTTGTTTTTAACCACAAAATCCATGTAAAAGAAAAATCTCATCTTTGTTATTTGTTTTGTGTTTATTTTAGCTTATTTTATTCGTATCACCTCTAATCCTTATTCTCTCTATGGGATTTTTCCCCCTAAACTATTCTAACTTTAGGTAAACTAGATAATATAACTTATAAATCTACTTAACCAGGAACACATAAATTGCTACACATTCACCTATGATACCATAAAATTACCATAAAATTGTCCAAAGGAAGAATTTGATGTCATCTGAAGTTTCAGGAAAGTGCTCTTGAGGAAATGGACGTGTTGATAGAACCAGAGTGGGGAGGAGGAAAAGGAGGCAGCTCTGCAAAGGTGTGTGCATGTGGGTGCATGCCTACACAGATGTGCAAAGGGGCATTTTAATGCAGGTGGCCATATTTGAGACAGATAAGGTTAAGGGAACAGGATAGATGTGGGAAATTATGGAATATTTATAGGTAACCCACAGTGACCCAGGTGAGGCTACTTGCAGGGGATGGATAAGGGCTATAGTGAGCAGAGCCATCAGATAAGATAGGGCCTTACTGCGGTAAGGTGCATACGTAACTCAGTGGATGGTGAAGAGTCACTGCATATTTCCAGACATGAAGGATTTGAAAAGGAAAACTGCAGGTGGGAAGACCAC